>NC_000012.12:12084650-12709650 GCF_000001405.40 Homo sapiens
CTGACAAGGATATAATCTTTTCTTTTTCATGTTTTAAAATTAAAATATCCAAGATGGGAATTTTAACTAGAGCTAGTGCATCTGTGGGAACATGTTTGCTTATAGTTTCTCCTGGACATGTCTCACTCCATGTCCACAAACCCACAGAAATCAATACCCTGCTGTAACCCCAGCACTTTGGGAGGCTGAGGCAGGAGGATCACCTGAGGTCAAGAGTTCAAGACCAGCCTGGCCAACATGGCAAAACCCTGTCTCTACTGAAAATATACAAAAATTAGCTGGACGTAGTGGCGGGAGCCACTACGTCCTGTAATCCCAGCTACACAGGAGGCTGAGGCAGAGAGAATGGCTTGAACCCAGAAGGTGGAGGTTGCAGCGAGCCGAGATCGTGCCATTGCACTCCAGCCTGGGCAACAGAGCGAGACTCCGTCTCAAAAAAAAAAAAAAAAAAAAAGTCAATACCCTGTACACAGTTAGCCAGATTGAGTAATTTTGTACCTGTTGGTGATCTTGTGGCCACCCTGCCTTATGAGAGGAGGAGGGGACAGAGCCTTTGGGACCCTTCATGGAGCTTCTTAATGTGCAAGATGGGCACAGGGTGCTTTCTGGTGGTAGAACCGCATGCTGATTACCCTAGATGAGCTGCACAAGGTTGAAAAGGCAGCAGAGGCCTGCTTTCCTTTCTCATCTCCTGAGGACATGGCCAGGGAAGTTTCCCTTGGCTTTGGAAGATAGCCTCTTGCCATTTCTTTCTTTGCCAGGGGCCATGGGTGGCCAGAGTTCCAGCGGAGGCCGGCTGGGCTGCAATAAGGGGATTACAAAGTGGAAAGTCTGTTTCGCTTGGTTCTTAAAAAACGAGGAGGAAAGACATTGATCCTTTTCTTCTTGATCTTTCTTCTCTCCGTCATTCGCTTCTTATTGGTTTTTGAACCCTGTGGACTAACCATGGAAAAGATGGCTTTATGAGTCAGATGTCCACCAGAGGATGGCATCATGGACAGAGCAGTATCTTCTGTGGCCTTTCCGTGAATGGCTGGAGGGCTGAAGGGAGGACACTGAAGCCTTCAGCTTGGAGGAATCCAGGGAGAGGGATCAGGAGCCACCTTGGCAGCTGCATATGATGTCAAAACCTGTTTCTCTTGTGGCTCAGTCCCTCCCAGGCCCCCTACTTGCCTCTCTTACCTCCAGTGCTGTACAAAGCCCAGAAGTGCCCTAGGAGTTTGAGCACACCAACCTTCTGTCCAAAACGCCACTCCATTACTGTCTTCAAGTCCTGTGAATTACCTAATGTTAGTCTTCAAATGTTACATGGTAAAACCCAGCTGCTCCACACGGCATCCAAGACAGCTTGTACAAGCTTTTAAAAGTTTAGGATTTAGGTTGGGTGTGGTGGTGGCTCATCCTTGTAATCCTAGCACTTTGGGAGGCTGATGTGGGAGGATTGCTTGCGCTTAGGAGTTCAAGAACAACCTGGGCAACATAGGGAGACCTTATCTCTAGAAAAAGAATTTTAATAAATTAGCCAGGCGTGGTGATGCACACCTGTCATCCCAGCTACTCAGGAGGCTGAGGTGGGACAATCGCTTGAGCCTGAGAGATCCAAGCTGCAGTGAGCTGTGATCACACCACTGCACTCCAGCCTGGGTGACAGAGTGAGACTCTGTCTGGAAAAAAGTAAATAAACAAATAAAAGGTTAGAACTTAGTGACAAATCAACAGTGAAAATTTTACCACCCAGCAACTCAGCCATGCCATCTGCCCACCCCACCTCCCCTCTTCCCCACTCAGGGGCAAAGGCGACTGGTCTCTTATAGGCTACAACACTCACTGGGCCAATGCCATTTCACCGTCCTATCTCAAAGTGCTTTATTCTACAATTCTGTATGCAAATACATGACGTAACTCTTTTCTCAGCTTGTAAATTCTTGAAGGCCGTAAGTTGTGCTGACTGCATCCTTGTTTACCTATAAGCATTCATTGAATGTTTTCCAGTAGACATGGAGAGGAGAGAAGAGGCAGAACTGTACCAGCAACGGGAGTTAGGTGTTCACTTGATAATGGACTTGGATGATGAATCTCATTGCCCTGAGAGCAGGGATATTTCTTTCTTCAGTGACCAACCCCGAAATGCTTGTCAAATTATCGAATGTCCTCCTATGCATGTAGGGGCTGGCTCTTAGAGGTATAAAGCATGTCGAGAAAAAAGAATAAAAATAAAAGCATAATGAGCATTCCTTCAAGTAAAGAGCTAAGCACTCCTTTTTGTGTCTCTTCCCTTGCAAAGGGGAAAGGAGACCCTAATTTTGCAAGACTTCAAAAAGAGTGTGCAGAAGGCCAATTGTTTCAAGGTGACAATCATTCCTGCATGCACCCCTCCCACATCCCGGCCTCTGCCAGGCAACTTTCAGTCCTTTCTGAAGAATGACCCTCCCCCAGCACACATACTCCCAGGCAGTTTCCTTCTATTCTGGCCTGGTCTTTTCATTCCAGGCAACTTTGCATACCAATGAGCCAGATGAAGTTCTGGGAAGGGCCTCTCAGCACCATTTTGTCTTGTTTCAGCTGTGGACCCCAAAGTCATTTCCATTGCCAACCGAGTAGCTGAAATTGTTTACTCCTGGCCACCACCACAAGCGACCCAGGCAGGAGGCTTCAAGTCCAAAGAGATTTTTGTAACTGAGGGTCTCTCCTTCCAGCTCCAAGGCCACGTGCCTGTAGCTTCAAGTTCTAAGAAAGGTAAGCTTTCCTTCCCTGGGTGGAGTGTTTGCCAGGCAGGGGCGCAGGAGCATTTGTGTATTTATCCATCCCAGGGCTCGGCAACTTGACAGTCTCCGCTGCCTGGACTGAGGGCTTGACAGCCACAGGCTGTGGGCAATGAGCTCCAGCTTGAGACACCAGCCCAAGGCAAGGGGGCTGCCCCAGCAGGTTGAAAAAACATTCCCAGCTCTCTGCTAAGTAAGAAAGGAAAGTCTCCTACAGAGGGAGAGGAGGAAACACAAAGCCCGCATTCAGCCTTGTCTGTGGCGGAAAATGCAATGTTAGATCTGATCATGTTACCAGTGACCCTGGGCCAATTTGCATCAGGTACAGTTGGAGCGTCAAGCCAGGGATTTATATTATAACATTGCTTTAGGGCTTTGTGAAAAAGCAGGGGTTGTCAGGCACCAGCTATGGTGCAAGACATGGAGCAGAACTGAGAAGTAGTGACAAGGCTGGGTCAGTTGTCACCCAAACCATAGCAATAGCTGAGACTGTAGATCCCATCAGGCTGGTGGTAACTCAAGGCACTGAGGGGAGAGTCAAGGGGAGCAAAGCCAAGTGCCACTGGAAGAGAAGCTCTGCCCGGCATTCCCCCACCACAGTTCTTGCTCCTGGCTCCCTCCACAAACTACAGTGGAGGTTGTGATGACGCAGCCTCATTGTCTGGGATAAATACGTGAGGTTCGTTGTCTCATGCCAAGGGAATCGAGGACATGGACACACACAAGAAGTGAGTTTAGCGGCAGAGGTTTAATAGGCAAAACAAAGAGAAAGGAGAACAGCTCTCTCTCCTGCGACAGAGAGGGGAACCCAAATGTGACTTCTGGCCTGCGACAGAGTGCACCGGATTTTATAGACAGGTTTGAGGAGGTGGTGTCTGATTTACATAGGATCCAAAGATCAGTTGAACCAGGTGTGACGTTTACATAGCATGGGGGAAGCTGGCCACCCCACCCTCATCTTATTACGCAAGTGGGCTTTCCACTTGCCCAGCGCCATGTTGTCTGCTCCCTAGGGCACACGTGGTTGGAAAGGAAAAGGGAAAATGCGGCCGCCATGTTGGACATGCCTAGTCCCAGGTGGCCTTTTCCTATTGGCACAGCTGCCAACATTCACTGTGCAAGCTTTTAGCTTGCTTGTCTATGTCTGCAGCTCAATTTTACAGGCTACTCTTTGTTAGAAAAGAAAATGATTTGGGGCTGCTTTTCATTAAAAGGAAAACCTTCCCGAGAACTTCCTTACCCTCACTATCTGCCTAAATCATTTCTTTTTAACTCCTCTAACAGTGAGGCCAAGGTGGATCTTGGGTTTGCACCTCCCTAAAGAACAAGGTGAAGGTTCTCCCTCCAAAGGTATCCGTGTCTCCCAACCCCGATGCAGAGCGGTAGCCACACTAAAGGGGCCACAGCTGCCACAGAGGCTCAGGGGACCGTGTGAAGAGCTGGAGGAGAGGAGGAGGCCTCTGAGTCTGCTAAAAAAAAACAGTGTGACATTTTATTACTATCCCACATGGGCTTGGGAGATGGAATGCCACCCCTAAACCAAGCTAAAGCTAAGATGACCTCATCCTCTGTGCACAGGAGAAATACAGGCAGCTGTGCCAGCAACTTTCCCTAAGAGAGTGTTAACCCAATATATCGAGACAGATCTTACTCAGTGTAGAACTTTTATTTTGGCCGGGAGCGGTGGCTCGTGCCTGTAATCCCAGCACTTTGGGAGGCCAAGGCAGGTGGATCGCCTGAGGTCAGGCGTTCAAGACCAGCCTGGCCAACATGGTGAAACCCCTTCTCTACTAAAAATACAAAAAAATTAGCCAGGCATAGTGGCAGGTGCCTATGATCCCAACTACTGGGGAGGCTGAGGCAGGAGAATCGCTTCAACTGGGGAGGCTGAGGTTGCAGTGAGCCAAGATTACGCCATTGCACTCCAGCCTGGGTGACAAGAGTGAAACTCCATCTCAATAAAAAAAAAAAAAAGTAGAAGAAGAAGGTTTATTTTGCCAAGCCTGGGCACGGTGGCTTACGTCTGTAATCCCAGCACTTCGAGAGGCCGAGGCGGACGGATCTCTTGAGGCCAGAAGTTCAAGACCAGCCTGGCCAACATAGCAAAACCCTATCTCTACTAAAAATACAAAAAAATTAGCCGGGTGTGGTGGCACACACCTGTAGTCCCAGCTACTCGGGAGGCTGAGGCAGGAGAATCACTTGAACCTGGGAGGTGGAGGTTGCAGTGAGCCAAGATCGTGCCACTGCACTCCAGCCTGGGTGACAGAGCAAGACTCACATACTCCACTGCACCCTGTCCCCCCAACACACACCATACACCAACCGTGGCCACGTTCCTATCCATCTGCCCTTTTAGCCTTGGCCATAGGGGAATTTATTAATTTTACTTATTTATATCCCACCTTATTGTCAAGACCCAGCATACAAAGAATAAATTTTAGTCAGATAAAATCCATCAATCTGAAAGATATCTTTGTAAAAAGAAAACAAAAACAGGAAAATAAGACGGATTTGGGAATTAGGTTAATTTCCAAAATGTAGGCCAGCAAGACTATCCACTCTCTTAGATATGGGCCACAAATTTGGCTCTATACTTTCTAGCAACTAACCCAAAGAGTGAAATATAATCAAATATGAGATTTATGGTGTCCATAAGATAAAAGCACCATCTGCTGAGGAAAAATCCAAAAACCAGAAGAATATTCCCCCTAAATATCTTCATAGACAGAATCCTGTGCTGTGAAACCGATGTCTTCAACAACAAGCTTAAGGTAACTACAGCGATGAATTTCACAGTGAGAGCTGGGGGACTGAGCAAAGGAAGAAGGGGAAAGAAGGAAAGGAAGGGGCTGTAGGAGAAATCCCTAGTATGGTTTGTGTCTGGGCAGAAGAGGCGAGGTAAGATTTACTTGATAAGAATGAACATGCTTCTTGCCAGGCACAGTGGCTCATGCCTGTAATTCCAGCACTTTGGGAGGCCGAAGTGGGTGGACCACCTGAGGTCAGGAGTTTGAGACCAGCCTGGCTAACATGGTGAAACCTGGGTTTCTAGTAAAAATACAAAAAAATTAGCCAGGCGTGGTGGCACACGCCTGTAATCCCAGCTACTTGGGAGACTGAGGCATGAGAATCTCTTGAACCTGGGAGGCAGAGGTTGCAGTGAGGCAAGATCGCACCATTGCACTACAGCTTGGGCAACAAGAGCAAAACTCTGTCTAAAAAATAAAAAATAAAAAAAAAAAAAAGAATTAGCATGCCTCTTCCTCCAGCCCTTACCAAGCCACAAGCATTCATTGTCCCTGGAAAAATGTAAGATTATTTTTTGCTTCTCTTAAAAGAAATAACTGGAATTTTCCCCGACAGATGAAGAAGAACAAATACTAGCCAAAATTGTTGAGCTGCTGAAATATTCAGGAGATCAGTTGGAAAGAAAGGTATGGAACACCTTGAACTGATGCGATTGATTTCTGTGCCCATGCACTAGTACACGAGAATGGAATTGTATTCCAGGTTGCAACCTTATTCCCTTTCTAAGTCCTGGTTTCTACTTAGTCCTAAATTTTATTTCCCTTGGAGTCAAAATTCTTCATGCTGGTAGAATCTCAAAAATGAGTCACTTTGGAAAACATAAGTAAACCTTCTGGAGCCTCCTTGGAATTTTTGGAAACTAAAAAAGAAACTTGTTATTGCAAGAAAAGACACCAGTAAATTAAAATTTGCTGGATGGAATTATTAATCTCATTCCCCATGTAACTGATCCTCATTGAAGTTTAGACTCGCATTTGCTTTGCAGCCTGGATATCTGTGTCCCACAGTTGCTCCAAAGCTGGAATACTTTCTGGAATCTTTTTCCCCTGTAGTTGCTGGACTGTTGCCTGTTTAAGGGCTCTCTTAGCAGTTCAGCCAGGGAGGTGCGCTAGTGTTACTGGGAGAATGTATGGATTTCCTGCCATTTGGAAGTTGAGACCCATCTTTCCAATCAGGAACGGGTGAGAGTTGCCTTCAGGTAAACAGTTGGTGAGCAAACCTTCAACAGAGTCAAAAGGGCTTCTCTATGCCTCCTGGGTCCATAACCCACAGACGACTGAGTAGTCTCTAGAATCTGTCAATCAGGGGCTGGCTTGCAGACATAGACCCTTGTTTTTCCAGAATCTGTGGGGAGGGAGTCAGACCCTGGGGGTGGGGATGGGAGGTTCTGCAGGAAGACAAACAGCTCCTGTCTATAGCTTTGTCAAAAGTGTGCCCAGAGGCTGGTGACCCAGAGGGCGAAGCACCTGGGAGATGGGACAGAATGAGAAACAGCGAGAAAACCAGGGATATTAGGTTAAAGAAAAGAGAACGGGGTGTGTGAGCTTTGGGACCACAAGTAGAGGGTGGAGAGGGGTGCAGAGGAAGCAAGAGATGGAACAGGATCATGATTTAAGGGCACCCCTGCATTTCTCCAGAGCTAGTGTCATGGATACACAAATTATGCCTAGTATGGGGTGATTGATTTCTCCTTATGGTAAGAATGAACCTCCATTCCTGGAGAATAGGCATTCCAGGCTGCCCATGAGAGTCAACGGGTGCCTTGTGAGAGAATGATCTTCCTGTCACGGGAAGAATTGCAAGTAGGTGCCAATACCAGTTAGCATTTCAGCACAGAACTCCGAGGGGTCCTTTAGACAACCTCAAGGGCTCTTTACAACTCAGAGTTTCTGTGGCTCTCACGGCAACCTCCTTCCCAGCTTCCCTAAGCAGGGACTTGTGGTCATTGGTCAGGGAGGTGGGAAAGGCGGAGTGGGGGTGCTGGAGGTGGGACGAAGGCCACCGATCTCAGGTTATGAAGAGCGATGGTTTCATTTTCACCCCCACAAATTACCACTTTCAAAAACCTCACTTTGCCTGGTGCTCTCTCTTAAGGAGTTTGGACATTTTACATTGCTTATGGCAAAGCCTTGGTTGTTATTTCCTTTACATGCTTCCCCAGTAGGGAGCTCTGCTAGAGACACATGGTAGGTGTGACCTTGTGCTGGGCGGGTGCCAAGCTCCCACTGCAGAGTGCCGTGTGTGTGGCTGCAGGGGATCTGCAGAGCCGCTGGTCCCAAGAGCACACACAGCCCGAAGGCCCATCCTACACCTCCAGGAGAGGCCAAAGAGCCAGGTGCACCCGAGAGGGACAGGCAGGGGAGGGGTGAGGAGGTGCCAGTGGAAGCCCTGTCTTTGTGGCGTTTGATTCTTTTACTGTTCTGGCACAGTCCCCACTTGGCTGCCTGCTAGGGTTTTGAGCCTGGCCTCCTCCATTGGGAAACTGATGAAGAGGAGTCTGTTCCCTGTTATGGAGGAGGCTGGCCATGCCTCCTGCAGAGTCACAACCCAGACGGGGCCTGGACGGTGGGGGTGGGCGTGGTTCAGGGAAAAGACAGGTCTGCCAAAATCTCCCAATCGCATCTGACTCATCCCCCAGATATCCCTTTTAGAAACAATATTTGTTGAAAACCCGCTTGGCTTATCATTCCTCTAGGACAGAACTAGAGGATTTTCAAATAAATATTTTGTCCCTGCTCACTCAGAAATTTCCGTTTTCACATGACAACCAGCATATTAACAGACATTGCAAGAATGCTTTAAATGAAGATGATATATAGCTTTTTGATATGAGCCCTGATTTTTCAAAAGCAGAAGAGGCAGCATTGATTTTGTTTTAAAGGCGTGGTAGTTCAAAGGAGGTAAAGCAGAGAGATACCAGGTTCAAGGGAAGGCCGGGAGGTAAAATCAATAGGGTAGAATAATGGGAAAGAAATCAATGAATTGGAGTTTTTTTAAGTGAACATTGCATGCAAGGGAGTCTTCCCTGACCTCCATGCTCCCGTAGCATCCTGAAAAATGACTCGCATTTCCAAAGCACCTCTTCTATGTCCAGCACTATAAAGTGTTCAACTACCCTATAGTATAGGGCCAAGCACAGTGGCTCACACTTGTAATCCCAGCTCCTGGGGAGGCCGAGGTGGGAGGATCGCTTGAGGCCAGGAGTTTGAGACCAGCCTGGGCAATATAGTAAGCCTTGTCCCTAAAAAACAATAATAATAAAAGTTTCTTAAGAAAATGAAGGCTGGGTACGGGCACAGTGGCCCACACCTGTAATCCCAGCACTTTGGGAGGCCGAGGCAGGTGGATCACCTAAGGTTAGGAGTTCAAGACCAGCCTTACCAACATGATGAAACCCTGTCTCTACTAAAAATACAAAAATTAGCCGGGTGTGGTGGTGTGTGCCAGTAATCCCAGCTACTTGGGAGGCTGAGACAGGAGAGTTGCTTGAACCTGGGAGGCGGAGGTTGCAGTGAGCTGAGATCGCGCCTCTGCACTCCAGTCTGGGCAAGAGAGTGAGACTCCATCTCAGAAAAAAAAAAAAGAAAGAAAGAAAAGAAAAGAAAATGAAGACTGGGTGCAGGGACTCATGCCTGTAATCCCAACACTTTGGGGAGGCTGAGGTGGGTGGATCGCTTAAGCCCAGGAGTGGGCAACATGGCGAAACTCTATCTCTACAAAAAAATAGAAAAAAATTAGCCAGGTGTGGTGGCATGCACCTGTAGTCCCATCTACTTGGGAGGCTGAGGCAAGAGAATCACTTGAGCCCAGGAGGCAGAGGTTGCAGTGAGCTGAGACCACACCACTGCACTCCAGCCTGGGCAATGGGAGTGAAACCCTGTCTTAAAAAAAAAAAAAAGAAAGAAAACAATTACCCTATAGTATCAATACTATCACCATCCTAGTTTAGAGATGACAAACTGAATCTGAGAGGTTAATTTCCCCAAGATTGCATAGCTAAGTAAGAGGTGGACCCAGGGGTTTGAGCCAAGACAGTGATTCCTAAGCTTCAGATCCTGTCCCTTACACTACTTCTAGCAAAGGACATCACATTTTTCTGCAATTCCCACTAGACTGTGAGCCCTTTGAGTGAGGACCCGCATCTCAGTCATCCATACTACCTGCCCATTATAAGTGCTCAGGAAATATTTGTTAAATGTCAAATGAACTGACTGTTCCATTTTATACATGTATTTGTGCTGATGAAATGAATTCACCGAGCAGTACATGCCCATTCTGGTTCTGCAGGACACTGCCTTCATCCCCATTCCCTTGGTTGACACCAGCATCCAGGGTTTTCCACAGGATGGTTTGATGGCCTGCATTTGAGCTAAAGAATGAACTTCTGTCTGCCTCGTGGAGCCAAGCTACTGTACTGAGTGCTTATTCTTTTGTACACAGCTGAAGAAAGATAAGGCTTTGATGGGCCACTTCCAGGATGGGCTGTCCTACTCTGTTTTCAAGACCATCACAGACCAGGTCCTAATGGGTGTGGACCCCAGGGGAGAATCAGAGGTCAAAGCTCAGGGCTTTAAGGCTGCCCTTGTAATAGACGTCACGGCCAAGCTCACAGCTATTGACAACCACCCGATGAACAGGGTCCTGGGCTTTGGCACCAAGTACCTGAAAGAGAACTTCTCGCCATGGATCCAGCAGCACGGTGGATGGGTAAGCGTATCCTATTTAAAAACAAATTTTCTCAGAACTCAGAAGAGATGGGATGGATTTTTTTTTTTTTTTTAAATGAAGGGAACACATCTATGAAGCAGTTCTCATGAGTTTAGGACACTTGAGTGGCCAGAGATAGATCCCATTGATGGGAACATATTTTTAGTGATTATCTTCATCATCAATAAATATTTACTGAGCTCTCCAAGGGTATGCAGGGTATGTGTGGATGGAAAGGGACTGGTCAGATGGAACAGGAAATGAGGAGATGCTGAGATAAGAAATGTTTAGATAGACGTAATTTCTGTTTTCACAAATTTTGCAGGCAACGGAAGTCTGGCAGGGAGACAAGGGCAGGCAGACAGTTCCTCACACTTGCAGATACTTAGAGGTCACGGAGACTAAGCCTCATGCAGAGACTCAGGGTTCATGGCATTTTGTCATTGCTGCTTTGACCCAGCCATTTTGAGGGTGACATTTTGATACCAAATAAAAAGCCAACAGTTAAACTTTCATCTATTTTCAATTACCTGGTATCAGTCAAAACAGACCTCTTTCCCTTTTGCCTCAAACCCTCTCCCATCCCTCATCCCCAGTTCCTCAGGTCTCCTTAAGACTGCCATGTTCAAACAGCTACATAAGGTCCACCGTGTCAAAATGTACTACCCCACAACTTTAACTCTCAACAGGCCTAGGCATTCCTAGGCGGACAGACCTTCATCCCACATTATCCTTAGTTCTCTTTCCACTAGAATGGTCCAGGGGCCAGCAGGAGGATTGAGTCGGCTCTAGGCATGGCTGGAGTGACCCTGGGACCTCCACACAGCCTTGGTCTCTTTGCTGATGGAAGGAAAGTGCAGCTGATCTTGCCCAAGGGTCTGAAGTGCCCGCCATGGTCTTCAGTGGCTGCCACGGTCTTCAGTTTCTGTACATTGAGTTCCTTTCTATTTTCCACTTTTGCACCAAGTTTGATAACCCTAAGTGGCTGATCTGAACAACCAAGGCCATTCTTAAGTATTCTAAACTTAAGCTGCCTTAGCTTATTCTAAAAGGAGGACAGGTTCCTCAACATTATTTTAGTTCTACCTATTCTTCTTTCCAGGATTCCTTCACCCCAACAACCCCCTTGAGCCCTCATCTGCCCCAAAGCCTCTCCTGACCCTTCCAGCTCAAAGGCTGCACAGTCTCTAATCTCCAGCACTTCATGTTTGCACCATAATAATATACAAAAGATGATCAAATTCCCAATTGACTATGTTTCAAGCATTCATTTTAAAAATCATTGTTAGTCCTCTTAATATATTTTCTCAGAGAAATTATAATTATCAATTGGGTTCACAGGCTAGCTCTCAAAAATCTGTTTAACCCACTAATGTAGCTAAAATACCATAAATATGCTATTAAAAAGCAGTGGTTCTACACCAAAAGCACAAGCAACAAAAGAAAGAATAGATACATTGGATTTTGTTTTGTGCTTCCAAGAACACCACCACCAAGAATGTGAAAAAAAAAAAAAAACAACCCACAGAATGGGGAAAAATACTTGCAAATAAAATCTCTAATAAAAGACATATCTAAATACATAATGAACTATTATAATTGAACAATAAAATGTCAAATAACCCAATTTTCAAATGAGCAATGGATTTGAATAGACATTTCTCCAAAGAATATATATAAATGGCTAAAAGCACATGAAAAGACGCTTGTTTGACATCTTCATTTCAACAGTAGGAAAATGCAAATCAAAGCAACATTGAGCTCTATCCACTACAGTGGCTAAAATGAAAAAGAAAAGCATTGACGTCGGTGAGGATGTGGAGAAATTGGAACCTTTTATGTTGCTGGTTGGATTGTAAAATGGTGCAGTCCCTTTGGAAAACCACTTGGGAGTTCCCAAAAATGTTAACTATGAAGTTACCAATTCCAGGGGCCGGGCGCAGTGGCTCACGCCTGTAATCCCAGCACTTTGGGAGGCCGAGGCGGGTGGATCACGAGGTCAGGAGATCGAGACCATCCTGGCTAACACGGTGAAACCCCGTCTCTACTAAAAATACAAAAAAATTAGCCGGGCATGGTGGCAGGTGCCTGTAGTCCCAGCTACTCAGGGGGGCTGAGGTAGGAGAATGGTGTAAACCTGGGAGGCGGAGCTTGCAGTGAGCCAAGATCGCGCCACTGCACTCCAGCCTGGGAGAGAGAGCGAGACTCTGTCTCAAAAAATAAAAAAAATTAAAAAAAATAAAGTTACCAGTTCCACTCCTGGATATATACCCAAGAAAGTTGAAGACATATTTTCATACAAAAATTTGTACATGAATGTTCATAGCTTCCATTAGCCAAAAAGTGGAAGCAACCCAAATGTCCATCAACTGATGAATGATGAATGGATAAGGAAAATGTAGTATAGCCACACAATGGAATGTTATTCCACTATAAAAATAAAGCAAGTATTGATACATGGATGAACCTTAAAAACATTATGCTAAGTGAGAGAAAGTCAGGCAAAAAGGCCATATACTGTATGATTCCATGTATATGAAGTGTCCAGAATAGGCAAATGTATAGATACAGAAAGTAGACTCGTTGCTAGGAGCTGAGGGTGAGAGAATGGGAATAATTGCTAAGGGATGTGAAGTTTATTTTTGGAGTGATGATAATGTCCTAAAATCAGAGGCGATGTTTGCATAACTCTGTGAATATACTAAAAGTGAATATACGAATTCACTGAATTAGTGAATTTTATAGCATAATTATATTTCAATCAATCTTTATAAAACTAGCAGTTCTAATTCTAGTAATCAAAAAGAGGAAAGAGAAATGAATGCAATTATTTTTTTAATTTGGCTGCTGGTACTGGAGAAAAAAAACAGTTCCAATTAGAAAAAAAAAAAGATGAATTATTCAGTAGGAATACTAAAGTGGATTTCCAAAGGCTTTAGAAATTGATGGCACTAGTTCTTTAACATCTGTAGTTTCAATTCAAAATGTATTTCTTATCCAAGTTATCATAAACCTTAATCTTAACTCTTGGCCACAGTTAAGTTTAATTTGGAGCATGTCAGTGGAAATTAGGAGAGGGGAGACAAAGAATGTGAGAGGGATGACTAATTTTTCCAAAGGGTAGAAAAAAATAAAGGAGGATGATAAAGAATATTTATGAGCTGATATGAGCTATGGAAGTGTGAAGGACATGTGGATTGGGGCGTGTGCTCAGAGTCCCTTAACGGGAAAAAAAGAAGACAATGGGAAGTAAGCCTCCTGGGACTTCCATTGGCACCAAGTGTCTCGATGGCTCTCTCTGCTGTCCTTGTAGTAGTGTGGGAGGAGAGAAATCTAGTCCCATGCACAAGCTTTCCAGAAGCTCAGGGTTCCTATCTCAGTATTCCACATTTCATATGAGTACATCTCATCTTCCCAACTAAACTGCAAATCTGTAAGGGTGAGATCATGTTTTTATGATGGCTCCTTTAATCTCCCATAGCTCCCATTCCTCTACATAACACCATAGATGTTCAGCCAGTACTTGTAGAACGGTGAATGAATCGATCAAATGAATGAATAGCAACTCTATCTACAAGGCATGCCAAACAAGCTACCACGAGATTCTGATTTACTCCTTGGCTCTTTGTGCTCTCTGTGGAGCACCATTCACATAGTTACCCTGCAGTCCTGCAACCTCACCCATTCTGTAGCACTTTGAAAGGAGAGAGTTGTAACCTTCATAGTCATTGACCTTTCAGTACCCACTTTTATTACATTTTAAATACACCCTTGAAGCCCTCCCATCTTCAAGGAAAGATCCAGCCTGTTAGCTCTGGGTGTGTAACGTAAGACCTTAGCTGATGTCTTCCTTGCAGGCATACCAAGAATGCCAGTCACCTCTCCAAACCCTCCCCCAAACTAACATGGTCTCCTGAGCCTCGGGTCACGCCTGGGATAGAGCAGAGTTAGCAGCCATATGTTTTCACTTCAACAGTAAATCTAACTTGGAATTTTAAGAACCTATTTTTCCCCTCTAGGAAAAAATACTTGGGATATCACATGAAGAAGTAGACTGAAATATCAGATTTGTCATCAGGAATACTCTTTGTCTACTGTGGTCCTGTGCACGTTGGCCTCAGATGGACTACAGGAGATTACAACGTACAAGGCAGATGGAGCATTGACGTTTTCAAAACCATTATTCCTGTGACTGGAGAGGCATCAGGAGAGGTCTCGTTCGTCTCCAGCTCATAAAATGTAGCAGCATCATCCTTGACAGTGATGTTTTTCAGGCCCTCCATTGAGAACCTGAGGAAATCTGTAAAGATAAGTGGTGATGTTGTTTCAAACGTTCAGAACAGATACCATCATCCTGCCTTTGTTAGCTGCTGTAGGGAAAGTGCGTTACAGATGTCTGCTGACCTCACAAGAGTGAAAAGATAAACTGTGCATGTGTTTCCACTTCCGTTTCTAGTACTATTTATTTTTAAACTACACTTGGGGTGGCCTAATACCTAGGAAGATGTTGCTATTCACGTTAGTAAACAGCCTAAAGAAACTCTTAGGTTTACTGCTACATCCATTTGTTTGGAGAGGTAACTGTTGTCTGTGCCTTTTTGAAAAACTTCCATTTGGTACAAAATTTTTACTCCAACACCCCCTCAACCCTTTTCTCAGGGACCACACCTCTTCTTCCCAAGGTCCCTGGGACTTCCTCATTCTTTGTGGTAGTACAATGATTGGTAGCAGGTAAAATAAATACATAGAAAGACTACTGTCAAAAGAGTGTCTTCTGATTAGTAAGTAATAAGTCTTCTGATTATCAAATGAGTTAATTTACATAAAATGCTCAGAACACTTCTTGGTACTTAATGTTAAGTCTTCACTTATGGTCCCTAATGTGTGCTGCCCTCAGCTAAGCTGCCAATTTCCTCTCCTGTCAACGCAGTCACTGATTGCTTTCCTGAGATTGCGGCTGTTCGGTATAAGGTTTTTTAGAAACATGCTCAATAGTAAGTGTTTAAGACACAAAACAATTTAAAAAATACTATCAAATTATAAGGTCTTACAAATTTCTGGATATGTAGTACCCAGCATATGGCCTGATGTAAAACTGGTGCTTAATAAAACTTTGAAGAACAAACAAGTCAGTAAGTCAGACATACTCTCAGGTTCAAGGGAAAACTGGATCTATCTATTATCAAATGCTTCACTAGCCTACCCATCTCAATAAAATGAGTTATTCTCTTTTGTTTTCTTCTCCCACATGAAAGTCATCACTGTTAGGGATAGAGGAGTCTCCATTTTTTGTTTGTTTGTTTGTTTTGTTTTGTTTTGAGACAGACTCTCGCTCTGTCACCCAGGCTGCAGTGCAGTGGCGTGATCTCGGCTCACTGCAACCTCCGCCTCCTGGGTTCAAGCAATTCTCCTGTCTCAGCCTCCCAGGTAGCTGAGATTACAGGCACCCGCCACCATGCCCGGCTAATTTTTTTTTTTGTATTTTTAGTAGAGACGGGGTTTCACCATGTTAGCCAGGATGGTCTAGATCTCCTGACCTCGTGATCTGCCCGCCTTGGCCTCCCAAAGTGCTGGGATTACAGGCGTGAGCCACCACACCCAGCCAGGAGTCTCCTTTTAGACATGGAGACACTGAAGACCACCTCTTCCTCCATCCACTCTGATCTCGCCATTCCAAACTTTTTGCAGTTCCCCAAAGGTATTATGCAACCTGGCACCTCTGAGCCTTCATAACAGTATCCTCTCTACTTGGAGTGTTCTTGCATGATGGCTTCCTTTCCCCCTGTTTCCACTAAAACAACTAACTCTAGCTCATCTTTCCAAATTTCCTCAGTTTCCTCCAGGACTCATTTGCTAACCCTCCCTTGGCCATCATGTGGCTATATTTGGATGCCTTTTCTCATAAGATGCTCCAAATCACCCTGCATGTAGACATTATGCTTAATATATTGCACCGTAAGATTTGGTTTACCCAGTCTTTCTCAGTGGATTGTAAAGTCGTTTGCAAACAGGTACTATGCCTAATTTAACTTTATATATCTAGTGCCTGGCATAGTTTTGGCACACAGTTGCAGAACCATACCCTCGTCTGACTGATACAGCTTGTAAATCAGTATGACTGGAATATGCCCTAAGATATGTGTACTTACAACAAGCTCTCCATGTGTTTCCAATATCATCTATGGCTTGTGGTCAAGATGAAGTAACTAACGAGATTTAATCTCCTGCTTGAAACAACTAAAAAAAAAAAAAGACACTATAGATGAGAATGATTTTCAAGGCATTGGACATTAGGTAATTTTTTTTTTTTTTTGTATTTTTAGTAGAGACGGGGTTTCACTGTGTTAGCCAGGATGGTCTCGATCTCCTGACCTCGTGATCTGCCTGCCTCAGCCTCCCAAAGTGCTGGGATTACAGGCGTGAGCCACCGCGTCTGGCTAGGAGTCTCCTTTTAGAGAACTGGTCCCTGAGAGATGAGACTCTAAGTGAGCCCTATGTTTGCCCTAGAGTACTGCATGCAAAGAGTTTCTAGGTCATGCTGGAGAGAGGGGAACCCACGCAGAGTTCACCAGCTCCCTGAGTAGAGAGGATAGAGCTAGGAGTCCAGAAAGATCAGAGCAGCTGAAGTTTGCAAGTCTGATAAAGGATGAAAGAGAGAGGCACACAAAGCTCCAGAGACCTGCAGATATTTCCCCTTAGGTATTCAGATGAATACTGATCAAAACATGTGCATGAAGAAATTACCCAAGGCATGGGGAAGAACCACCTGAAAATATTAAAGGGAACGCTCTCCAAAGCCTACACAAGGCCATGAATACTGCCTATTTTGGCAATAGGTAGAATCCACAAAACAATTTTGTCTCAGAAGTGGCAAAAATTAGCCCTAGACTAAGCACTCTCTGGTTCTGCACAACCTAAAGATTAAGAGCAAAAACTTAAAGGATTAAACTGTTACCAAATAACTGAGCTGTGTTCTAGAACAAACGCAAGGATATCTATAGAATAATCAAAATATCCAGCATCCAACAAGGTAATATTCACAATGTCTAGCTTCTGATAAAAAATTATAAGGCATGCAAAAAAGCAGCAAAATGCAATCCATCATGAGAAGAAAAATCAGGAAAGCTAGAATGTTACAGATGATAGAATTGTTAGACATTAGAACTATTATAACTGTATTCCACATGTTCAATAAGCCAGAAGAAATATAACATGCAAAGTACACATAGAACTTATAAGTATGACTCAAACCAAAGTTCTAGAGATGAAATCTATAACATCTGAGATGAAAAACATGCTGGATTGGATTAATAGCAGATTAGACATCATAGAAGAATGGATAGGTAAACTTGAAGACATAGCAATAGATCCAAAATAAAAAACAGAAAAATAAGATTGAGGGAAAAAACAGCAATAGCGAATTGTGGAATGACTTCTAATGAATGGCCTATATATATAGGTATAATTGAAGTGAAGATTTTCCAAATTTGATGAAAACTATAAACCCACAGAACCAAGAAATTCTACAAATGCCAAGCACCAAAAACAGGGACAGGGAGAAAACTATGCCAAGGCACACCATAAATTGCTCAAAACCAGTGATAAAGAAAAAAAAAAGTCTTCCAAGCAAGCAGAGAAAAAGGCATATTATATGCAGAGAAAGAAAAATTAAAATGACAGCAAACTTCTTGGGGACTAACACAAAAGAAACAGTAACCTCTCTAAAGTATCAAGACACACACACACACACACACACACACACACACACACACACTATAAATGCAGAATTCTATACCCAGCCAAAAGATGATTTTAAAATGTAGGGAAAATAGAGATTTTTTGAGATGTATAAAACCTAAAAGAATTCCTTATCAGCAGACCTGAACTATAATAAATATTAAAGAAATTCCTTCAGTAGAAGCCAAATTATTCCAAATAGAAATCTGTATCTGAAAAAAAAGCACTAGAAATGATAAAATGTGGGTAAATATAAAGAATTTTTAATTAAAAGATAATATACTATTTAAAAGAAAAAATAATAATGTGTTATGGGGTTTATAATGTAAATCAAAATGTATAAGAATAATAGTATGGAGGGTGGGAGACAGAAATGGAAGTGTAATTGTACAGATCCACATTATATGTGAAGTGTACAATTTCACTTGAAAGTAGACTGGGCCAGGTGCAGTGGCTCACACCTGTAATGCAGCACTTCCAGAGGCAGAGGCAGGTGGATCACCTGAGGTCAGGAGTTCGAGACCAGCCTGGCCAACCTGGTGAAACCCCATCTCTACTAAAAATACAAAAATTAGCCAGGAATGGTGGTGCACACCTGCAATCCCAGCTGCTCAGGAGGCTGAGGTGGGAAGATCGCTTGAACCTGGGAGGTGAAGTTTGCAGTGAGCAAAGATTGCGCCACTGCACTCCAGCCTGGGTGACAGAGTGAGACTCTGTCTCAAAAAAAAAAAGAGAGAGACTGTGGTAAGTTAAAAATGTATACTCTAAACCCAGAATCAACTCCTAAAACACACACACACACACACAAACTCATACAAAATGTATAGCTAATAAGCCAACAATGGAGGTAAAATGGAATCACGAAAAATAATCCATAACAAGGCAGAAAAGGACAGATGAGACAGAAAGAAAACAGCAAGTGGTCTATTAAACTCAACCATATCAATAATCACAATAAATGCAATGATATAGATATTCCAATTAAATGGCAGAGATTATCAAATTGGATTAGAAAGACCAACTTTATACACATCTTCCAAAAAAAAAACTTTAAATACAAAGACATGAACAGTCTTAGGCAAAAGGATGGATGCTTTGGGAGGCCAAGGTGGATGGACTGCTTGTGTCCAGGAGTTCAAGACCAGCCTAGGCAACTTGACAAAACCTCATCTCTACAAAAACACACAAAAATTGTGTGGTGGCGCATGCCTGTAGTCCCAGCTTCTTGGGAGGCTGAGGAGGGAGGCTCACTGGAGCCCAGGAGGTCGAGGCTGCAGTGAACCACGTTCATGTCACTGCACTCCAGCCTGGGTGACTGGGTGACAGAGGGAGACCCTGCCAAAAGAAAAAAAAAAAAAAAGTCAAAGGATGGAAAGATGTACCATAACACCCGTCAAAGGAAAATGGAGTGGCTACGTTAATATCAATCCAAGTAGATTCAAAGCAAATAACGTTACCAGGTGATATAGTTTGGATGTTTGTCCCCTCCAAATCACATGTTGAAATATGATTCCCAATTTTGGAGATGGGCCTTGTGGGAGTTGTTTTGGTCATAGGGGCAGATCCCTCATGAATGGGAGGGATCCCTGAAGTAATGCATTCACACAAGATCTGGTTGTTAAAGAGTCTGGAATTTTCCCCTTCTCTCTTGTTCCCTCTTTCATGTGACATGCCTACTCCCCCTTCCCCTTCTGCCATGATTGTAAACTTCCTGAGACCCTCACTGGAAGCAGATGCCAGCACTGTGCTTCTTGTACAGTCTGCAGAACTGTGAGTCAAAATAAACCTCTTTCTTTATAAATCACCTAGTCCCAGGTATTCCTTTACAGTAATGCAAAATGGACTAATACAGCAGGGATAAAGTCATTTAATAATAGTAAAGGAGTCAATTCATCAAAGGACATAACAATCCTAATGTTATGCATCTAGTAACAGCCTCAAAATACATAAAGCAAAAACTAATAGAATTGCAGGGAGCAATATACAAAAATGTTTCACAATTATAGCTGGAGATTTCAACATCTCTCAATGATTGATAAAACCAGTAGACAGAAAATCAGTAAGGATAGTACAGATTTGAAAACTTGGAGCATTAAAACCAACAACAGCAGAAAAAAACATTCTTTTCAGGTGCACATGGACATTTAAAACACTGAACTATCTTCTGGACCATAAATCTCAATAAATTTAAAAGGATTAAAGTAATTTAAAGAATGTTTGTTGACCACACTGTAAATAAATTTGAAATCAATAACAAAGATATCTGGAAAATTCCTCAAATGTTTGGAAACAAAACCTGTCTAAATTACCCATGGGTCAAAGCACAAATCAAAAGGGAAATTAGAAGTATTTTTAACTTAAAAATGAAAGCACAGCATACTAGTAATTCTGAGAGGCACTAAGGTAGTACTTAGTGCTTCACTTTAGCAAAGGAAACTTTAAAGCACTAAATAGCTACATTAGAAAAGAATGGTCACTAACTGATGACTTCAGCGTATACCTTAAACTAGAAAAGGCAAATCCAGAGTAGGCATGAGAAAGGGAATTCAAGAAATAGAAAACAAGAAATAGTGAAAAAAATCTACAAACCCAAAAGCTGGTTTGTTGAGCATATCAATAAAACCGCTAGCTTGACTGATCAGAAAAAAGGAGAAAATATGAAGATATTTTCAGAATGTTTTCAAAATTTTGAAAAGTAGAATGTGTCATGAGCAGACCAAGAGTAGAAGACATACCAAAGGAAACTCTCAGCCTGAAGGAAAATTATAGCAGATGGAAAGTCAGATCTCTACAAAGGAATAAGGAGCATCAAACATAATAAATATGCAGATAAATAAAAGTATTTTTCTTTACATTTAAAAGACAATTGTTTAAAGCAAAATAATAATAGTATATTATGGCATTTACAACATGCAGAAGTAAAACTTATGACAATAAAAACACAAATGAGGCCAGGTTGTGGTGGCTCTTGCCTGTAATCCCCCAACTTTGGGAGGCTGAAGCAGGTGGATCACCTGACGTCAGGAGTTCGAGACCAGCCTGGCCAACATGGTGAAACCCCGTCACTACTAAAAATACAAAAATTAGCCATGCATGGTGGTGCATGCCTGTAATCCTAGCTACATAGGAGGCTGAGGCAAGAGAATGGCTTGAACCTGCGAGGCAGAGGTTGCAGTGAGCCAAGATTGTGCCACCGCACTCCAGCCCAGGCAACAGAGCAAGACTCCAGCCCGGGTGACAGAGTGAGACTCCATCTCCCAATAAATAAATAAATACACAAATGATAGGAAAGGATTCTGGGAAGATGGTGGAGTAGGAAACACTAGAAATCTGTCTCCCACCTAGACAACAATAACTCAAACAGAATCAATCTGAAATAACTATTTTGGAACTCTGAAGTCTATTAAAGGTTTGCAACTTCCAGGCAAAAGCTTCGACAGGTAAACTACAGTTAATTTAATCAATTTCAGCTCTTAGCACAATACCAGCTACCTATCCCCCAACTCCAGTCCCATGGCAAGCAATGGTGCACCTGTTCCTGGAGCAGTTTGCACACAGCTTGTGGTAAGCAGAGTGCAAAAAAAGAACCCTGTTCTCCAAATATCAGGGATCTGTGCACTGATTGCTGACTCCTGCTCTGATCAAAGAGGTGCAGGTAAAGAGGTGGCAGCCATTGTTTGTCAGTCTGACCCATTACACCTCTCCCCATGACTACAAGCCCCTCCTCCTCCAGCTGAAGTGACTCCCAGGAAACTTAAAAGGCCTCTGCCCTCTTTTTCTCCTTTTCATTTTTCTCCTTTTCCCATTTGGGGAGCCAGAAAATGAGACTAGGATTTTCAAAAGCAACTGTATTTGGGGGAAAAATATGAAATTGACCTTGCATATCCAAAGAGAGGCACAGACTCAGAAAAGACCTCAGAAGACTTAAGTTTATACCTCAGGGTGATCCTTGGTACAGAGACAGTGTACAACAATTAAAAATCAAAACCACACAAACCCAAACCACAAAATAGCAAGCCCTGGGGAAGGGGATTAATCTGATTTCCACAGTTACCATATTATTAGATTCAAATGTCTATGTTTTCAACAACAACAAAAAATCAAAGCATACAAAGAAATAGGAAAGTATGACCCAAAGGAAAAAAATCAACAGAAACTCTCTGAAAAAGATCTGGTGGCAAATCTACTAGAGAAAGGCTTTCAAACAACTGTCTTAAAGATTCTCAAAAAAGAACAAAAGGAACATGTGGAGAAAGTAAAAAAATAATGTAAATAGCATATGGACAAAATAGAAATATCAATAAAGAGACAAGCAACTTAAAAGAAAACAAAAAGAAATTTTGAAAGCTGAAAGTACAATTACCGAAATAAAAAATTCACTAAACAAATTTAAAGACAGATTTGAGAAAGCAGAAGAAAGAATCAGGAAACTTGGCTGGGCAGGGTGGCTCACGCCTGTAATCCCAGCACTTTGGGAGGCTGAGGCGGGCAGATCACAAGGTCAGGAGATCAAGACCATCCTGGCTAACACGGTGAAACACCGTCTCTACTAAAAATACAAAAAATTAGCCAGGCGAGGTGGCGGGCGCCTGTAGTCCCAGCTACTCGGGAGGCTGAGGCAAGAGAATGGCGTGAACCCCGGGGGGTGGAGCCTGCAGTGAGCCAAGATCGTGCCACTGCACTCCAGCCTGGGTGACAGAGCGAGACTCCATCTCAAAAAAAAAAAAAAAAAAAAAGAATCAGGAAACTTGAACATAATGACGCAGGATTTTTCTTGGCCCCTTTGCTGGGCTTGCAGCAGGGGCACCCAACACCTCGGCCTGCTGTGCTCAGCCCCTGGTAGGAGGGAGCACATGGGCAAGCGAGTGCAGGGCTTGGCTGGTTGCTCCAAGTGCCAACACAAGAGCAAGCTCTATGCAGGCCCCACGGCCAGACCAGGTATGTTGCCCTAAGGGGATCGCAACAGTGCCCAAGCAGGGGTGCCCCATGACCCCAAATCCCCAGAAGGGGTGTTAGTGTGCTAATTAGCTCTTTTAGTTCCACTGTCCACAGCCTGATGGACGGCAGCACGTTAACAGCTCAGTCAGATTCTTGCCCCTCCCTGACCCAGGGCTCCAGAACTGGCGTGGCTCTGGGACCAGCTTGGCCCCGCCACTGCTTCTATCATGTGGGGAAGCTGCCCTCCACCGTTGAGGGCAGAGGGCCAGTGTTACAGCCTTTCTGGCCACCCACATTCAGTGAGTCCCAAGCTCTTGTCCTGCATCCAAGAAGAATGAGGTCACACTGACAATTAAAGGGTGGTAAAGACAGATAATTTTATTGAGTGAAGAAACAGCTGTCAGTGGAAAGAGGGTGGGAAGGTCGGATTGTCTCTCCTGAAGTCAGATTGTCTCTCTCAGTGTGGCTGAATCTGGGATTTTTATAGGCACAGGATAAGGGAGTGCATGCTTCCTGGTTTGTGAGTATGCAAGAAAGGTTAAAATCAAGGCACCAGTGAAAGGTGGGCACAGTGTAAAAACAATTAGGGAAGGGTAGGTATATGTAAAATAGGTTAAGGGTAGGGATCAATCAAAGGAAAGCACACCAAACCGGAAGACAGTACTCAATCCAAACTGTGAATTTGACTTGTAGCTTGGCCTCAGGCTTTAAACTTTCTTTGGCTTGAATGTGGGGTTTCACTGGGGACCTGCCCATCTGCCTAGGATTTCTCTGTCTCCTGCCTCTATCAATAAGACAGTGGAAATTATCAAGTCTGAGGAACAGAAAGAAAAAGTCTGAAGAAAAGTGAACAGAGCCTAAGGGAGTTGTGAGACATCATCAAGCTGCCCAACACAAGCATTATGGGAGTTCCAGAGGAAAGGAGAGAGAGAGACAAAGAGGCACAGAGAATACATGAAGAAATAATGGCTGCAAACATTACAAATTTGAGGAAAGATATGAATGTAAATATCCAAGAACCTCAATGAATTCCAAGCACAATGAACTGAAAGAGACCTACCCCGAGGCACATTATAATCAAATGCCTGAAAGACAATGACAGATAATCCTGAAAGTAGGATGAGGGAATTGACTCATCACATACAAGGAACCCTTAGATCATCAGCAGATTTTTCATCAAAAACTTTGGATGCCAAAGGCAATAAGCCAATATATTCAAAATGCTAAAAGAAAACAAAAAAAAAACAAAAAAAAAACAAAAAAATGTGTCAACCAAGAATCCTATATTCAGCAAAACTATTGTATTAGCTTGTTCTCACTCTGCTATAAGGACATACCCAAGACTGGGTAATTTATAAAGGAAAGAGGTTTAATTGACTCACAGTTCAGTATGGCTGGGGAGGCCTCAGGAAACTTATAATCATGGCATAAGGGGAAACAAACATGTCCTCCTTCACATGGCAGCAGGAGAAAAATGAGAGCCAAGCAAAGGGGAAAGCCCCTTATAAAACCATCAGATCTCGTGAGAACTTACTATCACGGGAATAGCATGGGGGAAACTGCTCCTGTGATTCAATTACCTCCCACCAGGTCCCTCTCATGACAGGTGGGGATTATGGGAACTACAATTCAAGATGAGATTTGTGGGGGGGACACAGCCAAACCATATCAATTATCTTTCAAAATGAGGGGGAAATTAATTCCCAGATAAACAAAAGTTGATTGAGTTTGTTAGACTAGGTCACCTCTGCAGGGTGAAATTAAAGGACCCTTGACAGTAACTAAAGTCATTTGAAGAAATAAAGATCTCAATGAAGGTAAATACATAGGCCACTACCGAAGCTAGTATTATTATTATTTTTTTGAGACAGAGTCTTGCCCTGTTGTCCAGGCTGGAGTACAGTGGCACGATCTCAGCTCACTGCAACCTCTGTCTCCTGGAGGGGTCAAGCAATTCTTATGCCTCAGCTTCCCAAGTAACTGGGATTACAGGTATGCACCACCATGCCTGGCTAATTTTTGTATTTTTAGTAGAGACAGGGTTTCACCATGTTGGCCAGCCTGGTCGCAAACAGGTGATCTGCCTGCCTTGGCCTCTCAAAGTGCTAGGATTACAGGCATGAGCCACCATGCCTCAACCAAAGCTAGTATTATTTGGACAAGGGTTTGTAACTCTACTTTTTGTTTTCTACACTTTTTTTTTTTTTTTGAGACAGTCACTCTGTCGTCCAGGCTGGAGTGCAATGGCGCAATCTTGGCTCACTGCAACCTCTGCCTCCCAGGTTTAAGCGACTCTCCTGCCTCAACCTCCCGAGTAGCTGGGACTACAGACACATGCCACCACACCTGGCTAATTTTTTGTATTTTTAGTAGAGACGGAGTTTCACTGTGTTACCCAGGATGGTCTCAATCTCCTAACCTCATGATCTGCCTGCCTCGGCCTCCCAAAAGTGCTGGAATTTCCGACGTGAGCCCCCGCGCCCAGCTCTTTTTTTTTTCTTTTGACAGAGTCTCACTCTGTCGCCCAGGCTGGAGTGCAGTGGCATGATCTCGGCTCACTGCAACCTCCACCTCCTGGGTTCAAGCGATTCTCCTGCCTCAGCCTCCTGAGTAGCTGGGATTACAGGCGTGCGCCATCACGCCCAGCTAATTTTTGTATTTTTAGTACAGATGGAGTTTCACCATGTTGGTCAGGCTGGTCTCAAACTCCTGACCTTGGGTGATCCGCCCACCTCAGCCTCCCAAAGTGCTGGAATTACAGGCATGAGCCACCGCGCCCGGCCTCCACATTGTTTTCTACATAATTTAAAATTCTTTTTTTTTTTTTTTTTTTTTTTTTTTTTGAGACAGAGTCTCACTCTGTCGCCCAGGCTGGACTGCGGACTGCAGTGGCGCAATCTCGGCTCACTGCAAGCTCCGCTTCCCGGGTTCACGCCATTCTCCTGCCTCAGCCTCCCCAGTAGCTGGGACTACAGGCGCCCGCCACCGCGCCCGGCTAATTTTTTTGTATTTTTAGTAGAGACGGGGTTTCACCTTGTTAGCCAGGATGGTCTCGATCTCCTGACCTCATGATCCACCCGCCTCGGCCTCCCAAAGTGCTGGGATTACAGGCGTGAGCCACCGCGCCCGGCCCATAATTTAAAATTCTAATGTGTTTAAAATAATTATTAGTTTATGTTTCGGGGAACATGGATAAAGATATAACTTTGTTACAAACAACCAAATGGGGTGGGGATGGAGCTATAAATAAGTAGATTTTTTGGCCAGGCATAGTAGCTCACACCTGTAATCCCAGCACTTTGGGAGGCTGAGGTGGGCAGACTGCTTGAGCCCAGGAGTTCAAGACCAGCCTAGGCAACATGGTAAAACCTCATCTCCCCACTGGCTGCTCTGAAAAGCCATCTTTGCATTGTGCCTCGTCAGCCTCCTTGCTCGCCGCAGCCGCCTCCGCCGCGCGCCTCCTCCGCCGCCGCGGACTCCGGCAGCTTTATCGCCAGAGTCCCTGAACTCTCGCTTTCTTTTTTATCCCCTGCATCGCGTCACCGGCGTGCCCCACCATGTCAGACGCAGCCGTAGACACCAGCTCCGAAATCACCACCGAGGACTTAAAGGAGAAGAAGGAAGTTGTGGAAGAGGCGGAAAATGGAAGAGACGCCCCTGCTAACAGGAATGCTAATGAGGAAAATGGGGAGCCGGAGGCTGACAACGAGGTAGATGAAGAAGAGGAAGAAGGTGGGGAGGAAGAGGAGGAGGAAGAAGGTGATGGTGAGGAAGAGGACGGAGATGAAGATGAGGGAGCTGAGTCAGCTACGGGCAAGCGGGCAGCTGAAGATGATGAGGATGACGATGTCGATACCCAGAAGCAGAAGACCGACGAGGATGACCAGACAGCAAAAAAGGAAAAGTTAAACTAAAAAAAAAAGGCCGCCGTGACCTATTCGCCCTCCACTTCCCGTCTCAGAATCTAAACGTGGTCACCTTCGAGTAGAGGGGCCCGCCCGCCCACCGTGGGCAGTGCCACCCGCAGATGACACGCGCTCTCCACCACCCAACCCAAACCATGAGAATTTGCAACAGGGGAGGGAAAAAGAACCAAAACTTCCAAGGCCCTGCTTTTTTTTTCTTAAAAGTACTTTAAAAAGGAAACTTGTATTTTTTATTTACATTTTATATTTTTGTACATATTGTTAGGGTCGGCCATTTTTAATGATCTCGGATGACCAAACCAGCCTTCGGAGCGTTCTCTGTCCTACTTCTCACTTTACTTGTGGTGTGGCCATGTTCATTATAATCTCAAAGGAGAAAAAAAAACTTGTAAAAAATGCAAAAATGACAACAGAAAAACCATCTTATTCCGAGCATTCCAGTAACTTTTTTGTGTATGTACTTAGCTGTACTATAAGTAGTTGGTTTGTATGAGATGGTTAAAAAGGCCAAAGATAAAAGGTTTCTTTTTTTTCCTTGTCTGTGAAGTTGCTGTTTATTTTTTTTTGGCCTGTTTGATGTATGTGTGAAACAATGTTGTCCAACAATAAACAGGAATTTTATTTTGCTGAGCTGTTCTAAAACAAACAAAAACAAAAAAAACCTCATCTCTAAAAAAACAACAAAAAAATTAGCTGCATGTGGTAGTGTGTGCCTGTAGTCTCAGCTACTCGGGAGGCTGAAGTGGGAGGATCACCTGAGCCTGGAAGGTGGAGGTTGCAGTGAGCCAAGATCGCGTCACTGCACTCCAGCCTGGATGACAGAGCAAGAGCCTGTCTCCACAAAAAAAAAAAAAAAAAGAGAAAGAAAGAAAAGAAAAGAAAAGAAAAAAAGAGGGAGAAAGACAAAACCATCAAATTTATTTAATATGTTTTATATGGTACAGGAGTCTTCATATTGAAATGAAGACCCAAAGAAACAGATAAGTGTTAGTGTGTTTTGTAGTAGGTTTGATGAAGAGTAGACAGTTGTGGAGAAATATGATAGGACATAAAGGGTATGATCTCATAATAACTGGGGGAAACTTAGCAAGACCTAAGTTTAGATTTCTTTGTGACTTTTTTTTTTTTTTTTTTGAGACGGAGTCTTGCTCTGTCACCCAGGCTTGAGTGCAGTGGCGCGATCTCAGCTCACTGCAACCTCCTCCTCCCAGGTTCATGCCATTCTCGTGCCTCAGCCTCCTGAGTAGCTGGGACTACAGGCGCCCTCCACCACGGCTGGCTAATTTTTGTATTTTTAGTAGAGACAGTTTCACCATGTTAGCCAGGCTGGTCTCAAACTCCTGACCTCAGGTGATCCACCCGCCTCAGCCTCCCAAAGTCCTGGGATTACAGGCGTGAGCCACTGCACCCAGCCAACACTTTGTCTTTAGAGATAAGAATGTTCTCTTCCAGGTGTAGAGAGGGCACCTCTCACACGAGAGACCTGCTTAAGGGAAAGATCAGAAAACTTATCCCAGGTTTATAAACTGCTTCAGGTGAGAATGATGAAGGAATCCTGCTTCCATGATTTTTCTCCAATTCCTTCAGCTCAAAATAGTATTCCGAGGTGTCATATTTTAGGTACTACGTTTTGAGTCCCAGTAGAGAAGACACAAATTACCAATGTCTGAAACAAAAACAGACATTAAAAGGATAGAGAACGTATTTTATGTCAGTAAATCAACAACTTAGATGAAATGGACAAATTCCTTGAAAGACACAAGTAACTAAAGCTGACCTAAGAAGAGAAAATATGAATAACCTAGATTAGAGAAACTGAGGTATTAAAATTTTTCCTGTTACATATGTATCTGCAGTTAGGAATCATAGCACTGCATACTTGTGGACCCTAACCCTTTCCTTCCCATGGAATCCCCAAGAAGGAACTTCAATTACTGGACAAAAGACGAGAATCTTCAAGCCTGTTCAATTGAGTAATGGTAGTGGGGGAGCTTTTGGTAGGATGATCAGAAGTCAAAAGACCTCAAGATAATCACTTCTTGTCTGCCATGCAGCTTGTGATGTAAGATGGGCATCGGGCTGTCTCCTTTTTGACAGTTATTTTCTTTGGAAAGTGAAGCAAGGGCTTAGGGGGAAGGAAGCATCGAATAGGTATCTCCATGGAATAGGATACCACATAGGCGTTTGGGCTTCAATGGACTCTACCTTGTAATACAATTCATTGCCTCAAATGCATTATGTATAAGTACCTCTCTAGAACAGGTATTGGAATTGACTAATTAAAGAGTCAAGTGGTAGCCAGTCGTGGTAGCTCACGCCTGTAATCCCAGCACTTTGGGAGGCCGAGGTGGGCGGATCACAAAGTCAGATCGAGACCATCCTGGCCAACATGGCGAAACCCTGTCTCTACTAAAAATACAAACAATTAGCTGGGTGTGGTGGCACATGCCTGTAATCCCAGCTACTCGGGAGGCTGAGGCAGGAGAATCGCTTGAACCACAGAGTCAGAGGTTGCAGTGAGCTGAGATAGCACCACTGCACTCCAGCCTAGCGACAGAGCTAGATTCAGTCTTAAAAAAAAAGAAAAAAAAGTCAACCGGCTCATTAAAGAGTTAAGGTTCTGAAAACTCTACATTAGGGACTAATACCAAGAAATACTGAGAGATAAATGAGTCCAGACATGCCTTGACAATTAATTACAGTGGAATAAAGATTAAAATCTAGACCTCAATCCATATCCTTTTCCCTCTACCCAAAGACAACCCGTTTTTCTTTTTCTTTTTTTTTTTTGAGACGGAGTTTCGCTCTTGTTGCCCAGGCTGGTTGGAGTGCCAAGGCCTCATCTCGGCTCACTGCAACTTCTGCCTCCTGGGTTCTAGAGATTCTGCTGCCTCAGCCCCTCGAGTAGCTGGTATTACAGGTGCCTACCACAATGCCCAGCTAATTTTTGCATTTTTAGTAGGGATGAGGTTTCACCAAGTCCGTCAGGCTGGTCTCGAACTCCTGGCCTCAAGCAACCCGCTCGCCTCGGCCTCCCAAAGTGCTGCGGCTGGCGACAACCCATTTCTAATCAAAATTTTGCAGTGGAACTTTTCATACTCAAATTGGGCATTTCCTGTCAAGCCTGGTCATTCATCACTTTATTATTCTCTTTATTCTACAGGTAGGGGTTTCTCTATTGACCAGGTTAGTCTCAAACTCCTGACCTCAAAAGATCTTCCCGTCTCAGCTTCCCGAGTAGCTTACAGGCTCAAGCTACGACAGCTGGCAATCTTTGATTATTTTAAGTCGGAGGGCAGGAGGCGAGGAAAGGCAGCACAGTGCCTGGTACACAGTAAATGCAGGCTAGAATGTTAATAAAATTATCCTTCATTTTAACTTCCATATTGGAGAAGACTGGTTTTGTATGTTGACTAAATATGAATTTGCAAATGCAAATCTCAAGCAGATTTTCTGTGGGAGGGGGGACTGTGCAGATTACATAATGATATAAATGGATGGAACCAGAGATCTGAGGACAGTAATTCGTCATTTGAATTAAATTTATAGAAACAATGCAATCATACACAAGGCAACGAATTAAAATGAAAACTACTTAATTATTTACTTAGCTGAAAACCTATCTGGGGAAAAAAGGACCCAAAACAGTTTGCAGTGTTTCCCCATTCGTGAGATTGCCTTTCCATCAGGCAAACCAATCTTCTGCCTTTTCTTTCTTTCATTTAACTGGGAATGGCACAACGTGTTTCTGTTTTCCTTCTAGGAAAAAGAATGGGAGGAGTCAGCAAAGACCAAGGTAAGTTCACTTATTTGAGGGCATTGGCTAAGGGAAAACATTTTAAAACTTGGTTTCCCTTTAATTGGTATTTGGGCTCAAATACTGCAAAATAAAAAAGCAGCTTTCCTCCCTTCCTATCAAACTAGTAAGCTCAGTATCAAGCAGAGACCTGGTATTTCACTGGATTTTACTATGTCCTACCCTCACAGAAAAAGAATCATCACATCACACTGGGCTCTTCACCAGGAAAGCAATGTGCATTTTATAAGCTAATTTAAGATCCTGGAAAAGAGGGAAGTGCTCAGAGTCCATACTAGAACTCCTTCCAGTTTACTGAAAACAAGAGCAGTTTTGAAGCACAGGCTATTTCTTATTCTTGTTCCCAAACACAAATGCTGCCAGCACTGAACTAAGCAACAGCCCTTCGCAAATCTCTCTTGCAGAGACTGATTGGCTGATTGACTGATTTAGAGACAGGGTTTCACTCTGTAGCCCAAGGCTGCCGTGCAAGTGGCGCAATCACGAGTCTTATTGCAGCCTCAACCTCCCCAGCTTAAGTGATCCTCCCACTTCAGTCTTCCAAGTAGCTGGGACTATAGGTGTACTGGCAGAGTATTATTTAAAATGCAAACAATAAAGCTGGGTTTTGTGTCTGAAACAGCGAAGGACAACCAGCTACTGTCTTAATTTCTTGCTGAAAAGAAAGGACAGACACTTTTACTTTTCCACTGTTTTATTACAAAAATCAAATTTCATTTGTTACAATTCAGCTTATTTATTGTAATAATCAAAAAAGGGGTTTATACAAGGTATTTTTATACAGTTTATAATTAAAGCACTTATTTTACAAAAGGAGGGAAGTGAATAAGTGGACAAGGGCTGACCAAATGTTGGCCATTATAACATAAATACATCCTTGCAAAGCACCATCGTACCAAAGTCAATGAACAAGAAACACCAGTTGACTTTAAGACAATGACGAAGATTAAAGCTTAAGGGAAAAAAATAAAAGATAAACATCTGAAAGCAGCACCAGATCCTTCACTTGCAAATAAGGCTAGTCCAGTTTAATCTTCTTGGTATCCTCTCTACTTTTTAACATTTTTCCTTACTAATCCATATATTTAATTTCATGTCATATTGGATTTAATCAGACTTTAAAAATTTTCCCTTTAATACCCATATTTAGGCATTAGATATATAGAATATGTATCTATATATAAATATATCTCTATCGCCCATCCTGCTTATATTTGACTGAAAAACACAACCACCAAAATGGACAGTTCAGCAAAAGCGCGTTGTCTGTAATTCTCTGGTGTTGCTTCTGGGCAAACCCTAAGTGATGGTGGAGAATCTAACAGTTCGTTAGGTCTGTACTCTGCTTCTAAATACAAGACATCATTTAGTTTGTAATTCTATCTGTAAAGTCATGGAGATTTTTTTCAGCAATAAACTCAACAATTTGAGAATGCTTTATGAAAAAGAAAAACAGCAAAGTTTACCTCAATTGAAAGAGGGTGAGGGTAGAGTCAGTAACTGATTAACCTAAGACTCCACCTTCCACTCCACTCAGGTACAGGCTTTATGAGACGTAGATCAAGTCAGACAATAGCCTGAGAGTGTGAATTCACAATACTTATAATTTAAATTTTAAAAAAATTATAAACGTATAATTTTATACTTGAGGTCCAAAGTCTTCTACCATAAAATGTTGAGAATTTCAAAAGCTAAATTTTGAAACTATTATAAAATGGTGCCATCCCAAAAGTCAGAAGCCACACATGCACTACAAGTACTTTCTAAAATCATCTTTCACTACAAGTACTTTCTAAAATCATCTTTCTCTTGGTTCATTTTAGGCTTAAGAAATACCAAATAAAATTAAATTCCTTGGGTTTAAGAATTCTGATAATGTTTTAAACAACACCTGACTATAAGCTTCTTTAGGACTCAGTCCACACTTAGTGCATAGTCTCATCTGTAGATGCCCAAATATTTGTCCACCTACTGATAACTGGTCAACACACTCATATCCATACTCTAAATCAACTATGGATGCCATATGTAGACTTAAGCACCACACATTTATTAAGAGCTGACATATTTCGGATGTGAAAAGTCCAAGATTTTTGTTTCTGAATCTTGTTAGATACGTAATGATAACCAATATGTAATTCCTATGGCATGCAAATGAATGAAGTGGGACAAAGCTTCCCCTACAAGAAATAAAACAATTCAAAATATGACATTTCTAAGAATCTAATCTAGGCAGCTGCAGCCTGTTTACTGCATAGAAGTAGGCGTGCTTAACGCATACCTCTTCAGTCTCTATTATGACTACTGGTATCAAGTCACATAAATAAACACACTTCATTAACACACTAGGTAAGCTACAGCTATTAACTCTACTGGAAGTATTCTTCATTAATAGGGCTTTATAGCAAAAGAAAAAGATGATCCTCCAAAACTGCTACCTAATACAGATGATGGCTATTTTTAATACCTTCAATAATGAATGAGTTTCCTTCATATAAATTACTGACTTTAGGATATTTTTAAATGATAAAGAAATACAACCCTCAAAATCATCTTAAAATTGTACTGCTCAAAGCCCCTTCCCCCAATTACTGGCCTATATTAGATTAAAATGTACTTTAAAGTCTTCATTTCTAAGTACCTATCATCTCTGTAGAATAGGTGTTCTCAAACTTACTAAAGAATCAGAGATCTCTTGGTAATGTATCACAAGCTACTTTTATATTAAAATTAAAGTAACTACATAATCTTCTGCTAAACAGATATCTTGTGATATGCTGTAAGAGTGGCAGAAAGTGCCAAAGGCATAATAAAATTTCATGGAAGAAAAATTAATAGTCAGAAAATTCTATCCACCAACTCTCTTTGTTTCCCTGTGAATGTGCTATTATCTGACTTAAGCAAACAAAACTCCTTAAGTCACTATTCAGAAGACCACGACTCTGTTGGAGCAAAGTCCAGGCCTTAGTTATAAAAGACCACTTCAATGCAGAATAGCTTACTGTGGTGCACACAAAGTATGTTATGCTCAAGTTTATTTCTTGGACAATTTTAATCACATCAGTTAGTGCATATATTTTAGGACACATGTTCAAAATAAATACTTTTGCATATAAGGAATCTAATGAAACATTATTCATTTTCCCCCTTGGACAATGAATTTAATACACCAAATTTAAAAATCCCTTTTCTTTTTTCCCCCTAATTTGTGATCTCATGCTTTTCCTCTCAACTTTTCCAATTACAGCTTGTGTTTGATAATCAATATACAGTTTACTTAAGCTTAACTGTCCATGTAACCTAAGGCTCAATAAATCTTTCCAAATTTGACAATTCTCTCATTAAAAAGTACTCCCAGAAATATTAAGAATCCATCTCATCTACCCCAGAAAGAGAACACTGAGATTAGGCTGAACTGCCTTCAAATAATTTTAAACAAATTGGCACACAAATTAGTATTTTGAAGAAGAGGCCATTGCCATCGCAGTGCAAGCACGTGGACTGAGATCCAACAAGGCAATATTCTTCTTAGTTAATTAGAGTGCAAGTCTCCACATGGGAAGCCCACCAGATCAAGATGCACATTTAAATATGTAAACATATAGAATTCTCAAATTCTAACTGACACCCAGGTATTGCTAACCTTTCCATCTTCATTTAAGCATCAAGTGCCCTGTGTATCACAGAATCCAAGTTCAATGTCCATTTTGTCTGACACTGTGGGCACTTAGTTCCAGCAATGGGAAGAGTTCATGCTTGTCTGTTTTAGGATTCTGATAGATTTACCATTTGCTTATATGCAAAATCAAGTGCACCTGATTCTTACAGTCTCCAACAATCAGCATTATTCTGAAACCACAATTTTATCTTCAAAAACTTTACTTAGGTATTTTTAACTTGCATGAACAGTTACTTCACCCTTGCCCAAATTCTGAATCCTTTCTTCCACTGTTTTCTCTTGGGCCCTGAAACCCAGAGAGGCCTTGGCAAGACAGAATTAAAAAAGAAAAAAAAAAAATTCAATAATTAACTGACCAACACCTCTTAAGCTAAAAATACATTAGTTTAAAACCATTCAATTTTAGCAGAGAAGTGCTACACATGTGTAAAAAGCAGGAAACGAACTTCTGGCAAGGTGGCAGAGCAAGTGCTAGAATCATTCCACAGGTCAGCCCTGATAGCTCAAGATGTAGCAGCCCCAGTACCATACATGACAGCAGGTCAGGCAGATCACAAAAGAGGCTTCCATTATTCCCTTCCACCCAAATTCTGACAGCTGAGAAGTTAACAGTTTGCCTTCTCATTTAATCCTCATTGTTAAATTTGTTAAACTATCTTAATCCATAATGGGTAAGAGAGGACCCACATAAAAATATTGGGTGATTACAAGAATAATTTGTGGATAATTTGAAAACAGCCTAACATTCACAGTGGGTAACAGAAAGATATTAAATTCATGTCACACATTAGAAGAGGTATGTATGTAGACATTATTCTGAGAAAAACCGGTCTAAAGAACATGAAAACATCACAAACTGTTAATATAGGGAAAATCCTAATAAGAAAAAAATCTTTTTAAATAGATTGTCTCTAACCAGAACATATTTAAATGTTTTACTCAGAAAACAAACAAACAAACAAAATATATATATATATATATATATATATATATATATATATATATATATATATATAAATGATTTCGTACTGTGATATATGCTGAAAGTAGTGCAAGGATATGAGATTTACAACAAAAACATAATGGTTAAATTTTTAATTCTTAAACATTGTCTATATGTGTTGTAAAAAGACATTTTAATGAGCATTAAAACAATCTTGGAAGAAGAGAAATAATATGTCTAACTTTTGATCATTATGCAAAAACAGCAGTCAAATTGAAGAGCTAAGCCTACTGGGGAATGGAGCTAGAAGAAATATTAAAATCAAGTTTAATTTAGAAAATTCCATTTAGTCAATGCTTCAGCTTAAAAAAATCATGGTATCTTAGCAAAATGACTTACCAAGTTGCTGGAGGAGGCAGCAAGGTAAACATACCTAGAGAAAAAAATTCATTTTGACAGAGGTATGGATTCTAAAGGTAGGGACAGAGACTTGCACACACACACAGCTTCATGGCATCTTACCAGAGGGCTGATCTCTCCTACAACAGCAACACCCAGAATGGGTTTTTAGAAATATCTACTTTCCTCACTAGCACTGTTGGATTCCTAGAGAAAACAAAGCCCTTCGTCCAAGGTTAGTATTAATTGCATTTTTTTCCTTTCATCATTTCTTACTTGTTGGCCCTCAAATGTTAGTTAACTGAAGGCTATCTGGCTACATCCATGTATCTATGGTTTGCTGCTCTGAGATGGACTTAATTTTTCTTCTTCCTCTTTTTTATTTTTGGTATCAATAAAGCCCAGATATTCCTGGTCAGTGATGCCTTTATTATTCCTGTTTCCTTTGTACTCAGTTGCTTCACTGGGTTTAAGGCATGCTTTGTGTATTTAGTTTGCAAAAATAAAACTTTTAGTACAAATTTTTTTTATACAAACTTTTATGGCACAAGCAGCAAATCTGCTGTTTTAAGAAAATATATAAATATCCTTTTCTTCTGTACAAATATCTCCAGTATTCCCTACCCCATTTTATAATTTTAACTGTACATGGTCTGCCTCATCCTTCTCTAATAGCTCCCTCCCCCCCTCCAGATCTCAACCAAATTTATATTTACATTTTTACGTTGGAGGCAGTCAGAGGAGGAGGGCCCCTCCTCAGGAGGAGTCTGTACAGGGAGAGGGTGGCGGTGGGTAGAGGTGATGAGAATAGCTCCTCTCTGTGTATGGAGAAGGTGGGCAGCTTTCATAGTTCTCCTCTGCTGACAAGTATTGGCTTCGGGGTGTGGGAGGTGGGGGCACAGGTTCTGAATCATAGTTCAAGTCACTGGTATAGCCCTTGGCTGTTGCCACTGAGGTCATTCTCCGACTAGGAGCATAGTCACTGTCACAAACATCTGTGCTGCAGGGTGTGGTGGGGGGTGCAAAGTGCCGGTAGCTATATGGCCTGTAGCTGGTATAGGGAGAAAATAAAGAGAAGCAGTTAGTTTTACAAAAAAAAATGATTTCCCCTCTCAGAATAGAGGTATTAGATGTCAACTACCCTATGAAAACAATAAGCTACTGCAATTTAAATTTACACAGACCAAGAGGCAATTTTCAATGGCAGATTCGCTGAGGAAAATAGCAGGTACTTTCTTATTTGCAAATAAGAAAGTGGCAAGTGAAAATGAACAGGATGGGAATGCAGAGGTGAATTCAATCTAGCCTCTGGTTGTGCTCTTACATCTTCAAGTTAAACTGTATCACAGAATAAAAAATGACTATTCAAATTTGTTCTGCAGTTTCATAGCCCATGGGAAGAATGGGTTTTTACATATTTTACACTACTCAAACATGTCAGCATTCCCTCAACATTCTTTACTCCAAAATTAACCTGATGAATAATTAATTTAATGACATCTGAAGTCTTCATTTCTTTCTTCTGTACAATTCTGTACAATTTCTGTACAGTCCAGGCTGGATTTTGGTAGACAGCCTCAGGGGCATAACTATTCCATTGTTGTTATCTTAGCAAAGGGAAATTGCTGTGATTGGGGGAAACGGTTTTCATTCCCTGTGTATAGGTAAGTACCTCTCATAAGAGCAGCTTTAAACATCAAAATGATAAAATTTAAATGCCCATAAAGGGTCAGTGAATTTTCTAATGTATATTTCAGAGGCCTAGTTTATTTCTTACACTTGTTTATCTTTACAAGTGACATACAGTTGTTAGGTTTGTAGCACTGCTAACTAAAGAAAAAGGCATTGGAAAGAGAGAAACATACTAGTGAAAATAAGATCTGACCTAAGTTCTGGCTTTTCTGTCATTCCTACTTCTATTTTTAACTTCTTATACCTGTTTATTCTAAATATGGTAAAGCTGATCTTAAATTTATCCCAAAGATTTTTTCATAAGCTTTCTCATCAAAGTGACTACAAGAGAAGGGGAAAACCAAGTTAAAAACTGATACAACGATTCATAAAACACCTAGTGATACAGAGCACCACCAGGTAATATATCCCAGGAACCCAGGATACAAACCATTTGATATCACTTGGCTTGCTTCAAAAGAAATGGCTGCCAGATTGTTCACAGTCACAGATCAAATTCCTTGTTCTACTCTGTCTCCCCTTCTTACTACTGCATTTGATTAGTCTTTAAAAAAGAAAGAAAGAAAGAAACCAGCCTGGGCACCATAGCAAGACCCCGTCTCTACAAAAAATAAAAAAAAGCTAGCCAGGCGTGGTGACACACACCTGTAGTCCCAGCTACTTGGGTGGCTGAAGCAGGAGGACTGCTTGAGCCCGGGAGGTGGAGACTGCAGTAAGCTGTGATTGTGCCCCTGCACTCCAGCCTGGGTGACAGAGCAAGACCCTGTCTCAAAAAAAATAAAAATAAAAATAAAAAGGGTGCAAGGCTGCCAGAGACCAAAAGTTATATGACCCACTGAGTGAGTTCTCAAAGGCTTTTACTATCAATACTGACATGATGTCACAGTTTGTTTTGTTTAACTCTTTGTCCAATCAGGTGTCAATCCTTGGTGAAATTTCTAAGGTCAACATTTAAAAGTCCAAATACTTCTATTTTCATGAAAAAAAAAAAAGAAAACAAACTGAATTAATAAAATTTTTTCATGTCCCAGTTTAAACCAAAATCTCAACAAATGATGTAAGTTTTGACTCAGAGGAAACAGAAATTGGGCTTATACGGAAAATAGTTAAGCAAGAATAGTTTTTTATGCAATCGTGTTTATTCTGATGAGTGCCTTAGTCAATTTGAATTAAGGACATTACTTTTAAAAAATAAAATTTTGTATCTTTCTCCTTTCTCAATTTTCAGGCTTCTGCTTTTTCTGTTTTGGCTTCCTAGAAGAAGAAACTTGTGGCAGGGAAAGCAACATTACAACATATCATTAAAACAATCAGTTCACAGCCAAGGCTATTTCAGTCTTATCTAAGCTGAAATGAGAATTCTGAGTGAGATACTTTAAGTGGTTTCCACTTCATTTCTACACATGGGTGAGGTCGTATCAGGCCAATTTGACTGAAATGCTAGGAAAGATAATAGAAGATTATCTAGAGAGGATAGAAGATAGAAAAGATTATCTAGAAGATAACAGGCACTTGAGGGATGCCCATGAACCCTGGGCACTTCAGTGTGTAGATAGAAACTCTCAAGCTACTGATGGTCTGTTGGCCTTTCAAGGAACATAGAAGTGGAAGCTGACACAACAGTACTTGACCTGCTCAACACACTTTATAGACTCATAAATTAGCAAAAAGGAATAATTTTCTCTTTTTTGGCTTACAAATACACTTTATTTATTTCAATCTTTCTTTATTCCATGCAACTACATGAGAAATCTTTCACTCCAAATTGTAATAGCATATGCAAGCAATGGCTGAACTTACATTTCTCTCAACTTTTCTAAAATTCTGTGCTCTGAGTATGTTGCTGTTTTAAACTCTCAATTCTATGAACCAATCTTATCCCAATATTTCATTCTTAGAATATCAAACTATTTTGAAACCAGTCACTTTGGTGGGTAATTCCTCCTTAGAATACTGCCAAAGCCTGAGGCTGTATTTTATTATTATAAAAGCCAGCATTTGTGACTCTCTTAAAAAAAAAAAAAAGTATAGGCCAGGTGTGGTGGCTCACACCTGTAATCCCAGCACTTTGGGAGGCCAAGGCAGGCGGATCACCTGAGATCAGGAGTTCGAGACCAGCCTGGCCAACATGGTGAAACCACGTTTCTACTAAAAATACAAAATTAGCTGGGCGTGGTAGCGCAGGTCTGTAATCCCAGCTATTTGAGAGGCTGAGGCAGGAGAATCGCTTGAACCTGGGAGGCGGAGGTTGCAGTGAGCTGAGATCATGCCATTACACTCCAGCCTGGGCAACAAGAGCGAAATCCATCTCAAAAAATTAAAAAAAAAGTATAACGTCCTGAAAGGAAAGGATTTGTGGTAGAGGCAATGTCAGTACTATCAAGATAAGATGACTAGTCTCTCTCTGGTGACCATCGTCTACTCATTTGGGGCTATATCAGGTCCACAACTGAAACACTTTCAATAAATACTGCACCTTATTTTAGAGAAGGATGTGTATTACCTGTATGACCTATGAGTGGAAGGACTGTTTGAAGAATATCCAAATTCCATAGTGTAATGTGATCGCTCTGTGGCTGGGGATGGTGGAGGGTTCAAAATCTAAAAGAAAAAAATAATTAAAATATTAAAATAACAACATAGAAACTATCAGACTTTCTTTCAACTTTTCTTCCTTCATCTCTATTAGTGTTTCTTTACAATACACTATTAGCACAATTCTTCTTTTCCAAAGAATTGACCTCAAACAGTACTTTGGGACTATGGCTTCCTCATTCCCTAAGACCTCATCATGGCTAAAAAGTGCAAAGTGACAAAAACGAAAATCTGTAACCTAAAAATCATTGGTCAGTACATTTAGGTCCTGGTTATTTAAAATAGTAAGTATTTAGAGAAAAATTATTGATTTAGGAGAAATTCCAGGTGTGCTTCCTCTTTTGGGAAGTCATAAAATGAAGGCCCTAATCCCTCAATAGGTACCATTCAGTAGTTCTACTTTTACTTGAAATGTGAAATTAATGCCCAGTGCTTTCAAGTATTCTGGTTACTACACAGTAACTTAAAAGATTTATAAGCATGGATGGTGGTGTGTGGTAAGTCCTTTGAGCCTTTTATGCCTAAATTTTACATTCAAAAACTACTTTTACATTACTATCACTGATCACCCACATTTAAATGAGTTAAAAAATCTAAGATCTTATGTATGTCGCATTCAAAGGAAAACAGACTACTTACTGCAGGGAAGTAAGTGCCTTTGGTGCTTGAAGAACTACTTGATGATGCTCCTGTAACATGGGCTCGGTCATAGGGGGGTCCACTGCTTCCCCCCATGATACTGAGGGAGCTGATCATTGATTTACCTCGAGACATTCCTAAAATAAAAGGAGGTTAAAAACTGAAGATGAGTATGATATATAAAAATGTATCAAGCAATTTCATTCAACAGTAGGATTACAAATATCAACAGTGAAGTAGTCTGATTTTAAAATAACTTACACTCTTTTCCTATAATTGAAAACATTTAATGGAGAAAGGAAATGAACGTTTTCTAGAAGTCAATGCTTCCATTGAAAGAGCTGGCCTAGAACAAGGCCAAGAATAGCTCCCACCTTCTCCCTCCCCTGGTAGAAGCAGAGCTATTTAAAATAAGGGCTTTTCAACCTCTTGGAGGATTTGAAAGGATTGTAAAGGGTAGAGGTTGTGAGGCAGGGCATATTAAATACCAGACTTGCTCAAAAGAAAACAAAAAAACATTTTTAGGGCACAAACAACATATGAAAGAATATTTTTTCATCTAATGAATATAAATGTTGCTAGAATCAAAACTACCAGTGCTAAAGAAAAAATTCTATTTTTTCCAAGAAGCTTCCCAAATTCCACTAACTGAAAATAGGTATGGCAACAAAGCAACACTACCATTAACAGTTTAAAAACCATGTTTGTCTACTTAAGAGTTACACCCATAGTAAGTTCCTATTTTCAGAGGGTTTTTGCAAGGCACCGCCTTCTCCATATTCATTAAAAGGAAGGCGTCTTTTAACTAAGGGCACCAGAAAACATTAAAAAGAAGGCCAGTTCCCTAGAGCAACACGGCCTACCCAAGCTTAAAACTTCTGGCTACTCAGCTATGCCTAAACTAGCCCTTTGTCCCTTATTAGCACATGAAGTCAGGAGAAAACTTAAGACATATTCTCCCTTCTATCATCCAGCTATTTACAAATCTTTGTTGGCTGAAGGGAATCTTATATAATTTTTGGCCTCCTTTTATTCATGGGCTCCATAGTACTAGAGTTCCCTGGTGGTGAACTTAACCTGTGGTTTACAACTCTTTCACTAAATGACTGGCTGATTCACCTTCCGTAGCATGCATCCAGAATTGCAGTCAGAGAGGCTTAGAGCTTGCATATGTATTTGCTTTATATGCTTTGACAATTTCTACCAAACCATATCTAAGGCCTTCTGTGTAAAGAGAAGGTGCTAATAGTAAAAAAGAACGTTTGTCCTTATAATTGTTTAAACTCAGAGTAATATGGTTTCAGACAGACTCTAGGTAGTATTCTTTTCCACAATGGAAACTGGCAGTCTTGCAGGACCAAAGACTTGATTCTCAATGGATCCATCCTGACTCACCTGGAAGAGATCCTGACAAAGAACTTGGGTGTGGCACATAACCAAGAGGCACAGAAGCTGGTCCATGAACTACATAGTCATTAGTCATAGTTTCCCCATCTCCCTTCATACGTGGACACAACATCCTCTGGCAGATAAAGTATACAGTTCCAGACACAAAAATGGTGACAATTACGCCAATAACAGAACCAACTGTATTGGTGGCCTGTGGTGCTGGTTCTTCAGTCGGATCTACAATGAAGAATGCAGTATGGTTATTTAATAGAAAAACAACTGTATATTCAAAATAGTAATCAAAAGAGGGCTTGCTAATAGGATGTGAAGCTATAAGCCTAATGAAGATAATTCATAAACACTTTTCTTTTTTATGAGTACATACATACCACGCCCTGAAGACATATGAAATAAATGTCATCATTAGGAATCAAAATGAACTACCCTTAAATGAAGACAGAAATAAAACAATAGGTTGGAAAGTGTAATTGTAAACAGATAGAAACAAAGATGGTAAATGAAGTACAGATTTAAACACCATTAAGAAGCTTTAAATAAATAAACAGATAAAATCCATTCTACTTCATTCTATATACCATACAAATGAACAACGGTATTCCAAGATTTCGGGAAAAAATTTATGACCAGAAGGGATAAACCTAGAAAAGTCATCAAATGTTTTACCTGGAATGGTGAAGAAGCCAAAATCAGCTCTGAGCACATGTTAGATTTTAGATTTGAATAGTGACATTTAGGCCTGATGAATGAAAACTGGAAGCTAAAGATAAGCCTCAGCTCTCAAATCCCCTATGCTGCTGGCCTTCAGGCTGTCTAGTTGCCTGAGACCAAGGAACATAAGGTCTTTAATACCTGATTACTGGAGGACTCACAAAGAAAGGCCACATTGCCAGAAGAGGACACCACCCCAGGGATTCACCTTCCCTGGATCCCTGAGCTACCCGTTTAAGAAGCAGAGGGCATCAATATCAGAGGTAGAGGGAAAGTGAGCTTATTGAAATTAGAGCATTACTGTCTCTATTCAGAGGGAAAATTCTTCCATTCTGAACAGTTAAATTTTATCTCACAGTTGCAGATCCTTTAAAAAACTTCCTCCTGCTTCATCTTACCTCAAATCTCCCATCCATATAGCTAAACTCATCCTCTGACAGATTATATGAAAGAAATGCGTGAAAATGACATCTCTAAGTTACATAATATGTAGGGATTATCATTTACAAATTTAGTCTGTGGAATCTGAAGCATAGACTCTTCTTAGTCCTTGAGAACAACCGTCTCATCTTTTCATTCCTTTTTAGTCCCCTAACATTCCTTTGCAATGCCAAGCTTCAGGAAAGAAAAGTTTACATTCACTACCCTCAATCCCTAGCCTCTGGGTCACACCATAAACTCCCTGAAATCAGACTTCCACCCTCACCACTGCACTGAAACTTTTCTGTCAACAGTCAAAGTTCTACTATTTGCCATATTCAATATATTCATTTCACTAACCTCTTTACACAATACTGCTGGCTCCTGTCTTCTCTTTAAAAAAAAGTCTGATCAATATTCTTCCAAGATACCACTCTCTTAATTTTACTATTTCTGATTATTCTTTCTCTGCTTCCTTTGTTGGCTTCATTCTCTTCTGCCTGCATCTTAAGTGCAGGTGCTTCCCAGAGAGATTTCTATCTATCACCTACTATTTTCCTCCTCTTCTTACTGTCCTGGGAGATTCTATCTACTGTCACAGCTTTCATTATTATCAATAAACTAATGAGCACCAAATCTCTCTTCTGAGCCACAGTTCCTTATAATCAACTTCCTGAAGAGCTTCAGTGGGATATTCCATGAGTACCTCTCAGGCAACATATCACAAACTGAACTCACTGTCACCATGATCAGTCATTTCTCCTAGATTCCAGGGGTAAAGACACCATAAATAAAGTCATCTAGTATAAGATAATAAAAAGTGATGGGGCTTGTGGCAAAGTACACGCCTGCCTAAAGGCATTTAATGTAAATTAAACATCACATCAATCAAACATTACATCTGCAGCCAAGATGTGGTATGGTACTTTGGTTTTCAGTTCCTGCTATATATCCCATTTAATGACTCCAGTCACTCAGTGAGGTACCTGTGGGTCAACTTAAACTTATCAACTATAGCTAAGTGGTTACCAATTCCTCTTTATTCTACTTCTGAAACAACTCCGAAATCTGTTCTCTCCCTGCCACCCCCACTCCTCCTCCTCATGATTTAGATCTTTATCATCTTCTGCCTAAACTCTAATCGCTTCCTTTTTAAATTACAGGCTGCAAGTCATTCGTAAATGGTGAGAATGATTTAGTGGGTTACAACCAGCTTTGAAAAAATAAAACAGAAAATGTCAGAAAGTGTTCTATATAACATGGGTAAATATTTAAGTGTTGTGTGACACCTTTTTAAATGCATGAGCTCACATCTCTGTATTCCTCTTGATGCGATCAGAAGTTTGAAAGCAATCAATCTAACAGATTTCCCTGCCTATAAGCTTATCACCTCCAACCCACTGGCTTTACAACTTCTGTATTGCTTGACCATGCTAGTCTTTTTCTTGAAATTTTCAGTGACTCTCCACTCCCCATTGTTAATATTGTCTAGGCTCTTTAGAAGAAAAGCATAGTCCTCCATGATTGTACCTTTACCTATGTTATCTCTTGCTGACACCCCTCAACAGAGCCTGTATTTTGGCAGTCCCATTACATGGAGTTTCCCAGAGGTGCCTGTTTCACTCTTTTCTGCTTTTGAACAGTATATTCCCTCTGCCCAAAATGAAATTTCTCCAATTATCTACATGATGAACACTATTCATTGATCAACACCCAGTCTTTTTTTTCTTTTTTTTTGAGATGGAGTCTCGCCCTGTCGCCCAGGTTGGAGTACAATGGCACGATCTCGGCTCACTGCAACCTCCACCTCCCGGGTTCAAACGATTCTCTTGCCTCAGCCTCCTGAGTAGCTGGGATTACAGGTGCCCGCCACCACGCCCAGCTAATTTTTGTATTTTTAGTAGAGACGGGGTTTCACATGTTGGCCAGGCTGGTCTCGAACTCCTGACCTCGTGATCTGCCCACATTGGCCTCCCAAAGTGCTGGGATTACAGGTGTGAGCCAGCGCACTGGCACAACACCCAATCTTAAATACCATTTTTCTAAGATGCCTTCCTTGATCAAGTCCATCTTTGTCCCTAATAAGCTGACTACTCTCTCATTTCTACTGCCACCTGTGTAGATTTCTATTACAGCACTTATACTCCATAATCAATGTATCTACTATGAACCAGGCTATGTGTTTTTTAGGCTAAATGATATATATGTTAAATCATTTAATTTTCTTATAGGCATCAGGTTAAGCATCATTCTCTTCATTTTGAAGATGAAGACCTGTAATTCCAGCACTTTGTGAGGCCAAAGTGGGTGGATTGCTTAAGTTCTGAATTGAATTCAGACCAATTGAATTCTTTTCTTTTTTTTTTTTTTTGAGACGGAGTCTTGCTCTGTCGCCTAGGCTAGAGTGCAATGGTGTGATCTCGGCTCAATGCAACCTCCGCCTCCTGGGTTCAAATGATTGTCCTGCTTCAGCCTCCCAGTAGCTGGGATTACAGGCATGCACCACCACGCCTGGCTAATTTTTGTATTTTTAGTACAGCTAGGGTTTCACCATGTTGGCCAGGCTGGTCTCGAACTCCTGACCTCAAGTGATCCGCCCACCTTGGCCTCCCAAAGTGCTGGGATTACAGGTGTGAGCCACCACGCCCGGCTGATTTCTATGTATCTAAATGATTTGAGAATTTTGTAACTTTGGTTATAGTAAAATAATATTTACTCTTTTCTAGTGCTTTACTAAATGTTTCTGTGAAGATTTCTGTGCATAAGAAAACTGCTATGTTTAAAGAATTACTGAAAGCAAAACATAAAAAAACCTTCACACAAATAATTAGCTTAATATTAATACTTATTACTTAGAAAGGAAATCTCGATAAGTAAACCTCACACATAAGAAAAAAAATTGTTTAAATTCTCTGTTAAGAGTAATTTATAGATCTCAGTCCTACTTACAACAATCCAGTTCATCTGACTTGTCACTGCAATCCACATTATGATCACACTTCTTGTGCTTTCCAATGCACTGACCATTGGCACAGCGGAACTGATCAATTAAACAAAGCACTGGAAAAAAAACATAAATAGTTTCCTTATTTTTAATATCATGTAAAGTCAAACTCTGGCAAGAATCAAAAGGTGCCTTCTGAACACAAATGAAAAACAAATTAGACTTTTAGCTATAACTTAAATATTATTCTCTGGAGTTCCATTGGTTGAGAGAGAGAAAAAAGAGTAGGAGAAAAAAATCCAGCAGGAAATTTCCTAACATTTTTTTTTTTTTTTTTTTTTTTTTTTTGAGACGGAGTCTTGCTCTGTCGCCCAGGCTGGAGTGCAGTGGCGCGATATTGGCTCACTGCAAGCTCTGCTTCCCAGGTTCACGCCATTCTCCTGCCTCAGCCTCCCAAGTAGCTGGGACTACAGGCGTCTGCCACCAGGCCCGGCTAATTTTTTTGTATTTTTAGTAGAGATGGGGTTTCACCGTGTTAGCCAGGATGGTCTCTATCTCCTGACCTCGTGATCCGCCCGCCTCGGCCTCCCAAAGTGCTGGGATTACAGGCGTGAGCCACCACGCCCGGCTTATTCTTTACATTAAATTCCCTCTTTCACTAAAGAATTCTAGAGAACTTGGCTGGGTTGTTTTTACCATGGGAAAAGTTAGTAAGGGAAAGTGAAGAATATAAAATATGTTAGAGCGTAATTAATAAATCCACTAATTCAGAGCTCATTGGAAACAGGGACTATTTTTATATACTGAAGGCCTAATATATTTTAGTTTCATTTCTCAATTTTCAAAGCTTATTAATTTGTATAAATCTTATGCATATGGAGTGAATTAAAACAATAATATGGAACATGGCACTATGATCAGAAGTGATACAGTCATATGTACTTGAAAAACCCCAACTGACACTAAGCCAAGTAATACTGAAGTTTAAACAACTGAATGGGAAAAAAGGATTGCATGCTGAGGCACTGAAGAATTCTGGATACCTTCACAGTTCTTCTCATCTGATTTGTCCTGGCAGTTTGCATCTCCATTGCATCGGAGGGCACCATCAATACACTGCCCACTGGCACACTGGAACTGGGACTCTGAGCATACAGGACAATTGAGTTCATCACTGTGGTCTTCACATTCAGTAAACCCATCGCACCGCCAAGCCACAGGGATACAGTCAATTTCCCCCGTGAAACAAGTAAACTGCTGAGGAGAACATGTTGGAGGTTCTTCAAATGAACAAGGAGAAGGGGAGTGACAAAAACACAATCATGGTCACACAGAAGTACAAACACATACCTGAGTGAAGCTCATTTAATAATTAACATACACAAAATACTTTATAATAAATATGATTTATAACTATCTCATCTATTCAAAGAAGAAATAAAGGTTTTCACATTACTTCCTTTACATTCACTATAAACTTTTGCCCGCAAAACTATAAGGCAAAAGTTTTTTCATATCTTGTAATCCAAAACAGGATTGTAATATTTGCAATCCGTTACAGTCTCACACAAAACCTAGGAATAATCAGTATAATTACCAAAGACTTTAAAGTTAGCCTAGCACTCAAAAGTTTTCTAGCTCTAAGCTTCTCAAAGGATAGTCCATGAACCCTTAGGCGTTCCTGAGACCTCTTTCAGGGGACCCACTAGGTAAAAACTATTTTTATAATAACATTAAGATGTCATTGCTTTTTTTTGGCTATCTTTGCACTGATGCTGCAAAAGAAATAGTGAATAAAACTTGGTACCTTAGCAGACTCAGGCAAATGACAACAAACTTTATTAGTAATCACTGTACTATACACAGCCACATGTGCACAGTTTAAACAAACACACAAAAAGACCAATTTCACTTAAGAATGTTATTGATGAATCAATAAAAAATTATATTAAAATCAACCCAAGTGTATGCCTCTTTAATAGTCTGATCAATCAAATGGCAATTATGCATAAAGCTCATGTTGCAAACCTAAGTGTGGTAGTTTCTAATGGGAAAGCATTTGTTTTGAGTTGTAAATCCAACTCAAAATGGAATGTCATTTTTACTTGAAAGAATGACTGACAGGTAAATTATACAGTAGTTATTTACACTTGTCTGTTAGTGAATTATCTAGAGAACCCATAACCTTATGATGTGACCATAGGTCAGAAAACCCTGTAACTTTACAACAGAGAATATTGCAGATTACAGGTGAACATTTTACATGGGGAATTTTAGGGATTATTTAATAAGAGCCTATTATGTATTCAGCACTATACTATCTATATTGTATGGAGAATTAAAGTAGATAAAATATATCCACGTCCTTAAAGCAGTTTGAATTTGGTTGGGGATAGAAAGAAACTAATAAACATAAAACAAAGGACACTACTTTGAACTGCATGTCATGCAAACCGTGTGATATAGTTTGGATATTTGTCCCTCCAAATCTCATGTTGAAATGTAATCCCCAATGTTGGAAGTGAGGCCTGGTGGGAAGTGTTTGGATCATGGGGGGTAGATCCCTCATGCCTTGGTGCTATCCTCCTGATAGTAAATGAATTCTTGGGAGAGCTGGTTGTTTAAAAGTGTGTGGCACTCCCTCTAGCCTACTCTCTCTCTCTTGCTCCCTCTTTTGCCATGTGACCTGCCTGCTCACTCTTCACCCCCGCCATCAAAGTTTCCTGAGGCCTATCCAGAAGCTGAACAATACAGCCGGCAGAACCATGAGCCAATTAAACTTTTTCTTTATAAGTTACCCAGCCTCAGGTATTTCTTTATAGCAATGCAAGAATGGCCTAATACACAGTTGTATACATCTGTCAAAACTCGTTTTAATACATACATTAAAAATAATTGCTAAATGTGCAAGCAAGAAAAAAGGCCCTTTAAAAGATATTTTCAAACTGGAAGATGAGATCCTTGACTCAGTTTTATCCATGTTATCATTAACATAAAGAGAAATTTTTCTAGGATTTGCCTCAAAGTAACACTCCAGCACCCTGATAGGGAAACACATGCTATTTTTTGGGGGGGGGGGGGGGGGAGGGTAAAGTAACCATAAAATTGACCAATTTAACCACTTTAAAGTGCATAGCTCAATGACATTAAGTACATTCACATTATTGTGCAATCCCTATTTTTAAAAATTTCAAGTACCAGAGCTTAACTCTTTGTACATATCTGATTTCCCTGACTACGCTGTATGCTATCTCAAAGATCTTCAAATCCCCTACGGTCCAAGCACAGTGCCCATAGCTGCTACTGAATACATGCATTATTTATTTTTTAAAAAACTTATAGTTCGACGAATAAAATTTACTTGTAATCCCACCCACCCGATCAACAATTTTTATATGTTGAATACATATTCTCTTTCAATATTTGTTTACAGAAATATATATTTTATGTACTTGTCATTTTGGCAACATTTTTACATCAACTTCATGATTATAACATTTAATAGCTGTATAAACTCAGTTATTTTACTTAATAATTTTCACACCATTAGAAATTCATTTAAAAATTTCTGCCACTGTAGATAATAGTATGATGTAGTCTTTTTCCTTCAGTTGAATTAACTTAGAATTATCCCCAAAAGGAGGATATCTGAATTAAGGGTATGAATACTATTGTGGTGCCTGATACCATCATACTATAATTTAACAATGGAATGTATCTATTTGTTAAACCTGCTAAGTGATTAAACCAATTTTACTACAACAGTATCACTATACTCAGTGATATCTTTTAAAAAATCATTTTTTACTAGATAAAGAAGCAACAGGAATTTGCTGATGGATTTGAACAAAAGAATATTCTTTCCATCAGACACATTCCCAACAATGACACATAAACTTAGAGAATCTACAATTTAGTGGAGAGAGATTACAGGAGGTAGAATTAATTCATTTTTTTACCTTTTGGGAGAGGGGGGAGGCTACTTTAATATTAGGAAGCATACTCATTCACAGGCTGAAAAGTGTGGTAATATATACGCAGTGAAATACTATTCAGTCAAAAAAAGTAGGAAATCCTGTCATTTGCAACAACACAGATGAACCTGGAAGTCATCCTGTTAAGTGAAATAAGCTAGGCATAGAAACACAAATACTACATGATCTCACACGTGGAGTGTAAAAAAGTCAAAGAAACAGAGTAAAATGATGATTATGAGGCTGGGCAGGGTGGCAGAGAAGAATAACAGAAAAGCCTAGTACAATACAAATGAATGGAACACACGCAACCAATTAAGTTAGTAGACAGAGCAACTTCAATGCCTAGTCATAGAAGTCTAGGCTTAAGATATGGAATATGTTTGCATTTAGGGTTGCACAAGAAAATTACAACATATTTACCTCCACATGATAGCTCATCTTGAAGTAGAACCAGGTGCATGGGGCAAGAACACCTTGTAGTACCATCCCCCTTTACAAGACAAATATGTGAACAGCCACCATTATCCTGAGCACAAGGGTGCTGTCCTGCAAAGAGAAGAGGTGAGGATGGGGAGAGGAGGGGGAGTGGAGGGGGAGAGAAGTGGGAGAGAAGAGAAAAAGGGACAACCCTGTCAAAACTATTTATGAAAATCAAATGTATAATCAGCTTGGACTCTTTTTTTTTACTTTTATTATTATTATTATGGACTTTTTTTACTTTTATCATTATTATTATTATTATTATTATTATTATTTTGAGACAGAGTCTTGCTCTGTAGCTCAGGCTGGAGTACAGTGGTGTGATCTTGGCTCACTGCAAACTCTGCTTCCCAGGTTCAAGTGCTTCTCCTGCCTCAGCCTCCCGAGTAGCTGGGATTGCAGGTGACTGCCGCCATGCCTGGCCAATTTTTCCGTTTTTAGTAAAGATGGAATTTTACCATGGTGGTCAGGTTGGTCCAGCTTGGACTTTTATTTCCACACAATATGATTCTTCACTCAATCTCTACACAACCTACAAGAAACTACTTCTATCTAACCACTGTCCTTATATATTTATATATAAAATATTTTAAGATAATGGTAAAGCTCATCTTAATTTTTGTGAATATGAAGAAATGTTTACTGAAACTAAAAAATTGCTAGGGAGAGGCCGGGTGCGGTGGCTCACGCCTGTAATCCTAGCACTTTGGGAGGCTGCGGCAGGTGGATTGCCTGAACTCAGGAGTTCAAGACCAGCCTGGGCAACACAGTGAAATCCCGTCTCTACTAAAATACAAAAGAAATTAGCTGGGTGTGGTGGCATGCACCTGTAATCCCAGCTACTCGGGAGGCTGAGGCATAAGAATTGCTTGAACCTGGGAGGCGGAGGTTACAGTGAGCCAAGATAGTGCCACTGCACTCCAGCCTGGGCGGCAGAGCAAGACTCCATCTCTACAAAAAACAACAACAAAAAATTGCTAGGGAGAATGCTGAAACTTGAGTATTATTCTATTTAAAATATAAGAATTCTCCTATATTAAGATTTTTAACTCAGAAAATCCGTATATCTGAAAGACAACTTCAGTCAAAAAGTGTATCTTAATGAGGAATCCATTGAGAATTAAAGAGTTATTAGAAGAAAAAAACTTAAAAGGCACATGTAACAGAACAATTCAGAAACAAAATTATTTGGTCAACTGCAAAAGGTAACTTGTAATACTATAAATGTCTAACTTCCTCATACATGGGCTAAGTAAAGAAACCACTAGGCAACTTTTCAAAGTCTGTTTCACAAGTTGTATTTTTAAAGAATCATTGTTTGGAATTTTCTGTTTAGCCTGTATTAAAAGCAACTTGACATCTGTCGTCACAAAATATGAACATCTAATATAAGCCACCATTTATTATTTGACTCTCTTCCACAATAACATTGGTTCTGCTTCAGTTTGTGTTGAGACTGAGGGAGTCAGCTATCTACAAATGAGCATACTGTCCAAAACAGACATCACACATTATATAGAATATACAGTCTATGTAGCAGTGTTTCTCAACCTTTAATTCCATGACATTTTTGATAAAAATCCCATTCTCTTTAATATTAGAAATTTGAAAAAATGATTTACCTAATATACAATCATATTTAAATAGTTATTAAATAAAACCTCTCCCTTGAAATTCTGAAAATCTTGAGATTTTCTGTAATAAAATATTCATGTATCGACTAAATAAATAACTTAGGTATGATATCATTATCATATTTCTATTAAATGTTCAGCCTGAGCTACAAGTCATACCATAAAATGACAACAATTTTTAACTTTCTAATTCTCAATTACTTGTAACTTTACTTCTAAATTCATGAACTGTACCAACATAATGAACACTTGTACAGGGCTACTCCTGTTTCTTCATTCTCCTTTCATGCTTAAATTCAATTTAAAAGCACTGAGCTGAGAAGTTACAGAATTTCAATAATTGTCTCTCTCATACTCAATTTAACATTGGCATCCCCGGTACCATCATGTATGATCAACAGTAGTGACTGCTAGGAAGGCACTTTTTAAAAAACGTTTTGCATATATAAACTCATTTATTCCTCTCTATGATTAGGGTAATTTTGATGACAGATATGAATTAAGAACTAGGCCAAGATGACTAGCCATTTTCAAAAAAAAATAAGAAAATATTTCTGGCTACTTTTCTTTTTTCCTGGGGCTCATGGAGATGGCTATTTTTCTAAGCTGGGAATTGAAATATTTATCCCAAAGGGGGGGAAAAAAACCAAGCACCTACTAATTAAACAGAGTCTTCTCTATGTTTACACACTAATTTTTAGTTTGTTTTGCCTAAGAATAAGATTAACCCATTATAACTATATTCATCATTATATAATTTTTACTTTTTTTCAAGCTATGGGGGGAAGTATAGAGAGGGAAGAAAAGAAATAGATGCTTTATGTTATCAGTATTCCCAAAGGAACTGAAGGAGAGAAAAACAAGGCATGATAAGCAGTCATTGTTGTACCAGGAAATATTCTTTTTTAACAGGCAAGACCCATGCCTTTCCCCCATTTCTGGTTTATGAGATTATGTTTAATTTGGAAAAGCTCCCGGGTAAGGTTGACATAAGGCTTTAAAAGCATGAAGAGGCTGGGTGTGGTGGATCACACCTGTAATCCCAGCACTTTGGGAGGCCAAGGTGGGCAGATCACTTCAAGTCAGAAGTTCGAGATCAGCCTGGACAACATGGTGAAACCCTGCTTCTACTAAAAATTAAAAAAAAAAAAAATTAGCGAGGCATGGTGGCATGCACCTGTAATCCCAGCTACTCTGGAGGCTGAGGCATGAGAATCACTTGAACCCGGGAGGCAGAGGCTGCAGTGAGCCAAGATCGTGACACTGCACTCCAGCCTGGGCGACAGAGTGAGACTCCGTCTCCAAAAAAAAAAAAGCATGGAGAGTTCAAAAAAATGGCAAAACTAAAAGTGCATGAAAGTCTTCAAGGAAACAGAGTTTAAAAATCCACAAAAGTACATATTAATTTATTATAACACATGATTCCTCCAATTAGCTTTATCCCATTAACACTTACTGTATTCTTGAAGGTTCAGCTCCTTTACTGCATGAATGTCACTAAGCTGGGCAATTCGAGCTTGGACTTTGGTTCTACCCTCTCGACCTGTCATGTCAATTTTTTCAATCATTTGCTGCTGTTTATCAATCCAATAGAGCCAGTTTTCAAACACAGTAAGTCCCACAGGCTGCAAGATATTGGAGTCTTCTAATACTATCCGGTTAGCACCTTGGAAAAGGAGAAAATTCAACAGAAATGACTCATGTGGGTCAAGTTATACTTTTGGTAATTATTTACTGACTACCAGTTAGATTCTACAGGTAGAGAAAAGAAAAAAAAAACAAGATCTCTACCACAAAACTTAAAAATCATGGTAAGACATACACTAGAAAACAGCCAATAAACTAGATATTAATATGCAATCAAGAGCAAGTAAGTGCCCAATGTGCAGTAAATATTCTAGTTCATAGAAATGTAGAAAAGAACTTAGAACAGTAGTTTGAAAAACCCTAACTTATATATACAACAGATAAAAATGGCACTTCTCTGGAGGAGCAGTGGTGGTGGACCCAGAGTTCTGAGTATACCTGAGGCATTTATGAAGAACAGCTTCACTCTCACCCCACCTGGCTTCTCAGAACACAATTAGAAAAAATGACTGACTCACCCCAAGGTAAGAATTATTTCTAATCATCTCAGACATAGAGTCATCCAGACTCTGAGGAGGCAACTTCTGCTATTGTTGCACAGTGAGAAAGTTCTTTTATACAGTGGGCTAAAATCTGTGTTCATACCCCCCACCCTGCTTTATTCAGTTTCTCCCTCACTCAAAAAGAAAAAATATACTCATTCCTTCTTTTTCATAACAGTCCTTCAAATATTTATAGAAAGTTCACGGTTCCTAAGTCATGAGTTCAGTCAAACAAAGACATTAGCTGATATTTTGGAAGTATCAAGGAAAGTTTCAGGAAAGAGGCAAGCAAAATGCCAACTTTTTAATAAATGAAGAAAAGTGGGGAGATATTCCAGATGGGAAGGCATTGCCTGAGTCAACATTCAGATGGTAGGCTAAGCACAAGTTTACTTATATATTCTCTCCTAAAACTCTACTAATATGGTGATTGAAAAAATTTTAGGCCGGGTGCAGTGGCACACACCTGTAATCTCAGTAATCTGGGAGGCTGAGGCAGGAGGATCACGTGAGCCTAGGAGTTCGACATCAGCCTGGGCAACATGGCAAAATGCCATCTCTACAAAAAATATAAAAATTAGCCAGGCATGGTGGCATGCGCCTGTAGTCCAGGTACTCAGGAGGCTGAGATGGGAGAATTCCTTGAGCCAGGGAGGTCAAGGCTGTAGTGAGCCAAGTTCACACTGCACTGCAGCCTGGGTGACAGAGTGAGACCCTGTCTCAGGAAAAAAAAAAGAAAGAAAGAAAAAGAAAATAATTTTGAAGGTATAAACCCATAAGGACAAAGAAGGCAGAAGAACAGAAGAGAGCAGGAAAGTGATATAAATTTTGGAAGCTGGAGAATAGATAGACCAGGGATAATGACACAGTAGCCCAGAGAAAGCTAAAGGCCTACAGCCAGTGAAGCTAACAATGAAATTAATTAGCTCAGAAAGTGGAAGCACCAGGTATTTTAGAATGGAACAAAGGTAGGAGTTATGTGGCTGGGGCTGAAAGAGGAGTACTAATTGAAAATATGTGTAAGAAATTACACAGCAATGTTCTCAGTATTTTTAAGCCTCATACTAAATACAAACAGCTAAGGATCACCAAATATTTAAAGAAAACCTCTATCTTTAAATTTGAAGCCCAAGACAAACACAACAAAGGAACTTGGAGAAAAAGACACAAAAGCAGAAGAAAACAAATAAATACCAATTAAAAAAAAAACAAAAAACCTAAAGAATAGGCTGTCTTCAGAGGGGCAGAGCATTTGGAGAACAAAAAAGAGCCCTTGGAAATTAAAAACATGATATCCAAAAATTTCAAAGAAAAATGCAACAAGAGGGTTGGGAGACAAATTTGAGAAGCTCTCCTCAGAAAGTATAACAAAAACACAAAGAGATGGATAATAGGTGAGAAAAATACAGCTACAGTCAAGAAGGTTCAGCATAAAAATAAAAAGCTCCAAAATAGGAAAATGAAAAATAAATTATCAAAGAAACAACACAAGAAAACATTCCAGAATTTAAGGTGTAGACTTCTAGACAGAAAGGATCAACCTAGTAACCAGTTCAATGAGAAGGAAGGGAAGGGGAAGGGAAAGCACGAGCATAGATTTTAAAAATCTTTTTTTTTTTTTTTTGAGACGGAGTTTTGCTCTTTCGCCCAGGCTAGAGTGCAGTGGCTCAATCTCGCCTCACTGCAACCTTCACCTTCCGGTTTCACGTGATTCTCCTGCCTCAGACTCCTGAGTAGCTGGGATTACTCGCACCCGTCACCATGCCAGGCTAATTTTTGTATTTTTAGTAGATATGGGGTTTCACCATGGTGGCCAGGCTGGCCTTGAACTCCTGACCTCATGATCTGCCCGCCTCAGCCTCCAAAAGTGCTGGGATTACAGGCGTGAGCCACTGCACCTGGCCAATTAAAAAAATAAATCTTAAAACAAAACATTAGCATATCAAATCCAGCAATAAATAAAAAGAATGTACCATGCTAAATTTTATTTATTCCAGCAAACTGAGAAAAGAAGTTAAATTCCTTAATTTGACAAAGGTTATCTACAGAAAAACCTTAGCAAAGAATACTTAATCACAAAGTATTGAATGCTTCCCCCAAGCTCAAGGGGAAAAGGACTAGAAAGGAAGAAGAAGGGAAAGAAGGGGAAGGAGAAGGGGAAAAGAAGGGAATGATGAGAAAGGGGAAGAGGAAAGGGCTGGGGGAGGGAGAGTGGAGAGAAAGAAAAAAGGAAAGAAGGGAGGAATCAAACAAAGGCACAGTATCAAATTCTAGGACATTGAGGGGAAAGAACATGTTAAAAGCTTCTGGAGGAAAAAGGAAAAGGACAGCATACAAAGACTGAAATCACAGTCACATCAAACTTCCCAATGACACAAGATGCTCAAAGACAATGGAGTTCTATTTTCGAAATTCTGAGAGAAAACAGCTATAAAACATGAAAGCAAATTATCAACCAAGTGTGAGGAGGAAAAAAAATTCAAACAAGATCAAGAATTTTAACCTTTTATGATGAGCCCCTTTCAAGAAGCTGCTAGAAAATGGTCTCTCTTAAGAAAACCAGAAGAAATGGAGTCCAGGAAATAGCAGGTTCAGCATCTGTATACTCCCAGGACAATGGAGAAATGAAGTTAGCCTAGAAACCAAGCAAATCCAGACTGCAGCAAGATGATGAAGAAACCCAGAGATGTGATTTTAATTATGAAGACAAATAGATGGACTGCTTGATGCATATCCATTTATTGAAACAATATTTACATTACACAAGTATTAACTCTGCAGGGAGGAAAAAAGTTTTAGAAAGAAATGTACCTAACAGTAATATGTTCATAGCCATAAATAATAAGTAATTAAGTCTAGACTTAAAAAAATTATGGCACTAGTCACAGGTGGGTCCTTTCTATCTGCAAACTTGTGCCTCGAATTCTGGAAAGTTCATAACTATGCTGGGGAGGATGGAAAGAAAATTCACACGTGTATTTTGGCGACATATGGTTTAAGATAGCAAAATCTTTATCTTCCAAAGGAAGTCAATGTTTAACGTCTAAAAGAGAAAAATCAAGAAATAGCATTTTTAAGCAAGTTTATTTTAAAATAAGTGAAAATAGTTGTGAATGCTTCTAAGCATGGGAACTGAGAGCAGCAGAGTAGAGCAGTAGGCTTGTTTTTTGTTACAAGCCAGGTAGAACAGTTTGATATCCATAATATTTACATGTATTACTTTAATGAAAATTAAAATTAAACAATAAAGAAGAATGATTTTTAAAGATTAGCTGGCGGTAATGAAAGGATGGTCTGAGGTAGACAACTGGGTAAAAAAGGAAGTCAATAGTGTCACTGCAGGCCCCCAGATATGGTAAGGACCTGATCTACTTTGATGCTGGTGAAAAATAAGTAAGCTACTGGAACCAACAAGGAAAAGATATGCTTATTTATTCAACAAACTAAGCATGCACTGGATGCAATTCGCTATAAAAGGCTATGTGGGTGGCTACAAATACGAAATAGAAAAAGGTCCCAGGATGAAAGCATAATTATCTGTGAATACGTAAGAAAAAAAAAATCAACTTGACAGTAACCTTTTTCAGAGAATAGAAAAAGAACAAACATTTCTTTTTATGTGGCCAACAAAGCCTTGATGGCAAAACACCAACAAATACCTGACAAGAAAAGAAAATTATAAGGTAATCCTTCTCATGAGCGTAGATTAAAAAAAATCTCAAAACATTAGCAAATCAAATCCAGCAATAAAAAAAAGAATAATATATCATGCTAGATTTTATTTATCCCAGTAAACTGGGGAAAGTAAGTAAATTCCTTAATTTGACAAAGGTTATCTACAGAAAAACCTTAGCAAAGAATACTTAATCACAAAAGTACTGAATGCTTCTCCAAGACCTAGAAAACAACAACAACAAAAAAGGATTCTATTATCATCCTATTCAACACTGTACTGGGGGACCCCAGCCAGTATAAGGAAAGAAAAAAACACAACTCTCATTATTTGAAGAAACATGATTCTATAACATAAAAAATCCTAAAGATAAGTATACTTAGCATGGTCCTGTGGTACAAGCTAATATGCTAGAAGGAGAAAAAAAGAAATTGTATTTCCATATTCCAGGCACAATTAGAAAATAAAACATTAAGTTTAGAATAGTCTTTACCACTAGCGTTTAAAAGCACCAAATAAGAAGGAATAACAACTCTAATGAAAGATAGGCAAGACCTCTATGCTGAAAATTATAAAACATTAAGAGAAATTAAAGATCTAAATAAACAGGGAGATTTACCATGATCATGGTTTAGAAGATTAATATTATAAAGATAATAATTCTCTCTAAACTATCAATTTAATGCAAACCCAATGAACATCTTAGTATGTGATTTTTTTTGGAAGGGGAAACTCACAAGCTGATTCTACAATGTACATGGAAATTGCGGTAGTTAACAATAGCCAAGGTAATCCTGAAAAAATACTGAAGACACAGATGAATCTATTGCAGTTATAATAATTGACAGTATAATATAAGTAAAGGCAAAGTGACCAAGGGAACATCAGAGTCTAGAAACAAACACACACAAATACAGTCACCTCATTTATGACCAAGGTGATACTACAGAGTAGTAGGGAAAGGACAGTCTTTCCAGTAAATGATGCTGAATCCAACAGTAATGTGGAAAAAAATGCATTTTAACCCCTGCCTCACACTACACACCAAAATCAATTCCAGATGGATTACAGATCCCAATAAGAAAAGTTAAATGAAGAAATTTCAGGGAAAAAACTAAAGTATCTTTTTGTACCTTTGCAGAAGACAAACATTTCTTTCTTTTTTCTTATTGCTATACATTTATGTGGTACAAGTTTTTTTAACATGGATATATACTATGTATCTATGATGTGTACAAGTGTGAAGTGTGAGCTTTTAGTGTAAAACCATAGTGTACGTTGTACGCATTAAGTAATTTCTCATCCCTCAACTCCCATGAAGATTTCTTAAACAACATAAAAGATGTTAACCGTAAAAAGAAAATTAATAAACTGTACTACATTAAAATTAGGACCTTTCTTTTCATCTAAAGATACTACTGGGAGAATAAAAAAGGTAAATCACAAACTGGGAGATTTATGCAGTATATATCTTGACAAAGGATTCATATCTAGAATGTACAAAGAATTCCTATACAACAATAAACTTTCAAGTTACCAGTTTTGGGTTATTTTTTGAGACAGGGTCTCGGCTTTATTGGCCAGGCTGGAGTGCAGTGGTGCAATCATGATCATGGCTCATTGCAGCAGTGGGACAAAATTAATTGTAATGAATGAAACATTTTCATGAAGAGCTTTATCACAGACCTGCCTGCCAGGCATGGTGGCTCATGCCTGTAATCCCAGAACTTTGGGAGGCCAAGGCAGGGGGATCACTTGAGCCCAGGAGTTTGAGACTAGCCTCAGCAACACAGCAAGACCCCCATCTCTACAAAAATAAAATTAGCCGGGTGTGGTGGTGTGTGCCCATAGTCCTAGCTACTCAGGAAGCTGAGGCAGGAGGACTGTTTGAGCTAGGGAGTTTGAGGCTGCAGCAAGCTATAATCACACCACTGTACTCTAGCCTGGGTGACAGGGCAAAACCCTTTCTCAAACAAAAATAAAAACAAAAGATAGTTTAAAATATTGACATAAGTAACTAATGTACAAATGAGAGGTGATATCCATGGAATACTATGCAACCATAAAAAAGGATAAGTTCATGTCCTTTGCAGAGACATGGATGAAGCTGGAAACCATCATTCTCAGCAAACTATCACAAGGACAGAAAACCAAACACCACATGTTCTCACTCACAGGTGGGAATTAAACAATGAGATCACTTGGACACAGGGTGGGGAACATCACACACTGGGGCCTGTCGGGGGGTGGGGGGCTAGGGGAGGGATAGCATTAGGAGAAATACCTAATGTAAATTACTAGTTAATGGGTGCAGCAAACCAACAGGGCACATGTATACCTATGTATCAAACCTGCACATTGTGCACATGTATCCTAAAACTTATAATTAAAAAAAAAACTGCAATTACTTTTGCACCAACCTAATACATTCAGATTGCAACAGAAGGTGAATTTTGGAAAAAACAATTATTCAAAAGACATAAATGCATTAGGTACCCAGAAAAAAAAATTAGAGGTGATATAAGAGACAGAGGAGATCAGATGAGGGAAAGAATATACTATACCAGGCGTGTAACTATACATGCGTAAGTGTGTGCCTAACTGTCTGGAATCAGAGAATACATAATGGAAGGGAGGCATTTGAACCTGAAGACATTAAAAAAAATGTGAAAAAAAGATTAAAATAATTATAAATGTATTCAAACATACAAAAATGTACATGATACAGGAGTAAGCAGTCTCAACATTTTAGTATGCTAATGCTCCAGACTTGAGATATATTTGCTTATTTCTTGAGGAAAATACTGACATGTATGTCTGTTTCTTTTCCCCTCTCCTCTCTCCCCTCCCTCCCTCCCTCCCTCCCCCTTCTCTCTTTCCCTCTCTCTCTTTGTTGAAGAACCTGAGATCTGAAGATCTGAGATCTGAGATCCCACATTTCTTTTTTCTTTTTCTTTTTTTTTTTTTTTTTTTTTGAGACAGTCTCGTTCTCGTTCCATAACCCAGGCTGGAGTGCAGTGGCGCCGTCTTGACTCACTGCAACCACCGCCTCCCATGTTCAAGCGATTCTCCTGCCTCAGCCTGCCGAGTAGCTGAGATTACAGGTGCCCACCACCATGCTTGGCTATTTTCTGTATTTTTAGTAGAGACAGCATTTTGCCATGTTGGCCAGGCTGGTCTCAAACTCCTGACCTCAGGTGATCCACCCTCTTCGGCCTCTCAAAGTGCTGAGATTACAAGCATGAGCCACCACACCTGGCCTGAGTTCCCACATTTCTTAACGGTATATATACATACACTGTGTATACACAGTGTATATACTATACGGTTTCAAATTTTAAACAAAACTAGATCTTAAGAATTTTTCTGAAATTTAATTTTTAAAAATCATTCATGTTAGTGCACACAGATCTACCTTATTCTTTTGAATGACTGTAATATTCCATACACTGATAGAATGTATTTCTCCATGAAGGACTATCACAAATAATGCTCAGCAAATACCCTTATACACTTACATCGGTCTTTCTCTAAGACAGCTATCTACAAAGGAAATCACCAGATCAAAGGGAATGCATATTTTAAATTTTGATTATTACTGGCAAATTGTCCTCTAAAAAGGCTCTATCAATTTCCACTTCCACCAAAGCACATGAGGGCATGTAATTTTCTACCATACTGGCCAATGCTAGGCAATAATCAACGTTAACATATTTTTGCCATGCTGACAGACACAAATAGTATATTTTAATTTCATTTACCTGATCACTAGGGAGGCCAACACAGACTATATGGACATCAGAAATTGGGGACAGAGGAGGTAATTATAATTACAGACATAAGATTGCAGAGAAATGTGAAAGTAAAAGTATATCTTAAGACGAACAAATAATTTAATTTGGTTAAAATACCAGAAAGGTAAACGCCACGATGAGGTTGTGAAAGGTGAATACTAACTTATACCAACTTAAGAGTACAACTAGACTTTTTTCCTACAGGTTATGAAACTACCCTGAAGATTTTTTAAGTAAAGCAGTGACATTAAAACCATGCTTCAGAAAATTTAGGAGCCATGTGTAAACTTTCATGGAGAAAAACTGGCAGGGAGATCAACCAGAGGCTAGGATTTGGCCACAGATGACAAGAACATAAACTAGAGCAGAAGAGTTAGGAAAGGATGCATTAGAAATGTATTATTTACGCCGGGCGCGGTGGCTTACGCCTGTAATCCCAGCACTTTGGGAGGCCGAGGCGGGTGGATCACAAGGTCAGGAGATCGAGACCATCCTGGCTAACACGGTGAAACCCTGTCTCTACTAAAAATAGAAAAAATTAGCTGGGCGCAGTGGCAGGTGCCTGTAGTCCCAGATACTCAGGAGGCTGAGGCAGGAGAATGGCGTGAACCCGGGAACTGCATTCCAGCCTGGGCGATAAAGCAAGACTCCGTCTCAAAAAAAAAGAAATATATTATTTACAGAACCAAGATCAAGAAAACTGGCAGGTAGTTAAGTAACAGAGGAGTAATCATGTTGACAGTTGAAGAAAAAGCTCTTCACCAACCAACCTGATGCTGACTACATTTAATGAATAAAACTGCCAAGAAATGTGCCAAAAACAATACGATGCAAGAAAAACACAATAGATGAATCATCTTAAAAACTCAAATTAAAATAAGGAAACATATTTCTTGGGTACCTGAGAGATCACTGCTTTCAATTCGCCGGAGATCTGAATCAGCCCAAAAGAGCTTGCCCAGCCTGCTATCAAGGGCTAAAGCAATTGGTTTACTTAAGCCACTGAAAAAGAGGACCTCCCGTTCTGTCCCATCCAAAGCAGCCCGTTCAATTTTAGGAGACCTTTCCTGAAGATTGGTAAAATACATATACCTAGAGGGAAAGGAGGAAAAAAATAAGTTACTGGAGTAAGAAACCACATAAAATGAGGATATTCTTATTAAGACAAATGGAGGTAGAGTATTTTTAAGTATTGTTTTTAAAAGTTTTAAAATACGTATTTTTTGACCAGGCACAGTGGCTCATGCCTGTAATCTCAGCACTTTGGGAGACTGAGGCGGGGGTATTGCTTAAGCTTATGAGTGAGAGACCAGCTTGGGCAACACAGCAAAACCCCATTTCTACAAAAAATACCCCAAAAATTAGCCAGGCATGGTGGCGTGTGCCTGTAGTCCCAGCTACTTGGAAGGCTGAGGTGGGAGGATCACTTGAGCCCAGGAGGCAGAGGTTGCAGTGAGCTGAGATTGTGTCACTGCACTCTAGCCTGGGTGATCGAGCCAAACCTTGTATCCAAATATATATATATATATCCTCTTTTATATAAATATATATGTGTATATATATATAAATCCTCTTTTATATAAATAAATGTGTATAGATAAAAATCCTTTTATAAATATATACATATCTATTTATATATTTACATTTTTAAAAGGTCATGGGACACTTTTACTACTTTTAATAGTAGCAACAAAGGTACACAGAAGTTATTAGGGAGCTTTCATAGATTAACAGAATAGTGTTAGACATAGGCACACATATGTTTTCAGAATAATACGACAAATTAAAGATCAGTGACTAGAGAGACCTTAACACAAAATTTTAAATTCTTTCTAATTAATCTATTTAATAACTAAAAAGAAGTTACATATAAATCACTTCTTATATTTAACGTCTAGATTTCATCCTTTTCCTCTCTTTTGAAGTAAGCTACTTTACTTGCTGAATACCTTATCATTGACTCAGATACAACTGATTATTGAGTATTTATTAAATGCAAAGCTCTTTATTAAATGAAAGAAAGCATACTAGTTCTCATCATAAAGAAAACTGATGTCTAGTGGTAAATACAAGACTAAAAAATAATTAAAAGTAACGTAAATTGGAAAGGACTAAGTATAACTTAGAGAGGCACAGATACAGAGTACTGAGTATTCAGGAGGGGGCAAAAATCACATCTGGCTGGGATGAGGTAGATCGAGGAAAACTTCCTGGAGGACGTGGCAGTTGAAATGGTCCTGGAGGTGTGGTTAAGACTTAGAATTAAAGCACTAGTGGCCCAGGAAAGAAAGTCTGGGCAGTGAAATCAGAGAAAGTGTAAGACAACTGTTAAGATAATGCAGAAACAAACTGATAGAGAATATTGAATTGTTTGCTGGAGCACAGGACACTTAAAGGTAAATAAATAACAGGCTGAAAAAGAAGGGTGAGGAGAGTCTCAGAAGCCACAGTATCTGAACGCCACTTTAGTAACATACCCTTTCTCTGGGTTTACCACAACGGCTCGAGGTCTGTCCTGCTCGCCTTTCAGCACCACTCCAACTGATCTCCCATCTAATCTTGTCACATTAATGACATTGGTAGCCTCACAAGTCCAGTAGATGTAGCGGCTGTAAATATCAATGCTGAGGTCATAGGGTTGTATTTCCAGGTTCTGACTCGGAACTGAGCTCACAACCACAGTAAAGCCCTAGGGAAAAAAAGAAATACAGAGAAAATTAAACTCCAGGGGCAGATAACCCTGAGGCAATCAGTCACAATGCTTACACCTACATGGGCACACAGCTGAGAAGGCTCTCTCAAGTCTTAAGGAGTATTTCTTACTGATACCTTTTTTTATGGGTAATGTGCTTCTTTGTTAATACACATCTCAAATGTTCCTTGGGTTATCCTGCTGCTGAAAAAAAGAGCTGAGGTCAGATTAGTTGCTCCAAGAACCTGATAATGCCTTGATTAAGAGATGGGAGTGAGAAGGTGGCAACTATCTTCTCTAAACTGGAGACAACTGTGGCTAAAACCACACCCTAGAAATATCTCTAAAGCAGCGGATTGCAACTAGAGGCAATATTGCCCCGCCATGGGCATTTGGCAATGTATGAAGACATTTTTTACTGTCACGACTGTGGGAATACAACTGGTAACTAGCAGGCAGAGACCAGGGATGCTGTTAAACATCCTACAATATTCCGAGCAGCCCCCCACAACAAACAATTAATCCAGCCCAAAACGACCACAGTGCTTGAGAAACCCTGCTCTAGAGATAACAGCAACTAGTAAAGGCTACAAATCAAGTCATCTCCTTTTCTGATCCTCAAGTCTACACATGCAATTTTTTTACAATAAAGTCAAGCAAAAAGAGAGGCTTTGTCCATTTGTGCCATCTGAACTGTATCTTACTGGTATCTCTGAAGTAACATATTCCTTAATTTCTATCTATTAGTTATCAGCCCATCAGTCCTGGCCTATATGGTGGAAAGTGTGTCTGGAATACACAGCTATTACTATACCCTAAATGATCTCTCAGCAGCCCTAAATATATTACCTCCTTGGTCTTTATTTTAAGATGAGACATAGTGAAAAACGGTACTCTAACTTCCCTAAATTTTAATACATTCAAGATACAACTTACGATCACTGCTATGAGGATGACAACAAGTAATTATTTATAGTATTATAATCCCAGTCTGACAGGGCTCGGCCACAGAAAGCAAGCAAAGAAGTATCGATAGTGATGTGTAAATCCATAATTGGCATGTAAATGGGTAAGATTTATTGATAATATCCTCATTCCCATCCCACAGTCACCATATAATTATGACCAAAAAAACCCACTGGATTAATAACATGTTAGATGTTTTTAACCCTACTGAGATTGTGTTATATGTTTCATATCCTCTGAACCTTTTAAATAATAGTTAATTAGTAATGTAACCGTTATTTATTGAGTTCCTGTTACATAACACATAAGAGCTATGTGCTTTGCATTCTTTTCAGCTAAAAAAGTTCCTAAGAATCCTAAGTGAGGGATAGAGCTGGAATCAGAACCAAGGCCTATTTCAAGGCTTCTAATACTCCATACAATAGAAATGTAAGGAAAAAGACTTCATAAAGAAACGTAGGGGGCAGTCACAAAGCCATTACCAACACAACAGCTTAAGTACGCCTAACAATTTTCATCATAATATCATCATCAAACAATTGCTTACTCAAAATATCGTCAGAAGGAAAAAATAAGCTACTAGGTCCAGAATTTCAGTTTCATACACACATACACACACACTTAAGCAGAGTCAAGACTTAAGTGAAACAGAGTGGTTGGTGAGTCCAGTTATTAGTCAGGAGAAATGAATTTTGAACCAAGCTCTCAATTACCTGGCTGCCATCTTCTTGTGCCTTTCGGATCATGTTTTGTCGTGAGTCAATCCAATAGAGTTGCTTGTCCAGTGGGTCATAGTCAATGGCCCGGACATTCCGAAGGCTGTGGATGGGAAGGATGATGTCGGGGCTCTGTTGTTCATCAATCACCATGCGGTTGATGGCACTCTTTTGACTGAAGAGCAGGAAAGTCGTAGGAGCTTAAAAGGAAGAAAAGAGAAAATCTGAAATCTAGTTACCCTACATCCTCTATCATCCAATGATTTGATCAGCCTGTTGTATGTATTTCATACAAAACAGACATAGATGTTGAAGAGCTAAGGCTGAGGACAAAATTCTTTGGCATGCCCTCAAAAACTCTCTTCAGAGTAACACTAATCAGCTCTCTGGTTACCAAATCAGTTATGAATTTACCTAATGACATAGCCACCTACCCTGTTTTTCTCCATCTTGTCCACAGAGATACCACAGAAAACTTCATTTCCATCAGGTATTTGATATACAAAATTCTCCTGGTCTACCAAGTGAATAACCCTTAACCTATTCTGTCTGGTGGGTGGCAGGAAGCCTGGGCTTTTATAAATTAAAGCAGAAACTTCTAGACTGATTTTACACTTGACAGGGCAAGACCCATCTAAGGAAAAAAAAAAAAAAAAGAAGGCTGATTTTTAGTCTCAGCCTTCTCATTTGATCTTAAGTCACTGAGCCTCTCTAGGCCAAAGTTTACTCAGCGGTAAAATAAAAGTCATAGTCATCTTGTCCCTCTCACTGAGTTGCTACAAGAATTTTACAACGTATATGAAAATACTTTAGAAACTGTAAGGCACTATATAAATGTAAATTTTTAATGTTTTTAATAACTTAAAAATTATTTATAAAAAATTAATAGAGATGGGGTCTCGCCATGTTGCCCAAGCTGGTCTCGAACTCCTGGGCTCAAGCAATCCTCCCACCTTGGCCTCCCAAACTGCTGGGAATACAGGCAGAGCCACTGTGCCCACCCATAAATTTAAAATAATTATTTATTACCAGTAGTGGCAGTAATAAACTTGGTATTAACAGGCACTGAAACCTTAATGGATTGCAGATACTATTTTGTTGTTTATGTGAGGACGGCATGGAAAGAGAGCAGGTAAAAATTACAAAAATAATAATAGATGCTTTATGATATGGTTTGGCTGTGTCCCCACCCAAATCTCAATTTGAATTGTACTCCCACAATTCTCATGTGTTGTGGGAGGGACCCAGGGGCGGGTAATTGAATCATGGGGGCCGGTCTTCCCCGTGCTGTTCCCATAATAGTGAATAAGTCTCATGAGATCTGAAGGGGTTCCCACTTTTGCTTCTTTCTCATTTGTCTCTTGCCACCGCCAGGAAAGAAGTCCCTTTTGCCTCCCACCACAATTCTGAGGCCTCCCCAGCCATGTGGAACTGTAAATTAAACCTCTTTTTGTTCCCAGTTTCCAATATGTCTTTATCAACCGCATGAAAATGAACTAATGCAGTGGTGCGATCTCGGCTCACTGCAGCCTCCACCTCCCAGGTTCAAGCGATTCTCCTGCCTCAGCCTCCCAAGTAGCTGGGATTACAGGTGCCCACCACCATGCCCAGCTAATTTTTTTAATTTTAGTAGAGACAGGGTTTCACCATGCTGGTCAGGCTGGTCTCGAACTCCTGACCTCGTGATCCACCCACCTCAGCCTCCCAAAGTGCTGGGTTTGCAGATGTGAGCCACCATGCCTGGCCAAGAATGACTTCTGGGAGACTACCAACAACTTCAAAGTCTAAGGCCATTTTTTAAATCTTCATTAAAATATCTGTATACATTTCATAATTATACTCTATTTTCTTAGTGCTTAGACATCACCTAAATACAGGAGAATTTTGTCCTTCTCAGGAATATAAAACATAAATAGCCAAGCCACGACTCCTTGCTTTATTTCCTCCTATTCCCCATTCTTCACAGCTCCATTATTTGTGGTCTCTCAGCTTATTTTACATTTACACTCAAATGAATACTGGCTTAAATCCCAAAGGAAATCAGTACTCACAAAGAAACTTGTTATCTACAAAACTGCAATTCTGCTTTAAGTTCTTCATTAGTTAAAAACCCACACTCAGCTTGGAAGATTTAGAAAGTTATCCCAATGATCCTACTACAAATCTCCATTTCTGGAGTCCATCATACTAATACATTGATTTAACAACTTTTAGCAATTTTTGTGGAGTCCATACTTCGAGTAGTAAAAACACATCACACAGAATAGCTAAAAAGTCTCCCACTATCATTTTTATTTTAAAAGAATTATATTTTGGCAGTACTACTTTCTTAGTAAAGCAAGAAAAAAATTTTTAAAGGTTCTAAATTGGCTGGGCACAGTGGTTCATGCCTGTAATACTAGCCCTTTGGGAGGCTGAGGCAGTAGGATCACTTGAGGCTGGGAGTTCAAGACCAGCCTGAACAACCCAGCAAGACCCCCTTCTGTTTAAAAGACTTAGAAGAAAGATCCCAGAGTTTTAGTTCCCATATTTTCTTGCCTGGGAAGCAATTAATCAAATATATATTTGGCTCCTAGGATATTTTGCTGGGTACTCTCTTTTCCAAGCAAAATTTTAACCTTCAATAAGATTCCACAATTAGTTGTGGATCTTGTTGTTCTAGAAATGCAGATTAAGAGAAAGCCATATGTGGCTCCAAATAAATACCTGCTCCAAAAAGTCTACTCAAATATATTAAAAATTACAAATTAACTGGTTATTTCTAAAAGGCAGCTAATATTTTGACCTATTTTCAAGTCAGTGTTTAAAATGACAAAGAATATGCCATTTTAAAAGCCTAAATCCACCCTATCAAATTTATTAAACTCTAACCACCTCTCTCACATTTCCTTCAGAATGGTGCTTTAACAACGACCTCATCTGGTTGTCTTGAGTCTCGCATTCCCACAATGGAGACATCAGAGAAGCTGGAGGATGAGATGTACGTAGGAGGGAGCTTTTCAGTTCTCTTCTGAAGGCATATGTGTTCACTGGTAGCTTAGACAAAGGTGTTGCTCTTGTTTAAGAATAGAATAAACTATAAGGCCAAGACCATCATGTATGACTGTACCATTTGTGCTCTGTGCCAGGGGCATTGAGTAGGAACTGAAATCCAGTCCACACTTCCTTAGCCACGCCATACACCTGTAGGGCTAAATCTGCTCAGAGGAAACATCTTTTTCCAATTTGCACAAAGATGCCACAGAGGCCACTTCAGTACTGAATAAAGGATTACACAATCTGGCTTCCCATTTCCTCTCTGATCTAATTTCTTTATTCACTTCATTCCAGCAACACTAGCTTCCTAGGTGTTCCTCTAACATGTCGGACATGTTCCCCCAAGACCTTTTGCATTTACTATCCCCTTTTGCTTGATAGGCCTTCTCCCAGTATCCGCATAGCTCATTTCCTCACTTCCTTCAGTTCTTGACATAAATGTCATTTTTTCAGTAAGAACTTCCCTAATCACCCCAGTTAACACTGCAGTCCCTGTCACCATCACCCTTTCTTGCTCTTTATATTTCTTCATTATACTTATTGCCACCTAACCCCTGACATAATTTATTTAGTTTATTATCTGTTCCACTGAATTTCATTCACTGCTATGTTTTCCAACGGCTGAAGTAATGCGCAGCATGTAATAGGTGCTTGATAAATAAACACTCATTACAATAATATATGAAGAAACAAAGAAACAAGCAATAGAGCCTAGCGCAGTGGCATGTGCTCGTAGTTCCAGCAACTCGGAAGATTGAGGTGGGAGGACTGCTTGAGCCCAGGAGTTCAAGTCTAACCTGGGCAACACAGTAAGACCTGATCTCTTAAAAAGAGGGAAAAAAGCCAGAAAGAAGCACTGAGTGACAAGGAGAGCCTTGTAGCTATGATTTTGAAAGTAAGAAAATAAAATTTGAGACGAGGAAAGGAAAAGAAAAATTTATTTAGGACCTCCAATATATTACATATCATACTAAATGTTATTTAATCCACAAAATTATCTCTATTTTATAGGCGAGTGCGCTGAGGATCTGAAAGGTTAGGCCAGGCGTAGTGGCTCATGCCTGTAATCCCAGCATCTTGGGAGGCCAAGGCTGGTGGATCACCTGAGGTCAGGAGTTCAAGACCAGCCTGGCCAACATGGTGAAATCCCGTCTCCACTAAAAACACAAAAATTAGCCAGGCACCGTGATGCACGCCTGTAAACTCAGCTACTCAGGAGGCTAAGACAGGAGAATCACTTGAACCTGGGAGGCGGATGTTGCAGTGAGCCAAGATCACGCCACTTTACTCCAGCCTGGGTGACAGTGTGAGACTCTGTCTCAAACAAACAAACAAACAAACAAAAAGTCTTTCAGCCAGAACTGCCATCTTCCAGTAATTTGCCAAAATGATGAACACAAAGGGAAAGAGGAGAGGCACCCGATACGTGTTCTCTAGGCCTTTTAGAAAGCATGGAGTTGTTCCTTTGGCCACCTATATGCAAATCTGTAAGAAAGGTGATATTGTAGACATCAAGGGAATGGGTACTGTTCAAAAGGAATGCCCCACAAGTGTTACCACTGCAAAACTGGAAGGGTCTACAATGTTACCCAGCATGCTGTTGGCATTGTTGTAAACAAAAAAGTTAAGGGCAAGATTCTTGCCAACAGAATTAATATGCATATTCAGCACGTTAAGCACGCTAAGAGCCGAGATAGCTTCCTAAAGGAAGCTATCAGAAAATGGAAAGTTATCAGAAAAAGAAGGAAAATGATCAGAAAAAGAAAGAAGCCAAAGAGAAAGGTACCTGGGTTCAACTGAAGCGCCAGCCTGCTCCACCCAGAGAAGCATATTTTGTGAGAACCAGTGGGAAGGAGCCTGAGCTGCTGGAACCTATTCCCTATGAATTCATGGCATAATAGGTGTTAAAAAAATAAAAGACTTCTGGACTGTTAAAAAAAAAAAAAAGGTTAAATAATTTTCCCAAGGTCACAAAGCTGTTGGGTAAAACAGCGTATGTGTTTTTCCAAGCCTTGCCTTGTTTCTTCATTCATTTATTTAACAATAATTTCTTGAGTATCTACCACAGACTAAGTGTTATTCTAAGGCACATAAGATATGTCAATGAAGAAAACAGAAAAAAAATTGTTGCTTCATGGAGTTTATATTCCAACAGACAATAAGCAACAAATATAATAAAGAAGGAAGTGACATAAATAGTAGAGTATATAAATTACATAATACATAAAGAGGTGAAAGTGCTATGGGAAAAAGAAAAGAAAAAGTACAGATAAGGGGCACTGGCACGTTGGATAGAATGGCAGCATAATTTTAATTTTAAATAGCATAGACCAGGTGTCACTATGAAGGAAACAATTAAGCAAAGACTTGGACGTGAAGGGTATCCACGCAAATATATGCAATAACACTCCAAGCAGAGTAAACAAGCAGTTCAACAGTCATGAAGCGGGAGTACCCGGCCTAGCTGAAACCAGCAACGAGGCCAGTGTGGCTGTAATGAAGAAAGCAAGAGAGACAAGAGTAAAAGCTGAGGTTAGAGAAGAAAACTGAGTGGTGGGGAGTGAGAGTGAAGAAGGGGTTATGAAATGTGGGGTATAGGTCATGTAGGACCCAGTAGGCCATTATAAGAACTAGGTTTTTATTCTGTGTGAAATGAGAAGCCAAACTTCTCAAAAGAGATGTCTATATATGTCACTATCGTTTCCTTTTTTCCATTCACGTTTTAATGTACTGCATTCTGCATTTCACCATTACTTCCCTGAAATTACTCTCTTCAGGGTTAATAACCACTTTACCCAAAAATCCAGTGTATGCTATTTTAGACCTCCCCTTACTCATTCAACAGAGTTCATTTTTGAAACAACCTAATCTCTGTCTTCGTGCCTCTATTCTCTCCCGCTTTTCCTCTTACCTCTCTGGTTGCTACTTCTCAGTGTTCTCTGTGAACTTCTCTTCCTCAACCAGAGTTGCATAGTTTACCAAGTGCCTTCTTTTCTCTCCATCAGAGTTAGCCCACTGATGGGGGTTATGGCCCACAAGTTAAATCTGGCCTGCTGCCTGTTTCTGTAATAAAGTTTTACTGGAATTCAGCCACTTCCATTTTTAAAATGTATTGCCTGAGGCTGCTCTCACACTGCCATGGCGAGAGCTGGGCAGAGTTCAGCAGGTGTGAGACAGCCTAAACACCCACAAAGCCTATGAGAGAAAGCTGCTGGCTCTTGAACTATACCTTCTCTTTAGGTAACCTCATTCATTTTAAATACATCCTGGTAATCCCAAAATTTGTATCTTCAACCTCATGTCTCTTCTCCGATGATAGTCCATCATCTATGACACATAATCTAGAGGTCATCCTTGCTTCCTCCCTTTCTTTCCCACACAGAACTCATTAACAACTTCTGCTTGCTCTAGCTTCCACATACATCTCGAATCCATCAACCTCTCTTCAACACACACGCTGCTGCCACCACCATTGTCCAGGTCTACCTGCATTACCACACTGGTCTAACTGACTTCCCTGCTACTGGTTCTCCCCAGAAATCAGACCATGTATTATCTTTAATCTTCATAACAACCCTATACAGCAATTACTATTATTATTCCAATTTTACAAATGAGAAAAAATAAAGGCTTAAAGAATTTATTACTTGTGTAAAGCAAAAAAGCTAATGTGTGGCAGAGATTCCAAAGTATAACCTCTTAATCATTCCACTACATGCTTGTGTCCTTTCTCTTTCACAACTGAAGTTGGCATCAGAACAGACCAAATTTTTCCTATGGGAATTCTGACACATTCTCTCAAGCACAAAAGAAAGTCATGTCAATAGTTAATTACCTCTAATATCCTTAGCAGTTTGTTACTTTCCATCATATTGACCCAAACCCTACACCCCTCCCATAATCTACTCTTTCTGATTTAATCTACTTATTTCTTAATCGTATCTACCAATTTGTTCTTGTCTATCCACCAAGAAATGGGCCTTCATATATATTTAAGTTATAAGCCAGGTTTCCCCTAGCCAACAATGTTTTGTTACACACTTTGTTGTTAGTGTTATGTGTGTACTTGCCGGTATTTAAAAATCAGGAGATGAGGGAGTCACACACACAAAAAAATCTAGATTCAGGACCAAATGAAAAGATCTGGTAACATCAGCTTCAGTTAAACTGCAACTGCCTACTATGTTCATTGCATGTTCTCTTTAGTTTCTCATCAACTGTTACTTTATACTGGGTTACATGTTCTCATACGCGTTTTCTGTATGGCCTGTTAAACATTTAAATTTTTTATGACTGTCCTACTCTTTGCACTTCAAAGGACAAGTAAGTTGTGTTTTGCGATTCACTGTTTTACTGTTTGTAATGTTCTTCCCTTCCTTTACAATAAATATGATGCATGAAACTATGCAACTTTTACACTTAATATTTAATGTCCAAGGGTAAAAGACTTAATTTTTCCTTTTTTTTTGAAGAAAGAATCTCTCTGTGTCACCCAGGCTGGAATGCAGTGGTGCCACCATAGCTCACTGCAGCCTCAATCTCCTGGGGCCAAGTGATCATCCTACTTCACCCTCCTGAGTAGGTGGGACTACAAATGCACACCATTACTCTGGCTAATTTTTTTATTTTTTGTAGAGGCAAGGTCTCGCTATATTGCCTAGGCTGGTCTTGAACTCCTGAGCTGAAGCATTCCTCCCACCTCAGCTTCCCAAAGTGCTGGGTTACGGACATAAGACAATGGACCAGCATAAGACTTAATTTTTCTATAACATCAAATTGCTATCATCAAACAAGTAATAAGTAACAAACACTTGCATTCCCCTACCCTTTAACCAAACAAATAACCCCCTCTGGATTTCCACACTATTTAACTTTAGAAAAAACACACACTAAAGTACTTTGAAAATGCTGCTTTCTCTCATTCTAGCTTGCTTTGGAGGGAAATGCAGCTTACCACTACAAGTCCTGTTGTCAGCATTAAGAGAGTAGTGGGCAGGGCATCCACAAACAAAACCCCCAACTGGCACAGCCAAGCAGAGGTGGGAGCAGTGCCCATTGCTGGAAGCACATTCATTCCACCCTGACTGTCGAGATGAGTGAAAGACGAGGATGTCCATCACATAATCCAAATGGCCCTGAATGATGGTGCGGTTTTGGCCACTGGTTTTGTTGGCACGCTCAATGCTGCGTCGGCTCCAGTCCGTCCAGTAGATATAATCTTGGTACTGAGTTAAGCCAAAAGGATGAGGCAAGTCATCTGCTATAACTTCACGGTTGAGCCCTATTTTCAGAAAGGCAGTAGACAGGGGAGAAGCAGAGTGATGAAATATGTGAGAATACAAGTGTCTTGCTGGCAAAAAGAAAAAAAAAAGCCCTAACATATAAAACATTACATTGTAAGCAATTTAAAATAGAAAAATTCATTTAAAAGCAATTCTAAAACGAGACCAATTCTCTGAAATCAATCTATCTTCTGACCCCATGCTTCAAACTTATATTCCTGCTACAAATCACTCAGTTTCCTAAAATTCTTGCAAATGGTCTACTTTAAATGTGGTTTTATTTTCTCTATATAAGGGTCTACAGTTCACTTTTTCTTCTTGAACTATAGAAGGAAAAGATGGAAATATATATATTTTACTGGTACAAAAGTCATTTCAGGAGTATCTAGGGAGTTATAAATTTCATTACAAGTCCAATAATAATGAAACTTTCACATAATAAAAAGATGAATCCAAGTACCTGGATCACTATTAATAACAAACAGGATACAATTCCAGAACAGAAGAAGAATGGACACATTCATATGAAGTTGTATTAAAAGTATCTAACCAATGATAAATAGCAGCCACTGATATTTGCATGGAAAGAATATACTGTTTGAGTAAAAAGTAGTAAAGCTTACCAAGCATATTTGAAGATTCTATTAAGTTGGTGTCCAGGTCTGTCCAATAAAGCCTCCTTTTAGCATAATCAATAGTTAGGCCGTTTGCCCGCCCCACATTTGGAACTAAGGTAGTACGTTCACTTCCATCCATTGCAGCTCTGTCTATCTTAGGTTTTCCACCCCATTCAGTCCAATACATAAATCTAAATTCAAAATAATAAATATTTAACATTTCAATTTTTTATTATCTGGGGGAAAGAGTCATATTCATGCAAAGTAACTAAATAAATTTAAAGAAAACATACAGCAAATCAAGGAAATGGGTTAAACAAAATCACGGCTACAATGCTTTCAATTATTTTGGCACCCTAAACTAAATATTTTTTTCCATATCCCAAAAAGGAAGTGAGTCAGCTTTCCTTAGTCTTTCCAATACATTTGTTCCATCCAAACCTAGGAATTGGAAATAAACCAACAGTTTATTGCAGTACTGGCATTTGTAAAATTAACATTCAAGAAAACAGCAAAGGTTTAAAGCTCTGGTCTCAGAATCTGGTTCACTTCTGAGTAAAATATTTTTATATACTTTTGAATATTAACTAATTTGAGTTTTTAATATGCTGAACTTACTTTTTGACTTGTGTAATCAACTCTTCCTCAAAATAAGTTGCAGAAGTACATGAAAGGTAATTATAAATACTAAGCCTTTAACTGAAGTCAAAAGCAAAGCTTGAAAATGTATTTGGTCATATGGTCCAAGGGAGCATACTATATGGTAAGAACAACGACTCACCCCTTGATGTGTCCACTGGGCAATGAACACTACACTACGCTACAACAATCTCTGTGAAATTTTAGAATAATTACTTTGCTGTTATTTTCCATTTTTGAGTTTTGCACTTTAATCTTACAGTAATCCTACAGTATAGGCTTTTTATAGATGAAGAGCCCAAAACACTACAAGAAATGTGAACAACTTATCTAATGTCTTCAAGCCAGTTAGATGACAGAGCTAGAACTAGAACCTAATCCTTGGCCAAATGCCCTTTCAAGTAAACTAGTGAGGTGCTAGTTTTTGAGACTCTTGAATACTGGAACTAAAAAAGCACATCACATGCCAGCTCTCACGAAATACCTGAGGACATATATTCACTCATCAGCCTGTCAGCTGATAGCTGACTTGGTAGCAATGTATGAACATGCTTTTCTGAAAACTGAAGGTGTCCTGCCTTTATATGCATTTGCACTTGTCATTTGACAGGCATGTGCACACCACAAGAGCCAAAGAGAAACAACTGTGAGAGAAATTTCATACTTGCCAGCAGCAACCAATTAGTCCCAACTATTAAATTTATCTGTCTGGCAGCTAATGTTTAGAGCAAAGATCACCACAATATGTCAGTGCTGACTAGATGAATTACTAGCTAATCATGGAATCAATGTCACTTCAGGGAAATTATTTTAAGTAGCAAATACAGTAAACATATTTATATGTTCACACTGTTTACTTCTTTTTTTTTTTCCAAGATGGAGTCTTGCTCTGTTGCCCAGGGTGGAGTGCAGTGGCACGATCTCGGCTCACTGCAACCTCCACCTCCCAGATTCAAACAATTTTCCTGCTTTAGCCTCCAGAGTAGCTGGGACTACAGACACATGCCACCATGCCTGGCTAATTTTTTTTTATCTTTAGTAGTTACGGGGTTTCACCATGTTGGCCAGGCTGGTCTCGAACTCCTGACCTTGTGATCTGCCCACGCCTCGGCCTCCCAAAGTTGCTGGGATTACAAGCGTGAGCCACCACGCCCGGCCTGTTGACTTCTTTTATAAGTGGAATTTTTCTTTAGATTTCAGATTTCTTAGCTGCCGGCTTTAAAAAATTTGCTGACTCTTGTAAAAAGGAACACTCGCCCTTGAAAAACATCATGTTGTGAACAGTTTATTCTATCTTGTAATAACAAAGCTACTGCCAGTTTATAATAATGATCAAACCAAACTATCCATTTTGAATTAATAAATACTCCAAAATAAAGCTTTTTAAATGTAGTTTTTTCTTAGCTCACAACATTGTTTCGGTGGGTTTACTTCAATAGGCTTGGAATCTAGTATAACTGGGAAGGAGTGCAAGCAACTACAGATGGATAATACCTCTTGGTATATATACTTAACATATCAGTATACTCATCAGTAACATTTATTAACCCATTCCCCTCTTTCTTCACCTAAAGTTAATTACGACAAGAGTAAAATTAGCTAATAATTATTCATTCAAATCAGCAAAATATCAATAGTGTTTTTAAAAGTTCATCTATCATTTAGTTCTCAGATTCCTAATACGTATTATTTAAAACATTAAGAATATCATCTGTAACTATGCCATGTTCCCCGAAATGTACACTGCAGTTGCAAAGAATGCACATGTAAAGCTGTTTACCCTTCGGCAGGGTCCAACGCGAGAGCTCTGGGACTATCTAGGTCTTTCCACACCAAAACTTGTCGGTGCTGCCCATCCAACTTTGACACCTCAATTCGATTCGTTCCTGTGTCTGCCCAGTACAAGTTCTTCCCAAGCCAGTCTACTGCCATGCCTTCTGGATAATCTAAGCCGAATTCTACCACATGTTCCAGTGCACTGCCATTCATAAAGGCTCTGCTGATGGTCTGCAAAAGAACATTAACAACTAAGTCATATGGCATAAGTCTAAACCCTATCCAGAAAGAAGGTTTGGTTTGGTTTTTGTCAGGGGCAAGAGGATCCAGAAGTGCCAAGAGGCATACTATTTCCTATTAAAATTCACATAACTTGCAAGCACAGAAAAATTTGATGTCAATCTCTAATAAATGCAACTTCAAGTTTTACTGCCAATTCAGGGGAGAAATTTTAAAACTCTAATGCACCAAAAATTTATTCTACTAACAGCAGAATGACTTTACTTTTAAAATTTATCAGTAATCAAGTGGAAAAGCTGTGACCACAATGCTACAGATCTTAATTAGTGGTCAATTTTCTAAAGGTGCTTAAGATTATGGCAAGTCATCATGCCTACCATATAAATGAATGTAACCATTATACTACCATTATAGCACTGAGTCCCATAACACTTTTAAAAATCATAATTCAAACTAATAATAGATACATCTTATCAAGTATTATCCTAAGTACGTTTTGTCCGTAGATTTTGTCACTTAATACAACAGTCCTGCAAGTATGGCATCACCCCTATTTTATGTTTTTGAGACAGAGTCTCACTCTGTCACCCAGGCTGGAGTGCAGTGGCATGATCTCGGCTCACTGCAACTTCTGCCTCCCAGGTTCAAGTGATTCTCGTGCCTCAGTTTCCCGAGTAGCTGGGATTACAGGTATGCGCCACCATGACCAGCTAATTTTTGTATTTTTAGTAGAGACGGGGTTTTGTCATGTTGGCCAGGCTGTTCTCAAACTCGTGACCTCAGGTGATCCATGTGCCTCAGCCTCCCAAAGTGCTGGGATTTACAGGCCTGAGTCACCGCACCCAGCCACCCCCCATTTTCAAGATGAGGAAATTTAGAACATCACCCAATGCAAACCAAAATTTATTTATTTCATTTATTCACTTAATAAATTTAACTGAACACCATTAGAATCCAACTCTGACTCCAACACCCCATGTTTTCGCATATTACAAAAAAGTTTACATGAGTTATCTGAAACAAGCCCAAAACAATCTGGAAGAAGAAAAGATTATTCTTCAGATTTATAGGTTGGGAGCTTCCTCTCTGGCTATCCTGGTATTCTTTTCAGTAACTATTCTAGGAAGAAGAAAATAAAGAATAACTCATTGTTGGCCTTTTCCGCCTCAGTCAGGCCCTAAAATTTTGTTTAAAGTAAATCACGAATTTTTTTTTAAAGTAAATCAACAGCCATTTTACGTGAAGCACACATTTCCTTACTCAGCTAATTGCAGAAAATGTCATTCATCATTTTCAAATGGAAGAAAGTAGAGGAAGACTATGGCTTGCAGATTTAAAACACTCTGGCAAAGTATCTGTATTAAAAAGCATCTAATAAAATACTGAATGGGCCTTTCCCTTCACTTAAAAACTTAAGGGTTTTGGCTGGGCGCGGTGGCTCACGCCTGTAATCCCAGCACTTTGGGAGGACGAAGCGGGCGGATCACGAGGTCAAGAGTTCGAGCGGCCTGGCCAACATGGTGAAACCCCGTCACTACTAAAAATACAAAAATTAGCTGGGCGTCGTGGCACGCACCTGTAGTCCTAGCTGCTCGGGAGGCTGAAGCAGGAGAATCGCTTGAACCTGGGAGGCAGGGGTTGCAGTGAGCCGAGACTGCACCACTGCACTCCAGCCTGGGTGACAGAGCAAGACACCGTTTAAAAAAAAAAAAAAAAACTTGAGGGTTTTTGTTGAACTCTGCCTGTCAAACAATGAGGGAGGTGGGTCACAGCATGAAGATTCAGAAATTCTAGAAGTTCTCCCTTTTAGTCCCTAGCTTTAATATTCCAATTCTTTTGCTAACCTTGAGTGATATATCAGTCCAATAAATTCGGTTGTCTGTCACATCAAAATCCAAAGCAGAAGCTTCTTTGACACCAGTGAGTGGAATAGCCACATTATTATTGTTTGTTTCCAGAGAAATTCGTCTGATATCTGCTCTCCGTGAAAACAAAAGGAAAGCCTCTGGGACAATGCAGGTCTTCATGTCACTGATGAGTTCAAAGCCAATAGGGCAAGCACAGCGAAGGCCCTGAGGTCTATAGAGGCAGAGATGGCTACATCCCCCGTTTTCCTCAGCACAGGGGTTGGAACCTAAAAGATTAATTATAAAAGGGGCACAGAAGGACACACACATTGATACATTCAACATATTTTCACTTTTAAATTACTTAAGCGTTTGGTTCACAAATGCCTATGATTATGTCTTGCTCCCAATCTCAAGTTTCAATTCTAATATCACAAACAAGTAATATGCAGATTAATAGGGAGTAAAAGCATGGTGAAGTATTTTCCTTTAATACCACAGTAAGCTTTAAAGTAAGGTATATTATTCATACTATCAGACTGAATTCTTTTGATGAAGGTGTGCCTGTGCATGTGTATTCAGCCCTTCAATTCAAACTGGGTAGCTAGAGTAGTAAGTCAACGTTTAAAAGGTCCCTTCTCAGTAAAAAAAAAAAAAAAAAAAAAAAAAAAAAAAAAAAAGGCGGGGGGGCAGTAAAGAAGGTTTCAAAATTGCCTCAAAACATCAATAATTTACACTGCTGACTATCTCCATCTTTTTTCATTCCTGGTTCCCATTTCTAAGAAAGCTTTGGAGTTACTCACCAATCACTCGATGAACATTTGTAGCCTTTAGGCCCATGAGGTCAGGCAGCTGATCTATGATCACTTCCCTCTCTGCACTTCGTTTATGAACTCTTTCAATGCTACGCCTCTGCCAGTCAGTCCAGTAAACATAGTCACCCAACAAAGTAAATCCAAATATGTGAGGAATTTTGTCTTCCACTAGTACTCGTCTCCCAGTGCCATCAGTATTCATAACCTTCAGGTTTAAATTCAAAAGAGAAGGGGATGAATTATGCATTTATTCTTCAGCTAAAAATAACAAATCCAACTGCCTGTTGTATAAAAATCCAAGAGTCATCTTGGTATTCCTATTACAATGCTTTCTCAAAATTACATGATGATTTTATAAAAATGATTTCAAATTTTCCATATAAGCCTCTATTTGACCACTTTTCCCCCCAATCTCATATTACTCTTCCTTCTAAAAATTCTGGCAACTTTAGATTATGCAACTCTTCTATTAAACAATTGTGGCAAAATTAAAAATACAGTATCATCACCTTAAGTTTGCACATTTGTTTTCAAATTATAATGTACCTTCATATACATTATTTTATCATATATTTTGTTTTATAACATCTTTTATTTTATCTTGAGAGCTTTGCCTATGGAAACTGAGATTCATGTAAGGTCACAGAGCTTGTAAACACAGTTGATGTCTTTTTCAGGACTTTTTCCACTTAGCATGCTTTTTATTTTGTTGTTGTTGTCAGTAACAACAAAAAACAGATAAAAGGGATCTCAATAAATCTCTCATTCCTCTGAGATTATAATCACAAAAGTATCGGGATTATATGACACCCTCTCTGCATCTAAGTTTCAAGAAACTAGGATGTACCTTCTCTTTCCAACTACCTAATAGTAACATTATTAAATTCACTCTGGCATTCATACTGTATTCACAGTGCATTCACCATGCACTATTCAGTGTTGACTTACTTGGGATACCTTTATTGACATAATATAACTAATATTTGATATTTACATATAAGATTATATCTGATACCTTTTTTGGGGGGGTAGGAGCAGATATTGTTCACATGTACATGTTTTTAGTATGAAATAACATTTCTAAAGGCTAATTTGCCCAGCACGCAGGCCCCTTTAAGTGACAGAAATGGTCTCAGGTAGGGACTTGAACACTGGGACTCTGGAAGGCTTGCTGCATCTTTCAGAACAGAACAAGGTCTTCTCAGTTTCTACTGCAGCATTTCCAATTGCATTTCCAGGAACATGTACTGCTACCTCATCTAAAAGGTCATATACTTAACAGTGAACCTATGTCCTGCATTAGGGAGAGTTCAATCATTCTATTAGGGAGCACCCAACACAGAGTGATAAATATTCTGTATTATACAATACAAAAATATTACTTTCTTATAAGTTTGTGGTATGTTAAAATATGCCTGATTCGGTTTTATTCTTAGATTTAATTCTATCTTATTTTGCATTATCTTACATTTAATAAATTACGCTAATTTTGCTGATCTTTACATTCAAATGTTGGCTTTCCTATTAAAATTTGCTGGTGTAAAAGCATAAACTAGATGCCCAATATTAAACTTTTAAAGAATAACACTTATATTTCTACTTCTATTATGAGATCAACAAAATCTTTTCTCTTTCAGCTATATCACTTTCCAACATTTTTGTTTATTTTGATAAATAAATAGCTTAAACAAAAGATGGATGATTAAGTATGAATTAGGAAAATGAGGCTGGGTATGGTGGCTCATGCCTATAATCCCAGCACTTTGGAAGGCCAAGGCAGGAGGAGCACTTAAGCCTTGGGTTTCAAGACCAGCCTGGACAAAATGGCAAGGCCCTGTCTCTACAAAAATACCAAAAAATTAGTCAAGCATGGTGTGGTAAGCCTGTAGTCCTAGCTACTAGGGAGGCTAAAGCAGGCAGATTGCTTGAGCCCAGGAGTTTGAGGCTGCAGTGAGCTATAATCAAGCCACTGTACTCCAGCCTAAGTAACTCCAGCCTAGGAAAAAAATCTTTAAAAAGACAGAAAATAGGTAAGAATGAAATTAAAAATCATTGTGAGAAAAATAATAAATGCCACAATTCTAAGACCTTTTTAGTAAACATAATTCTGCATCTTCTATTTACCAGTTTCCCTTCATTCTTCTGTTCTCTAAAAAATTTCTCATGATCAGCAAACAGTATTGTGGCAGAAAGAGATTTGTATTTCAAATATAAGCTTTATCACTCAGTGGGTACCTTTAAGCAAGTCTCACAAATAAAATAGGGACAGCAGTCCAGGCGCGGTGGCTCACGCCTGTAATCCCAGCATTTTGGGAGGCCGAGACGGGTGGGTCACGAGGTCAAGAGATGGAGACAATCCTGGCCAACATGGTGAAACCCCGTCTCTACTAAAAATACAAAAAATTTGCTGGGCGTGGTGGCGCACACCTGTAGTCCCAGCTACTCGGGAGGCTGAGGCAGGAGAATCGCTTGAACCCAGGAGGCAGAGGTTGCAGTGTGCCGAGATCGCGCCACTGCACTCCAACCTGGCAACAAAGTGAGACTCTGTCTCAAAAAAAAAAAAAGGGACAGCGCCACTGCCATCACTGAATTAGTTAAGGATCAAATAAAATAATGCTAAATATATAGCACAGTATTAGGTGCACTATCTGGTAAACACTGGTTCCTGTCCTTTAAAAATCATTTTATTAAAATGCTTTAGTTCCTAAATGTAAACAGCTAAATGATTGTATTTAATTATTTAATGTAGTGCTTCAAAATAAAAATACATAAATATAAAAGAATATATGAAAATAAAAGACCAAAACAACCACTCACTGTTAAACTGAAGACAAAAACCAAGAGACCTTTATGTATCCTGAAACCAGTGGGAAACTACACAGCTACAGCCTCCCATTTCCTACTCCCATTTTTATTGTTTACTTTTGCTAGTTAGATATAAAGTAACTAAAACAGTAAACAAAAAAGAACAAATATTTGACAATTTCATATGAGTACACTTTTGCTGCTCTGCCAGACCCCTAACTCACCTCCCCGCAAATCAAACAACATTAGTAAAGACATCTAGTAAATGCAAACCACCATGATAGACCTGATGAATGCTGAGAAGTTTAGAACAGGGCCTCTTCCAGCTAATGTATTACAATCTAATTGGGGAGGTAAACGATATTTACATTAAAATTACACACATATCCCCTCTCTGTAAGTAATCAGGAAAAACTTCAGGAAATAATAGCAGTTGAAATTCATCTTGAAGAATTAGAATTTTGACAAAGAAAAAGAGAAACAGATTTTCTAGAAAAAAAGAAATGAGTTAAGACACAGCAAAGCCAAGGATGCACACGACATGTTTGACTTTGAAAGAAATGCCTTGACTGAGATAGAACGAACACATGGGGGACTCAAAGGATACAGCATCAAGCAGATACCACCCTATGGCAGGTATTAAATTCCAGGATAAGGAGAATTACAGAAAGCAAGAAGGTTCTGAAAGCACTTTAAGCAGGGTGACACAATAAACCCATGTTTCAGAAACACTTCATTTATCTCTGTCACCCTGTTCAGCTTGTGTTAAAGATAAATATCTTATTTTAAATGTAGAATTATGAAAAAAATAAATAAACCAATATAGAATTATGGTTAGCAAAATATTTTCAATTTCTGTGAGATGGCAAGAGAGGTCCAAAATCCCTTATCTAAAGTCAGGGTCAGTTGTATTCCTGAATTCAGACTGTTTTTGTCTTTTTGTTTTTTTTTAAAGAAAGGTTAACACAATGCACATAGCATATCACCTCTACTTGGGTTCAGGGCAGCACTATTTATAGCCAAACATGTTAATATTTCTGCAATAAAACACGGCCAGGCGCAGTGGTTCACACCTGTAATCCCAGCACTTTGGGAGGCCAAGGCAGGAGGACCATTTGAGGTCAGGAGTTCGAGACTAGCCTGACAAACATGGTGAAACCCTGTCTCTACTAAAAATAGAAAAATTAGCCGGGAGTGGTGGCTAACGCCTGTAATCCCAGCTACTTGGGAGGGTGAGGCAGGAAAGTTGCTTAAACCCGGGAGGCAGAGGTTGCAGTGAGCCAAGATCGCACCATTGCACTCCAGCCTGGGCAACAAGAGCAAACTCTGCCTCAAAATGATAATAATAATAATAATAATAATAAATAAAAGTATGCCCGCAGTGTGGGACAGACTACAAATAGTCTCACACTGGTTCAGATCAAGTTTTCCACCAAATCAATTAACAAAAGCAGCATTTGGTTTTCAGAGCCCTTTGGATTTCAGAATTGCAGATAAAGGATTATAGATCAGAAATACTTTGCTCATCTTCACTTCAGTCCCTTGAGAAAACTGGGGTTTGGATCAGTGTTAATACTGCTCTAGATACAAGCAAGGGTCTCAGGAAGAAGAGAGCAAAGCAAACAATGAAAAGAAAAAGGTCTTCAGCAACATTTGCTGAAAGGACAACAAATGAAGACCACGATCAAAGTATTAACAAGCTCAACAAAGGTATTAACAATGAAGGTATTAAGAATGGCACAGTGGCGAAGAACTCAAAATAGTTCCTGAGAAGGCACAACTAATGATTTGGTTGCTTTACTCACTTGAGCACTAGTCCCTTCCAACCATTCCTTGTTCTCTCACTCGAAAAGCAAAAACTAAAAGGTCTTTTTTTGGTAATGACGTAAATACAAAAGCAAGATCTATCAATTCATGTCTATTTCAAGTTAAGCAATGTAATTAAGATTTATTAAAGATTTTTTTAAAACCACGTTTTGTAAGCACACTGTTTCCTTTAATTCCTGATCTCCTTGTTCTCATCTGGTGTAGTTTTTACAATAGGTTTGGATCTAAAACAGCACTGTCCAGGAGAAATATAACACAAGCCACCAATGTAGGCCGTATGTGTCCATTTAAAATTTTCTAGTAGTCATATTAAAAAGTACAAAACATGCCAGGAGAATGTTTTCGCTCACACCTGTAATCCTAGCACTTTGGGAGTCCAAGGCGGGTGGATCACTTGAGGCCAGGAGTTCAAGACCAGCCTGGCCAACATGGTGAAGCCCCCTCTCTACTGAAAATACAAAAATGAGCCAGGTGTGGAGATGCACACCTGTAATCCCAGCTAGTCGGTAGGCTGAGGCAGAATTGCTTGAACCTGAGAGGCAGAGGTTGCAGTGAGCTGACACCGCACCACTGCACTTCAGTCTGGGTGAAAGAATGAGACTCATCTCAAAAACAGTATAAAACAGTAGACAGAATTTTAATAGTATACTTTATTTAATCTAACACATCCAAAATTCTTTTCTCTCAACCTGTAATCAATATTAAAATTTTATTAATGACATTTATGGTTTTTTTTTTAATACTAGGTCTCTTAGAATGTGTTTTACAATTAAAGTACATCCTAATTCAACCTAGGCACATTTTAAGTTCTGCAGAGCCACATGTAATTAGTGGCTACATATTGCACTGTGCTGGATTAGAGTCTTCAGAGTGGTGACTACATACAGCCTATAATAAAATTAATTGGTTCCTTTTTTAGTTTACATCACTGTCCCCTCTATACCTGTCACCTTCAGGCTTACCTCAGATCGATCAGGCTCACTAAAGCTTCAAACAAATGTCTTTTATTTGGTCTTTCTTTCTTCCAAGCTATATACTATTTAATTCTAATATGAAGTTAAAATTACTTCACACACACACACACACACACACACACACACACACACACACGTCTTAGATGAAAAAAACTACTTTTTTTCTTCTTGTCACATTTGCAAGTTTACATATAAAACACTAGCTAAGAGGTTAGTTAGAAGGAGCAACAAAGACCTGATTCTTTCATTTATTTTAGGCTATGTCAAAAAGGAAGTATTAAGACCATAGATATATTATTAGAAAACCCATTTCTGCCATCTCCTTAGCCCTCCTGCTTAAGACACGCTGCAGTCTAGATCAGCCATGTACTAACAATGGTTAAAACTAGGTAGTTCATGGTCGTCTCTACTCTGCTTTCTATACTCTGACATTTTCCATAATTTTTAAAAAATGAAGAGAAAAAGCTAAGAAGCAAGTCCAAGGACACACAAATAATAATGATGATGATAACTGCTGTTATTAATAAATGCTATTATTGGCCGAGCGCGGTGGCTCACGCCTGTAATCCCAGCACTTTGGGAGGCCAAGGAGGGCGGATCACCAGGTCAGGAGATCAAGACCATCCTGGCTAACATGGTGAAACTCCATCTCTACTAAAAACACACACACAAAAAACTAGCCAGGCGTGGTGGCGGGTGCCCGTAGTCCCAGCTACTCAGGAGGTTGAGGCAGGAGGATGGCGTGAACCCGGGAGGTGGAGCTTGCAGTGCACCGAGACTGTGCCACTGCACTCCAGCCTGGGCGACAGAGTGAAACTCAGTCTCAAAAAAAAATAAAATAAATAAATAAATAAATAAATAAATAAATAAATAAACGCTATTATCATTTTTGTTAGTATGGTATAGAAAGGAATTATAAGGATCCTCCGAAGAGATTAAGGGATCACCAGCTTAAACAATATCTGACTGTGAGACTTTGCATCTAAACACACAGATAATGTATTTTCCTTCACACAAAGTCCAATTTCTGAAATGTTTCCTTCCATTACTTTTGTAGAGGTGACACTATTAGAAAACTGACTTCTCCACTAAGTATTTCTCTTGTACCAGCCACACAATCTTTTTCTACCGGGCACAAGTTAACCATAGTGAAATAAGAACATGTTGCTCTGTCTTAAAGAAATCACTATTCCATTTCTCATATTCCTGTAAAAGTTTTGGACAGGTTACTAGGTCTATAAATACAGTTTAAGCTCCTTATGTTTAAAATAACACAAATCCTGGCAAAAGCTTGTTTGTATATTCTGAACCCAGAACAAATGAACCACTTTAGGCAATTCCAAAAGATTACACTTATGCTTTAAAAACTGTGCCAATGTTAATTAAATCTGACAACTCTTAAGGGTGTACTTCACTGTATTACCTCAGAGTGGTTTAATTAGTTAAACTGAAATTAGGCTTCTGTCACTTCTAAAATCTAACTCCAAATCTGAACCAGAGTCTCCAGTGGTTTCAGCTGCTTTGACCACACTGTGGCACATTGGTTTAACATTCTGAAATATTCTAAACCACACTGAGAATATAGGCTACAAGAGGAAATAGACGTGGGTTAACCATAACATTATCTGCACAAAGAAGAAGTAATGGCAAATCTTCTACAGACATCACATCCAGTTTTTGAGTCATTTCATCAGCTCATTAAATGTCAAGACAGGACTGCCCATGCAATCTTGGAATGCAGCCAGTCTACTACCAAAATTGCTGCTATGCAACTTCACTTGACAAGACAAGTTCAAGGAACAGATGCAGGAGGACAACCAAGCAACCACCATAAAATGTGCTAGAGTTGGAATGCTATAAAGTTCTAGAAGAGAAACTCAAATTATGCCCAAAATGAACCACTCCTCTTCTAATGTTCCAGACAATATCCAAAACAAGCAGTGAATTAAAAGCTTATACATAAGGAAGACAGATATGACTGAGGGTTGGGGAGCATATTTTTTCTGATACAACTTCATAGAACATAAAATATAATTTCACACAAATGGGATTTTAAAACACAGAATATTTATCCACGGAAATAACATTTCAATCATGCCAAATCTCACTGAGATGACAAGTATAAAGAAATGCTTTGGACCCAGTAGGTGAAGTAAAGGGACACCACACACCTGTTTGAGAGAGAGGTAGGGGCAATTACAGTGCTATATTCAAAGCCTTTTAACCTACTTCAAGATACATTAAGTCTGAGTACATATAAGTGATTTTAAATATGAAAAGAATTGAAGTATCATAGTTACTCTGGGTAGTTTTATAATATTTTTTGCAAGGAATCAGGCATTGAATATTAAAGATTTGCAATTACTATGCTCTTTTTCTGTTAGAGCTAAAAATTGCTACTGTGACCAAAGCTTTCTAAAACCTGAATTACTCCAGGAAACGAAAAAATTGAGAACAGAGTTCCAGATGAAGGCATCATGATGACGAATGTCAACATCCTGGTCAATTATACTCAACTGCTTCATAAGACACTTCTGAAAGCCTCACTGTCCTGAGGCCCCAAAAACCTAATAGGGAAAAGATTAACATGTCAACAAGGGAAAACTGCCCTCTCTGCTCTCATTCTTTTTAAGCACAGCTAAAATAAATTCTTTTGTTTTTGGGGGGACAGGGTCTTGCTCTGTTGCCCAAGCTAGAGTTCAGTGGCATGATCTCAGCTCGCTGCAACCTCTGCCTCCCAGACTCAGGTGATCCTCCCACCTCAGCCTCCAGGGTAGCTGGGACTACAGTTGCACACCACAATGCCTAGCTAATTTTTGCATTTTTTATAGAGATGGGGTTTTGCCATGTTGCCCAGGCTTGTCTCAAACTCCTGGGCTCAAGTGATCTTCCCACTTCAGCCTCCCAAGTAGCTGGGACTCCAGGAGTGCACTACCACGCCCAGCTAATTTTTATTTTCTGTAGAGCCGGGGATCTCACTATATTACCCAGGCTGGTTTCAAACTCCTAGCCTCAAGGGATCCAGGGATCCTCCCACCTCAACCCTTCCAAAGTGATAGGATTACAAGTGTGAGCCACTGTGCCCAATAATCAACTAGCAATTTTCAAATAGGAATTCACAAATTTCATTGTTATGCGATGTACCCCAGACACAAAATAACACAACAGGCCAGCACCAGGTTTACAACTCAATGAACATTAAGTCCAAACTCCAGGTGCTCTGCTGAGTTGAGGAATCTAATGATGGAGTTTATCAATATCATTCTTCTCTGATCATATGTTATGAAGATTTGGGGAGAAATATATATCCATACTAACATACAGTACATGTTGTGTGGTAAAGTAGCACAAATGGGCAAATATTTAGGTATTTAAATTAGTTATTTTGAATATTTCTCAAACTGAAGTATAATCAATCTTTCTTTTTTTTTTTTAAGCAGAGTCTTGCTCTGTTGTCCATGCTGGAGTGCAGTGGCCTGATCTCGGCTCACTGCAACCTCCGCCACCCGGGTTCAAGCAATTTTCCTGCCTCAGCCTCCTAAATAGCTGGGATTACAGGCGCATGCCACCACGTTTGGCTAATTTTTGTATTTTTAGTAGAGACGGGGTTTCACCATGTTGGCCAGGCTGGTCTCGAACTCCTGGCCTCCAGTGATCAGCACACCTCAGACTCTCAAAGTGCTGGATTACAGGCGTGAGCCACCGTGCCCAGCCTCAAACTGAAGGTATAATCAATTTTAAGAAACACAATGTTACAAATTGGCAAAGATTCAAAAGGAAGTACTTGTTGATACTTGTCATATTATCAGAACAGCCTTATCTCAACAATAGATTTATTATAATTTCTTAATGAGGAATTAATCTTACAAACCAACAGTAAAAAAAATTATCAACAGGTTCCTATATGTTTTTAACAGTACAAAGGCTAAGATACCAGACAAAGAAACTCCTTTAAAAAAGAAGTTTGAATACTTGGGAAACAAATTTCCTTATTAGGGTATTGATGAAATAAAGGAAGTTATCATAGGAAAATGTAGCCCTGCAATTTCAGGCTTAGAATATGAAACAGAACATTCAGCAAATGCCAAGTTTTCAGTACACATCATACAAAATAATACCTTCTTTATTCAAAAGTTCTTGGTACTAAAGGTTCTAATAAACCTTGTTTCTGTTTCCCAACAAAGGTGTGCCAGGTAAAATTAGATTTGTACAAAACTAGCTATGGACATTGTATCCTCTTAAAGTAGGGAAGCTTACTCTAAGATTTAAAGCAAATACACATGTTCTTACAGTAGACATGAAAATCTCTCTTTTTATCTATACTATCAGGTGTTGCTGCATTGTCAGTAGAAACTCAGAAATGAAAGTGGGCAGGAGAAACCAAAATAAAAAGTATATAATGAAAAAACAGGTCGGGCATGGTGGCTCAAACCTATAATCCCAACACTTTGGCAGGCCGAGGTGGGTGGATCATTTGAGGTCAGGAGTTCGAGGCCAGCCTGGCCAACATGGAGAAATCCCATCTCTACTAAAAATACAAAACTTAGCTAGGCGTGGTGGCATGCGCCTGTAATCCCAGCTACTCGGGAGGCTGGGGCAGGGGTATCACTTGAGCTTGGGAGGCAGAGGTTGCTGTGAGCCGAGATCACGCCACTGCACTCCAGCCTGGGCGACAGAGTGAGACCCTGTCTCAAAAAATAAAAATAAAAAAGGCCGGGCACAGTAGCTCATGCCTGTAATCCCAGGGCTTTGGGAAGCTGAGGCACGCAGCTCCAGGTCAGGAGATCGAGACCAGCCTGGCTAACACAGTGAAACCCCGTCTCTACTAAAAATACAAAAAATTAGCCAAGCGTGGTAGCAGACGCCTGTAGTCCCAGCTACTCAGGAGGCTGAGGCAGGAAAATTGCGTGAACCCAGGAGGTGGAGCTTGCATGCAGTGAGCCGAGATCGCGCCACTGCACTCCAGCCTGGACGACAGAGCGAGACTCCGTCTCAAATAAAAAATAAAATAAAATAAAATAAAATAAAATAAAATAAATAAATAAATAGAAAAAGAAAAAAGAAACTGTGAGAGAAATTTAGCATTGACAATACTATTGTTTTCAATAAAACCAACTATTAGAAACACACTGATTTTGTCAATCAGTTAAATGGGTATATAACAAGAAAAGCAACCTCAAGAAAATTTAAGCTAATAGTACATTCTTAATTTTACACCATGGCAAAAATGCTTTAAACCTATAAATTATCAACGATATATCTTGGCTATTAGTAAGAAGTACTACAGGCCCTCAGTGCAACAAACGTTTTCAGCAGTAAAACCTGATCCTAAAAAAAAAAAAAGGAATGCTGTTAAGAAACAAGGTTGTTCTGCCTACTGCAGGGTCATATAAAATAGAAATAAAGGCTTTTGATCTTTCCTCTATCAAAAACATGAAAATTATTCTTTCTGCTAATGCTTTAGTACTTATTATGGGAAGGCCCCACAACAATATAGTAAAAATCAGGAGGGGGGGTGGTGGCAGAAGTACTGTGCAGACAAGTAAACTAGGTTTGTCCACAAAAGGCAATGAAGTCATTTCAGCATAATGAAGAAGAGACATAAACAAGTACTAGCAGGCACCTTTTAAATTTTAACACCTACAGATAGGTGGCCACTATCACCTGACAAGTAGGGAAAACAGACATACCCTCACATATATGTTATTCTATTAAAGCAGGAGCCAAATACCACAACCATCTTTTAAAAAATGTGACATCATTAGCAATGCCCTACGCTCAATCCCTCCTTCCCGAAGCTTATTATAAACCTGAGGTTAAATCTATTCATTCTTTCTACAACTCTGTACAATATAAAAACACATCTAATACCCAGAATTCCCCATTCCTTCTCCCTGGTTTCCCTAATGTAGCCAGCATCTGGTCACATCACCACTTACAAAAGAGGAAGTGAGAAGCTGATCTAAAGAATTTCCACTAAGCGAGCAGGTAGCATAAATGAATGAACACAGTGAGACTTTCCCATGTGATCCACTCAAGACACATAGGTTTACTATGTCTTACCTTGCTATATAAATAATTTACCAAATAATTATCTTTTCTTTCCAAATGTACTATAAACACATATACAACAGTGTGAGCCCAAACTTTTTTTTTTTTTTTTTTTTTTAGACAGAGTCTTGTTCTTGTCCCCCAGGCTGGAATGCAATGGCATCATCTCGGCTCACTGCAACGTCTGCCTGCCGGGTTCAAGTGATTCTCCTGCCTCAGCCTCCCGAGTAGCTAGGATTACAGGTGCCCGCCACCACGCCCAGCTAATTTTTGTATTTTTACTACAGACAGGGTTTCACCATGTTGGCCAGGCTGGTCTCGAACTCCTGACCTCATGATCCACCCACCTCGGCCTCCCAAAGTACTGGGATTACAGGTGTGAGCCACCGCGCCCGGCCAACCAAACAGACTCTTAAGTCTTTCAGAAGAGAACAGGGTTATCACAACCATAATCTGATACTCTGTTATAGTCCCAGCGAAAAGCAGCTTTCATTCTCGGGCATGACAAAAGCTAGGGAGCTTTCTAAGGAAAATGGGACTAGAAGGGAGAATGTCACCCAGACTGGGGTTAGATCAGTATCTGGAATCAGTTGCCACTAACAAAAGGCTAGCAAATACACTTCTTGGAAAAAGAGGGATTTTTAAAATTATACATCTTTGTAAAAGTTTTCAAGTTCACAGTATTATCAAATCAAGGGAGATGAAAAGCTGGTAGTAGCAGTTGCTCCTAGAATCACTACTAGTCTCAGGATGGAAAACCCCAGATTTTCTCCCCGAGTTATGCAGGACTAATTTAGACGAAGAGCTGCACTCTTTCTTTAGTTTGCCAAGTATCAGATTTTACATCAACATAAGAAGAGAATAAATAACTATATGCTGTATTTCCTAGACGTGCCTATGTAAATAAAATGACAAAGGCTCTGATGTCCTAATAGTGAATTAGGACATCAGAATCTCCAGGGGAAATTATAAAGGGAGGTCTTCATGTATACAGAAGTAAATTTACCACAAACATCAATCTATAAAAAGGGGACAAAAAACAAACAGCAGTTGTGTTCCAGCAAACCTAGAAGGAGAAAGATGGATCTAAAAATAAGATTTATGGGTGACAGAGCCTTTGCAGATTAAAAGAACGAATGAATGAAGGAACAAATGAACGAATGAACGAATGAATGAAAAAAATTAAAAACAGGTTTAAGGATGCTGGTACCATACAGGGAAGAAGGAAAGAAGGGGTGACGGAGCCAATGACACCACTGTATGTATGTGTCTGTATGTATATATATATATATGCATAGCTCAAGAAAACATAACAAAGAGGCCAGAAAAGGAATTCTAATTTTAAAATCTACTGCACTCACTGCAAACTAGGAAAATAAATCCTATTTAATCAATGTTATATATTGTTATATAAAGTGTATTAATTTTTATTCTTAAAGATGGTCACTCAGAACCTCCATAAATTGTAATGTCTTTATCTGAATCCCTTCTGAACTATTTGTTATTCTGAATAAATTTCTGTATCTAAAGTATTATACCTAAAGTGAGGAAAATAAGACTTGAAATATTCCCAGTAAGAAACAAATGATTTTATTTTCAGGCTAATCAGTCAGTTATAGCAGACTAAGATGGGCAAAACCAAATACGGAATTTTAAAAACCCTACATGATAATAAATTTGGTGCATTCCCTTACGTAAATTTTCTTGCTACAGATATTCTTCTAAAACTTATGGGCTTTAAACTGTTTTCCTAAGCATACTCGTACCTATACACTCATGTATAGTTCATAATCCACAGGTGTGAACTAGATGGGATTAGGTAGGCAATCTATATTCAAGCTGACCAAAATGAAGCTAAAAGCCTGTCTGAAACATAAACTCATAACCTTTGTCTCATCAGCAATGCACTCCAACTGTTAAAAGATTCAAACATCAACTTGGATTTGAAAAGAGTGGGAGGCAGTGAAATACTAACAGGGAGAAAATTTATGGAGTCTATGCAAAATTTTCTATTAATGAAAACCAGCTGCAAGAACAACAGATGCCGTTTTCAGTATTTGAGCCTGGTGGAATACTAACGGGGTTTCTTCTATTCCAAGTTTCCATTTTGGAAGCAAGGCCTTGAAGTCATTATTCCCTCAGGGTCATGGGCACTCTACAGAATACCTTTCCAAAACAACTGTTCTAGAGTCTGAATTTTCTGTCCATTAGATGTGTACAGTGTCTCTCTGAAGAGCCATTTAAAGCCATCCTTGTATGTGAAGTTTCCCCCAAAGGAAAATTGAGACCTAACTCTGTTCTATCTATGTGATCCATAAGACCTGTAGCAAAGTCTAATTCAAAGTTGTTAATTTTAGACTTAACACCAATATCAGGGATATAGGCCACTAATAAAACACTGTGATAAAATATTAATCACTGATTATTTTCACCATAATCTATTTGATTGCCACAAACTTAACTCTACCACTTGGTAAATATTTTTTCCCAAGCTTTGGTTAATTAGTCTTGTTCCCACACAGCCCATAAATCAATTTTAAAATTGTTTGCATGTAACCATCATAATATTTAATATATTCTACCATCTGCCCCAACACCAGTTAACAGCAATAAAAGATATAGATATAGATATAGATATAGATATAGATATAGATATAGATATAGATATAGATATACACATACATGTGGGCTTTGTTTTCCTAACTTAGGACAGCCAGTTCTTCCAGTATAGATCTTACATAATTTTGGTTTGCAGAAATTGCCCCTAGGAAATTCAGAAAGTGGCTTTACCCAAAATGAGGAAAATCACTTACATAAGCTTTTAAGACTAGAAACTGATCAGCAGCCATTTCTCATACCAATACATCTCTCCATCCTAGGATTATGTGGAAGAGAATATATTATCCCTAGAATCATGAAGGTTGAGTAAAATTTCTGTAAAAGGTACCTTTGGCACCCCAGACAACTGTTAAGAAAAAAGAATATCTGTACTCAAATCATTATACTGTCGACTCAAAACCCATTATAAAAGTGGCTTGAAAATGAAAAAGCAAAAAACAAACCTCAATCTTGTCTGTTTTGGCATCTCCCCAGTATATTTTGCCTTCATCATAATCCAAGGCTAAACCATTTGGCCAACCAAGAGAAGTGTTAACCAATACTACACGGTCAGAACCATCCAGAGCTGCTCGCTCAATTTTCGGAATTTCTCCCCAGTCAGTCCAATACATGTACCTAGAGAAGTATACAAAAAATGAGCTAAAAATAGATAATAAAATGTAACTTTCAGATATTCTAAAGGTGAGATCCATCCCTCCTATTACACTGGTATCATCAGTTAATGCCAAGGAAGGGGAAAAAAAAAAAAACATATGAAGAGGTGTTTAAGACATTTATCCCAGCAATATATAAGATTGTGGGAAATTTTCAGATCAGTGTGTTCTAGAGCCAATCCTGAAAATGCCTCCCAATAATGAGATTACAGTTTTACTTCTTTTTTTTTTTTTTTTTTTTAAATATTTTGTGTGCCCTTTTCCATGAACTTTCTCTCTCTTTTCCTTGATGGCTTGTCATCTCTCTGACACAAAAGGCTTATCCCAGCAGTATTAGTCAGATGGCAAACTGAATTCTCAAAATAACTATTTCTTCCTGCAGTGCTAAGTGATTCTTACGGCTCCTGGATGTTTAGATGGCTCTAAGGCATTGGTATATACTGAGGTGTAATTTGTCACTATGCTTGTCCTCAGAATAAATCTCAAAGTAACAAAATTGTTGAGTATGTAAAAAGTTGTACTTCCCTGGACTATGATCAGGGTGGCATGGCAAAACAAAACAAACAACAACAACAAACTAGAAGTAAAGCTGCATGGGCTGGCAAAGTTTTGGAAATCAAGTCATTCATGTATTTAGGGAAAAAAAAGTAAGCTATATTCTTACTATAAAGTACTGAAAATGGAATTAAAGCTTCTAGGGGAAGGGAAAGAGTTCTGAAAACAATTTCTTCCCACATTTTTCATGGTAATGATGCAATCCGAGCAAAATCTGCAGACAACACCCAAAGTCAGCAAACATGGACTTAATTTAGAAAGAAAAAATATCTAAGACATCCAAGGCAAAAAACTAGCAATTTTTAAACTTGAGATTGTATTCTAATCACCATATCCTAAAATAGACAGCCATTAAAGAGCTGTTTACTGGAAACCAATATATATGTCATGTTATCTTAGTCAATGTTTTCAGGAACCTGTGAAAAACAGAAACACCACACAGAATTTACTATCAGTAGAGCTTCTTACCCAACCATGGGATCTAACACAATAGCCCGGGGTTCCTCTAAGTCCTCTGAAATCAAGATCTTCCTCATGGTCCCATTGAGCCTTGTCACTTCTATTCGATCAGTGCCAGTGTCTGTCCAATAAAGATTTCGTGCAACCCAGTCCACAGCAATACCATCAGGATGGGCAATTTGAGCAGTGACCACAAACTGACTGCCAGATCCATCTATAAATGAACGGCGTATGGCCCTCACTTCATCATCAGTCCAGTAGATGTAGCCTTCCACAGGATCGTAATCTATGGCAATGGCATGACGGATGTCTTCTAACTGCAGAACAATGTCTGTAAAATCTGGTGTATCCAAAGAAATGCGTCTCAAGTCTGTCCTTCGAGCTAAAAGCAATAATTCTGTGGCACCTAGAACAACAAAGTGAAATGAAGAATACTTTGAAACCCAGAGGTAAAATTTACCTGCTCTAGATAAAGAATCAAGAACTGAAAAATAAATATAAAATATACATAAATTAACACAAAAGGATGTGCACTCTCTTTAGAGTGGAAATGGAAAGTAATACAGTGAAATAGAAGAGTCTACTCTGAGGTCAAGCTGTTTAATGGCTAACTCTCCAAATTAAGTTGTGATACATTCTATGGTTTCATTGGAATTAATCCAGCTATTTAAAAGTACAATGAATAATGACTATGTAATGACTAAGAAGCTAAGTAGCTCAGTATTAAAGGAGAAGGAAATGTAGGATATAGATCCTTTGTTCAAGAAGCATTTTTTAAAAAAAGATAAAGAAATTTAGGACAAGAATCTTTGTGCTTGATAGGAATGTTCTAAAATTGGATTGTGGTGATAACTGCGTAACTCTGTAAATTTACTAAAAAGTCACCGAATTGTACAATTTAAAAAATGGATGGATTTTATATGCTATGTAAGTTACATCTCAGTAAAACTGTCTTAACAAAGAGAAATACAGGGCAATACCTCACAGAATTGAGGACAAAGCAAGCTATGGAGAAACAAACAGCTGCAATGGAGGGAAGGAACCAGATAAACATAACACAGTGGTTAAGAGTTGTGGATCCAATATAATTTGATTCAAGAAGCTACACAAACTTTGGGAAAATATCTAATCTCGCTAAGCCTAGTTTCCCCATCTATACCTTGTAAGGTTGTTGTAAGGATTAAAGGAGATAAATCTAAAACTCAGGAAAGTACTGAACATTTAAGTACTCAAGAAATATTAACTAATACTTAACAACAGTATTAAAAAATAAAGATTTTCAGATTTTTATTTCACTGAATTTTAAATTAGGTTTATTTATGAACTGTTTAAAGCCCAAGCCCCAAATACTTAACCACATAACCAAGAATGAAGATACTGAGCTCAATCTTTTTTTCATTTTAAATTGTTCAAGTAAACCACCAGCAAAAAATCGTCTAACTATAGGAAGCTAATAAAAGACAGTAAGCAAATTGACAACTGAAAGAATAAGAAAAGATTCCCAGCTAAATAAATGAGTCCAAAACAAAATACTGGCATATAAACTTCAAGAATCAATCTGCAATTACAAGTCAAAAAACTGAGAAGAGGAGTGAAGCCTCTCAATATCAGCCCTTTCACTCTAGAGCTAATTATAAATGAATTCCAACTTGAAGAAAATACAGCCCAAATGCCACTGCAGGAACCAAGTAGGAATAACTTTGTACAATTCACTGCCCCGGCTAACAACCAAAAGGAGCCAGCCTAGAACTTCACAAAGAAGTCATAGAGCTGTTAATTTGAGCAAGGTGATCAAAACAGAACAGTTAACTTAAGGCTACTACATGCCAAATGCACACATGAAATTCAAAACTGGTTAAATATGTACACTTGCACTGCTGTGAGGGAGCAGATAGACCATTATTGCTAAAATAAATCCTCTGTTTTAAAGTCAGGCTACATTTTTAAAGAAAAAAGCAACATTACAAAAACCTTTTGTTTTAAATTGAAACCAAATTGCTGTCTGCCATGGAAACCATTTGACCAAGAGTCAGCCAGCTTCACCTTTTACTATGAGGATAATTTATCAATGCCAAGTCATAACAAACATCCTGTACACAGACTCAATTCCATCTCTCTGACTCCCTGGCCCCCTTGCCAGGGACTCTAACACACTCCAAAACACAGGCTTCTGCTTTTCAGAGTTAGATAAAGAAGCCACAGCTAAATACAACAATTTTCTTACCAGGTCTTGCTGGTTGCTAGAGAACCAGATGGTGATCCATAGGGGTGAGAATGAAGAATAACATTCTCATTAAGAAGAAAAACAGAAGAACTGGTGTTCTTCCAAACTGGAAGTCCCTTAAAATGTCCTAAATCAGTATACTTTCTCCAACGTGCCCTCTCTCTATAGGGAATTAAGAGTAAGGAGAACAGGCAAAGTGTGTTTCTTAAGTATAAAAAGAAGTTGTTTTAAATATGGATTTTTTTTCCCAGCTCTGAAAGCATCTCTCTGTTGTTAAAAAGCAATTTAAAACATCCTTAAATAATTTGTTATAAAATATATCTCATGATATTCTTTGTAGCTAAAAGTTTAATAAACATACTTTCTTTCACAGAGGTTCTTTATTCACAAATGCTACCTGTTAAAAATATATTCCTTATGCGACTACTCATTTCCATAGTTATCAACTGTGATATCAATGACTATGAGATTTGACAGAAAAGATACAACACGTAACTTTTTTCAAAAATATGTTATTTAAAACACTAAAATAATTTATAAAATAGCATTCAAGTGATGCCACAGAACAAAACACTCCTATTCTATAACCATGTGTGAAGACTGTGAAATTAAGTGACTGGTCTCCCAAAGCAGTATAACCTAGAGAGCTGATTATAGAGAAAACAAATCATGAAGAATTCCAATAGTTATAAAATTTTTCATTTTGGATAATATCTTCTTACCATCTTTGCAGGTTTTTCCATTCTCCAGGAGTTTGACCCCAGTGGGGCAAGCACACTGATAAAAAGGCTTGACTGGAGACATCAAACACAAATGGGAACAACCCCCATTGTCAATTCCACATGGATTTGTGGCTGTCAAATATAAATCACATTGATTAATATCAATGATTACTAAGTACACAAAGGTTAACAACCATAACATGAACAACTGTGATAAGCCAAAATTATTACCAAATGTCATGCAGGTGCTTGACTATCAAACCATCTGCAAAGACAGGAATTAATCAGTGTGAATTTACTTAGTATTTTGTAACCAAAGAGGAATACACAAGAAGTAAAGCAGGAGATCCCTGCCCTAAAAGAGGTTACAATTTAGTCAGTTAAACAAAATTAACAAAAAGCAAAACTAAAAACAAACAAACAAACAAACAAAACCAATAAAACTAAGTGCTATTTTGCACATTATAGACAATAAGTACAGAGTCAAATGGGAAAAAAACCGCTGAGGTTTAAAGAATTGAAGAAGAGCTTTGTGGAGTATACAGCACGGGAGCCTTCAAGGATAGGAAGGATAGATAAGAGGACATTTCAAGTATGGTAAAGCTATCTGAATAAAACTTTGGGGGCTATAAACTGGGTAAGATATTAAGGTGAACAGTATAACTGGAGGTTAAGGTTTCTACTGACTAATAGGAACTAAAGCTGAATGAATACAAAGAATGGGAATAGATTAAAGTGAAGGACACTGAAAGCCAAGAAAAGTAATTATGTTGAAAAGTCATGCCTTGGGAAGATTAACATAGAAGGGATAAGCAGAAAAAAGGGGAAAATGAAAATCAGAGAAAACTAATTAGCAAACTTTGGAAATTATGGAAAGGGATATGTCCAAACAATACTCATAGAAAAAAATCAACATAAGATGGAGACCAATGGAACATGAAAGATAAAAGTAACCAACATGAAAGATAACTGCAAATTCTCAAATTAGTAAAACATAAAGGACCAACAATGCCATTTAAAAAGAAAAACAAGAGGCCAGGCACGGTGGCTCGTGACTATAATCCCAGCACTTTGGGAGGCCTAGGTGCGTGGATCACTTGAGCCCAGGAGTTTGAGACCAGCCTGGGTCACCAACATGGTGAGACCCTACCTCTATAAAAAATACTAAAATTAGCCAGGTGTGGTGGCATATGCCTGTAGTCCCAGCTACTAGGGAGGCTGAGGTGGAAAGATCACTTGAGCCTGGAAGTTCGAGGCTGCAGGGAGCCGTGATCACATAAACGCACAACAGAGCAAGACTCTATCTCAAAAAACAAACAAAAAACAGGGAAAATTCTCTTTTGAGGGCTATGAAGAATAAAAAAATTCATACAAGTGACTGAACATTTTCTTTTGTACAGAAGAGTAACACATACACTTAAAAACATTTTTATGGGCTCATGATCATCAGATTCCAACATAACACTTTCAATATTTGATTATCTCCCCCTAAATGGAGAGCTAATATAAAGCAACATATGTTGCAAAATCTCTTCATTTTTGGCTATGTAATAAAATCTGAAATACACTCAGACAGATGCCAGACATTTATTTACACAAAAGTGCCAAACCCTTAACATTCTCGTATTCCTTTTAAACCTAATTCCAGTCCTCTCTTACAAGTTCTCAGCAGTCATAGCCCGAGTCATTGTAAAGGCTGACCAAACACAGAACCAAAACTAAGGAAAACAAGGTGGGAGGGGTACACAGAAAAGTTTAAGTAGGTATTTTATTTAGCAAGCTGAGGTACTTAAATTCAAATATATTCTAGATTAACAGAGTTTTCATTTAAAAAGAAGAGGCGTTTTTGTGTGTGTGTGTGTTTTTTGTTTTTTTTTTTTTTGAGACATAATTTCTTTCTTGTTGCCCAGGCTGAAAGTGCAATGGCGTGATCTTGGCTCACTGCAACCTCTGCCTCCCGGGTTCAAGCGATTCTCCAGCCTCAGCCTCCCAAGTAGCTGGGATTATAAGCACACGCCACCACGCCTGGCTAATATTTTTGTTATTTTAGTAGAGACGGGGTTTCACCATGTTGGCCAGGCTGGTCTCAAACTCCTGACCTCAAGTGATCCACCTGCCTTGGCCTCCCAAAGTGTGGGATTACAGGCATGAGCCACCGCGCCTGGCCCAAGAGTTTGTTTTTTAAACACACTCACATCAACACATTCAACTACATACTGAAAGAAATAATATGAACAAAAAAACTCATTTGTGTATAAGCCTAGCATATAAGCTATCTCAATTTTTAAATTATCTCTCTCTTCTCCACCTCTAAAAGCGCTGACTCAAAAAGGCTGAGGTGGTCTGTAGTGACAGGCTACAAAATGGTCTAGGCTATTGCCTAACCTGAATTATACTTTTACATTTTCCCTTTTTTTTGAGCAAAGTCTCGCTCTGTTGCCCAGGCTGGAGTGCAGTGGCACAATCTCGGCTCACTGCAATCTCCACCTTCCGGGTTCAAGTGACACTCCTGCCTCAGCCTCCCAAGCGGCTGGGACTACAGGTGCACACTACCACACCCCATTAATTTTTGTATTTTTTAGTAGAGACAGGGTTTCACCAGGTTGGCCAGGCTGGTCTCAAACTCCTGACCTCATATGATCTGCCTGCTTCAGTCTCCCAAAGTGCTGGGATTTTAACTTTTTTTTTTTTTTTTTTGAGACACAGTCTTTCTCTGTCTCCCAGGCTGGAGTGCAGTGGCGCAATCTCAGCTCACTGCAACCTCGGCCTCCCGAGTTCAAGTGATTCTCTTGCCTCAGCCTCCCAAGTAGGATTTTAACTCTTTTTTATTCCCGCCAACTATCTTTGGATATGCCCTCCCTCCTCCTGATCCTCACTAAAGCCAGACATTAGAGTGCTACAAAGCTGTTCCAACTTGCAATTTAAAAATCAAGGATCACTTACCATTTGGCTGCCTCTGTTGGCTGAAGGCATGTATATCCATGGGAGAGAAGATGTCAGAATGGATTTCACGCAGACCCTCACCAGTATACTTGTTGCAAGCCAAAATGGAGTGTGTGCTCCAGTCAGTCCAGTACAATATGTCCTCAAATAACGTCAAGGCAAAAGGATGTGGAAGGGAACCTTTAACCACTGCCTGCCTATTAACATAAAGAGAAAAATTTAAACTTATTTCTAAATTTTCTTCTTCTATCATAACGTCACCTCTCCCATTAAAATGATCTTAGTTCACATTAACACATACAAATCTTGAGTAATACATACCAATAGGTCAAATACACCTATAAAAAATAATTCACATAATGAATTCATATATATTTTTAAGGTGTCCAAAAGCCCCAAACAAGCATTTGGGAATAGTCCCTAACTTGGCAGCAGCCTCAAGTTCAGTACAAGATACCCGGCAGAGAGAGAGCACTGCTTTTTCATTGTTTGCACTGCTGTCAAATCCTACTCTTCAACTACCATCTCTGGACTCACAGCTTCCACCCTTTCACACAATTCATGTCATCAGACAGAGAAAGGTAAGCAATGAGAAAAATCACAGGGGTTACAGTTGGCACTGAAGTAGATTTATATCAGCAATAGGTTTTTTCCTTCTTGATGTGGAAGAACAAAGAACCTGAGCCTGTTTTGTCCATCACTTCTTATGGTTTTGATAACTGAGAATGAAACATAAACATGAGGCCAAAATGGCATGCAGGTAGCACTCTCCCCGCAAACCCCAGTCTAGCTCCAGCAAGTGATCATCTTAGCTGACTTTTCACTATATTCAGGCAGCCAAAAAGAAGTCCTGTTAGTGGTAGAATATGTTCATGAGACAAAGCAGATCCAAAATTTTCACAAGCAATACATACTTTTTAAAAGGAAAAGTAGACAGCCTAGTTAGTACTTAAGGCACAGAACTTTGTAGAGTATTAGAGAGAGTTATAGAATAAGCAAATGCTGAGGGCCGGGCGCAGTGGCTCACGTCTGTAATCCCAGCACTTTGGGAGGCCGAGGTGGGTGGATCACAAGGTCAGGAGTTCAAGACCAGCCTGGCCAAGATGGTAAAACCCCATCTCTACTAAAAATACAAAAAAATTAGCCAGGCGTGGTGGTGGGCGCCTGTAATCCCAGACACTCGGAAGGCTGAGGCAGAGAACTGCTTGAATCCAGGAGGCGGAGGTTGCAGTGAGCCGAGATCGCGCCACTGCACTCCAGCCTGGGCGACAGAGCGAGACTCATCTCAAAAAAAAAAAAAAGAAAAAAAAAAGAATAAGCAAATGCTCTGGAATAATGAACAAATCACGTTTTGAGTCAAAATAATATTCAAGAAAATACATGTTTTGATATTTTCATAAATCCAAGTTTCCCAATAGCCCACCCAGGAGGCAGAGATGGGCAGAGAGGGAGGAAGGGAAAGAAAAATGAAGGGAAAAGGGAAGGGAAAGCATAAGCTACTGAAGAGAAATTAAAAGTATCATATATTTTAAGGAAGATGATTCAATTTTCAGGTCCTTGAGGTTAACTGATGATTTCTACTATCTAACAGACTACCAGCATATTAAATTAAAAGCAATTAAGGTCATTTTTACGTGTAAGCAGGATTACCGTCTGTGATTGCACATGGAATGATCTTAGTCTAAAGCATTATAAATTCAGACAAAATACCTGCACTGCCAACCCATATCACCAGTTTTCTCATTTTCCTTAATCCTCTCTTCCCTAAGTAAAAAGCTCACTATTCCTTCTAATTTCCCAAAGAGAACTGTCACAATACCTTCTCCTGAAGTGCTTTCTTCCACTTTTTAAATGGACAGTTTTATTAAATTTACTAAAGAGACTATATTATTTACAGGGTGATGGCACAGTTTATGTTCAATTTTAAACAGGCCTGTATATTTCACACTAAAGTCTTCCAAAATTCATGGTGGAAACAGAGAGAGAACTGAGAAAGCTGCCAAAAAAGACAAGTAACACAAATGAAAAATAAAGAGTAGTTAAAACTAAGTTACTTGGCATTTCACCATCTTAAAGAACTGCTTTGAAAAACTCAAGGAAAAAAAAGGCTTCAAAAAGTTTTGTATATCATTAAGTGAAAAGTTGAAATTCACTCTACTGAACTAAACATAGGAAAATAAACATATGGAAAAGGCAAAATCCCTAAAAGCTATATTCATTTTATATATTAATTGAATGCATAAACTTAGAACTCAGAGGTGAGCTTAAATCCCCCCTTGACACTTATTACTGACACCATTTCTGCAAGCTTTATTTCTTCATCTGTCAACGGAAGGTAATAATCTATCCTCACTGCGTTAATGTGAAGATTAAATAACATACGCAAAAGCCATTCAGCACTACGCTTGCTACTTAACACTTTCGTTAATGATTCCTCAATTTTAAGACACATATTTTCAATATTTTAACATTTCTGATATAAGGGTAACATTTACAATGTGAATATTTCATGTGGTAGTTTTTAAAATCAGTAAGTTCTTAAAATCAATGGCTTATTAGAATCAGTAAATACTATACTAATATTAATTTTTTTTTTGAGACAAAGTCTTGATCTTGTCACCCAGGATGGAGTGCAGTGGTGTGATCCTGGCTCACTGCAACCTCCGCCTCCAGGGTTCAAGCAATTCTCCTGCCTCAGCCTCCCAAGTAGCTGGGATTATAGGCATGCACCACCATGCCTGGCTAATTTTGTATTTTTAGTAGAGATGGGGTTTCACCATGTTGACCAGGCTGGTCTCAAACTCCTGACCTCAGGTGATCTGCCCACCTTGGCCTCCTAAAATGCTGGGATTACAGGCGTGAGCCACCGAGCCCGGCCTTAACACTAAATATAAATGTCACTTTCTTTTCATAGCCATTCTTAATTTCCTCCCGCCACAAGCCAAGTTAGTTTTCTTTCTCTACGTTCTCATAACAGTTAGTGAACTGTTTTATAACTGTTCACCTATCCAGCAACTCTATAACAGATGACCTTTTTGAGAGTAAAACTCTAGCTTATTTATATACCAAGGATCCCACACAATGGTAAGGTGTACAAATTAGGCAGACTTACTAAACACTCTGGGGATGCTTGATAAAATTAAATGTTTTTAAGAAAATATGTAATTAACAGAGCTGAACAAAAGGCAGAACTAAGAACACTATCATGCAAGGGTGATATAATGATTTGTCCAGCCAACTATGACTTGTTCCTGAAAGTAGGGATAACCACACAGAGTATTCCCCTTTCTTCTCTCTGGCTGAGATTACCAAGTAAGCCTACCTCCTGATCCCCATCTGGAAACACAAGTTACTTCAAGGAGGAGTTGATCATGGCTGCTAAGAACCAAGCTGGCAGGTAAGATCCAAGCCCAGTTCCTCAATAGTAGGTCACAACGATAACAGAAACTAAAAAATGGATCACCAAACTGGGGACCACAGAAAAGAAACAGAGACTCCCCCCAACCTCACTGAAGTTTTCATATAGTGCTTGCAATCTCTGAGCATCATCTCCTGCCTATGTCTGTCACATTCTGCAACTTACTGATAAAGCTCACCACTGCCAATACCTCCCAGGCACCTCTTGCTAGCTCTTTGAGATTCTTTGAACTCTGCAAGTGGTTCTTTTAAACTCTGCACCAACTGGACTTATCCTTTATAAAACACCTGCATGCCCTCATTTAGTTTTTGTTTCTGGACCTCCTCACAGATAGTCATCTTCTGCTCCTCTCTCAGAACTGCCCACTTGTGTGAGTAATAAATCTTTCTTTAATCATACCACAGGACTGCTGTCATGAGTTCTGACATCTGAACTTAACCTTGGAAGGAAGCTTCCCTTCACCACAGTGAAGCTGTAATAATATCTAAGAAGACAATGTCAGCAGTGATGGCAAAGCTTTGGAAAAATCTCCATGAATCCTCCATGTGAAAACAGAGAACAACTAGGTAATGAACCCCAAATCCCATGGACAACATTCACAACAAAGCTAGGTAAAACCCAAGATACAAAATGGTAGAGAAAACTACCAACAGCCATTAAGATATGACTGATATTGGCACCTCTGCAGGATATGAGAAAGAAACAATAGGACATCTGGCAGGACAGAACACATAAAACAGACAACATTGGAAAGCTTAGTAGACCAATCTGAGAACAGCAACCAGCTATGAGGTGTTCTGGCCACTTCAAGAGTAAGTGAATACAATGAATTCATCGTCAGGCACTGAAAGGTCTAGCACTATACTTTAACCTATTGTGAACTCTCAAAATTGTCCTTCCCGGGCTCCCTTCCAGACAAAGCGTCATACTGAAGAGAAATCACTGGGAGCGGACTGAAAAGTGTGCATGATTGGTACAGGAGAACAATGGGAAAATAAGGTACAGAAAAAAGCAGAAAAAGTAAAGTGGGAGAGCCAGGAAATCCAGAAAGCTAGCTGCCATTATTTTTTAAACACATATACATAGACATGAGAGTTCTGTGAAACTGGAGAACTTATGAACTCTGCCTTCTTCTGAATGTTCAAGCAAAACAGTTTCACCTGAAAATAAGAAAACAAATTACTAACATCAAATCCCATTAATAAGTTAATATTAAAAATAAGAAAAGGATAAAGTGAAGAATAACATTCCTACAGACAATAAAAAAGTATGCCAGAAAGATATAGAAATAGAACAAATTAAACTGATAACTTATTTCAAAACAGTCAAAGTATTTAAAGTAAGATACTAGTCATAAATGAACAACACAAATTAGAATCAGACAACTCACAAGTGAGGGGACAGAACTTGAAAGAATGAGAAATACAAAAATACATCATTTCAGAAATGAAGTCTACGAAATAAGAATGAATAAACATAATACATAAAGAAAAAAATGAAAAGGAAGAAATATTACATAATAGAAAAAAATATTTTCAAAAAATAAAATATTTGAAGGACAAAGGACAAGGAAGAGAACAGAACTATACTGGAACAAGGAAATGACTCCAGATGGTAACTTGAACCCTCAGGAAAAATGAAGAATACCAGAAATAGTAAATATGCAGGTTAATAAAAAAGACTCTATAAATAATGTTTTCTCTTTTTCCTTTAACCTTTTTAACAGACATAAGATTGTATAAAGCAATAAGTATAACCCTGTGTTAGATATAATAGAAATGAACTATAAATGACAATAATAGCAGAAAGGATGGGAGAGAGAATGGAGATATACTTAGAGTAAAATGTATGTACTTTTCATAATTAAGTTAATATTACCACAAAGTAGATTTTGACAAAATGCACGTTGCAATCCCTAAAATAATTACCTTTAAAATCCCCAAAATACAGTTTAAAATTATCAACCAAGGAATCAAAATGACACACCAGAAAATATCTACTTAATACAAAGGACAAAGGAACAAAGATGACATAAGATAATTTAAAAAAAAAAAAACACTAAAATGTCAGACATAAGCCCAACCATATCATTAATGACATTCAATGTGAATAAACACACCAATCAAAAGGCAAAGGCTGTTAGACTGAATAAAGCAAAGGTTACACTATATGCTGTTTATAAAAGCACATTTTACATTCAAAGATACAAATAGATTGAAAAGAAAAGGTTACAGTAGACAGTAACCATAAGAGAGCTGGAGCAGCTCTATCAGACAAAAAAGATTTTAAGTATAAAAAGGTAACTAGAGATACAGTGGCAGGTTTTATGAGAAAGAGTCATCAGGAAGTTACAATTAGAAACATACAGGTACCTAAAAACAGAGCCCCAGAACAAATGAAGCAAAACCTGACAGAAATCAAAGGAAAAATGGGCAGTTCAATAATATAGTTGGAGAGCTCAACACCCTATTCTCACTAAAGGAAAGAACAACTAGATAGAAAATTACCAAGGATATAGAAAATTTGAACATTATTAACCAACTTAACCTACTATCTATAGAACATTCCATGCAACAAAAGAATACACAATCTTTTCACGTACACGTGGAACTTTCTCCAGGACACCACATGCTAGGAGACAGAATTAATCTTAAAAGACTGAACTCATATAAAATAAAAAGACTGAACTCATATAAAATAGACTACTATCTGACCATAATGAAATTCATGAAGAAATCAACGGAAGAAAATTTGGGAAATCAAATTATTTTCTAAATTTTTGAAATTTCTTTCTCAATTTCCTCTAAATCAGCAATGAGTCGAGGAAGAAATTACAATAAAAGTTTTTAAATATTTTGAGCTAAAAGAAAATGAAAATACAAAATATGGAAACGTATATAGAATACTAATGCCTATACTAGAAAAGAAGAGAGATTACAAATCAATTATTTATGATTTGACCTTAAGAAACTGTAAGAAGAGTAGATTAAATCCAAAGCAAGTGTAAGGAAGAAAATAAAAACATTAGGGTTAAAAAAAAAAAAGGCAATGAAACAGAAAACAGAAAAACAATAAAGGGGGAAAAATCAATAAAACCAGAAGCTGGTTGTTCTTTGAAAAGACCCACAAAATTGACAACCCTTTAGTGCTAGACTGACCCAAAAAAAAAGACGCAAATTGTGAAAACTGTGAATAAAGTGATGAATGAAAGAGAAACACTGCCTTACAGAAATTAAAAGGATTATTAGGCAATACCATAAACAACTTTATGCCAACAAATTAGACAAATTTATGAAACAAAAATATTCCTGGAAAAAAACCAAATTACTAAAACTGACTCAAGAAGAAACAGAAAATCTGATAGATCTACAACAAACAAGGAAATTGAATTTGTAATTAATATCTTCCCAAAAAGAAATCCCCATGCCCAGATGGCAGGAAAAGTTGTATCAACTGGTCACACACTTTTCCAGAAAACAAAGAAAGAGGAAATATCTTCCGACTCTATGAGGCTGATATTATGCTAATCTCAAAACCAAATAAACACAAGAAAAACAGACTACGGATTAATATCCTTCACTATTAAAGACATAAAAATCCTCAACAGAATATTAGCAAACCAAATCTAACAACATTTCAAAAGAAGTATAAACCACGACCAAGTAGAACTTACCCCAGAAATGCAAGATCGGTTTAACAACTGAAAACCAATTACTGAAATTCACCATGTTCATAAAATAAAGAATAAAACCACATAATCATTTCCATAGATGCAGAAAAAGGAACGGACAAAATCCAGTAATTATTCATGGTAAATCTGTCCATGAACTAGGAATAGAAAGGAACTTCCTCAACCTGATAAAATCCCTTTATTAAAAAAACCTACAGGTAATATCATGCTCAAGACTATTTTTAATCTTTTTTAAAAAATAAAGCCAATACAGAGAAAAACATACAAAACAAACATATAGCTTAACAAGTTACTATAAGGCAAACACTCTTGTAACCACGAATTCACTCAGATGAAGGAAAAAAACTTGATCTGGGTGAATCACCCAGACGACTTCAAAAGGCCCTGCATGAACCCTGTCCCAATCCCTCCCTCTCCATAGAAGTAACAATTATTCTGATTTTCTATTAGTCACTTTCTTGCCTTTATAGTTTTATTGCTTTTTGTAAGTGTGCATCCACAGAAAAATAGTTTAGTCTTAAGCCCCATTTTCATTTGCTATTTCTTTTAAAGTCTCTGTTTTAAAAAATGTTTAACTGGTACATAATAATTACACATATTTGTGGGGTACACAGCAATGTTGCAATATATATAAGGTACCGTGATCAGCTCAGGGTAATCAGCATATCCATAATCTCAAACATTTAACATTTCTGTGTTGGAAACATTCAGTATCCTCTTTGAAATTATATAATGTTTTACCTATTAAGTACAGTCATCCTACAGTGGTATAGAATACTCAAGCTTTTTCTAACTGTAATTCTGTATTTTTTAGCAAATCTCTTCTTATCTCTTCCTTCCCAGCCTCTAGTATCCCCTATTCTACTCTTTACTTTTGCAAGATCAACATTTACCTTCCACATACGAGTGAGAACATGCATGGTTTAATTTTCTGTTCCTGGTCCTATGTCACTTAAGATAACATCCTCCAGGTCTATCCATATTGCTGAGAATGACAGGATTTCATTCTTTTTATGGCTAAATGGTATTCCATTGTGTATATATACCACATTTTCTTTATCTATTCATCTGATGTTGGACACCTAGGTTGATACCACATCTTGGCTACTGTAAATAGTGCTGCAACAAACATAGGGGTGCAGATGTCTCGATACACTGATTTCCTTTCCTTTGGGTAAATGCCAAGTAGTGGGACTACTGGATCATATGGTAGTTCTATTTGTAATTTTTTGAGGAACTTCCATACTGTTCTCCATAGCGGCTGTACTAGTTTATACTCCCACCAACAGTGTATAAGAGTTCCCTTTTCTGTGCATTCTTGACCGTATTATTTTTTGTCTTTTTGGTAATAGCCATATGGTAACTAGGGTGAGATGATACTTCATTGTGAATTTAATTTGCATTTCCTGGATGATTTGTGATGTTGAGCATTTTTTCATATGTTTGTGGCCATTTATATGCCTTCTTTTGATACATGTCTATTCGGATCATTTCCCCATTTTTTAACCAAACTGGTTTTTTGCTGTTGAACTGTTTGAGTTCCCTGTATATTCTGGATATTAATCCCATGTCAGATGAGTAATTTGCAAATATTTTCCCTCATTCTGTAGGTCGTCTTTTCACTGTGTTGTTTCCTTTGCTCTGTAGAAGCTTTTTAGTTTGATATAATGCATCTGGTATTTTTTGCTTTTGTTGCCTGCATTTTTGAGATCTTATCCATAAAATCCTTTCCCAGACCAATGTCCTGAAGCATTTCCTCTATGGTTTCCTCTAGCAGTTTTATAGTTTCAAGTCTTACCCTTAGGTCTTTGATCCATTTTGAGTTGATTTTTGTATAAGGTGAGAGGTGGGTTTCTAGTTTCATTCTTCCACATGTGGATATCCAGTTTCCCCAGCATCATTTATTGAAAAGACTATCCTTTCCCCAATCTATGTTCTTGGCACTTTTGTCAAAAAGCAATTGGCTATAGATGCATGGATTAATTTCTGGGTTTTCTATTCTGTTCCATCGGTGTATGTTTCTGTTTTTATGCCAGTACCATGCTGTTTTGGTTACTACAACTTTGTGGTATATTTTGAAGTCTGTTAGTATGATGTCTCCAGCTTTGTTCTTTTTGCTCAGGATTGCTTTGGCTATTCAGGGTCTTTTATGGTCCCATACAAATTTTAGGATTTTTTTTTTTTTCTATTTCTGTGCAGAATGTCATTGGTATTTTAATAGGGACTCCACTGAATCTGCAGGTTGCTTTGGGTAGTACGGTCATTTTAACTATAATAATTATTCCAATCCATGAGCATGAAATGTTTTTCCATTTGTATGTATCCCTCTTCAATTTCTTTCATCAGTGTTTTGCAGCTTTATCTGAAGAGGTCTTTCACTTCCTTGGTTAAATTTATTCCTAGGTATTTTATTAATTTCTTATAGCTATTGTAAATGACACTGCCTTCTTAATTTCTTTTTCAGCTAGTTTGTTGTTTGTGTATAGAAATGCTACTGATCTTTTTGTGTTGATTTTGTATCCTGCAACTTTACCAAATTTGTTGATCAGTTCTAAGAATTTTTTTTTTTTTGGTAGAGCGTTCAAGTCTCTTTTCCTGTCTGTCTCTTCCTTACAATCTCTCCGTTAAAGTACCTAAGATATTTCATTTATATGTCCAGATCTGCTGATGTACTCTCATGGTGCAGTTCAATGTTTCTCTGTCCTCTGTATTTCCTACAAATGGCCAGCTGATATACAGCCTTGACCAGACTCATGATGAATTGATCCCTTTGACAAAATAGTAGGCAGTAGTGTGTTCTTACACCAGAAGGCAAATAATGTCTGTTCTTTTTCTTCTTGTGATGTTAGTAGCCATCGACGCTCACCACCTAGACCCATTCGTTCACCAAAGTTATAAAATGGTGGTATTGCAATTCTGCCATTTCTTTTTCATTTATCAATTGAAATAGCTCTCCCATATCTACTATTTTGTTAGCCAGAGGTACACTCACATAGGAAAAGCAGGATAAATTGCTTCTTTCTTGTATTTACCAATGTTCAAGGTAATAAATTTGTTCCTATCATGCTCTAATCTAAGAGTAACCAATTCCTTTTTAAAATACCATTATGAACTCAAGAATTTAAACACACTTCACAGGTTTCTACCGATCTCTGGCCAGTGGGAATTCTACAGTCATTTCTCCAGTCTTTCTGAAATGACCCTAAATAGTCTTTAACAGCCTCCTTACTAACTGTTATGACAATGTTCCAGCTCAGCATGTACATTTCTTGCCCAAAACCTAGAATCAGCAATTTTGCCAGAAAGGCTTGGTTTCTTTTAAGGTGGAATGGTTTTTCCCAACACCACAATTTGGGTGCTACAGAAGTTCACTGCACACAGCACTGTAAATGTTCAATTGCTACTCAATTGGTCATTTTTGATCTAGTCCTCTTCAGTGTTCACAGTCAGGAAACAAACAAACACAGTTGGGTACATATATTTTTGAAAGATAAAATACCTAATAAGCGCATACTAGTAAGTAACTTTCCATTAAAATATGGAATAATCAGTTTGACTTAACCTCTGCAGTATTACATCTATACTTCCTCTCTTGCCCATTAAGAATCTAGCATATGCAGGAGCAATATATGTCCTAATACTCACTTACTTGATGCAACAATATAAAGTTTCAGAATAACAATATTAATTATGACCACAACAATGTAGTTACTATAAGAATTAAATTTATGGCCAGGCATGGTGGCTCCCACCTGTAATCCCAACACTTTGGTAGGCCGAGACAGGTGGATCACTTGAGTCCAAGAGTTCAAGACCAGCTGGGCAACATGATGAAATCCCGTCTCTACTAAAAATACAAAAAATTAGTCAGGTGTGGTGGTGTGCACCTGTAGTCCCAGCTACTTGGGAGGCTCAAGGTGGGAGGATAGCTTGTGCCCAAGAGGCAGAGGTTGCAGTGAACAGATTCTGCAACCTCTGCAAAATTCAAGCAATTCTCCTGCCTTAGCCCCCTGAGTAGCTGGGATTACAAGCGCCCACCACCATGCTCGGCTAATTTTTGTATTTTTTGTAGAGGCAGGGTTTCACCATGTTGGCCAGGATGGTCTCACTCCTGACTTCAGGCGATCCACCCACCTTGGCCTCCCAAAGTACTGGGATTATAGGCATGAGCCACCATGCCCAGTCACAAATCTTCTTGTAAGAAACTTTTTCTATAGTTGTTCATAGTTGTTCTATTCCCTTGCTTTGCTTTTCTTTCCAAAGAGTCTTATTATCTGTATGTTGTTTCTTCTTTGCCTATCTTCAGTATTTATCATTTTCTCTCAAATCATCTTTTGTCTTTCTGTATTTCTTTTTGGTCTTTAAATTTTTCCTCCTTTTCAACCTCTATTTAAAGGTTTTTTGGTTTATTCAACCTAGTGTCCCTTCTAGTTTTCTTTTCTGAAGTGATTTTTTAAATTCTTTCTTAAGTTCTATCATTTCATTTCTGAATTTTTCTCTTTTTTTTTTTTTTTTTTTTTTGAGACAGAGTTTTGCTCGTCACCCAGGTTGGAGTGCAATGGCACAATCTTGGCTCACTGCAACCTCTGCCTCCCGGATTCAAGCGATTCTACTGCCTCAGCCTCCCGAGTAGTTGTGATTACAGGCGTGCATCACCACGTCCAGCAAATTTTTGTATTTTTAGTAGAGACGGGGTTTCACCATGTTGGCAAGGCTGGTCTCGAACTCCTGACCTCAGGTGACCCGCCTGCCTTGGCCTTCCAAAGTGCTGGGATTATAGGCGTGAGTCATTTCTGAATTTTTCTAATCTTATGTTATCCTTTCACATGTCATATTGGTTCCTCAATGACTTTTGACTCATTTATTTATTTAAAATTTAAAGAAAAAATTTATTGAAGATTTGAAAAATAATTCCTAAAAGATTGACTTTTCCAGAAAACTAGCTACACAATGCATCTCATCTACCATGTTAAAATGTGCACTAGACACAAATACAAAAACCATGCAACAAGCCACCATTCTTCAACAATTTGAGCAAAGTTAAATGCCAAAGGAACAACATGGATGACTTGCAAAGAATGGGCTATTTAAGCACCATTTAAAAAAAAAAAAGGAGCACAAATGGATGAGTGTGTTCAGTTATATACACTGAATTGAACCTTTGGCACTAGGAATCACAGCATTTTGTCATATAGCATGAACACATATTATAAAAGTACGTAGGGTCAAAGGAACAGGACCACCAGCATTCAAAAGCAGCTCTGTCAACTAGGCAATAAAACACTCTATAGCATGTGTCTCTGTTGTCCATTGTTGAATACACTGGCAGGAACTTTGAAGTGAAAAAAAAGGTAAGATAGGAAAAAAGGAGCTATTACTCCTTTTATTTTCTCTGTTTAAAATTAAACAGGAAAACATCAATTGTTGTACAATAACATCTTCAAAGTGCATCATTTGTACAAAAGAAAGACTAAGAACAAAAATGTGTTTACAGAGATCCAAACATAAGTGAGTGAGAGCGTCTCTCAGACAGCTTTCTGATGGTTCTCTGGAGGAGCCATTCATAATTGCTGGGCACTAAAAAATGTTGCAGAATTCTTTGCCAGGTACTTTAGGGAACTGTGAAGATAATTCAGTAATAAAACAAGGCTCGGCCAGGCACGGTGGCTCATGCCTGTAATTCCAGCACTTTGGGAGGCTGAGGCGGGCGGATCACGAGGTAAGGAGTTCGAGACCAGCCTGACCAACATGGTGAAATCCCGCCTCTACTAAAAATGTAAAAACTAGATGGGCGTGGTGGTGCGCACCTGTAATCCCAGCTACTCAGAAGGCTGAGTCAGGAGAATCGCTTGAACCCGGGAGGCAGAGGTTGCAGTGAGCTTGAGATCATGCCACTGCACTCCCACTTGGGCAACAGAGCGAGACTCCATCTCAAAAAAAAAAAAAAAAAAAAAAAAAAAAAAACACAAGGCTCTTCTCATCCAGAGGTATATAGGCCAACATTGCTCCAATTTGTACATCAGTAGATGTGGTGCTCCATAAACCTTGGACATGAGTGCATGAGGGTGATCTGCAAGAATTTCAGCATACTGTGGTCTGTCAAACTTGCAGAGTAGCTGGGTGCCCAACATCACATTGAAGTATTCTTCTATCCCTGCCACAACTTCATTAACAGCATACTCATTATCTGTGTTTCCACGAGATTTTTTGCAATTTGCATAATCCTGGAGAATGGAATCCACATTCTTCCTGGCAGAAAGAAAAAAGAGATGTTTTTGTCTGGTAATTAAGTCCCAGTCATCAACAAGCCATGGTTTCAGCTCTTCAGGAATCTTCACTTTTTAGCTTCAACTCTGTTCATGAATGTGTCCTCATTTTCAAGAGTAGGATCTACCCGGGGGCCCTTTTCTTCCAAGGAGGCTGAGGCATCTCACTGGTACTGCCACCATCTCCATTTCCAGGTATTTTCTGTTTGTTCTTTTTTGTTTTCACTTCAACATTTTCTGTTGCAGACCAGATGTCTTCTTTCTTGGGGCAGCCCCTCTCATCTTCCCCTCTGCATACTGCTCCTGATGGGCTTTTTGAAGTTGTTTCTGCAAATTGGTGTCCACGTATTTGAGTACTCTGCTCTCTGGAACCCATGCATCCCAATTTTTATTCCAACCACTGTAATATATAAAGTATTTTACTTGTTTGTCCTTTATGGCAACCTTTACACATTTTGCTTCATAAAGAAGCAGCCCATGAAAGCACAGCACTTGCTCACCCTCCTGGAACTTAGGGTTTGAGTCCTGCTTCCACGTCATTTATAAGTGATTCGCAGCCTCCTCCTTCTCCAGCTCATTTTATAATAGAGATTTGATCTGTTCTGTGGTCATGTTTTTCTGGGGTGCTTTTATTTATAAGAGCTTTTGTTTTTTCCTTTATAATAACTTTAAATGGGATTTTACCTTGATACTTTTCTGTTTCTCTTGTCTACGTAAAATTAGTGTTCCTGAACTTTTAAAATAATGTAGAGTTCAAGGTAGTTTTTCTAACGTCACAGAATTCATTCCTCTGTTGTTTTCACATAATGTTCAAAAACCTAGTAGCTTGCTTTCTGAGATCTACTAGCCGTTGATCTTCCCATCTTTATCTGAACCTTCTCTTTCCTTCCCCTCCTGTTTTACTCTATTCTATTGTCCCTATCCTGCTCAATTTGGATTATTCTATCCTATTCAATTTTGTTTTAATCAGTGTGGTGCTCTGTCCTGGATGAGCACTCTGGCAGGTTCATTTCAGTAGTTCCATTTTGAGAGTTCGTTGGGGCTAGACTGCTCTAGCTTCTTCTGTCTTTACCATAGTCACACTGCACTTGCCTAATATTGGAGTGGGCAACCCTCCCACCCTCCTATTTCAGCTGCTGTTCTTAAAATAACCCACCATCTTGTCCAGCAAATAGCTGTGGCTATTTTGGCGTTCCCCTGCTTTCAAGTCTTATGAGACACCCTGTTAAATCTCCCTGCTTACTCTCGCATAGACAGTGATAACATGGAGGTCTTGTGGCTGTTGGTGGTTTGCCCTTATCTAGTTGTGCTTTCAAATGACTAAGGCTATAGTCAACTTTATCCATGTTTTTGGATTTGCTATCTAGTTTCTGTAGGTTTTAGTTAAAAACAAAAACAAAAAAACTATGACATGGCCACATCCATCTTCCTAGACTCCCCCTCACAGCCAGATTTGAGGTCAAAAACAGCAGTTGTTTCTATATTCATCATATACTTACTTTTTGACATTTAAATTTACTTAAAACCACATTGTTATATGTCATTTCACTCTTTTTTGAAAGAAGGCAAAAAATACTCCAACTCCATGATTACAAAAAGTTTAACTGAATTCTTTATATCTTTCCTGGTTTTCAATACTTCTAAATGTTCCTTATTCTTAGTTCAGGTAATTGACAAATGTTTATTATACTTTGAAAAAATCCTACAGTCACCAAAAACTCTCATCTGGTGAGGTCTCAGATTGAGATCAAAAACCAAAATTATCATTAAAACACAAGAATCCAAATATAAAATGTCTTTAAAAATCTGAACATAATCTGAGAAGAAATTCCATGTTTATGTTTTACAGACTTTGTCTTCCTTGAACACTGAAATGTATGGTATATGCAGTAGGTTTTCTCCTTGTCCAGAGATGAGCAAACTACAGCCCACAGGCTCATTCTGCTTTACAAATAAAGTTTTACACCAGGTGCTATGGCTGATGCCTGTAATTCTAGCACTTTCGGAGGCCGAGGCCGGTGAATCACTTGGAGCTCAGGGCATAAGACCAGCCTGGGCAACATGGTGAGACGCCATCTTTACAAAAATGACAAAAATTAGCCCGGTGTGATGGCGTGTGCCTATAGTCCCAGCTACTCGGAAGGCTGAGGCAGGAAGATCGCTTGAGCCCAGGAGACAGAGGTTGCAGTGAGCTGAGATCACGCTACTGCATTCCAGCCCGGATGACAAGGTGAGACTCTGTCTAAAATAAATACGTAAATAAATAAATAAAGTTTTGCTGCAACAGTCATGCCTATTCCCTTATGCATTACTATAGCTGCTTTTAAACTACAGTAGCAGAAGTAGTTGAACCGGAGATCATAAGCCTAAAATATTTACTATCTGAGCCTTTACAGAAAATCTTGGCCAAACCCCGTCCTAGTGTAGAGTTTTATCAAAGTTCCATTAGCAGGACTTGGGGCTTTACTGGTAATTTTGAGTGGGACACTCTTTGTTGTACTGATGCCCAGCACACTGCAGGATGTTTAGCAACCTTGGACCTCCCCTCCACCACCGGAACTAAAATACTAGTAGCACTCCCAGTCCTTGGGTTAAACAAAATTCTCTACACATTTCCAAACAAAGGCAGTAAAGATGCTACCCCTGGTGGAGAACCACTGAAGAACTAAGTTAGCTCAGAGTAAGGAAAGAGGAAATACAGTCTGTAAATTCTAAATGCTATCAAGATGGATGATAAATGTAATTACTTTTAAAGCACTTTTAAAGAGCTAACTAAAAGACTATTCTTCTTCCCCTCTGGCACTTAGTCAAAAATAAACATATTTCTTAATAAAATTAGGCTTTGTAATGTATCAAGGCTTCATCGAGTTTTCTTAAAAGTTTTTTCTAATTCTTGTAATCTTACCGATTTGTTCCATCCAGATTTGATTTGTGGATGAAATTAAGTTTTGCATCTGCCCAATAAAGCTTTTGTTCTTCATAATCCAAAGTCAGTCCATTTGGCCAGTAAATTTCACTGTTTATTATAATGAAGCGACTTGAACCATCCATTCCAGCACGTTCTATCTTTGGCACTTCTCCCCAGTCTGTCCAGTACATGAACCTAAAAATCATAAAAATAATTAAAGCCATGACAGAGCAGATATCAATCAAATACTCTGTAATTATTACTATTAAAGAAAGCTCAGGCCGCGCGCAGTGGCTCACACTTGTAATCCCAGCACTCTGGGAGGCTGAGGCAGGCAAATGACGAAGTCAAGAGATCGAGACCATCCTGGCCAACATGGTAAAAACCCATCTCCACTAAAAATACAAAAATTAGCTGGGCATGGTGGTGGTGTGTGCCTGTAGTCCTGGCTACTCAGGAGGCTGAGGCAGGAGAATCGCTTGAACCCGAGAGGCGGAGGTTGCAGTAAGCTGAGATTGTGCTACTGCACTCCAGCCTGGCAACAGAGCAAGTCTCTGTCTCAAAAACAAACAAACAAACAAACAAAACAAAAAAACACCTCATTTTAGGGACACTAAAACTCTTAGAAATTGTATTTTGAAATTCTAATATCTACCATTTGCAACTGCCCTGGTAATACCTGATTCAAACAACTATCATCAAGGATTCAAAAACCACTGAATCAAAATGTATTGGTAAAAAGGATATTTACACCATTTCAATGTATCTCCCCACAGATTACTTATTAACAACAAAGAAGAAAGTGATAACTTTAGAGAAAATAAACCCAGTGGATACCACCTTAACTGAGTCATCTAAATTAACATCACCAATAAGGGAACAAACTGGCATTATATACCTCTTCATGTGATATACCTTTACAGAACATAGTGTCTTTTATACGGTCTCTCTTGCATATTATTCCTGCCCCCAAAAAATGCATACCCCAAATAAAATTATGAGGAAACAGTGTGATTCAAGTCGAGAGACACTACAAAACAGTTGGTCTTTGACAATATCAATGTCATAAAAGTCAAAAAAAAAAAAAAAAAAAGGAGGGGGGGGTCAGGAACCAATCTAGACTGGAGGAGAGCAAAGAGATATGATAACTACATCAAGTGTATGATCTTGGACTGATGAAGTAGGAAGAAAAAAATGCTATGATCACTGGGGAGAAAAGGCAAAACTGATGTAGTGTCAAATTGCATAGTACTGTACTAATGTTAATTTCCTAAATATGCTAATTGTATTGTAGTTAGGATACAGAGGGGTTTGCTATACTACTTTTGCTTCTATTCCACAAGTTTGAAGACTTTTCAAAATAAAAAATGAGAAGTCTAAAAGTCTCATTACAGAAAAAGAAATTTTTCTTTGATGTAAAAGAAAAACTCTCTTGGGCTGGGCACGGTGGCTCATGCCTGTAATCCCAGCACTTTGGGAGGTCGAGGCACCTGTAATCCCAGCACTTTGGGAGGCTGAGGCAGGCGGATCACCTGAGGTCAGGAGTTCAAGACCAGCCTGGCCAACATGGTGAAACCCCATCTCTACTAAAAATACAAAAAAAAAAAAAAAGTTAGCCAGGAGTGGTGGTGGGTGCCTGTTATCCCAGCTACTCGGGAGGCTGAGGCAGGAGAATCGCTTGAACCTGGGAGGCGGAGGGTGCAGTGAGCCGAGATCACACCATTGCACTCTAGCCTGGACAACAAGACTCCGTCTCAAAAAAGAAAAAAAGAAAAAAAAATAGAAAAACTCTTTAATGTATTATACTTCTCTTAAAAGCATATTTTCAAAAGTTAATGAGGAGCCAGGAGTGGTGGCTCACACTTGTAATCCTAGCACTTTGGGAGGCCGAGGTGGGTGGATCACTTCAGGTCAGGAGTTCAAGACCAGCCTGTCCAACATGGTGAAACCCCATCTCTACTAAAACTACAAAAATCAGTCAGGTGCATGTAACCCCAGCTACTCAGGAGGCTGAGGCAAGAGAATCGCTTGAATCCAGGAGGCGGATGTTGCCTCAGTGAGCTGAGATTGTGTGCCACTGCACTCCAGCCTGGGCAACAGAATAAGACTCTGTCTCAAACAAACAAAAAAAAAAAAAAAAAAAAAAAAAAAGAGGTAATGAGGGTGCTATGAAACAGATCAGGCACTTAATAAATGTGTTGAAACCCAAATGAAATTCAGGTATAAGTTTTACTCAAATAATCGGTGGAATGGTAATACTGAAATGAATCTACTTAATGCATACTGATGTCTCCACTATTTCATATGAACTGCTTACTCAAAGAAATGATGAGGAGAATATCATGTAGGGGAATAAATACACCTTCTAGATACAAGGCACTGTGCTAATGGCTTCACATACATTATCTTACTTAAGCCTTAAGCAACCCTACAAAATATTATTTGTTCATCACCACATTTTGATGAGAAAACTGAGAAATGTAAGCACATCACTCAAAGTCACATTGCTAATAAATGAAGAACAGAAATTCAAACCTACATCTCTTAAATTCTGAAGTCTATGTGTATGTCATGGGTCAGAGCCTTGATTTTTAAAGAAGAGAAAGCAAAATGCTCCCTAGATTGGGGACAACAGTCAAACACTACCCAGAATGAGCGGTATGGACAAGATTAATACAGGATAAAACTGTGGCCATGAGCTGTGTAACAATGTGGTCAACAACAGACTATGTATAAAATGGTGGTCCTATAAAACTACAATACTGTATTGTCACTATACCTTTTCTATGTTTAGATACACAAATACTTACCATGGTGTTATGACTGCCACCACATTCAGTATCGTAGCATGCTGTACAGGTTCGTAGCCTAGCAGCAATAAGCTATCTTATATAGCCCAGGTGTATAGCAGGCTGTACCATCTAGGTTTGTGTAACACACTATGTTCACACAATGATGAAATCACTCAACATTTCTCAGAACATGTCCCTACTGTTAAGCGACACATGACTATATATAGGAAGGTAGACCAGACCATGTTACAATTTTTCATTTTGGCCAGGTGCGGTGGCTCACGCCTGTAATCCTAGCACTTTGGGAGGCCGAGGCGGGCAGATCACGAGGTCAGGAGATTGAGACCATCCTGGCTAACACGGTGAAACCCTGTCTCTATTAAAAATACAAAAAAATTAGCCAGGCGTGGTGGCAGATGCCTATAGTCCCAGCTACTCGGGAGGCTGAGGCAGGAGAATGGCGTGAACCCGGGACGCGGAGCTTGCAGTGAGCGGAGATAGCGCCACTGCATTCCAGCCTGGGCAACAGAGCGAGACTCCATCTCAAAAAAAAAAAAAAAAAAGAATTTTTCATTTTTATTCTGAGAACAACACAAAGGCACTTTAAGACTTTTAAAATTAAAGGTGATGGCCAGGTACGGTGACTCATGCTGTAATCCTAGCACTTTGGCAGGCCAAGGCAGGAGGACTGTCTGAGTCCAGGAGTTCAAGAACAGCCTGAGCAACACAGCAAGATGCTGTCTCTATTTTTTAAAATGAAAAAATAATAATAAAATAAAATTGGAGGTGAAATGACTGGCTTTGTGTTTTCAGGAGGGAGAAAAAAATGCCTGCGGTTTGGGAAAAAACTAGAGGAAAACTAAAAAAAATCCTGAGGCCAGGTCTTCCAATAGGCTCTGTGAGTTCAGCAAATTCTCTCCCTTAAGCAATTAAAAAAAAAAACAAGGTCAAATCTAACCACCAAAGCCTCCAAAAACTGACCAAAGGTCATACAACAAAATGAGAAGCATTTATTCCAGAAAAATACACCGCATCTCAATAAGAACTGTGGTATTTTAGCTAGGGGCTATTCCTATCCCCATCTATACTGCCAGGTTTGTGGCATAAACATTCTACTGTGGGCAAACATGGCAGGCCATAAAGAGTGGTAGCTACCTTTCCCTGCAAGAGGGGACTGACCTTATTTGGAACGAGGCATGGAAAAATCTGTACCCAGGAATGTTGTTAAAAACAAGAGTGGACTGGGCGCAGTGGCTCATGCCTGTAATCCCGGCACTTTGGGAGGCCAAGGCAGGGAGATCCCAAGGTCAAGAGGTCAAGACCATCCTGGCCAACATGGTAAAAACCCTGTCTCTATTAAAAACACAAAAAATTAGCTGGGCATGATGGTGTGCACCTGTAGTCCCAGCTACTCAGGAGGCTGAGGCAGGGGAGGCTGAGGCAGGGGAATCGCCTGAACCTGGGAGGCAGAGGATGCAGTGAGCCAAGATTGCACCACCGCACTTTTGAGATTCCGTCAAAAAAATAATAATAATAATATTAATAATAATAACGCTTTCAGTGGCAGGCATCACGAGGGCCATTATCTAACTGACTCTGGTGGGGGCAAGCAACAAAATAGCAAACTAGCCAGAAATCTAACAGGAAGATCCTAGGAAAAAGACTGCCAAGAAGAGCCTTAAGTGGATATTCATGCTTAGTAGTCAGGAAGGCTGTCTGCATGTGTAACGCTACACCAGAAAGAACACTTGCAAGCTAGTCTCTGGCTGAACATGGGTCAAATTTGAAATTGCCTAAAATTTTAAGACATTCTCCAAACCATAAACAGGTCCACAGGAAAATGGGGTAACACTAACTTGCTGGTGTTCAGGAACAACCTTTAAGCAATCATTAGCTGACCACTAAGATAACAGTGACACAGAGGCAATCCCCCAGAAAGCCAGGCATAAGAAATATTTTAAAAGGAAAACAGACCACAGAAGTAATCCAGGAAAGTCATTAAACAAAAACACACAACAATGGCAACAAGCCCAGGGAGCGGTCAGAATCCAGAATCCAGTCAATATAATATATTCATACAATGGAATACTATTCAGCAACATAAAAGAACTACTTATCAATGTCAAGGATGACTTTTTAAAATTATGTTGAACAAAAGAAACCACACATAAAAGAGTACCTACTACGTGATCCCATTATATGAAGCTATAGATGTAAAATCAAAAAGACTAATCTATGATGATAAAACCAGATTCACAGTTACTGGGGAGGAGTAAGGGATTGACTGTAAAGGGGCTTAAGGCACCTTCTGGAGTAGAGTAATGAACGTTTGTCTTAGGTGTATTTATCAAAGCCCATTTAACAATCAACAAAAAAATATGAATTTTTTGCATGTAAATTCTAACTCAGTAAAGTTGCTTAAAACGTGAATAAGAAACATAAACTATTTCAAGAAGTTAATTCAAAGGTAACTTTTCTTAGAAACCTTTCCCAGCTTACTAAGGCAAAGTTATTCCCTCTTCTGAGCTCTTGGCAGGTTTTGTTATATACTATAGTACTTATCAGAGTTTGTAGATAAACTATAAAGAACTCAAAGGTAAAGACTAGGTGTCACTACCACATCACAATGACTGGCACATTGCACGTATTCTTTTTTAAATAAAGATGAATCCAGACCTTGTGCTTTCCATTTTCAATTTCTCCTCTAACCCCCAACTCAGTGCACACTGAAATGGGTAAAGGAAGACACATGAGATGCTACAAGAAGAGAAAGAAGTACAAAAGGTTAATAACCTAAGCATAGGGACAGCCAGAAACAGTGAAATGGTTTTGTGTGCCTATGTCTATTATAATATATGAACTAGATTTCTCCTCAGGATATCTTTAATACACAAATCAATTGATATTTCCATCTTGATAGAGTAATACAGTTAAAAACAAGTCCACAGCACACTTCATTAGCCACCTCCCATCTTTTCTCTATTAATGCATAAAATGAAAACTACCAGTATCTTTAAACAAACAAGTGTAGAGAAATAAGAAGTTACTCTCACTGCAATATCTACTAATCTATACTCTGCGCCGTGTGTGCAACATGCATTACTTGAGATTACGTGATACAAAGTTTGAAATGTTGCCATCACAGGCTGGGCTGACCAGAAGCAATTTGCACACTATAAAGACAGAAAATGCAATAAGGGCTATTGTCTTTCTTGTACAATATAATTTAGGTAGGTTTCCTAACTGTAACTAATCTAAGCATTTAACTTTGTAACTCAGTGTCTAGTTTATGGTGAAATAAAATGTTACAAATGAGTGAGTCAACCTAACAAGATTTTAGTAATGAATAAAAGTATTTGCATGCCACTATGTACCAAAGCTAATGGATAATCCCTTCATTATTCAACCCTAAAAAATAAATCAAGTCATGTTTTTTCAAGGATAAGACCCAGATAAAGATTCCAACTACAATAAGTGAAACTAAGGCATTTGTCAGATGAGAACTTGACGAAAATTAGCATTTTTAAATAGATTACAGATGTGCCTTCATTTGTGCAAATATTTAAAATATAAAGGAATAGATTTCATCTATAAATACTAAACATTTTCATTAACTTTTAAATTAAAAAGCTCATTACAAATGTAACCGAAAAAGCGATTAGGACACAGAAAATTTTTAAAAAGTATTTTTTAAGTTACCAATATATTATTCAATTTTCTTAAGGTTTTGAACACCTATTAAAGCGGTGAGCACCTATTAGGAGCTAAGCACCATGCCTGATACAGGGAATATGAAAATAAGCAAGGCAAAACTATTGCCCTTACGAAATTCGCAATGTAGACAAGGAGTGGCAAGTATATTGAGGAAGGTATAAACAGGAGGCTCTGAGAGTATAGAGAAGTGACACCCAATCAAGTCAATGAATGTAAGAGTTGTCAATAAAATATACCAGAGAAAGTATGTATTTTACTTAGGCAGTTGCCAAAATGGGAAATAGTGTTCCAGGAAGAGGACATAGCATATGAAGTCATGATATATTCAATAAACAGCAAGAAGATCCATAGAGCTGTAGCATATCGTGAGGTACATTGACAATGAAAGAAATCCCACGTGTATTATTTTACTATACTAAGAAACTTGGACTCCAGTGACAATAACATTGAGGGACTGGCTAGAGGAAGAAGAAACAAGAAAAAGCCAGAAAACTGAAATATTCCAAATAAGAACTAATGAAGGCAACAGAAGTTGAGGACTGGATCAATATGAAAGAGGAATGAGAAAGGATAGACTAGGATGGCTCCCAAGATTTACAAATGTGAATGTGTGTGTATTGGTGTCATTCAACATAATATGGAATTAGATGTGGTTTGGGAGAGCAAGATGATGAGTTCAAATATGGATGAATTGAAGCATCCTCACCTCATTGTTTTTCCTTCTGTATCCAGACCACCAGTCAATAGAATAACAGGAAAATCAGTGTAAAAATAAGTGAAAGTTGGTTAGAAAAGGTAAATAAAGTAAAAAGCATATTAACAGTCAAAGAAGTTGGTCTACAGTAACAGGGCAAAATAAATCACAATTACGAGTTGCATATGAAACTAAGTCAATCCAGAAGTGTTGAGCCATGCTAATTCTAAGAACATTAATGTGACACATGTAAGTAACTCTGAAAGGACCTATAAAAAGCCACAGGTCCTCAAAAACATTTTGTTGCCATCAAATTTATTTTGGGGGAAACTTCAAAAATCACATACATCATTATCAAATTGAAAATGCAGCCAGTGAAAATAGTTCTGATTTTAATGTGAAAAAGAAAAGTGTTGTGTAAAATTCACACCCTTCCTGTTACTAACCCCTGAACTTGATTCCTGACCCCATGTTCCTCTCTTACTCCGGTTAGTAGATTAGGCTTTAAGTGAAGAGGAGTTTGAAGAATTTACGGATTTCTGCTTCCTAATAGAAGTGAAAAGAAAAAAAGAATTGTGAAGAAATCGGACCTACTTCTGCACTTCCCCTCTACTTGATCATGTGTTGGTATCATATTTTAAAAACAAGTAGAAATTAATAAAAGAGGATAGTGAAAGCATTCATGTTAGCAGGTTGGTTTCTGTGGTTGTTTTTACAGAGAATATACAGTAACCAGATAAAAGAGTCTGGGCTGGGTGCAGTGGTTCACACCTGTAATCCCGGCACTTTGGGAGGCCAAGATGGGCGGCTAATGATGTCAGCAGTTTGAGACCAGCCCGGCCAACATGGTGAAACCCCAAACCCCAACTTGACTAAAAATACAAAAATTAGTTAGGCGTGGTGGTGGGCACCTGTAATCACAGCTACTTGGGAGGCTGAGGCAGGAGAATCACTTGAACCTGGGAGGTGGAGGTTGCAATGAGCCGAGATCGTGCCACTGCACTCCAGTCTGGGTGACAGAGCAACACTCCGTCTCAAAAAAAGAGAGTCTGGAATGGAATTAGATAGACATGGTTTGGGACGGTAAGATGATGAGTTCAAATACGGACGAACTGAAGCATCCTAACCTCACTGTTTTTCCTTCCGTATCCAGAGTAGGGATGGCTTTGTCATCCCATGTTTTTACCTGTCCCTCAATAGGGATAATAATTCTACCTAATTACTTGCTTGTGACAGTATGCATCATCATGAAATTCTGAATGTATAAACTGGTTGCCCTGGAGAAAATAAGAACCTCATGAACAGCCTTAAGCACCCAGTCTAGTCGATTACTTTTAAAAAGTTAGTGGACATAATGCAAAGAATATATTTAATTCAGAAATAACATTGGTAAACCACTACTAGAAGATAAAGATTATAACCTGAAAGCGGGTAACAGATTACATCAATTTAATTCCCAACTATCATCAAAGAAAATGCTAACTCTAGTAATTTTTCAAAATTGCTGTTATACGTCATTCCTCTTTCCAAAGAATCAAAGGTGATGCATTTTGAGCGCCTCTAAGTTTAATAAAAATGAAATATTAACTGTCAGGAATGCCCCCTTCAAGCATACTCTCCTCTGTGCTCCTGCACGTTATTCTGATACTATGCTCCAGGTACAAACTACATCTCTGTACATTTCAAATACAGTATTAGGACTGTTTACTCATATGTTTTCACCACTCTAGATTCCAGGTCCTTGAAAACAAGGACTTTGTTTTATTTTTTGTTGTATCCCCTATCCTAAAACAATCTAGCATAATGCCAAGTACACAGTCAGCACTCAAATATTTAATAATGGTCTGCACTCACCTGCTCGTGAGACCTCTTGTATCTGTCTTATTACCAAGGCCGTATCCTTGAAAAATACAGGTAAAATTTTATTTTAATGATTACATTATTCTACTATGCTCCAGTTATGAGCTGCTTTTCTTTGAATGCACAAAAGCATGAAGAGAGCCTGTCACATAATATTTCTACTGACTAAAAATTATTACCCACTTCCACACCTTGTCCCTCTAGCCAACAACTGCTCGGCTAACAAGCACCACCCTAAAATAGTGCATCCCCACCGCCCCCCTGCCAAGTAAAAGTGAATACTCTGTCCTTTGTGTCCCCACCATACAGATTTCCATAGCAAAACTTATAGTTTCACTGGTTTATTCATGATTCTATATAATCAGTCTCTTTATATATTTTGCAACTAGTTTGTCTCAGAAGGTATACTAGAATATCCTGTCACTCAAATCTGGAAGCTATATATGCTTCACTGACTTTTTCATTAAATGGTCTCATAGAGAGAATTTTATTTTTTTTAAGGTAAATTTATTTCAGTCATGCTCTATGAGAACTTCAACTACCTTTCTAATAAATACATCAAAATTAGTTTCTGAGGAAAATTTTGTCCTTGACCTTGAGAATTCTTGGTCTTGAGAATTAGAACTTATCCAGCTCACCTCACCTGCTTTAACTGAATTGCACTTTGCCCAGATGCCGCAGGGACAAATGCCAAAGAAATGTGTCACTGTGGATATTATAAAGATATTGTTGAATATATTTTTCATTATATCATATAGCAGCTTCTTTAGAGGACTAATGGGAAGAAACTGGTTTCATCATCTGGAGTAAATATTTTTTTCAGTGAACAGCTTTTATCTAAAGGACATTAACTCATACCTGATACTTTCTTCCCTAAGGAATCTGGCTTAAAATCAAATGTGTGTGGAAGTATATGGGAATTAATGACATATGTTTTGGTATGTATATTTTCACTCCTGGTCTCATCTTACATGTATACTCTTATATTTCCATCTCAATTTTAAAATTTTATTTTATAAAATTAATACATTTATTTATTTTGCATCACTTTTTTATATCTTCCTAAAACATCTTAAATCCTTTTAGAGACAAAGTAGGAAAAACATTTACTATTTTTTTCAGTTTAGCTATTGGGGATTAAACATTTTTCTTATTAATTTGTATGCACTTTTTATATATCAAGGCTAACTCTATTATTAATATATCTGTTACAAATATTTTTCTTTGTCTTTTTTTGCTTGAATCAAAATTTGGTTGAATCAGTATTTTTCTTTGCAATTTCTTTCATTGCTTTCATGCTTAAAAAGCCCTTCTCTCTTCAAAGATTAAACATTCACGTTTTCATTTGATGTTTAAGTTTTCACTTAAAAATTTTTATCCATCTAAAATGTATCTGAAGTATGACATGAGATACTGATATAAACTGATTTTTTCTTTCCTAACGGTAAATTCTTCTAGTATGACGTCCCTTCCCTCTTGATTCCCACTCCTTTTATCACGTTACAAATTGTAACGTACAGTATTTTCCTAATCTACTTGTTTAATATCTATTTTTTACACCAATAATGTCTCATAGATTTAACATTAGCTCTATTAATACCAGTCTTGGATAATCATGTGACCATAGTTTTAATTTTCATCTGCAAAGTGAATACTTCACTAGTTGATGTAAGGATTAAAGTAAGACACTTTATATAAAAGAAAAGTGTCTTTCCTACTGGCTTTGACCCTTCTGCTCTGATCTGGTTGCAGGACAGTTCTTCATATTTATCATCTTCTCTTAGACTTTTACCATTACCCACCCCATGGGGTCTTTTAGTCATCTAAACTCCCTGCTAATACCTATTTTATAACAGTAACCAACCAAGAAGCCAAGCAGCACCCCACTCTCAAAACACATTTTCAAAAATATGTCATAAGTAAAAGAATATTTATTGGATGCAGGTATATTACAAGAGAAAATTTAGGACAAAATAGCATTTACTCAACAAGAAAAAGGAAATTTTCCTTTATTCTTTAATAAAACATCTCAGTTAATATTTACAAGCACTGGATACAAATACTTCCTTTATGTTAAACCTAACACCCCCTTACCAGTAAAGATAAGCTTCCTTTTCATAACAGGTGAATACAATGTGCCATTCAAAGGCCCAGTCAGCTTACTAAAAACCCATTCTTCAGATATCTCATAAATCAACTATGTTATATAGTAAGAACCTGAAGTCTTTAATCATCATAAACACATTCCTGCAAAATAAATACATAAGCTTAATTCTTAAAAGGCAAAAGCTTAAAATTCATGATCTGATTTGTAAAATATGCTAAGACTAATCTTTTGGTTGCATTTATTTGAAATTTCTAAGTCATGTGAGAACTTTCTTTTTCCTTTAACTATCAGAGCCTATTTCTGTAAGCAAGCATAGAAAAAATAGTTTTCCTGGTTGGGGGAATATGGAATGCGTTTTCTCCATTTGAAACCAACCCATTAGTTCCCTAGATAGGTTTTGGATAAACATAGAAGTTGACCCTTCTGGTCTTAAAGCTTGAATCTTACATTTGTTTTACCTGAGTTCCTTCCTCAGGAAATGACCTTCAGGCTGCTCAAAGTATCAAATAACTGAAACTCACCAGATCACCACATTCAGACAGACAATAAGATGCTAGACAACTCATTCATCATGATTGCTTCCTTGGCCCGCCTTAGTTCCTGTTTCTTTTACATTTCTTCCCTGCTATATGAACCCTTCGTTTTAGTCACTCAGGGAGATGGTTTGAGACTGAGTTCTCATCTTCCTGGCTGCAGCACCCATGGCAATACTTGTTGTCTCAGTCACTGGCTTTCTCTGCAGTGAGCAGCATGACCTAGACCAAACCCCTGGTGTTTTGGTAACTCATTTTTATTTGCAGTTTCTGACATCCTTACAAATAAACATAAAGTTAACATTTTTACAAACACTTCCTAATAAGGAAAAGTTTGAGGAGGGAAGGACATCACAGGGAAATAAATATCACAGGTTCTCCCACTGATCCCTGAGATTTGAGGGGACAGCAAACTGTGCAGAAATAATGAAAAAAAATAATAAAAATAGTCTGATAAAAACAGTACTGTTGTTTACTATTACTAATGGCCTTAATCAGTAAGGACTAAGATTATTTTATTTTATTTTATTTCATTTTGAGACGGAGTTTCACTCTTGTTGCCCAAACTGGAGTGCAATAGCGCGATCTCGGCTCACTGCAACCTCTGCCTCCCGAGTTCAAACAATCCTCCTGCCTCAGCCTCACATGTTGGCCAGGCTGGTCTCAAACTTCTGACCTCAGGTGATCCGCCCGCCTCGGCCTCCCAAAGTGCTGGGATTACAGGCGTGAGCCACCGTGCCTGGCCAAGGACTAAGATTTAAGATTTCAGTAGACAGTGTTTTCAGGTATTAAAGATCAGAGTTTTCTTTTAAGAATCTATTTGTGGCCAGGCGTGGTGGCTCATGCCTGTAATCCCAACACTTTGGGAAGCCAAGGTGGGAGGATCACCTGAGGTCAGGAGTTCGAGACCAGCCTGGCTAACATGGTGAAACCCCGTCTCTACTAAAAATACAAAAATTAGCCAGGCATGGTGGCGAGCACCTGTAATCCCAGCTACTTGGGAAGTTGAAGCAGGAGAATCACTTGAACCCACAAGGCAGAGGTTGCAGTGAGCCAAGATGGGGCCACTGCACTCTAGCCTGGGCGACAAGAGGGAAACTGCCTCAAAAAATAATAATAATAATGATCTATTTGTGTGATAGACTAATGTATCTGCCTAATTGCTTCATCTTTTTCAAAATCTTCAAAGCGGTTATGGTCTTCTATACCTCTCCTCTGGTCCTAATTCGCTGCAACAGACTTTTACTTCACTTTCTTCTGTCTTAATTAAATCCACCCACAGACACACACAAACAGGGAGAAGACAGAAAGATTTGGAGACCCCTCTATCTATCATAAGCCAAAAGCTATTAGATTTCTGAATGTCCTGGATCTTCCAGCACATTTCAAAGTGACTTTGTTACCCACAATGGCCATAATGCAACATTGTTTTATAATGATTTAAATTTGAGGTTTTAAAAAATGATAATAATATAGCCAATTATACTTTTTATTCAGCTGAAAAATATGAGGGCCTGAAAACAATGTAAATAGTATTTGAGAAGAGAAGACAAATCCAAGAGCTACTTAGAAGGCAGAATAAACAAGAATTGGTAACTGATTAAATGTGAGGAGTGAGGAGGTGGGGGCCTAGAATGACTCAGGATTTTTAGTTTCTGCAACCGTTAGGTAGAATGACAGTTGTTCACAAATTCTGATATTTTGTTATAGGGTTTTCTTGGATGTGGTCTTCTCTCTGTACTTAAAATTTAAAAAAAAAAAAAAAGAAAAGAAAAGCTTTGTTAAAGGTTGTTTTCTCAAGCCCCAATAAAACTAACGGATAATCCAAACAGCCTCTTTCCAGACTTCCCATCCCCTACCCTTAAGGCCATTTTCCAGAATACTCTGAAATTAATGATTATATTACCACCACATCCCCTCCCACACACCCTCCCCCTCCCTCCCCCTGCCCCTGCAATCTGGGATTATGTAATTTCCTTACTTTCAGCATGAATCCCAAACTTCTTAGCATGACATATAAGAGCCTTTCTAATTTGTTTCTCTGCTTTTGGTTCCTCATTTCTCACGGCTCTAGTATCCTGCCTATTGCTACCAGACTGCCTTTCATAAAATACAGTATCATGTAAACACAAATCCTTTATAACTGGGGTCCCCAACCTCCAAGCCAGAGACCACTACCAGTTCATGGCCTTTTAGGAACCAGGTCACACAGCAGGAGGTGAGCAACAGGCAAGTGAGCAAAGCTTCATCTGTATTTATAGCCGCTCCCTATCGTTCATATTACTGCCTGAGCTCCGCCTCTGTCAGATCAGTGGAGGTATTAGATTCTCATAAGAGCATAAACCCTATTGTGAACTGCGCATTGCAAGGGATCTAGGTTGCGTGCTCCTTATTAGAATCTAATGCCTTATGATCTGTCACTGTTTCCCATCACCCCTAGATAAGACCATCTAGTTGCAGGAAAAAAACTCAGGGCTCCTACTGATTCTACATTATGGTGAGTTATATAATTATTTCATTATACATCACAATGTAATAATAATAGAAATAAGGTACACAATAAAGGTAATGTGCTTAAGTCATACTGAAACCATCCCTCCAGCCCAGTCCGTGGAAAAACTGTCTTCCACAAAACCAGTCCCTGGTGCCAAAAAGGTAAGGGACCACTGCTTTACGAGACACTCTTAGCTTTAAAAGCTATAGGGACTCAGATTTCCCTATTGCTAAACATACTACAAAGCCACAGTAATCAAGACAGTGTGATACTAGCATAAGGACAGACATCTAGATAAATTTAAAAGAAATGAAAATCCAAAAATAAACCCTTATATTTATGGTCGATTGACTTTCAATGAGGATGTGAAGACAGTTCAGTGGGGAAAAACAGTCTGTTCAACAAATAGTGCTGGGATAACTGGATATCCACATGCAAAACAATGAAGCTGGACCTCTAAAGGACATACAGAAATTAATTCAAAAACGATAAAGACCTGATTGTAAAAGCTAAGACCATAAAACTCTTAGAAGACAATGAGTAAATATTCATGATCCAGAATTAAAAGAATGGTTTCACAGATATAACACTAAAACCACAAGCAACAAAAGAAAAAAACAGATCAGACTTCATCCCAAAACTCCATTATATGTGTGTTTCAAAAGATACCACAAAGAAAGTGAAAAGGCAACCCACAGAACAGGAAATCAGTATTTGCAAATCGTATGTCCGACAAAGGTCTGGTTTCCAGAATATATAAAGAGCTCTTAGAACTCAATAATAAAAGGACTTACCAGGCATAGTGGTTCATACCTATAGTCCCAGCGACTGGGGAGGCCAAAGTGGGAGGACCACTTGAGTCCAGGAGTTCAAGACCAGCCTGGGCAACATAACGAGAACCCCCATCTTTACCAAAAAAATTTAAAAATTTGCCTGGTGTGGTGTCACCCACCTATGGTCCCAGCTACTCAGGAGGCTAAAATGGGAGAATCGCTTGAGCCCAGGGAGTTGAGGCTGCAATGAGCCATGATCATGCCACTACATTCCAGGCTGGGGAACAGACCAAGACCCTCTCTCAATAATAATAATAATAATAATAATAATAATAATAATAATAATACTATACAATTTTAAAATAGGTATTTCACAAATCAAGATTTACAAGTGGTCAAAGCACAGAACATGTTCAACATCAGTCAGTAAGGAAATGTAAATCAAAACCTCAATAAGACATGCCTATACACCCACTAGGATGGTTATAACTTTTTAAAAAAGGAGAGAGGGCCAGGCACAGAGGCTCACACCTGTAATCCCAGCTACAAAGAAGGCTGAGAAGGGAGGATCACTTCAGCCCAGGTGTTTGAGGCTGCAGTAAGCTATGACCATGCCACTGTACTCCAACCCAAGTGACAGAGCAATACCCCCATCTCTTTAAAAAACAAAAAACCAGGAAGAGACAAAGAATAGCAAATATTGCAGGAAAGAGAGAAACTGAAACCCTCATACACTGCTAGTGGAAATATAAAAATGGTAGAGCAAGTTTAAAAAACAATGTGGGGCTGGGTGTGGTTGCTCACGCCTGTAATCCCAGCACTTTGGGAGGCCGAGGCGGGTGATCACCTGAGGTCAGGAGTTTGAGACCAGCCTGGCCGACATGGTGAAATCGCACCGAGATCTCACCACTGCACTCCAGTCTGAGCAACACAGCAAGGCTCCATCTCAAATACAATAAAATAACAACAGATTACTTGTAGGGCCCACTTTAGTTACAAATTTTATACTCTTAACTGTCTACCCCTTTTTGGTTTTTGTTTGTTTGTTTTTTGAGACAGTCTCACTCTGTCGCCCAGGCTGGAGTGCAGTGGCACCGTCTCGGCTCACTGCAACCTCCACCACCCGGGGTTCAAACGATTCTCCTGCCTCAGCCTCCCAAGTAGCTGGGACTATAGGTGCCCGCCACCACGCCTGGCTAATTTTTGTATTTTTAGTAGAGATGAGGTTTCCCATGTTGGCCAGGATGGTATCGGTCTCTTGACCTTGTGATCCGCCCACCTCAGCCTCCCAAAGTGCTGGGATTACAGGCGTGAGCCACCCCAACAGGCCAACTGTCCTCCGCTTTTGTATCTACCATTGCACCTCATTCATTTTTCAACATTAGAAAGGGGGAAAAAATACAAACAAGACTCAAATCACAGCAAAGATATCCACAAATCCTGTAACCATTCCCTTTCATTCACAAAATGTTCTTTCATGGATATATGGCACTGGAGGGGGCTACCCAGCTTTATCGAATCCACTTTCCTATGTTTGGAGAATTCTTCACTTTATAAGGCAGAACCTTGCCCTAAAACTAAAGAAACTGAAAACCAGGTATTTGCTTTCCACATCTCTCTCCTAACTGGGACAGGGTTACGTGTAAGTCCTGAGCTTTTCCAGTCAGACAAACCAACCCCGACTTTGAAAAACTGAATCAACAAAAGGAGGAGGACGTAGAGGTCAAAGAGGAAGCAGCGACAGAAGCAAGCCCCATAAGCAATCCATTCTGGTGAGGTTGAAGGCAACAGCAACAGCTAATTTACTCCAGTTTGAATTAATTAATCCTTCCAGCTGGGCACGGTGGTTCACGCCTGTAATCCCACCACTTTAGGAGGCTGAGGCGGGCGGATCACCTGAGGTCAGGAATTAAGAGACCAGACAGGCCAACATGGTAAAACCCTGTCTCTACTAAAAATGCAAAAATTAACCAGGTGTGGTGGCACACGCCTGCAGTCCCAGCTACTAGGGAGACTGAGGCAGGAGGATCACTTGAACCCAGGAAGCAGAGGTTGCAGTGAGCTGAGATCATGCCACTACATTCCAGCCTGGGCAACAGAGCGAGAACCTGCCTCAAAAAAAAAAAAAAAATTCTTCCTTCATCCAGTTTTAAAAGGGAACACTGACAACAGTTTTAGGAGTATCTGTCACCTTATGTCAGAGAAAGTACAAATAGTGTGAACATGTCACCTAACAGTGATGCTTTCACTGGACCAGCTCTGCAGTATAGTACGTAGCACACTGTTCCTGCACAAGACTGGTTCTTCTACCCTTTAGGAAATTCTATGAATAGCCCAATATCCTCTTTAATCACAAAGCCATTTATGATTAAAGTAGAGGGATTTCTATTATTTAAGACTATGAACACTAACGCATATTTTTCTTAGTTTTTTTTTTTTTTTTTGAGACAGGGTCTCACTCCATCACCCAGGTTGGAATGCGGTGGTACAATCTCAGCTCACTGCAACCTCCACCTCCTGGGCTCAAGCGATCCTCTCACCTCAGCCTCCTGAGTAAATGGGAGCATAGGAGTGCGCCACCACACCCGGTTAATTTTTTCTATTTTTAGGAGACACAGGGTTTCACCACATTGCCCAGGCTGGTCTCAAACTCCTGAGCTAAAGTGATCCGCCCACCTCAGTCTCCGAAAGTGCTGGGATTACAGGCATGAGCCACCACGCCCAGCCTAACACATATTCTTAGATCACAACGGCATCCCAAAGCATCACTTTAAAGTTCAGATAAAGTAACTTCAACCCTTGCTCTGACAAAGTTTCGTATCTTACAACTCCCTACCTTCTACAAGTGGCATGTTTGCAGTCTCAGTTCTTCCCACAATCTACTATGACCCCTCTCTCCTTAAGAACCAATGTCAATATTCGTGAGACTGGTTAGCAGAAAACTGTCAGCTAAATCACATCCTGACCCTTCTTTCTGTACACACATTTAAAACAACATCTTGATGCAAACTGATATAAAAGGAACAATTTATTACAGATGCAAAAGCCAACTTAACATTAAACTTTTGTATTTATATCACCATAAACAATGAAGTGTAAGAGAAAACCCAATTGAACAGTTTGGTTCACCCATGCCTTCATAACTTCAAAACCCAATAATCATCAATACATAATGATGACAAGATAACCAGTTCTTGAATATTAAGAAACTAGAATTGTTGCTTTAGCATGTTTAAGACTATGCACCTCCCCCCTCTTCCCTCTCTGACACACACACACAAAATAACAGCATCAACAGCATCAGCAACATCATGAAATACCTACAACAAAAAATTTCAACCCTGGCAGCACTTGAGAATGACCTAAGAAATTTATTTTAAAATATCCATTATGTGGGTTCTTTCATCAGAGATTCTGATTCAATTGGTCTGGGCTCGAACTCAGGAATCAATATTTTTTTAACAGCTTCCCAAGGAATTCTAATGCACTCACACAGGGCTTAGAACCAGTGAAGAGGAACATAATGTTCTCAAGCACCTGTTTATCCATAGCATTCTATTCTTGCACAGCTGGTGTTAATGTATTTAACTCATTAACCACTGACCCTAAATATTAGCTAATCATTAAGCCCCAGTTGGTACTCGCCTGTGTGGAGGTTACCACATAGTCTGGGAGGATGACTTAAAATATTTTATTTTGGTGTTGGACTGTGTCATCTATAATTCTGGCTTCAGAGAACAGAGTAAAATATGATTGAGATTTAATTGGTGGTTTTTCTGAATTGATCTAGGAGTGATCTGCTAAATGCTTTATGTACTTATACCCTTCCACTGTGCAAGACCATATAGGGGAACAAAGTAACAACTAAAATTCCTTCTCACACAATGGGTTTCCACATTTCCTTCAAAAGCTCTACAAATTGGGAAGGGGGATTTGAAAAGTTCACAAGTACTGCTTAAATTTTACTAAGCAGTAAATTTTACTAAGTAAAAATACACACATCTGTGAGAATAAAAGTAGATTTTCAAATTTCCACTATAACCTTTCAAGCTTTTGGCACCCAATTTTATATATTTATAGCGATAATCCTCTATATATAAAGAAAGATCACGGCCGGGTGCAGTGGCTCACACCTGTAATCCCAGCACTTTGGGAGGTCGAGGCGGGCGGATCACCTGAGGTCAGGAGTTCAAGACCAGACTGACCAACATGGTGAAACCTCATCTCTACTAAAAATACAAAAAAATTAGCCGGTCGTCGTGGTGGTGCCTGTAATCCCACCTACTCGGTAGGCTGAGGCAGGAGAATCGCTTGAATCCAGGAGGCGGAGGTTGCAGTGAGCCAAGATCGCGCCATTGCACTCCAGCCTGGGCGAGAAAGCAAGACTCCGTCTCAAAAAAAAAAAAGAAAGAAAGAAAGAAAGAAAGATTCCATTCTTGCGGGGGAAATATTCCAAGACCCGCGGTGGATGCCTGAAACTGCAGAGTACCAAACCCTATATATACTATGTTTTTTCCTATATATACATACTTATGACAAAAGTGTGGTCCATGAACCAATCAAGCTCCATCCTACATCTACAGAATCAGAATCTGCACTGTAATAAGAGAATAAAACCAAAATACTATCTTTCCTTACATTAGTCTTTATAACATCAGAAAATACATAGTAAATGTATAGTAATAAAAGTTACATATACAATCCTAAAAATAACACTAACGAATATTTCTAGGATAAGTATATAAAGCATTTAGCAAATCACTCCTAGACCAATTCAGAAAAACCACCAATTAAATCTCAATTATATTTTACTCTATTCTCTGAAGCCAAAATTATAGATGACACAGTCCAACACCAAAATAAAATATTTTAAATCATCCTCCCAGACTATGTGGTAACCTCCACACAGGCCATTAGTTAAGAATAGTAACAATTATAAAGATGTTCCAAGGATTTTAAGAAATACCTCCCTAATTATTTCACTCAAGTTCTTCATTTCATCAGAAAAAAAAAAAAAAAAAAACCAGGACCTAAGACCTGAATTTTCCCAAACCTTTTAGATGCATGTGATGGTCATTTATCTGAGCCTCCCAGAATGACTGGGAAATGAACATCCTACAAGTCTTGCCACAAACCAAGTGTTTAACAGAAAATTAGGCACAAGTATTAGCTACACTGAAACCTTGTTGCTGTGTTTCCCCTTGGGAATGATGGCTAAGGTAGAACCATACCGCACATATTTAAACAATAATTTACATAAAATTACAAATACTGTAAAATACAACCACTACTCTTATGATGAAGGAATCTGCACTTGTTTATATCAATACAATCTTTCATCTTGAGGGTCATTCAACAATATGACTGGTAATACATAGGTATGGGCCTAACACCCTCCCCCAGTCTGTGAGATCTGACAAATCCTACAGTATTTTTTAAATCAAATGCTAAAAATATTAATTATACTTTTCTACTACTCCTATCTTAATTTTTAATGGGTATAAATTCCAAGGCTGAGATTATTTTTCATTGTTTTAAGGTTAATCAACTAACCTTATTTAAAGTGTACACTGTATATAGTAAGCTAAACATGGACTAAACGCTGATGTCTCCAATTCTAATCCTTTACCACATGGATCACTCTAGCCTCCTTCTCCTTGCTTGTAACTTTCCATTCCAACAGTGAGAAATCTGGCTACCACAATCCACCATCCACTTATACTTAACTGTTTAGTATACATTACTAGAGGTATCAGAATTGCAGTATCAGAATTGTTAACTATACCTTTATATGAAGCAATATTATCAACCAATGTACACTACAAGTAAAGAATATGTGCAGTGCCTTTTGCCTTTAGTATTACAGGCACTATGCATCTCCAAAATTAATTAGATCAACAGTTTTCCCCCATCACCCACTTCAATGAGGTTGTTTTATACATCTCTAATACAATTAGATTCTTCTGTCTCAATCTGCATTCCATCCTGGAATCCCCCAGCCTCCTAAAAGATGGTCTTTTAAAATTCGTATTCATTAAGGTCCACGCTTTCTGCTATAAAGTGCTATGGGTTTTGACATCTGTGTAGTATGCTTTTTTCCTGTTTCTCATCTTCTACATATATAACATCTTACAAACAATTTTACCACCATTCTTCAAACAAACATACATACTTCCACAGTCATCTTCAATTCTACTAAACAGTACAGTCTACATGCTTGCAGGCTTATCTCCATGCACATACCACCTTTTTTTTTTTCCCACAATCTCTAGGAGACTCATTTCAGAAAACTTCACTTTCAAGATTACTAACAGTTGTCTGCTCATGATTAGGCTTCAAAAGAAAAATGTTAAATTTATTTATATAGAAAACAGATTTCATATCCTTATTTTACAACCGAGTTCTCTAACACTTATGTGTCTATCAAAAATAAATTAATGAAAGCTTGAAAACAGTTATGAATTCATTATACTGCTTTCACATCCACTTCAAACTTCCTATATATAAACTGATATAACATGGGTTCACTTACCCAGCTCAGTCTCACTATAAGGATTTTTAAACAAAATCAGTCCAGTCCACTGAACAGTATCAGCTTACTGCAGGTACATTGTCTTTCATAATAAATAACAGTATCAGTAATGCAATACCAACACACAGGGAACTAGACTAAGACCAAGGATATAAATAAGGTAAGAACATACCTATTCCCTGGATGCCTGCCTGAATCCAAATTAAAACCTTCTGAATGGCCAGGGGCGGTGGCTCACACCTGTAATCCCAGCACTTTAGGAGGCCCAGGCAGGCGGATCACCTGAGGTCGGGAGTTCTAGACCAGCCTGACCAACATGGTTAAACCCCATCTCTACTAAAAATACAAAAATTAGCCGGTTGTGGTGGCAGGCACCTGTAATCCCAGCTACTTGGGAGGCTGAGGCAGGCGAATCGCTTGAACCCAGTGGGTGGAGGATGGGAGGATGCAGTGAGCCAAAATCACGCCACTGCACTCCAGCCTGGGCGACAAAGCGAGACTCCACCTGGCCGGGGTGGACGCAGTGGGGAAGAAGCTTGGAAATCGTTACTCTATCCTAATAGTGAGTAAAAAGCTAAACAACAACAACAACAAAGATCAACAACTCTTCTTAGATCCACCAGAGAAGTAAGGTCACAGGGCAAACCACTGCCCCCACAATTGGATAGACAGACAAGGTGATAACAAAGGATCATAATTTATCAAAGCAGAAATCCACAGACAAAAACCTCTCTACAGGAGCCAGCACCCGAGTAGGAAAACCTAAATTGCGATTGATGACTTGCTGGAGGCTTAGTATAGACAAATCTGAAAGTTAAAAACTCTAGGGACACTTTTTTTGGTTTTACCTCCAGGAGCTCTACCAGGTTCTCACAGTAAAGATCCAAGCCAGTGTGGTGGCTCACTCCTGTAATCCCAGCACTTTGAGAGGCCGAGGCAGGTGGATCACTTGAGGTCAGGAGTTTGAGACCAGCTGGACCAACATAGTAAAACCCCATCGCTACTAAAAATACAAAAATTAGCTGGGCATGGTGGAGGACACCTGTAATCCCAGCTACTCAGGAGGCAGAAGCAGGAGAATCGCTTGAACCCGGGAGGCAGAGGTTGCACTGAGCCGAGATCACACCATTGCACTCTAACCTAGGCGACAGAGAAAGACTGTGTCTCAAAAAAAAAAAAAAAGAGAGAGACCTGAGAAAAATACCCACTGCTGCCTGTGCAAGGAGAGTTCTTGTAAAGCTATAGTACTGGTAAGGTCTGCCCTCAAGAAAATCCATCTTACTACAGCCTAACCAACCTGGGGGAAGGAAAATATCCAGCTCCACCTCCCTCTCCCCGTCTACACAGAAGAAGAGAAATACTTAACTCCAGCCTCCTCTAACCATTCTGTCCCACCTAAGGGGATGAAAAGAACTGAGAAGCACTTGTGAAGCTCACAGCCCAGGGCAATGGCTGACTAAACAACTGAAATATAGTCATTGAACTATAGACTATTTTTTCTCTCCCCACAGCTTACCATCACATTACAAAAGGCCTATATATCACAATTCCTTTTATCTGATATATCATATCCAGCTTTCAACAAAAAATTACAAGGCATACTAAAAGACAAAAAAGCAGTTTGAAGAGACAGAGCAAGTACCATAACCAGATTGAAATATGGCAAGAATATTGCAATAAACAGACAAGAATTTAAAGCAACTATGATTCATATGCTAAGGATGCTAACGGGAAAAAACAGACAACATGGAAGAATAGACTGATAATGTAAGCAAGGGGAAAAATCAAAGAGAAATGCTGGAGACCAAAAACACTATAACATAAATGAAGAATGCCTTTGATGGGTTTATTAGTATACTGTTCATGGTTGAGGAATCTGAGCTTGGGAATATGTCAATAGAAACTTCCAAAGCTGAAAAGCAGATTTTTTAAAAAGACTGAAAAAAAGGGAACAGAATATCTAAGAACTGCGTTCAGTTCAGCAGCACATATACTAACACTGGAACAATTCACAGATCAGCATGGCCCCTGCACAAGGATGACATGCAAATTCGTGAAGCGTTAGTATTTTTATAATATATATTTTTAAAAACAATAAGAACTGTGGGACAATTATTATACAAAAGGTACAACATACACATAATGAGAATACAGAAAGAGAAAATATTTGAAGCCGTAATGACAGAATTCCACACAAACTAATGTCAGACAGCAAACCACAGATCCAGTCAGCTCAGAGAACAAGCGGGAAAAGGCAAAACAAAACCAACCACCACCTAACACCTTGGCATATCATATTCAAACTGCAGAAAATGAAAAAAATAAATAAATCTTAAGCAAGAAAAAACACCTTACTTGTAGAAGAGCAGGATTACATCCAACTTATCCTCATAAACCATACAAGCAAATAGAGAATAGAGCGAAATATTTTAAAATTCAAGAGAAAGGAAAAACAAAGAAAAAACTGCTAGCCTGGAATTCTCTACCCTGCAAAATTATCCTTAAAAAGTGAAGGAGAACTAAAGACTTTCTCAAGACCAACAAAAATTGAGGGATTTGTTACCAGTAGACCTGCGTTTTAAGAAATGTTAAAAGTAGTTCTTCAGAAGGAAGAAAAATAATATAGGTCAAAAATAGATCTACAAAAAGAAAGTAACGGCATTAGAGAAGGAATAAGTGAAGGTAAAATAAAAACTTTCTTTTCCTTTTTTTTTTTTTTTGACACAGAGTTTTACTCTTGTTGCCCAGGCTGGGGTGCAACAGCGCAATCTCGCCTCACTGCAACCTCCACCTCCCAGGTTCAAGCGATTTTCCTGCCTCAGTCTCCCGAGTAGCTGGGATTACAGGCACGCACCACCATGCCAGGCTAATTTTTTGTATTTTTGGTAGAGACGGGGTTTCACCATGTTGGCCAGGCTGGTCTCGAACTCCTGACCTCAGGTGAGCCACCCGCCTTGGCCTCCCAAAGTGCTGAGATTACAGACTTAAGTCACCACACCTGGCCTTTTCTTATTCTTAATTGAGCTAACAGGTAACAGTTTGTTCAAAATAGTAACAGCACAGTGTAGTCAATGATTTTAGCTTATATATAAGTGAAATGAATGATGGCAACAATACAGGGGATGGAAGGGAGAAATTAGGAGTATTTTGTTTCAGCCAATTCTGTTGTAAGTCCAAAACTGTTCTAAAAAATGGTCTTTTATTTAAAAAACAAACAAAAGGCAAGAGGGGAGCCCTTTCTGCTTCAGTTTGCTGTTCTGTAAAGCTTGGCACTCATTTTTAGTGGTCAGTGGTCAATAAGACTGGTACCAAATCCTCATTTGGCACATTTCCCCGAGAGTAGCTAAATTATGTATCCAAGGTAAGGATTAAGAAAGAGAGCCTGGCCAGGTGCAGTGGCTCACACCTGTAATCCCAGCCATTTGGGAGGCCAAGGCAGGGGGATCACCTGAGGTCGGGAGCTCAGGACCAGCCTGGCCAACATGGTGAAACCCCCGTTTCTACTAAAAATACAAAAATTAGCTGATGCACGCCTGTAGTCCCAGCTACTGGGGAGGCTGGAGGCATGATAATCGCTTGAACCCGGGAGGCGGAGGTTGCGGTGAGCCCAGATCACACCACTGCACAACAGCCTAGGTGACACAGCGAGGCTCCATCTCAAAAAAAAAAGAAAGAGAACCTAACAGGAAGAGATAAATGCTATGCCTAAAAGGTAACAAGTAGATGTCTTCAGTTTATGCAGTGACCCAGCAGCAGAATGAGTCTTTAGTCTCAGGATCTGCTTTATGAGACTGTGCCCTTCTCTAGTGCAGGGGTCCTCAAGCCCCAGGCTGTGGACCAGTAGCAGTCAGTGGCCTGCTAGGAACTGGCCGCACAGCAGGTGAGCAGCAGGCAAGCGAGCATTACTGCCTGAGCTCTGCCTCCTGTCACATCAGTGGCAGCATTAGTCTCAGGAGTGCGAACCTTATTGTGAACAGCGCATGCAACAGATCTAGGTTGCACACCTCCATTTGTGCATCTAATGCCTGATCTGAGGTGGCACAGTTTCATCCAGAAACCATCCCACCCACCCCGCTACTGCCCAGTGCCTGTGGAAAAACTGTCTTCCACAGAACCAGTCCCTGGTGCCAAAAAGTTTAGGGACCACTGCTCTAGGGAAAGCAGAAAATGGCAATAGGCCCCAGCGAGCTAGGAAAGAGGCATTCATTGCATTCAAGGATGCAGCACTGAAGCTAACCCAAGAGGAGTGGTAGCTACTGAGGCCTGCTCAGAGGACATGGTACAGGGATGTGATGCAGGAAAAGTCCTGAGGGAAAAAAACATTCTCAAGATCTGCTAGGATATGACACAAACATTTTCTATTATGAGGAAAATGAAGAATATCGGCCCGGCACAACGGTTCACACCTGTAATCCCAGCACTTTGGGAGGCCAAGGCAGGTGGATCACCTGAGGTTGGGAGTTCGAGACCAGCCTGACCAACATGGAGAATCCCCATCTCTACTAAAAACACAAAATTAGCCTGGCATGGTGGCACATGCCTGTAATCCCAGCTACTTGGGAGGCTGAGGCAGGAGAATCGCTTGAACCCGCAAGGCGGAGGTTGCTGTGAGCCGAGATCATGCCATTGCACTCCAGCCTGGGCAAAAGAAGTGAAACTCCATTTCAAAAAAAAAAAAAAAAAGAAGAAGAAGAAGAATATCTCACACTGAGACTTGAAAATCTCTCCCTTAACTCAGCCATTTAAAAATTAAACTGTGACATAAACTCCTTGACTACTTCATTTTATTTTAGACTCTTTCAAAAAATAAATAATAATTGGTGTGCAAATATTAAGGAGCAGGTTTGGTTGTTTTGTTTTTGTATTTAATCTACCTTAGAATCTACCTTAGAAACCTGTAGACACATAAAAGCACTTAACAATGAAGTTGCTTAATTCAACTAGTTGTGTAATATATTCTGCAAGGGCTTTTATCAGCAACATATTTTAAAGCCAATTTTAGTATGCTTTGGGAAACAGAAAGTGTGTGATAAATATCTCCCTTGGCTTCTCAAAAGCTAGGCTACAGGCTTATATAGAAGAAATCTCACTTCAGCAGTAATCTTTACTAACTCTGGTTATGTAATCTATTTGGCCTCTAATTTATTTTGGCCTCAATTAGCTTTATTTTGGCTTTGAATTAAGAGAGAATGAACATATGTACTTGATAATGATTAAATAAATATATGTGGTCACAGCTCCACTTTGCAATAGTATACACATCTGCTATTCATCCAAAAATCATGAAAACCAGGACCAGGCTGTTATATGCTGTTCATTAGCGTCCACACAAATGTAATTTTATTGCTGTGTCTGGTCTCATATTCATTTGTAATGCTTTCTGGAAAATAATTTTTAAATGGAGTGAAAGGTAGAAGATGAGCTTCATTTTAACTGGGAGGGAAGTAAAGCAAGTAAACATATATTAAGTTTTCAAGATGTCACAATTTCTTATGCCAGGAAAATAAAAATATCTCAAACTGATAATAAGACTAGACACACAAGCCATTTTATACAAATTTACTTTATACATTTTTATTACAATCCAAAGCATTTAATTTATTTGATTAGGTAAGGATAAAACAACAAATCTTCCAAAATATTCACAAGCCCTAATTTGGTAAGTATACTCAATCTGAATTCGGCTTCCCATAATGAAAATGTTCAGTTTCAATAAATCTAGACTAAAGGGATGAAATTTCACCCTTTACAAGATGTAATTACATACACAGGTGACTAATTAAGACATTGAGACTTGAGCTATAAAAACTAAGTGACCCAGATCTATACTAGATCATAAATCATGTCATGATCCTTGAAGTTACTTATATAATCCTATCCATAATTAAAATAAGTCATTAATATACATATTAGCAAGTATGAATAATCCTCAACTATCATGCACATGGTACATGAAAGAATAGACAATATTTTAAAACATGTAAGTCAGAGTTTCTATTCTGGTAATATGGTAAAAAGACAACCAGAAAATACTTCTTTTACAAAACATCTAGAACTACTGGTGAATCTTTTTATTTGATTTGTACATATACACAAAATAAAATATACAAACACCCCTTTAAATGTAGAACTTATCAAGAAAGTAGGAGAAATCTCCTGAGACCAAAAATGAACAGGAAAGTAAAAAGCAGTACATGGCCAGGCGCAGTGGCTCACGCCTGTAATCCCAGCACTTTGGGAAGCCAAGGTGGGCAGATCACAAGGTCAGGAGTTCGCGACCAGCCTGGCCAATATGGTAAAACCCCGTCTCTACTAAAAATACAAAAATTAGCCGGGTGTGATGGCAGGCGCCTGTAATCCCAGCTACTTGGGAGGCTGAGGCAGGAGAATGGCTTGAACCTGGGTGGCGGAGGTTGCAGCAAGCCGAGATCGTGACACTACACTCTAGCCTGGATGACAGAGCAAGACTCCATCTCAAAAAAAAAAAAAAAAAAAAAAAAAAAAGCAGTACATGTTTGACCTGATGCTATGACGACCCTGGATTTTCTGATTTCAGAAACTGAGAAACTTCTGTTCCAATGACAAGCCAGAGAAGATCTTGGCACACAAGACACAGTGTTAGAAGTAAGATTCCTGCACAAAGCATGGACTCTCAAAGAACAATGAAGTAGAAAGATCTGCCCACTGGCAGAGGGACACAGGAAGCCTTTTTTGTCTTGCCCTAGGCTCTGAAAAGGTAGGAAAGATCACCAAAGATTTCATAATCATAAGACTGCCCCTACATAGGTTTAGAGTTTGATTTATTCTATCCACATAGTACAGAAACTCCCAACTTCAAAAATTAAATATAAAAAATGACTTCTGCTTGAATAAGGCAATGATAACATTTGATAACTCATTTACCAAAACTCAAACTAAGCCGGGCACAGTGGCTCATGCCTGTAGTCCCAGAAGTTTTTAGATCAGCCCAGGAAACGGTTTTTTTTTTGTTTTGTTTTTGTTTAAACAACAACAAAAAAAACTCATGCTGAGCAGCGCAGTGGCTCATGCCTGTAAGCCCAACACTTTGGGAGGCTGAGATGGGCAGATCACTTGAGCCCAGGAATTCAAGTCCATCCTGAGCAACATGGTGAAACCCCATCTCTACAAAAGATATGAAAATTAGCCGGATGTGGTGGCACACACCTACAGTCCTAGCTACTTAGGAGGCTAAGATGGGAGGATTGCTTGAGCTTGGGAGGCAAAGGTTGCAGTGAGCTGAGACTGCGCCACTGACGAAGCGAGACCCTGCCTCAAAAAAAAAAACAAAAACAAAAACAAAAACAAAACTCAAACTTCACACTTGAGATCTGTGCAATTTACTGTATATAAATTATACTTTAAATAGTTAAGTGGTCGGCTGGGCACGGTGGCTCACGACTGTAATCCCAGCACTTTAGGAGACCAAGGTGGGCAGATCACGAGGTCAGGAGATCAAGACCATCCTGGCTAACATGGTGAAACCCTGTCTCTACTAAAAAATACAAAAAATTAGCCGGGCATGGTGGCGGGTGCCTGTAGTCCCAGGTTATTGGGAGGCTGAGGCAGAAGAGTGTCGAGAACCCAGGAGGCAGAGCCTGCAGTGAGCCGAGATCGTACCACTGCACTCCAGCCTGGGCGACAGAGTGAGACGCTGTCTCAAAAAAAAAAAAAAAAATTTAAGTGGTCACTGGAAACACTTCCAGTGAACTTGGCAAAAGCAACCCAAAATCTCTCTGGAGGAATATGCCCCCAAGTCATTCAGAATTCTCAAGGACAGCCTCTCTGAAGATCTGTTCACAGTCCAAAACTATATAAAACACTCGAGGAAACATTTAACCTTAAGCAAGAATCCAGCAGGTGCAAAAAAAAAAAAAAACAGAAGTAGATTTTTAAGAACTTCAGAAAACTGAACAACTTGATAGAGATTATAAATATTTAAATGATGAAAACACATAAAAGATGGAATAAAATATATGACACAAGAAAAGACATCATCAAACAATAACATATCTCTAATAAGAAAATACAAGAAGCAATCCTCAGTGCATGCTAAAATAATCAATAGATGAGTGGTTAATAAGGAACTAGGTATTTGGCAAAATACAAAAGGATCATCCCACAAATAACTTAAGGACACAAGAGGAAAGGGCTCAACTTACAAATAAAGATAGTAACTTTCAGGCACTAGAGTCAAAAACCAAATATTATAACAAAAGATGCACCTAACATCCCAACTGCTCAGAAAATCTGACCATCTGAACCTACTGAATAATCTTAGCAACACTACAATATAGGACAACTTCTGATGTGACAAATACAAAGTACTCAGTACTACCTATGAGGCATTCATGTCAAAATGTTAAATCTGTCTCTAATCAAGTCTTCAAATCTTTCTTTCCAAGTAACACAGGGGGATAAAAATAAGTCAAATACCACAATAATTTGTTAGAAAAAAAAATTGTCTGGGCGCGGTGGCTCATGCTTGTAATCCCAGCACTTTGGGAAGCCAAGGTGGGTGGATCACAAGGTCAGGAGATCGAGACCATCCTGGCTAATGCGCTGAAACCCCGCCTCTACTAAAAATACAAAAAAATTAGCCGGGCATGGTGGTGGGTGCTTATAGTCCCAGCTACTCAAGAGGCTGAGACAGGAGAATGGCGTGAACCCGGGAGGCGGAGGTTGCAGTGAGCCAAGATCATGCCACTGCACTCCAGCCTGGGCAACAGAGTCAGACTCCATCTCAAAAAAATAAATGAATGAATGAATGAAAATAAAAAATCTGGGATATTCTATAGGACAGCTGACCCAGTCTTTTCAATTAAGTCAACAAGGTGAGAGATAAAAAGGGAAAGGGGGAGGACCAACTGAACTGCTCTAGAAAAACCACATACAACTTGTAAACCAAATGTTTGGACTCTGATTTCAAACAACCAACTATAAAGCAACATTTCTGAGACACAGATATCTGAGTATGAACAGACTAATTTATAACATTAAAGAATTGTTCATCGCAAGTTGTGTGAAAGACAGTGGCATTATGATTCTAGAAAAAATATTTTTTAGAGATGGAAAATAAAGTATTTACAAGTGAGATATCGATGTGTGAATCTGCTTTAAAATATCTCAGCTAATTAAAAAAAAAACCAGCCTAAAAGCCTACACATAGAGAGTAGTTGAATAAACTATGGTACACTCACACAATGGTATACTATGCACTGGCAAAAAACAATGAGGAAGATCTCTATGAAATGATATGGAATGACATTCAAAATGTTAAGTTTTGGCCGGGCACGGTGGCTCATGCCTGTAATTCCGGCACTTTGGGAGGCCGAGGCAGGCGGATCACAAGGTCAGGAGTTTGAGACCAGCCTGACCAACATGGAGAAACTCCGTCTCTACTAAAAATACAAAATTAGCCAGACGTGGTGGTGAATGCATGTAGTCCCAGCTACTCGGGAGGCTGAGGAAGGAGAATTGCTTTAACCCAGGAGGCGGAGGTTGCCGTGAGCCAAGATCGCACCATTACACTTTAGCGTGGGCAACAAGAGCGAAACTCCATCTCAAAAAAAAAAAAATTAGCAAGGCATGATGGCACATGCCTGTAGTCCCAGCTACTTGAGAGGCTGAGGCCAAAGAATCACTTGGACCCGGAAGGCGGAGGTTGCAGTGAGCCCAGATCGTGCCACTACACTCCAGCCTGGGCGACAGAGTGAGACTCCGTCTCAAAAAAAAAAAGTTAAGTTTAAAAAGAACATGCAAAAGAGCATCTACTGTATGTTACTCTTTCATGTAAGAAAAGAAGATTATAAGAATATACACATTCACGGCTGGGCACAGTGGCTCATGCCTGTAATTCCAGCACTCTGAGAGGCTGAGGTGGGTGAATCACGAGGTCAGGAGTTTGAGACCAGCCTGACCAACATGGTGAAACCCCGCCTCTACTAAAAATACAAAAATTAGCCGGGTGTGGTGGCGCACATCTGTTAATCCAGCTACTCAGGAGGCTGAGGCAGGAGAATCGCTTGAACCCAGGATGCAGAGGTTGCAATGAGCCAAGATGGTGCCACTGCACTCTGGGCGACAGAGAGAGACTACGTCTCAAAAAAAAAAAGAATATACACATTCACATTCTGAGAACGGAGATATAATAAAAGAAAAAAAAAGAATATACACACGTATCAACTCATTTGTACATAAACAAATTCACAAGAAAAAAGCAGAAATTATTAAGACTAAGATACCTATAGAGAAGGGTGGGGAAAGACTGGAAAAAAGGGGGTAGGAGATGGGACTAGGATAGAAGGGATGGGGAAGAAGAACACTTTCCTGAGTATAAATTTTTGTATTATTTTTTACTGTTAGGAACATGTCAATTGTTTCACATAACACCAAAGTAAATTCGTTTCTCACAATGGTGGTATAGGCTAATGATTTTAAAACTCCCTTAATGTGTACACTAAGATGGGCAAATAAGAAAATCTATCATGATAATGAGAGCCAGGTTTCTCACTATCACAGAATAGAAGTAAATATCCCAAGTAAGAAAAGGGAGAAGACTACAATGATAATTTTGTGGTAGTAGACTGGAATTGGCGATAACATGAATTTGTTTTTACGTATAGCAAAGACACAGAACTAGGGGTATGTGTGTCTACATACATCATATATTTCCTAACTCTGTCCACTGAGAGGTACTAAACTAAATACAATAAAAGAAAATACAGCCGGGAGCAGTGGCTCACGCCTGTAATCTCACGCACTTTGGGAGGCCAAAGCAGGCGGATCACCTGAGGTTGGGAGTTCGAGACCAGCCTGACCAACATGCAGAAACCCCGTCTCTACTAAAAAAACAAAATTAGCCAGGCATAGTGGCGCATGCCTGTAATCCCAGCTACTCGGGAGGCTGAAGCAGGAGAATCACTTGAACCCGGGAGGTGGAGGTTGCAGTGAGCCGAGATCGCGCCATTGCACTCCAGCCTGGGCAACAAGGACAAAACTCCGGCTCAAAAAAAAAAAGAAAAAGAAAAAAGAAAATCCAGTAGCAAAGAGCATACCTAGTTTCCACATCTTCATTTCTAAATACCATTCTCTAATAAAAGGAGCCAGAACTCCTTGGAGAAATAGTTGATTCAAGGAGTGGAACAGAAAAAGGACACAATGAGTCTGGACTGCCTGGAGTCGCCAGAAAGTAAATAAGTACTTAAAAAACAATGAGGGCGGCTGGACGCGGTGGCTCACGCCTGTAATCCCAGCACTTTGGGAGGCCGAGGCGGGCGGATCACCAGGTCAGGAGATCGAGACCATCCGGGCTAACAGGTGTGAAACCCCGTCTCTACTGAAAAATGCAAAGAATTAGCCAGGCGTGGTGGCGGGTGCCTGTAGTCCCAGTCACTCGGGAGGCTGAGGCAGGAGAATGGCGTGAACCCAGGAGGCGGAGCTTGCAGTGAGCCAAGATGGCGCCACTGCACTCCAGCCTGGGCGACAGAGCAAAACTCCGTCTCAAAATAAATAAATAAATAAATAAACAAACAAACAATGAGGGCATGTACAAATGACTCAGGAACCAACTTGAAAGAGCTCCCAGTGGTCAAATCTGCAACAATTTGAGCAAGAAAATCATGACAGTTTTGGATTACAACCTACAGGATAAAATAAATGCCCATGAATCCATACTAATTGTATCAGAAAAACACATTTCCTTCTCTCACAGGGTCAACATAACAGAACATTTCTGACACCAGATCGCTGGGCGGGGTGACGGGGGGGTTCCCCACACCAAGCAATTCTACAACACCAGCTGGGTGTCCTACAAGCCAGTTCAATTCTGACACTATCTATGTGAAGACAGCATCAGATCCCAGTAACGGGCTCGGTCCTAAAAGACTGCCTCCAACACTGCAGGCACCCGTGCTTCTGACTGGCCAGCTATAAACTGGATGTTCCCACAATCCCCTCCTCAGGTTCAATCATTTGCTAAAGTAGCTCACAGAACTCCGGGAAACACTTTATTTATATTTATCAGTTTATTATAAAGGATATTACAAAGGATACAGATGAACAACCACATGGAAAAGATACATAGGGAGAGATCCAGAAGGGTCACGAGCACAGGTGATTCCATCCTAATGAAACATGAAAATGGATGTGTTCACCAACCCAGAAGCTCTCCAAACCCCCATAATTCAGGGATTTTTTTTTTGAGGCTTTTTATATAGGTATGACTGATTATTAGCTCTATCTCCAGTCCCTCTCCCCTGCCCAAGGATGTGAAGTGGAGCTGAAAGTTCCAAGCTTCTAATCATGGCTTGGTCTTTCTGGTGACCAGCCCCCATCCAGAAGCCTATCAAGAGTTGCCTCATTAGAACAAAAGATGTTCCTATCACCCAGGAAATTCCAAGGGATTAGGAGTTCCATGTCAGGCACTGGAATCAAAGACCAAATATTAGAACAAAAGATGCACCTAGCAACCCTACTGCTCAGGAAATTACAAGGGTTTTAGAAGCTCTGTGCCAAGAACCAGGGGACTGAGACCAAATATATTTTCACAATATCACACTAATATAAATAACTGAATAAATAAATGAGAGAGACAGGACAGCTCTACGTTAAGGTAGAAAGCTAATAATGCACACAGAAGGAATAATGGAACTAGAAAAATCGCTATTTGGCAAACAGCAAACATCACAGTAATAATTAACACAGGCAAAAACCATCAAGGAATGCTAAAATTTGTGGATAAAAGTATGATGAGAAACAGGATAATTGCACAGCCTCAAATATATATTGCAAGGGAAAAAACAGTAACTACAGTGAAAAAAAAACTAGCAGACAAAACCATAGCCAAGTGATCAACTGTAACATCACCTAGTATCCACATAATGTGCCTGCTGACAGGATGCCCTGAGAAGGGCATAATACCACTTCTGTGGTATTCTTGCCAAAAATGTATAACTTTAATCAAATCATGAGAAACAGCAAATAGAGCCAAACTGAGGAACGTTCTACAAATGACTGGCCAATAATCTTCAAAAATGTCCAGGTTATGAACAACAAAGAAAGACTACCAAAACATCTCAGATTAGAAAAGGCCGAGGAGATAACTAAATGCAAAATGGTATCCTGGACCAGAGAAAGGACTAATGGGGAAAACGGAGAAATTCAAATATGGTCTACAGATTAGTTAACAGTATTCTATCAACATTAATTCCTGGTTAGATAACTGTTCTATGGTTATACAAAATGTCAATATTTAGGGAAGCTGGGTGAAAGTTACACTAGAGCTATGTACAATTTTTGCAACTTTTTTTCCAAGTCTAAAATTACTGATATACTGTTTTCTCTACTTTTATGTAGCTGAAATTTCTTCATAAGGGGGCACAAGGAACTTCTAAAAAAATTAAAATATAGTCACTGATATTAAAACCTCAATTAACATGTTAAACTGCAAAGTTAGGCACAGCTGAAGAAAGAATTTTGTATCTAGATGGCAGGTACAAAAGAAAAAAAAAAACAGAAAGTGGCTCAGAGAAATAATGAGAGAGAAGATAAAAGAGCAAAATTAAGAGGAAAGGAACAGGGAATTAGAAAGGAACACATATCAAACAAGAGTTCCAAAGGAGACTAAGGAGAACGAAGGAAAATTAAGAAAAAAAAGGATAAGAATTCTCTAGAATTAACAAACGACAAAAATGCTTAGATTCTAGAAATATGAATCCTAACCAGGATAAATAAAAATATATCCACATCTAGACACAGGGTAGACAAAGCTGCAAAATACCAAAAATCAAGAGAAGCTTTTAAAAACCACAAAAATATTAAAAAAGATAAATGATAAATTACAATGCAATACAGACTTAATCGTACCAACAATTAAAGCCATACACCCTCAAAGGTCTGAGTGAAAATAACTAATCACGTAGAATTCTATACTCAACTAATTATCATTTCAAGAATGAGGGCAAAATAAATACATTTTTAGACAAAGACCAAGAGTTACTATTAACAGACGCTTATTGAAAGAAACACTGAAGGGCATACTTCAAACAAAAGGAAGCTGAATCCAAATGGATTAACTGGGATGCAAAAAGCAATGGTAAAATAAGAAATTGCTACACTGAGTAAACCTAAAAACATGAAACTTATTTTAAAAGGTCCTTTAAACAAAGCTACCATGTTCAATTTTTTAAAGTAATTCAACTCGTAAAAAAAACACAAAAAACAAAAAACAATGGCTTCAGTAAGATACCTTTCACAAAGAAAAAAAGCACCAAACACGGAATTCAAAAATTTCAACTAAGAATATAGCTCCCTCTCATTTATCTTGGTCAAAGGCCTTGGTTTCTTCACCCAAAGAAGGGAAGGAAGGCATTTAGCTAGAGGATCCTTAAGATTCCCTTCCAGTTCTAGGATTCAAGGGATAGAAAACAGACCTTCCCAATTTAACAGAACATCCTTCAAAACTGTAAGTTGTTTACACCAAGATCCTTCATACACAGGGACAGTGCTTTAAAGCAAGATCCAGTCTAAAGCTTTAGATTTTAAATAATTGGCTATCTGCTTCTATGCAAAAGCCAACTGGAAACGGATATGATCTCAGAAAAAGAACAAAGAAAATAATGCACTTTTAAACTGTTCCATTTTTAAAGAGCTGATGGAGGAAGGAAAGGCACGGTCCAAGTGGTAGGACAATGGAAACAGTACAAAACTCAATAAGCTTAAGTGAAAATTTCTAAAAGAAATATAGTATCAATATCAATTGTTACAAAAATAAAAACAGTCATATTTTATTCCTAGTTCACAAATTAGCTGACAAACCCCTCCTTCCAAAATCTTAAAGATTCATTGTAATTTCTGAAGAGTCATCAACTCTGGAATACATCGAAGGTAGACAAAATCCCCAAGTGCAGGCAGCCTATACTCATAAAGGTACCCTATTCTTTTTCTTTTTTTTTTTTCATCTCCAGCCATACAGAGGAAGGTATCCTTTTCTTTATAATCACCAAGTTTCAATCTTCTACTAAGGATGAATGAAAAGCTCAATGTTACAAGCAAAGAAAGCTTTTATTAAAAAGCAAAGCTATTAAAATACTGTGTTATGTAAAGGCATTCAGTTATACTACAACTACTCCCCTTCAAAATTCCTTCAATAAATGCTAGGAGATATGGAGCATAAAAAAGTAGACAATACAATTGAAACTTATTAATTTGAGACACGGTGATGGATATTACTTGATATGAAGAAACTAAAACTGGATGAGAGTTAAGATATTAAAAAAAAAAAAACCCTACATTAACATTTGAGAACACATGTACACACACACACACAAAGAGACACACACCACGAGTTTGTTGTTTCTTAATTTCCAAGACCCTGATTCATATGCCATTCAAGCTAAACCCATAATCCAGATTTCCCGAAAAGATCAGTGGTTCTTCTAACACATCACTCTTATTTTTTAGATAATGATCTCAAAAAACCTCATCTCCAAACATATGTGAATCTATATAATCTGCCTAAATGTAACTGGCTACATTTTCCACTTTCCATACAAAAAGAATCTTTTTATGGCCGGGCACAGTGGCTCACGCCTGTAATGCCAGCACTTTGGGAGGCCGAGGCGGGCAGATCATGAGGTCAGGAGATCGAGACCATCCTGGCTAACATGGCAAAACCCGTCTCTACTAAAAATACAAAAAATTAGCTAGGCAAAGTGGCAGGTGCCCGTAGTCCCAGCTACTCGGGAGGCTGAGGCAGGAAAATGGTGTGAACCCAGGAGGCGGAGCTTGCAGTGAGCCAAGATCGCGCCACTGCACTCCAGCCTGGGCAACAGAGTGAGACTCCATCTCAAAAATAAATAAATAAATAATAAATAAAAATACATACTTTTAAAATATAAATATCATTCAAAGCTGTTTAATATAAATTCACTTCAAATTGAATCATTAAAGTTTAACTTTATAAAAAAAATCTAAAATGATTTGGAATATGAAAGGATCCTAAACAAACAAACAAAACACCCTTAAACTTGACACAGGTCCTCAACATCACCAAGATTAGTACGGTTGCTTAGCATGGTAACTGTGGAATCAGACTGAGGGGCTCCAGCATTAGGAGCAGCCACATAGGAATCACCTCTACTCACTGTAACATAAGACAACTGTTTACTGTAACTCTGGTTGTTCATTTCTCTAACAATTTCATACACACATCTTCCCGTTGCTTAGTCTGAACTGTATACTGCTAGTCATTATCATAAGGAAAAAAAAATCTCAGACTAATATAATAGAGGCCAAATTTAGAGAGAGGAATAAAAATCTTCCTTCAGTCTAGGCTAAATGGACTGATTACACAAAGAACTCCATACATCCGAAAGCACACAGATGTCTGCACTAGTTCCCAGGGCTCAAACAATACCAGTCATTCAATAGCTTTCCCTTTACGTAAGTTGCTATGAGAGAGCTCAATCAGCTCTTGTGAACCTCATAATCCAGGATCCTGGAACTCTGAAAAGTCTACATTTTTCCTCAGCACTGTTTTCATGTACTTTGTCTGGAACTCAAACTTCGTATTTCCCCCAAAAAATAAATCTGGAAATCATCTCTTCTGTTTGACAAATGATGTACTCTACCTATAATTACTTTTCAACTAAAACCACAATCCACGATACAAATCTAAGATCATTAACACTGAAAGATCATCTGATGAATATATTTTTCAGTGTAGGAGTTTAAAATATAATTTTAAATACGCTCCATCATTTGTACATATATCAAATGTATATATACCATTTGACCAGATTCTATTTGTTTCCAGTTGAGTCGTTTTTAAAATAACCATGACACAAAATGACTTCTCAAAATTAAAAGAAATTTTGAGAGGACTGTTAAAGCTGGGGAGGGGGGTTGAATTTACCCGCTCTCTCTCCCCTACTCTCCCCTCCTCTGCCTCCCACATTAACCACACACATCAAAAATAATACAAAATATTTCACTGGGTGTTTGACCAAGCCTTTAGTCCACAGAAAGAGTTATTCTTCACTGAACCACCTTCAGAAGCTAAATAACACTACCTTCTACCTTCAAAGTAAATTGCTACTGATTCTTCCAATAATCTTTTTTATCAGCTAAGTCTTTGGTGAATTCTCACATTCAATAATGAGAAATAACAAGGATAAATTAAAGCCACAGAAACTCTAAAGTATTTTTTAATCAAATGGCGAAATTACTTCAGAAGATACTTATCAGACCTGCTACCCAGAAGTAAAGCTCATTAGTTTTGGGGAACAAAATGAAAATGATTAATTTACTCACTGAACTGTTAGATCCTGAAGAGTCAAGAGGAACTATATACATTCAGTTCCCTTTAATAATGTACTATCAGGTAATCATTAATCTCTTATAGAAATGATCAAGATCCCATTCCAAAATTTGGTAATGAAGCTCATAACAGCTCTTGTGCCCCTTCTAATTATTTTAACACTCTTCCTCTCTTCACATTCATGTTACATAATGCAAATAAACATGCTTTGAAGAAGAAAAAGTTGTCTCTCCCAAGTTTTCTGTCCTTAAACAGTAAAGATAAACCAAACCCCCTCTCTCCAACCAGAGTACAAAATGCAGAACTCTGAACATAATAACCATTTAACAGATATTTCATTAAATTTCAATCATCACCCTTACAGTGGTAAAATTGAACTTGTCAAGAAGAGGGGAAAAAAGAACTTTATCTTTTCACCACGGTATTCTTCCCTAATGACGACTACAAGCACCAAAATCCTATGTGTTCTACAAAGCAGTAACCTCAGAAACATTTCAACACCCTCTGAGCCTTACAAACTCTGTTAGCAAAACACAAACTCCGTTTCTCAAAAATATCTATAAAGTTCTCAACAACCAAATTCTTTGATAACTACAGTTACATCTGAGACCTCCTCCTCAGGACATCCAATCGTTTTTCCTACGATCAGAGCCACTACAATATTTCCTGGTGCTTTAAGAGCACCATCTTGCTTCAACAAACACGTTTTAATTTCACTCTAAAAAATACATATTTGTATTTCCAGACATCTCCCTCTAAAATTTCCCTATACTACTGCCCACATAATCCTTTACAGTCAAATCAGTCTTCTCATTTTTCTACAACATGGCATCCTGTTCAACCTCTGTAACCAGGCCTGATATCAAGATAAAGAAGCACATATAAACCTTTCTTCCATTCTCCCCAAGTTCTCATTTATTACATAAAAAGAATTCACTCCTTTCTATAAGTGAAATGAGTTTTAAAGCATTCTAATACAACTGAAAGCTAAAGAAAACAAAGTATTAAAATAGTACAGGTTATTTATCTTTGGATTTTAACCAAATATTAGTCATTTTAGGTTCATGTTCAGATAGTTATCTATACTTAGCCATGACAGACTAGCCATGACAATTTATTCAATAAAGAAATATCACAAAATGGTGTATACTAATAGTAGAAATGAGACATAGTAACAGAGAAGCAATGTGAGGATACAGTTCACACTCTGAAATGAGATTTACTCAGAGCTTTAAGTTTTCCTTCTCATTAGAAAATAAACCTTTATTGCAAATATATGTTTAGCTAACTAGAAATGAGTTATTTAATAATTTTTATTTTTCATTCAATACTGACATTAAATAACGCTTCAGAGTGTAACAAAAAAACACTAGTATCACAGTATCATTGTGTATATAATAAAAGGTATAAGATCTAGATTAGTCTATCTCATCTTGGGCTATCAAATACTTCTCATTTCATTCCTTCTTCTCTCTCTTTAAATTATCTTCTGATATCACAAAAAATAAATACAGAAGAAAACCCAAGAAATATAAACATGGCTATTAGAAACCCAAAACGATTTACAGAAACACTAAGAACACAACACACTGGGCACAGTGGCTCACACCTGTAATCCCAGCACTTGGGGAGGCCAAGGCAGAGCGATTGATCACTTAAGCCCAGGGGTTCAAGACCAGCCTGGGCAACACGGTGAAATTCTGTCTCTACAAAAAAAAATTTTTTTGAGACAAAGTCTCACTCTGTTGCTCAGGCTGGAGTGCAGTGGTGCGATCTCAGCTCACTGCAACCTCTGCCTCCTGGGTTCAAGTGATTTTCGTGCCTCAGCCACCCGTCTAGCTAGGATTACAGATGTGCGCCACTACGCCCAGCTAACAAAAAATTTTTTTTAGCTAGCCAGGTGTGGTAGCGCACACCTAAAGTCCCAGCTACTTGGGAGGCTGAAATGGGAGGATCACTTCAGCCTGGGAGGCTGACAGTGCAGTGAGCTTTGATTGCACCACTGCACTACAGCCTGAGTGACAAAGCAAAAACCCTGTCAAAAATAATAATAACACAACGTAACTTTCCACATTCAAGTCTACTCAACAAAGAAGCCCAAAGAATCTAAAATTCCTGTTTTCGATCTTTCTTTTCTCATAGGGGTCAGGGTGGTGTATGTCAGTGGAGAAAAACCGAAAGGAGGTATGATGATCTTCGTACACTGTACAAAAACTTACCCACTTGAAGGATCTAAGGCAATAGCTCTGGGTTGATCCAACTCTTGCCAAAATAAAACTTTTCGTAAAGATCCATCTAAATTAGAAACTTCAATCCGATTAGTTTCAGAATCTGTCCAGTACAATTTTTCTCCAAGCCAATCACATGCCAGCCCATCGGGGGACAATAATCCAGAAACAACAACATTCTGCACACTCTCAGTTTTGTTAAATTCTGTTCGTTTAATGGCTTCTTCGCTGACATCACTCCAGTATATCAAGCCATGACTAAACACAAAGTCCACCGCAGCTGCATCCTCCAAGCCTCCAACTACAATCGTAGCATTCTCTTTGCCATTTGTAGCATCAACCAATCGCAAGTCCCGTCTGTTTGCATAAAGCAACAAAGGGGCCGCTAGAACAAAAAAAGAAAAATATGTAAGTGAAAAGGAAGAAAACGTATTGGTTCTTATAAACTGCGTTTCAAATCGGTTTAAGTGAGCAAAGACTGTCGAAAATAAGAAAAGAATAAATAAATCATTAGGAGACCATCTAAACTTCACACACAAAATATTATTTTTGCAGCATTTAAAAAATAAGACATAGGAAATGGGGGGAACTATTTCCACCACGATAGTCTTTTCTTGTTAAAATAACTCAGATAAAATTTTAAAGCCTGGCTATACCAAGAATTGGCAATAATATGGAGCTACTGGAACACTCATACTCTACTGGGGTGAATGTAAAATGGTACAGCCACTTGGGAAAACAGTTTGGCAGTTTCCTAAAAGGTTAAACATACAACCTACTATACAATCCAAGGCAATAGCTAGATACTGTTTATTCCACATCTAGGTATTTACTCAAGAGAAACAAAAACATATGTCAATACAAAGACTTGTATGCAAATGCTCATACCAATTTATTTGTAATAACCCAAACTGGAATCAACCCAAATGTCATCAACAGGCTAATGGATAAAAAACTGTGATACTGCCATACAACAGAAAATAATGAACCCTTTGTACATGAAAAATGGGTGGATCTCAAAATAATTCAGAATGAAAGAAGCCAGGCCAAAACAAAGGTATATATTGCATGACTCTCATCTATATAAACTTTTACAAAAGGCAAACTTTTGTAAAAACACAAAGCAGATCAATGGCTGTCTCAAAATAGGGAAAGAAGGTGCAAAAGAATGAGGGGGAGGATTAAAAATGGGCATGAGCAAACTTTTGCAGGTGATGAGCTATATTATCAATAATGATGGTTTCGGAGGTGTAAACATGTCAAAACTTATTAAATTTTACACTTAACATAAGCAAAATTTATTGTCTATCAATTATACCTTAATAAAACTGTTACAGTTTGACAGAAATAGTTCTTAGTAAAGCTACTTTATTCTGTTCTATATTACTATTAAAATGACCTTTGAAAAGACCCGAAACTAAATATAAAGCCAATCTTACAGAAATAACATTTAACTTTGAGAAAGTTGAAGCTGTTGGGAGTGAGGTAGTATAAATTCCATGTTTTTTGGTTTTTATTAAATATCTATTCCAAGCTTCTGACATTTACTTTCCTAGTATCAAGCAACAATTAAAAATCTAGAGCACTACTGTCCTACAGAACTTTCTGTGATGATGGAAATGTCCTCTCCACTGCATAACACAGTACCACCAGTCACACGCAGCTATGGAGCGCTTAAAATGTGGCTAGTGTGACTACAAAATTAAATTTTTAATTTTATATAAACTTTTTTTTTTTTTTTTTTTTTTTGAGACAGAGTTTTGCTCTTGTTGCCCAGGCTGGAGTGCAATGGCACGATCTCAGCTCACTGCAGCCTCCGCCTCCCAGGTTCAAGCAATTCTCCTGCCTCAGCCTCCTGAGTAGTTGGGATTACAGGTGCCCACCACTATGGGTCCGGCTAATTTTTTGTATTTTTACTAGAGGTGGGGTTTCGCCATGTTGACCAGGCTGGTCTTGAACTCCTGGCCTCCGGTGATCCACCCGCCAGGGCCTCCCAAAGTGCTTGGGATTACAGGCGTGAGCCACTGCGCCCGGCCCCAATTTTATATAATCTTAATTCATTCCAATTTATATAGACAAGTGTGGCTAGTGGTAGTATTGGATAGCACACATCTAGAGGCTGGAATGCAGAACATAAATGAGGCAGCAAAAGTAAGACCAAGCCAGGCACGGTGGCTCACGCCTGTAATCCCAGCACTTTGGTTAAGCCCGGGAGTTCAAGACCAGCCTTGGCAACACATGGAAACCCCATCTCTACAAAAAAATTAATTTAAAAAAGTAGCCAGGCATAGTGGTGCACGCCTGTAGTCCTAGGTACTCAGGAGACTAAAATGGGAGGGTCACTTGAGCCCAGGAATTTAAGGCTGCAGTGAGCCTGGGTGACAGAGGGAGACCCTGTCTCAAAAAAAAAAAAAAGAGTGAGTTATGATACAATTATCTACATGATCTTCTTTCATAATTACTTACTAAGGGTCTACAACTGTGTCATCTGAAGCCAAGCCCAACTACCATTTAGAAGTAACGATTCCCCTTTTCAAGAAATTACTCCAATCTCAAAAAAGTGTAAGAAAAAAGTGATGTTTACACTATAGATTGTGTCTGTCAAATAGTTATAAATGTATACTATTTTCATCTATAAGTACAACATAAACTTCCCTAACTAAGCTTAAATCCAACTTTCTTAGTCAAAAACAAACTGGCAGACAGCTTTTTTAAAAAGTGGCTAACCAATCTTTCTGCTTATTCTGTGTATCTGCTGCAGCTATCAGCAAATTCATAAACTTCCCTAACAGAGTCACTTTTAATTCATTTCTGGCCTTCACACATCACACTGATTTATCAGTCCCCACAGAGCCCACTATACTGAGTCTCTCATACTATGGGCCAAATATAAACATCAGAAAAAAGGTCCCTACTAGTGAAGGATACAATGCTAAGTGCTGCATAAGGCTAAGGAATACCCACGAAACACTTAAAATTGAAAATTCAAGAGTGATAATCATCTAATATTTACTGGGCACCTTCTTTATGGCACTATCTTGGAAAACTATATCAAAGCTATAGGACATTAGGTGGCAGCCAAATGTCTTTCATTGCTTTCAAGTCAAACTTTAACACTTCTACGTGTACTGAATATTTTTGGTCTACAAAATCCAAAAACGCTTTCTGGTCAGTTAAGGCCTCACAAGCATTCTGAGTCTCTTCTCCCTCCTGAAAACGGGTGAAGGAGGCAAAGTTAATCTTTTTTAAGTTAGCAATACTGGTTACAATTGAGGATTTGTAAAGGACTGTACATAAATCTGCTGCACATAAACCACACTATTGAAAGGAAATCCCAGGGTTCATCCTGTCCAACCACCCTTCTGATGCTTGAATACTTTCTATTACATTGTCACCAGTATCTGTTCAGCAACATATTAAATGGGATATCTGATAGGTATAATTTGATTTGTAACATTGTTTTTATCTACCAAACAGATACACTGGAACCACATACTTGCTCCCTGGAACATGCCAGTATCTTCCATTCCAGAGAGCTTACTTTCTGACTGCCTAGTATTCAGATAACCCAAATAATCACCATCACTTCTCTTCAGTGGAACACTCACAGTGCTCAGGAATCCTTGTTTTCCTTTATTAAACTCCTGGGAAACTTTCTCTACCAGCCTTTCTAAGCCTTTTCTACTTTTAAAGACTAATTTCCATGCCCTGAATCCTTTATCCTCAGATCATCTCATAAAACAATCTCAGTGAAGCAGGATACAAGGTAAATGTCATACATCCCCAACATCTTAATTTATACCTCTCAAAATTTTCTCTCCACCCATCTTCCCTTACCTTGTCCTCAGTCTCAAATGAGAAGATGGCCTTCCTCCTAAGGCTAAAGCAATACTTTCGGTTCAGCCTCCTTACCTCCTCTCTACAACTTCGCTCTATCAATTGTTCTGTATTTCTCGTATTTTCAATGGTTTACGCCAGGTTCCTTGCTATTGTTTTGTTTTAATAACCCTAACCTTGCTACCATCAGAATAATAATTATATTTCTACTAACTGCAAAATCTTATAACATTGGTATATATACTTCACACTACCATTCATTAGCTATTACTCTTTTATCTAACTTCCTATCCATCACTCAACTGCAAGTGCTTCCTCTAAATCTTTATAACCAAATCCAGTGGTCTTTTCTCAGTCTTTACTCTTTTTTTTTTTTTTTTTTTTTTTTTTTTGAGATGGAGTCTGGCTCTGTCGCCCAGGCTGGAGTGCAGTGGTGCAATCTCGGCTCACTGCAAGGTCCGCCTCCCGGGTTCACGCCATTCTCCTGCCTCAGCCTCCCGAGTAGCTGGGACTACAGGCGCCCGCCACTACGCCCAGCTAATTTTTGTATTTTTAGTAGAGATGGGGTTTCACCGTGTTAGCCAGGATGGTCTCGATCTCCTGACCTCGTGATCCGCCCGCCTCGGCCTCCCAAAGTGCTGGGATTACAGGCTTGAGCCACTGCGCCCAGCCTCTCAGTCTTTATTCTTAACACCTCTAGAGCAGTCAATGCTGTTGACTATATCCCTACCTATATAGAATGTTCTCCTCATACAATACTACCTATTTTTTCTTGTCTTGTTTCAAACCTTCCACTTCCTATATATAGGTATCCTAAGACTCTCTGTTGTTCCAAATGACAGAGTATAAAAAATTAAAGTTCACAAGCAACAGCAACACAAGGTGGCAGCCACCACAGGCTCGGGGGTAAAAGTCCCTTGCAATTTCCCACTTTTGGAAGAACTCAAAGAAGGCCAGAAAGGAGTAGGAGATGGCAGTTAGCTGAGGTCTAGACAATGATAAAGACGTGACACTTACAAGACGTACAGGGATGATAATTGGGCCTGCAAGAACAATTTATGAAAACTGAATATACAGCCTTAAAATAAAATGTGGACCTAAATACCCAGAAGCACCCCCCTTTGTAAGATTTGTAACAAAAAATTAATATGAATGGAGTTAATAGTTCTAATGGATTGGTGGACCCAAGAGCCATATCAGTGCTAGCAAAATGGCAGAATTCACAGCACCAAAGTTGTCCTGCAAGAGCTTTGGCGCCTAATGGTGTCTAAAGAAAATATGAAACTCCCTCAGCCACCTCAAGGACAGTGTTACAGCAACTAATCGAAAAGAAAAACCACAACACAGTGTTACAGCAATTAATCGAAAAGAAAAACCACAGGCCCTTCCTCTTCCCCCTCATTCAATTTAAGCAGTCTTCATTTTCCACAGCAGCAAATTTTCTAGATATGTCTTGTAGACCTCAAAGTACTGGAAAGGAAGCTCCCATTCAAAGGAAATTTATCTTAAGATGCTGTAAAACTAATTTTTTGTCCATTTGAAATATATAAGTTGTGCTATAACAGAAGGAAGGAAGGAAGGAAGGAAGGAAGGAAGGAAGGAAGGAAGGAAGGAAGGAAGGAAGGAAATAAATTAATTAAAGTTCACCTGGTCAACAAGCAATTCTATGCAGCTAATTCCCAAAACATCATCTCTAGTTCTGTCCCTCTAACTTTTTGTTGGCCATCTCTACCTCCCGTTAAATTAAATTCATCACCTTTCCCCCAAAACAACAAAATCCCTCACCAGTCAATGGTACACAATTCTAACCTTACTGGCATGCCTTGGAGCCATCTTTGAGCCCCTCCCCTTTTCCCCTAGTCTGACAATTACTGTCTTGTTGACTCTTATTTTACAAGCATGTCTTTAAATCTGTCTCCTCTTCTCCATTTTTAAAACCACTATCCTACTCTAGACCTTCATGACTTTAGGCCTAAAATATCCTAATAGTAAGTTATCTCAATATTCTCCCCTTTCCTTTTCTACTTCTAATACTTTCAGTTTAGCCAACTCAAAAGCCATTCTGATTCCCCTTGCCTAAATTTACAAAATGCCTCAATACCTCAGCCTTCCACCATGACTTCTACCTAGGACTCTAAATTAATCTTTTATAGTCTCTGCATCATACAAACAGGTTTCAAAACATGTAAACTGGGAGTACATCACACCCATCATTGCAGAGTATTCATTTTCCTGCCTACTCCATACTTCTCTTTTTCTCCCAGCAAGCAAGTCCTTCAAGGCCAGAGTCAAACCTTACCTACTCTGTAACCCTTTCTAATTGACTCAGCTTTACTTCTTTTAATCCTTAGTCTTTAGTACTTACATGATATTAGCTTTTTTTTTTTTTAAGCATACTTCCTACCTCTAGGATCTCAGCCCTTGGAAACAAGAACCATACCTTATAACTAATTTTATCATCAATGCCTACTACAGTTCACTGCACACAGAAATATCATATACATATTTACTAATATTTTGGGGGTTTTGTTTTGAGACAAAGTCTCACTGTGTCACCCAGGCTGGAGTGCAGTGGCACAATCTCGGCTCACTGCAACCTCCGACTCCCTGGTTCAAGAGATTCTCCTGCCTCAGCTTCCCAAGTAGCTGGGACTACAGGCGCCCAACACCACACCCGGCTAATTTTTGTATTTTTAGTAGAGGCAGGTTTCACCATGTTGGCCAGGCTGGTCTCGAACTCCTAACTTCAAATGATCCACCCACCTCAGCCTCCCAATGTGCTGGGGTAACAGACGTGAGCCAACGCACCTGGCTTGATTTTTTTCTTCTTCTTCGTTTTTCGAGATGGGGTTTCGCTCTGTCACCCAGGCTGGAGTGCAGTGGTACAATCTGGGCTTAATGTAACCTTCACCTCCCAGGTTCAAGTGATTCTCCTGCCTCAGCCTCCCTCGTAGGTGGGATTACAGGCGCTCGCCACCACACCCAGCTAATTTTTTTGTATTTTTAGTAGAGACGTGGTTTTGCCATGTTAGCCAGGCTGGTCTTAAACTGCTGACCTCAAGTGATTCGCCCACCTCGGCCTCCGAAGTGCTGGGATTACAGGCGTGAGCCACCGTGCCCAGCCAAAGCCGGCTAAGATTTGACGGGTTTATTTGTAAGATGTTTTTAAGTGCTTATCAAATATTATAGTTACGTAAAACTAGATTTTAGTTTTCTCTGTTAAAATGACGGATTTTCTTCAGTTATTAGTTTGTCTTTTTGATTTTTGTTTTTTGAGATGGAGTCTCACTCTGTCACCCAGGCTGGAGAGCAGTGGTGGGATCTCAGCTCACTGCAAGCACCACCTCCCGGGTTCATGCCATTCTCCTGCCTCAGCCTCCCGAGTAGCTGGGACTACAGGTGCCCGCCACCACGCACGGCTAATTTTTTTTGCATTTTTTTTAGTAGAGACAGGGTTTCACCATGTTAGCCAGGATGGTCTCGATCTCCTGACCTTGTGATCCACCCACCTCGACCTCCCAAAGTGTTGGAATTACAGGCATGAGCCACGGTGCCCCGCCCATTAGTCTGCTTTTAATAAAGAAGTTATTAAAGGTTTTCCTTTGCCTTCTGAATAATCTCCACAGAAGGCAAAGATTGTGTCTTACCAGAATTTCCTGTGCTTAATGCTGACTTTATCATGTCCTTAATTACTTAAAACTGTATTCACACCCTTAAAAGGGTAAGGTTCTTCACCACTGCATTACCTCCCATGCTTACTTTTTTCAATATTTTTTTTAAGAGACAGGGTCTCACCCTGTTGTCCAGGCTGGAGTATAGTGGCACAATCATGGCTCATTGCAACGGCACAATCATAGCTCACTGCAGCTTCAAACTCCTGGGCTCAAACGATCCTCCTGCCTCAGCCTCCTGAGGAGCTAGAACTATAGGCATGAAATCTTTCGCCCAGCTAATTTCTGTAGAGACAGGATCCCACCACGTTGCCCAGGCTGGTCTCAAACTCCTGACCTCAAGTGATCCTCCCATCTTGGCCTCCCAAAGCACTGAGATTACAGGCATGGGCCACCGCACTGAACTAAAATCTTTTTTTTTTTCCGGTCACTTTTGGTTAAATATGTAGCCAAGTATTTTTTTCCACAGTGGCCCATGATCCTATTTAATCAAATGTTCAAACCTCCTAAATGATGCCTTTTGTACCAACAACTGTCTTTGAGATTTCCCCTAAGGGGCCCTAGAAAATCAAAATTCCCTTTACCTTGTAAAAGAGAGATGTTAAAAATAATAGTTTATTTGATCAAACGTTATGGGTCATATGGAAAGCACTGTCAAAGCCAGAGAGGCTTACCCTCCCTAAGTTTAAGTTAAATTTGTATAGGTAAAATGTTATTAATAGGGATATTTTGGAAGTTCTATGAAGGTATAAAGCTCCTAGAAATTCATCAATGCCCTCATTGTCCATGTCTATTAATCAGAGTTCTGGTGCTGCTTTGCCTGGTATTAGACAACAGTATAATGTCATCAGTCATAATTTCAGGGATTTTTTTTCCTCAATGTTAACTTGGTCATAATTTGGCTTCTTTAATCTTCTAGGTTGGCTAATGGTTCTCAGTTAAGAATTCACATCATTTACTTATGGAATGCTATTATATAGAAGTTAACGACCTACTCCAGACTGCTAAATCTTTTTCCTTGATAATCTTGATACATTCTTGATATACTCTATACATATATACATTCTTGATATACTCTTGACATATTCATGGTCCATTACATCTTAGGATTATATGTCTTTAGATTTTCTCTCTGCAATGAATATATTCATCTATATTCATAAATGACATGTACTAGCCACTCTTCTTTAAAATAAGGTTAATCGGCTGGGCGCAGTTGCTCACACCTTAATCCCAGCACTTTGGGGGGCTGATGCAGGTTGATCACCTGAGGTGAGGAGTTTGAGACCAGCCTGGCCAACATGGCGAAACCCTGTCTCTACCAAAAATATAAAAATTAGCAGGGCGTGGTGGCGCGTGCCTGTAATCCCAGCTACCCAGGAGGCTGAGGCAGGAGAATCACTGGAACCCAGAAGGCAGAGGTTGTGGTGGGCCAAGATCGCGCCACTGAACTCCAGCCTGGGCAACACAGCGAGACTCTGTCTCAAAAAATAATAATAAAATAAAGTTAATCATTACGCTTATAGATATGCTTTTGTCTAACACTTTTTTGGGTTGATTTTAGTTCGCATGCCACAAAAATCAAACTTCCTTGCCAATTTCATTATCTTTTCTAACAAAGTTTCATAAGATCTTTCACTTTTTTTCTTTTTTTTTATTATTATACTTTAAGTTCTAGGGTACATGTGCACAACGTGCAGGTTTGTTACATATGTATACATGTGCCATGTTGGTGTGCTGCACCCATTAACTGGTCATTTACATTAGGTGTATCTCCTAATGCTACCCCTCCCCCCTCCCCCCACCCCACAACAGGACCTGGTGTGTGATGTTCCCCTTCCTGTGTCCAAGTGTTCTCACTGTTTAATTTCCACCTATGAGTGAGACATGCGGTGTTTGGTTTTTCGTCCTTGCAATAGGAGATCTTTCACTTTTAAGATTATCAGTAATAGGTTAATCATCACCGTTTTAAGTATTTTGTCATCTACAGATAGTTTTCTGTTTTACTCTAATGCTTCCCTGAAAGCACTTGCAAATCAGCTACAGGCCAGAGTGCACTTGTCTTCAATAAAAAAGGGCTATGGGCCAGGTGTGGTGGCTCACGCCTCTAATCCCCACACTTTGGGAAGCTGAGGTGGGCATATCACTGGAGCCCAAGAGTTCGAGACCAGCCTGGGCAACTTGGCGAAACCCCTTCTCTACCAAAAAATACAAAATTAGCTGGGTATGGTCGCACACACCTGTGGTCGCAGCTACTAGGGAGGCTGAGATGGGAGGATCACTTGAGCCCAGGAGGTCAAGGCTGCAGTGAGCCAAGATTGTGCCATTGCACTCCAGCCTGGGTGACAGAGTGAGACTCTGTCTCAAAAAAAAAAAAAAAAAAAAAAGAAAGAAAGAAAAAGGAAAACTACTACGCCAGGTAACCTGAACACAAGCGTCTGATGGCATCACTTAAATAACTCTGAGACCACACCAGTGGACTGAGTCAAGATTTCCAAACAGCTAGTAGAAAAACAGATGGGTTCGTGAGACTGCTAACACAGATCCAGCAGAACAAGAATTAATTACATAGGACTGAATAAACTGATGAAGGATGATTATGGGTTTCGTTTAAAATATTGCTGATGCCTTAGCGTCCTATTTTCTGGATATAAGGAACCCCTTTCTCTTTTCTCTGAAGCTATCTATAACTCACAACAATTTAAGGAGACTATGTTTTTGTAAACCGAAATAAACACTTATCTTTTTCTCCCCCGTCTTACTCCTCCAGAATTCAAAAACTCTTATTATTTTTATTTTCATGGCAATATAGTTATCTGCAGAGGTTCAATGAGTCTGCCTTCTAGCTGGAAACATTACTTATGCAACCAAGGCTTTGACTGGAATGCCACATTTGAAAATATTCATTTAATCAGGTATGACCAAATACTTCTAAGTTACAGTTGACTTTATGAACCAACGCTTACAGTCCTCTTAGGAAAACTGGCCTGGTAACTGGCTTACAGAGTTCCCAGCCTTGCAGGTGAATTAAGCAAGATCACTTCCCGGCAGGCTCAAAAATCCTAGAATATTTTGGGAACTTCAAGACAGGAATTCACCCAAATTTATAGGTATTACAAGTGAAACCTGATGGTCAGTTCTTGACTTACCTTTATAGTCTCAAGAGGCATTTTAAAGTCCAATCAGATTCCTTAAAAAAACTTTCAGCAAGGCAATATTAAAAGACCTATTATATGATAAATTACTATTATTGCTACACCTATGTAAATAATCAGGCCCAATCTAATGAGATCAACTTCTCAATGACTCTTATTCCATTGTCAACAGTGACTGATTTTGTTTTAAACAACAGGGAGACTGACCAGTGCACATCACAATTGCCCATTACTTACTCATTGACTTGGCTTGAATAAACTTTAGTCAGGATTCTCTTCTCCCCACAAATTCCTAAACTTTGGCTTGCCCTAAGCTTAAGAAAGTAGATGCACAACTTCTTCCCTCATTCTGACCATTAGCTGACTGCAGAAAAAAAAAAAAATGCTTTCCAGTTAAATAGTCCTGGTCATGCAATCTGCTCACCCCTACCTATTTGGCCCACATTCCCACAAAGTTCCTGATAGCCCTGCTTACTTCTCCTTTCTATAAAAAAAAAAAAAGCCTTTTTCGGTTTGATTTTGAAGTGTGTTGCAGATCCTGTAGTAAGCATGTCCTTCTACTGCAAAAATCCTTTCAAATAAAGTCTCTCCTTACCTAAGTCTAGCTTTGTTTTTGCTTTTGGGTTTGGTCACTTTTTTTTTTTTTTTTTTTTTTGAGACAGAGTCTCACTCTGCCATCCAGGCTGGAGTGCAGTGGTGCGATCTCATCTCACTGCAACCTCCACCTCCCAGGTTCAAGCGATTCTCCCTCCTCAGCCTCTCAAGCAGCTGGGATTATAGGCACCACCATGCCTGGCTAATTTTTTTGGATTTTTTTTGTAGAGATGAGGTTTCACTGTGTTGTCCAGGCTGGTCTCAAACTCCTAAGCTCAAGCGATCCTCTGCCACGGCCTTCCAAAGTGCTGGGATTACAGGTGTGAGCCACTGCACCTTGGCCTCAGCTTTGTTTTTATTTACAGTATAAGTACTATGACAAACTACCTATTTGCAAATGCCAAATTTTACATTAATATGTATTTCCCTCTATCAAAGTCATCAGCATCTCTTTCAAAACCACAAGAAGGCCCAGGTAAAATAAGGTACATACAGAAAGTCCTGCACGTAAAATTACTGTCCAGAGTACAAACAATCTGGCTTTAGTCATTCATCTTTCTGATTTATAAAACGAAGGAGTTGGCCCAGGTAATTTCTAATACCTCTTCTATTTTCTTACTCTAGATATGAATTTAGTAAAAAGATTTAACTGCAACAGGACGATTGACAGGGCTATTCAGAAACACGAGATACTGGTAAACTATTTAGTGCTTCTCCAGCAGAAAAACAGGAACTTAAAATATTTTTTAGGCCAGGCGCGGTGGCTCATGCCTGTAATCCCAGCACTCTGGGAGGCAGAGGCGGGTGTATCACCGAGCCCAGGAGTTCAAGGCCAGCCTGAGCAACATGGTGAAACCCCATCTCTATAAAAAATACAAAAACTTAGTTGGAAGGATCACCGGAGCCTGGGAAGGTCCAGGCTGCAGTGAGCAATGATCGCGCCACTGCACTCCAGCCTGGGTGACAGAGACACCAGCTCAAAACAAACAAACAAACATAGGCCAGAGTGGTGGCTCATGCCTGTAATCCCAGCACTTTGGGAGCCAAGGCAGGCAGATCACTTGAGGTCAGGAGGTCAAGACCAGCCTGACCAACATAGCCAAACCCCCTCTCTACTAAAAATACAAAAATTAGCCAGCATGGTGGCACACGCCTGTAGTCCCAGCTACTCAGGAGGCTGAGGCATGAGAATCACTTGAACCCAGGAGGCAGAGGTTGCAGTGAGCAGAGATTGTGCCACTGCACTCCTCCTTGGGTGATGAAGCAAGACTCTGTTTCAAAAAAAACAGATTTTTTTAACGTATCAAAAGCTGAGATTCAGAAATAATTTCTCAAGGTAAAGACTCCAATAATCAAACCCACACTCATTTGAAAGTATTTAATATATCCATACAATGGATTACTCAGCCATTAAAAGGAATGAAGTACTGACACATGCAACATGAATGAACCCTGAAAATGCTAAGTGATAGAAGCTAGACACAAAAGGCCACATATTTTATTCCATTTATATGAAATATTCAGAGTAAGCAAATCCATAGAGACAGAAAGTAAATTCATGGTTACCAGAGGCTGAGGGAAGGGAGAAATGGGAAATGTATGGGTTTTGAGGGAGCAGGGGATGATAAGCGTTCTGGAATGAGATAGTGGTGATGTTTTACAACCCTGTGAGTATACTAAAAGCCACCGAACTAGACATTGTAAAATGGAGATTTTTACTGTATGTGAATTATAGCTCCAAAAAACTTGGTTTAAAAAAGTACTTGACAGGCCGGGTGCGGTGGCTCACGCCTGTAATCCCAGCACTTTGGGAGGCCGAGGCGGGTGGATCACGAGGTCAGGAGATCAGACCATCCTGGCTAACACGGTAAAACCCCGTCTCTACTAAAAAAATACAAAAAAAATTAGCTGGGCGTGGTGGTGGGCGCCTGTAGTCCCAGCTACTTGGGAAGCTGAGGCGGGAGAATGGCATGAATCTGGGAGGCGGAGCTTGCAGTGAGCCGAGATCACGCCACTGCACTCCAGCCTGGGCGACAGAGCAAGACTCCCTCTCAAGGAAAAAAAAAAAAAAAAGTACTTGATAGAAAGGGCTTAATGAAAAAAAAAAAAGAAAGAAAGAAAAAAGTACTTGAGGCCAGGCATGGTGGCTCATGCCTGTAATCGCAAGCACTTTGGGAAACCAAGGCAGGAGGATCACTTGAGCCCAGGAATTCGAGACCAGTCTGAGCAACATAGTAAGACCCTGTCTCTACAAAAAAAAAAAAAAAAAAAAAAAAAAAAAAATTAAAAATGAGCCGGGCGTGGTAGCACGTGCCTATAGTCCCAGCTACTCTGGAAGCTGAGGCAGGAGGATCGCCTGAGACCAGGAGGTCCAGGCTGCAGTGAGCCATGATAGCATCACACCACACTCCAGCCTAGGAAACACAGTGAGACCCTGTCTCAAAAAAAAAAAAAAAACTAATTATATCAGTGCAATAGTTATATCCTAAAACCAGAAAACACGTTACATAGTCCACACCTTGAATTCAATCTCAGATATGAATATGCTGATTTTTTAGTAGTCTATTTAACATATCTAATCTATGCTAAGAAATCTTTATTTATTTATTTTGAAAGACAGGGTTTTGTCTGTGATATGGAGTGCAGTGGCATGATCATGGCTCACTGTAGCCTTGAGTTCCTGGGCTCAAGTGATCCTCCTGCCTCAGCCTTCTAAGCAGCTGAAACTACAGGCATGTGCCATCGTGACCAGATAATTTTTTAATTTTTTATAGATGTTTCCCAGGCTGGTCTTGAACTCCTGACCTCAAGTGATCCTCTCGCCTTGGCCTCCTAAAGAGATGGGATTACAGGTGTGAGCCACCATGACCCAGACTAAGAAATCTTTGTAATCGTTACAAATTTATAATTTAACTATAGCTAATGAACGATTGAGTCAAAACACAAAATGGCATTCCAAATAAATGTCATAAAAATTCACATCTTTTTATATTACTTTAAATGTAAAATTTACAGTGCTCAATATGTGCAAACCTCTGGTACATGGTGCATATAAAGGGGAAAAAGGTCTACTCTTCAAAAACTTTTCATCAAAGAGCTATTTCTGCATTAGCATAAATCTAGAAGGTTACAAATAAAGACAATATAATGTGTAGCTAAGAATTCATGGTAATGAAGTTCACTCGTCACCTTTCTCAGACTTGCAAAACATAGTATCTTTAAACTGGATATATGGATATACAGTACTTAAATTATACGTACCAATAAAGCTAATCATTAGTGAGGAAGACTCCTATCCCTTGCAGTCCTTTACTTGTAGTTTGGGTCTTGTAGTGATAAAACAATGACTAAGACCATTAGAGAAAATAGCCTCCTGGTTAAACATACATAATTTGATAAAGGTAGGTTTCCAATATTTGGGTGACTATTTTCTTGGGAAAAAAAAAATGACAGCTGTGTGCAGCAGGCTCACGCCTGTAAGCCCAGCACTTTGGAAGGCCAAAGCGGGTGGACCACCTGAGGTCAGGAGTTCGAGACCAGCCTGGCCAACATGGTGAAACCCCATCTCTACTAAAAACACAAAAATTAGGTAGGCATGATAGTGGGCGCCTACTAATCCCAGCTACTTGGGAGGCTGAGACAGGAGAATCACTTGAACCCAGGAGGCAGATGTCACAGTGAGCCAAGATCATGGCACGGCACTCCAGCCTGGGTGACAGAGCGAGACTCCATCTCAAAAAAAAAAAAAAAAAAAGACTACTGCTGGTCATGTTATTTTTATTGAGAGTCTCATCAATAACTTTAGGCCTGGTGTTAATAACTTACATAACTTAATGTAGTTTTCTGCCTAAAAATATAATTTCATTTTGCATCCCCAATCTCCTCCTGAAATTAGTTCCAAAATATTTAAGCACTTATACAAGGTCCTTCCAAGCAAGATATTACAGAAACTACAAGTTATGATACCGCTAAAAGGATCACAGCATCAAAGTATCAATAATTTTCACCGAAGAGTCCAAGCACATTTTAAAAGTTTCTAGCCTCACACCCGAACAGCTTGAACCTTTAGTGAGAATACTCACTGCCGCAAACACGAACAGCTTGAGAAACAAAAGCATATGTTAATAATACCAAATAACCTTGTTTCCTTGCATTTATGTACTGACAAATTGTATTTTAAAATAAATAATTTTAAGAGCAAACAGCCTGTTCTTAGATTGCCTAGTCTGTATATTTGACTAAATTTCAAAGTTACTCATATAAAACAGTGTTTTATTCACTGAAGTGAGGCTTACTTTATAGAAGATAAACACCCTTATCCGAAGTGAAAACATGCAATGCAGAAACTCAGTATAGCATTCAGCCATCCTGCAGAAAGAAATCCACCAACTGAATAATTGTTGTAAACAAATAATGCAATTTCTCAATTAGATGTCTTGATAAAATTATTTTGCCCATGCTTAACTCTTTAATAAGTATCACAATCATTTGAACTGTCTGTTCTGTAGCTTATTTATAATAATCATCACCTAAAATAGTTATGGCTGCAATCCTTTAGAAATAAATTTAGGCCAGGCGCGGTGGTTCACGCCTGTAATCCCAGCACTTTGGGAGGCCGAGGCGGCTGGATCACCAGGTCAGGAGATGGAGACCAACCTGGCTAACATGGTGAAACCCCGTCTCCACTAAAATACAAAAAAAATTAGCCGGGCGTGTTGGCGGGGCCTGCAGTCCCAGCTACTCGGGAGGCTGAGGCAGGAGAATGGCGTGAACCCGGGGGGCGGAGCTTGCAGTGAGCCGAGATTACGCCACTGCACTCCAGCCTGGGCGACTGAGCAAGACTCCGTCTCAAAAAAAAAAAAAAGAAAAAAAATTTAGTGTCATTCCGTTTTATATCAAACAAAACAGAAATTTCCATAAGTAAAAGTATTTTATGGAGCTTTTATTCCAGTTGCAGAAGAATCAAAAAAAATTCCAAAACCACTGGCCTAAAACTATCAACTGCCAAAAACAGTGCCCAGGACATAGCGACACTTAAAATGTTTTACCAGTCTTTCCAGAGTATAATGTTTCTTTTAATTCGGCCATCTTAATAATAGCAACCATTTATTCAATGTCTACTATTGACTGTGCGTTCTACTACCCCTTTACAAACATTTCGTCAGTTCTCACAGAAGTCTTGCAAGTTATATCCCCACCTAACAGGAAAGGAAATAACTTGTCCAAAGGAACACAAAGCGGCAGAAGAGTTTAACTTGGCCTGTTTAACAACAAGCCATGTCTTTCTGCTATAGTACCTTCCATATAATCTTCTCTAAATGTAAACTTTCAATAGAATTTCTACGATGAAAATAATCTTTCTCAGAGTAGTTACCCATGGCCTAAATAGCACTAAACATTATTTTTCCAGTATGCGCAAAATATTTAAACAAAAAATATACGTTCTCATAAAATATTTTCCATTAATATATCCCTTCCCAGAATCTCCTTTGATATTTAAAACAGTCCTTTCTGACAGCCAAAGCATATATAAGGACACAGTAGTTCAGTACAGCAAATGGAAAAACTTCCAATTAAAGCAAAGAAAAAAATCTCTTAAAAATTGAATCATGGCCGGGCGCGGTGGCTCACGCCTGTAATCCCAACAGTTTGGGAGGCCGAGGCGGGCGGATCACGAGATCAGGAGATCGAGACCATCCTGGCTAACACGGTGAAACCCCATCTCTACTAAAAATACAAAAAATTAATCGGGCGTGGTGGCGGGCGCCTATAGGCTGAGGCAGGAGAATGGCGTGAACCCGGGAGGCGGAGCTTGTAGTGAGCTGAGATCACGCCGCTGCACTCCAGCCTGGGCGACAGAGCAAGACTCCGTCTCAAAAAAAAAAAAAAAAATTGAACCACAGGAAATCACTATTAGCCCTTCTGATAATAACAAGCTAAAACCTTAAAATTTAATAACCAGACAAATTATTGTTTAGCCAAATGAGCAAACCTGAAGCCAGGTAAGTAAACAGGAATGACAGTATCAAATTAACTATATGAAACTGTCATCAAATATCAATGTAATACTTGACAAGTTTGGAAAATAATAGGTTAAACAAAGTTAAAACCGGTCTCTTTACCTCAGGACTTTTCAGAACCCTTAATGTGTTAACATGAATTCTAATCTCCAAATAAAGTGTACAGAGATCACTCAAGGTTACACAGCAAATTTAGAACCATAACTTAATTCTCCTGATTGCCACTCCAAAATTTGTTCTACTTCCCCAAGACTTTATAACACCTGATTTTAAAGGAAGAAAGGATCGCTTCTACAGAAATACAAGATGCAAAACATTAGTGGTTTGTTCCAACAATATTTACCAGCCCACCAAAACAAAAAAAAGTAACGAAGAATTTTTATATAACAAGCCTCCTCAAAAAAAGCTAAAAAGGCCAGGCGCGGTGGCTCACGCCTGTAATCCCAACACTTTGGGAGGCAGAGGTGGGTGGATCACCTGAGGTCAGGAGTTCGAGACCAGCCTGACCAATATGGTGAAACCCCATCTCTACTAAAAATACAAAAATTAGGCCGGGCACAGTGGCTCACACCTGTAATCCCAGCACTTTGGGAGGTCAAGGCAGGTGGATAACTTGAGGTCAGGAGTTCAAGATCATCCTGACCAATATGGTGAAAGCCCGTCTCTACTAAAAATATAAAAATTATCCGGGCATGGTGGTGTGAGCCTGTGGTCCCAGCTACTCAGGAGGCTGAAACAGGAGAATTGCTTGAACCCAGGAGGGAGAGGTTGCAGTGAGCTGAGATCATGCCACTGCACTCCAGCCTGGGCGACAGGGTGAGATACCGTCTCAAAAACCAAAAAAATACAAAAATACAAAAATAAGTCAGGCATGGTGGCAGGCACCTGTAGTCTCAGCTACTCAGGAGGCTGAGACAGGAGAATCGCTTGAACCAAGGAGGCAGAGATTGCAGTGAGCCAAGATCGCGGCACTGCACTTCAGCCTGAGCGACAGAGCGAGACTCCGTCTCAAAAAAAAAAAAAAAAGCAAGCTAAGAAATAGTATTTCACAGATTACACACACCGATGGTATTCCAAAACCTATATTCTTATCAAAAATACTTCCAGCAGAAGATCAGATATTATTTTTTCTCATCAGTATCCGAATGGAACTAAGAAAATGGTAAGGATGGCAACCTAAACTGTGAGGCCCGTTAGATTAGGAAACACATTGTTTTACTCACCATCAGTACCAGAGGCTGACATATAGGAGGTATTCCATACATATTTGCTAAAAGAATGAATAATAAATCCCTGCCCCATCTTTAATTAACCTACCTTTATTAAATTACAGTATCTCTGAATCTGAGTTTCCCCACTTACAAATAAACTGGTGAGGCTCAAACGACCAAGATCCCTTTCACTTTTAAGAATGTGTGAATCTGGGCCAGGCGTGGTGGCTCACACCTGTAATCCCAGCACTTTGGGAGGCCGAGATGGGCAGATCACCTGAGGTCGGGAGTTCGAGACCAGCCTGACCAACAAGGAGAAACCCCATCTCTACTAAAAATACAAAAAAAAAAAAAAAATTAGCTGGGCATGGTGGTGCATGCCTGTAATTCCAGCTACTCAGGAGGTTGAGGTAGGAGTATCGCTTGAACCCGGGAGGCGGAGGTTGCAGTGAGCCGAGATCATGCCATTGCACTCTAGCCTGAGCAACAAGAGCGAAACTCTGTCTTTAAAAAAAAAAAAAGAATGTGTGAATCTGGCCGGGCGTGGTGGCTCACGCCTGTAATTCCAGGACTTTGGGAGGCCGAGGTGGGCGGATCACGAGGTCAGGAGATGGAGACCATCCTGGCTAACACAGTGAAACCCCGTCTCTACTAAAAAATACAAAAAAATGAGTCCCAGCTACTCAGGAGGCTGAGGCAGGAGAAAGGCGTGAACCCGGCAGGCAGAGCTTGCAGTGAGCGGAGATCACACCAATGCACTCCAGCCTGGGCAACAGAGCAAGAATCCGTCTCAAAAAAAAAAAAAAGAATGTGTGAATCTGCACCTGTAATCCCAGAACTCCGAGAGGCGGAGGTGGGAGGATCACTTGAGCCCAGGAGTTTAAGACCATCCTGGGCAACATAGCAAAACTCTGGCTCTATAAAAATTAGCCAAGTGTTATGGCACACAACTGTGGTCCCAGCTACTTGGGAGGCTGAGGTGGGAAGATCACATGAACACAGGAGGTCCAGGCTGCAGTGAGCAGCGATCATGCCACTGCACTCCAGCCTAGGCAACAGAGCAAGACCCTACCTCCAAAAAAAAAATAGGAATTCGTGAACCTGGCCAAGCATGGTGGCTCACACCTGTAACCTGTAATCCCAGCACTTTGAGAGGATCACTTGAGGCCAGGAGTTGGAGACCAGCCTGGGCAACATATCAAGACACCCCCACACCAACCCCATATCTACAAAAAATTGGGGGCATAGTGGCACGTGCCTATAGTTCAGAGCTTTGGGAGGATGAAGCAGGAGGATCACTTAAGCCCAAGACTTTGAGACTGCAATGAGCTGTGATTACACCACTGCACCCCAGACTGAGTGATGAAGCAAGACTTTGTCTCTTTAAAAAAAAAAAAATTGTGAACGTTATACAAATTAAATCTCAAATCATGAAAGCATTTGAGGATATGTCCCTGAACAAGCAAAAATTATAGCAAAAAGTAACATTAACAAGGTACTCCATATTATTTCATTTAAAACACCCAATAACCCTGCAAACTAGTCAGGTATCATTATCCACACTACCAGTAAAGAAACTGAGACCTAGAGAAGCGGACTAGACCAGAACCACAAAGTTATGAAGTTGTGACACTTGGGCTTTAAATCCAAGATTTTAGTATTGAAATTCCCAAATCTTTCCTTTATACCTTGTCATGTGATGATAGAGATAGGGACACAGCACTAACAGTATTCCCTGGCTTTCTGCTACTAATTCAACAGGGCTACAGGACAGAAGGTCTCCCAGACTCTCACATACCCCATCACACCCAGCCAATGTTAAAGCCCCAATTCTTTGTGGGGGAAAAAAATGACCTAAATGCAACAAATCAATCAGATTTTTCTCCTTGGAGTCCAAGGTTGACTAAATATCTTTACTATAACAGAGGATGACATTCTCAAAGAATGAATTAATTCTAAATTATGAACAAAAATATTTTACATCAAAAGACAGTTTTACTTCAAATAATATGTACTCACAGCTAAGTACAGTACTGTTACATATTAGAAGACCACCTTACACCATATTTCGCCACATTTAAAACGAGAGCTCCACTTCTGAAAACTTTGCTAGTGGAAACGAGACAATTTAAACTATTACCTCTTCCAGGTCTTGTTACATAAATAAGTGCAACCTATCTAAATTCCAATAATGAACAAACCCAGCTCTGGTCTCAAAGCTGGTGTTAAACAAACGGCATTTACATCACACGCTTCTCCTCCAAGAAATACAACTAGACAACCAGAAACATCCCAAGTTATAAGTTTTCCCACGACTCTAACCAATCAGCTGGTTCTCATATTTGTCAGCCCTATTAACCTTATGTCTTAAAATACATACATATTCTTATGTCAAATATAGTTGTTTCTAACAGCTACAGCAAAACCCCTTTCAATAGAGTATGCCAATAATAAAATAAGTATATACTTATGAAACCTCTCCAGTACGTAACACTTCATTAAAATTTCTGCCACAAAAATCTAATGAACACTACCTTTCCGGGGTTTACATGTGGGAAAACTTTGTAATATGCTTAGAGTATCAAGTAATATAACATGCAAACACAATGCTGCATTACTACAGAGTAACTGAAGAAAGTATTTCTCCTCCTCCAAAAAAAAACTCAATCATTCTCATCCGAAATACATATACACAGTACACGCAAAAATATACACCTGTCACAGACTATTAGTTACTATTAGTGTTCTGTAAACTTAAATTAGTTTGGAGAACTTAACAAAAGTTTAGCTTGTTAACACCTAAAAATCTCCAGCGACCAGCGGTCACATGCCTGAAAAGAACTTACTATGAACGCCAGTAAGAACTTTACCAAACCAAAACTACAAGCCACCGTATCGAGCAGTACTTAAATTCCTCTGCTGGTAAATGCTCCACAGCCATCACAGCCATCTCAAGTTCAACACTAAATAGTTTGAGAAGAGCTGCCGACGGGCCAGTCAAAAATCTTTGTGAACTGTCACAAAAGTCACAGAGCATGTGTCAGCTTTGCAGTCCAATTCAAAACATCATAGTGCCATCGAATTCAAGCGATTCCCAGAGCAAATTATCTCGAACAGCCTATGCAATTTACCAAAGTGCCAAGCAGTCCCCAGGGGTGCAGAGCAAATTATCATTTTGGTCCCAGGACCGGCTCCTCTTCACACGAGGATGAATTTCCCTACTTAGTGCCAACTGTACACTTGCATACTCCGAAAATAGGGGCAAGCCGTGAATACCAGAGGTTACAAGGGCAATGTTTTATTTTATTATGGGCTGAAGCTCAGAAGGCTCCCAATGCTGAAACGCTCGACCTATAACCCCGGAGTCACTTTCCAACTGCGCTCTCACCCAGGGTCATTATATCCCAAACGGAAGCCAATCATTACCTGTAACAAGGCCTGGAAAAAATAGCAAGAGGGCTTTAAAAGTTCACCTAAGAAACACCGAAACGGGGTGGGGAGTGGGTGGCGGGGCTTCGATGGATAAGGCCAACCTTAAAGCATCTCGGACTCAAACATTTTAAAAGCCAAAATACGTACAAAGACCCTTTTCCCTGGAAGACCCCAGGCAGAGAGAGGCACACAGACACTCAGTCATCCCGACAGCATGGGGTGCCAAGGGTTCCCTAAGACCAGCAGCCGGGATCGAAGCTCCGATGTGTCCGGGGAAGGTCTGGGAAGCCAGGCCAGGTCCGCATTGTGGCCGGGCGGTGCACGCAGCCCCTGCTCCCGGGCCCCTTTCTCTCCCCCTCCCCACGACCAGGCCTCTCCCCGCTCCTCTCCCCTTCTCCCTTCCTCCGTCCCTCCCCTCCCCCTAGACACATACAACAAGGCCACCTCCCCCCGAACCCCACCAACTTTCCAGTGCCCCCACTCTTCCCACCTCTCAGGAGCACACAGAAGCTGCAGGCCAGGAGGCTCCTCAGGACGGCCCCCATCTTCCCTTCTCGCGTTCTCTTCTCTCACCGGCGAGGGGTGGCCAGAAGTGGGGGAGGCGAGGAGCCGGGGCGGCCGCCGCAGCGGCAGGGCTGCACGCTCATACTTCCCAGCTTCCCAGCGAGAGAAGAAAGAAAGGGGCACGTCAAGGTTCCGCGCGCGCCGCCGCCGCCCTCTCTACCGCGCCGCTCGGCCCCGGGCTCGCGCGACGCCAGCGTCTGCTTCCATCCCGCCGCCTCCTCCCCCGGCGCCCCGCTTCCCCCGCGCAGCTCCTCATTCAGCCTCTGCCTCGCGCAGCGGCGCAGGGATACGGTCGGCACCGCCTCCTAGGGTCGCCGCGACCGTGTCCCTGCGCGCAACGAGCCCCTTCTCCCGGTACTGCCTCCTGTACGGCCAGGGAAGGGAGTCGGCAACCGCACGCACAGCCTCTGCCTGAGACCCTGGGAGAGGTTCTGGGCTAGCAGAGGCGAACTGGGAGGGAAAGCCTCCTCCCGGTGGCGCATTCCAGCGGGATTCTTTCCCGGACCGGCCGCTTCGGCCCTCCCCGCGGAGGGCGTGAGGCGGCGTTGAACAACATTGGAGCCGGCGTGGTCGGGACTACTTTCTGCGGCTCGGCCGGGCAGCCGTCTGCCCCGCTCTTTGTGCGGCCGCCGCCGGCAGGGCCAGGTGGGGCTCCGGTCTCGCGCCCCCAGCCACCTGAGACTGCCCAGCCGCGGTGCACGCGCGGGGAGCCACGGCGGATCCCGTTGCGGGGTGATGAGCTCCGTCTTCGGGGTTGGAAATCGGTTTCAGCATCCTTTTTTTGGGAGGGCGGAATTTTTGAACGCTGTTTACACCGGCTTTCAGCGTGGATCTGGTGAACGATATTAAAACGCCAATTCAAAACTGAGATTGTCATTTTTCTCCCGCCTTCCCAGAAATACAAACTGCCCCCAGAATTAAGCCCGACCAGCTAAAGATTTCTAAACTGGCAGATAAAATTCCAAGATAAATGCCTCAAAACCTAAGAGCAAAGGGACAATTGGACAAGACTATTTAGGATTTTACAAGTTGCATATAATAACGAATGTTTGGCATGCTTCGATTATCAATTCTCAGCTTGAGAAGGAAAAGATTCCCTAGAATCTCAGACTGTGCACAGCCTCTGCTACTCCCAGTGCATTGGGCATTCAGGAGTAATGGCCCAGACGCCCCCTGAAATCACCTGCCAGGCTTTCGTCTGGGCAGAGGCGCTCCAACAGTTAACCCTAATGGAGCCATCAGATGCATCCTGCCCAGCTGTCACACGCCCTTACCTGGAGGCAGATGGGCAAGAAAGTGGAGCTGCTACCACAATGTTAACAAGTACCTCAGTGACATTGGAGTTCACTAGTGCTTGAACACAAGTTATCATATTTGACACTCAAAACTACCCTGGGGAAAGGCAGGTTTTGTTACTTATTCTTTATTGCACAGAGGAGCAAAATGAGAACCTGAGAGGTTAATGACTTACCCAGGGCCACTCAAGTAATGAATAGCAGTACCTCAGCCCAATCCAGGTCTCTGACTTAAGCCACTCCGCTCCTTCCAAGAAATGCGCGCTGAACCAAAGGTGCTGCAGGTTTGTAAGTAGATGGACAGCAGAAACAGCCAAATCACTTTCTCCCAAATTCACCTGAGGTCTAGTCACCGTTTATTTAAATGACCTGCTTCTAAGAACCAAGTGAGTTTTGTATTCTGGCTTCCTCAAAGCAGGAAACTGGGCCGGGGGCGGGTGGCTCAGGCCTGTAATCCCAGCACTTTGGGAGGCCGAGGCGGACAGATCACGAGGTCAGGAGTTCGAGACCAGCCTGGTCCAACATGGTGAAACCCCCGTCTCTACTAAAAATACAAAAAAAATTAGCCGGGCATGGTGGCACACGCCTGTCATCCCAGCTGCTCAGGAGGCAGAGGCAGGAGAATGGCTTGAATCCAGGAGGCGCAGGTTGCAGTGAGCCGATATCGCGTCATTACACTCCAGCCTGGGCAACAGAGCAAGATTGCGTCTCAGAAAAAAAAAAAAAAAGAAAAGAAAGTTAACCTTCACTTTCACAGGCCCCTTCCAATGTCTGGGGAGGGGCCTTTATGGTATGTTCACATGGTCCTATTTGCAAAACAAAGATAATTTTGAATTCCTCTTCTGTATAATTGTATTATACAAAATTGTATAAGCTTCAAGTCCCACAAAGCCTGGATCTGTCCCTATTTATAATAGAAAATGCGGTACAACTGGCCGGGCACGGTGGCTCACGGCTGTAATCCCAGCACTTTGGGAGGCCGAGGCAGGCGGATCACGAGGTCAGGAGATCGAGACCATCTTGGCTAACACGGTGAAACCCCGTCTCTACTAAAAATACAAAAAATTAGCCGGGCGCGGTGGCGGGCGCCTGTAATCCCAGCTACTCAGGAGGCTGAAGCAGGAGAATGGCGTGAACCCGGGAGGCGGAGCTTGCAGTGAGCCTAGATAGCGCCACTGCAGTCCAGCCTGGGCGAAAGAGCGAGACTCCGTCTCGAAAAAAATAAAATAAAATAAAAAAGAAAATGCGGTACAACCTAAATCTCCTCAGACTATCAACCTAAGTAGGGGAATGAGATATTACACACTGCTGAAAAATAATAATTTAGAGGATTATGCAACAGTGTTGAATGTTTATAGTGAGTTAAGCTTTTTTTTTTTTTTTTTTTTTTTTTGAGACGGAGTTGTGCTCTTGCTGCCTGGACTGGAGTAAAATGGCACAATCCCGGCTCACCACAACTTCCTCCTCCCAGGTTCAAGTGATTGTCCTGCCTCATCCTCCTGAGTAGCTGGGATTACAGGCATGCGCCACCACACCCAGCTAATTTTGTATCTTTAGTAGAGACGGGCTTTCTCCATGTTGGTCAGGCTGGTCTCGAACTACCGACCTCAAGTGATCCGCTCTCCTTGGCCTCCCAAAGGGCTGGGATTACAGGCGTAAGCCACCGCGCCCGGCCGAGTTAAGCTTTTAAAAAGTGAAAGTGCATGTACATTTGATTATAGCTATGTAAAATAAAAATATATATAATATACAAACATAAATGCACACACATATATATAGCACATATTTGAGCAAAGACCAAAAGTAAGTGCACTAAAATAGGCATTAGGATGGTGAAATAATATGAGATGTAGTTTGCTTTTCTGTTCTTCAATTTTGTTTAATGTACTATATATTTACTACAAATTTTTAAAAGATGCTTAAGTGAAAATCTATAGGTTAAGCTTAAGCCCTAGAGAGAATGCCATTATTACTGCATAACTAATTTTGTTTCTCATTCTTTTAAGTGCCAATCAGATACCAATCACTCTGTTAAGTGTTGGGGATATAAAGATGAGAGTAATCATAGTCCCTACCCTCAAGAAGCTTACAGCCTAGTTTGGAAACACTGATTAATAAAGTGAGTAATTAAAATATTAAAATCTGCAGGGCACAGTGGCATACAACTGTAATCCCAGCACTTTGGGAAGTCAAAGTGGGCAGATCACTTGAGCCCAGGAGCTCGAGACCAGCCTGGGCAACATGGCGAAACCCCATCTCTACAAAAAATACAAAAATTAGCTAGACATGGTGGCGTGTACCTGGAGTCCTAGCTATTCGGGAGGCTAAGGTTGGAGGATCACTTGAGCCTAGGAGGCCAATGCTGCAGTGAGCTGTGATCTTGCCACTGCACTCCAGCCTGGGCAATACAGTGAGACCCTGTCTCCAACTAAAAAAAAAAAAAAGACAAAATTGCTAAGTGTAGAGATGCTTTTCTGCCTAGACAATTCAAAGAAGGGAAAAAAGGGCCAGGCGCAGTGGCTCACAACTTTAATCCCAGCTACTCACGAGGCTGAGGCACAGGAATCACTTGAACCCAGGAGGCGAAGGTTGCAGTGAGCCGAGATTGCGCCCCTGAACTCCAGACTGGGCAACAGAGTGAAACTCTGTCTCAAAAAAACAAAACAAAACAAAACAAAAGAAGGGAAAATAACCCTAGCGCTGAGGTTGGAAATACAAATCAGACTTTGCCAGGCCAACAAGACTGAAAAAAAATTTCAATCACAATAGTAGGTTTAAAGACACTGAATCATTAGAGAACTTAGTATGTTGGGGATTTGAAAGTAGATTCATATAGCTGATGCATGGAATGCTTTTAGAGAATGTCAGGAATTGAGGCAGGACCATTAAATAGCTATTGATTAATAAAAACCTTTTCAAGCCATGCTAAGAAGTTTAGATTTTAGCATATTAACAATGCGGACATTGAAGAATTTTGCACATTGTACAGAAGTCTATGAAAGGGGCAATCAGGACAGCAGCGCTGAGGACTGAAAAGACATCATGGATTTAAAGAATACGAGATTAAAACAGGACTTTTAGTTGTGAATTGAGAGAGAAACAGAGAGTAATGGGAGTCTCCTTTACAAAGAAAAGAAAACCTAAGAAGTATTTCAAGAAGGAGTGGGTAATAAGTTTAACAATGGCTCTTTTGTATTGGAGGTGTCTATGAAACATCCAGGTGGAGGCCGGGCGCGGTGGCTCACGCCTGTAATCCCAGCACTCTAGGAGGCCGAGGTGGATGGATCATCTGAGGCCGGGAGTCCGAAACCGGCACGGCTAACATGGTGAAACCCCATCTCTACTAAAAACAGAAAAATTAGCCAGGCATGGTAACACGTGCCTGTAATCCGAGCTACTCAGGAGGCTGAGACAGGAGAATTGCTTGAACCCGGGAGGCGGAGGTTGCAGTGAGCCAAGATCACGCCATTGCCACCCAGCCTGGGTAACAGAGTGCGACTCTGTCTGAAAAAAAAAAAAAAAAAAAAAAAGGCCGGGCGCGGTGGCTCACGCCTGTAATCCCAGCACTTTGGGAGGCCGAGGTGGGCGGATCACGAGGTCAGGAGGCCCAGACCATCCTGGCTAACACGGTGAAACCCCGTCTCTACTAAAAATACAGAAAATTAGCCGGGCATGGTGGTGGGCGCCTGTAGTCCCAGCTACTCGGGAGAATGAGGCAGGACAATGGCATGAACCTGGGAGGCGGAGGTTGCAGTGAGCCGAGATTACACCACTGCACACTCCAGCCTGGGCAACAGAGTAAGACTCTGTCTCAAAAAAAAAAAAAAAAAAAACACTTATTGAAATTGCTACCACTGGCCGGGCACGGTGGCTCACTCCTGTAATCCCAGCACTTTGGGAAGCCGAGGCAGACGGATCACGAGGTCGAGAAATCGAGACCACCCTGGCCAACATCGTGAAACCCCGTCTCTACTAAAAATACAAAAAAAAAATTAGCCGGTCATGGTGGCAGGCGCCTGTAATCCCAGCTACTTGGGAGGCTGAGGCAGGAGAATCGCTTGAACCCGGGAGGCAGAGGTTGCAGTGAGCCGAGATCGCGCCATTGCACTCCAGCCTGGGCAAAAAGAGTGAAACTCTGTCTCAAAAAAAAAAAAGAAAGAAAGAAATTGCTACCACTAAAGAAGGTATGATTAGTAATGGCAAATGCAGTGTTAACTGTTAACAACAGAGAGTCTGCTGTGAGAAGTGCTGAAAAGAGGGCATTGTGACTATAACTTTCTCGAACGTCATTGATGGGAACATACATTATGCCAGTGTTTTAGAAAATCAGTCTGGGAGTAAAATACATACACCTTTAAACTGAAACGCTGGCCGGGCGCGGTGGCTCACGCCTGTAATCCCAGCACTTTGGGAGGCTGAGGCAGACAGATCACCTGAGGTCTGGAGTTTGAGACTAGCCTGGGCAACATGGTGAAACCCCTGTCCCTACTAAAAATACAAAAATTAGCTGGGTGTGGTGGCAGGCACCTGTAATCCCAGCTACTTGGGAGGCTGAGGCAGGAGAATCGCTTGAACCCCGGAGGTGGAGGTTGCAGTGAGCCGAGATGGCGCCACTGCTTTCCAGCCTGGCAACAGAGTGAGACTCCATCTCAAAAAAAAAAAAAAGCCTACAAAAATGACAGTTTTCCTGGTTCAACCTAATCAAAAGAACCTGAAGCCTGCTTTTTAAAAAAAATCACAGATAAAGTGCACAAAATAGTCATTGGTGACTTTAAGCCAAAGCAGTTTCAGCAGAGGTATGAGATCCAAAGCAAAAGTGCAGTGAATTGAGAAATGAAGGGGAAACAGGGAGGGAGGGCAGTGGTTTTTCCCAAATCTTATTGTTAAAGGAAAGAGAACACTTGGGTGGCTGGAAAGGAATGTGAGGCTGGAGGAATCTGGGAGTTGACTTAGTTAGGGTTGATTGCTTACTTTGTTTTTAAGTTTGAGAGGAATGTGATCATATTTGTAACCTGAAGTAAGTGATCAAATAAAGAAGGAGAGTGAGGAAAGTGATTCAGAGACTTCAAGAGGATCTGGAGCCTAGCAGAATGGATCAGCCTTGGATGGGAGGAGGAGCAGGAGGATTTCCACTTCTGGAGGAGAGGAGAGTCAGTGTGGCTGCTTGACCTTCAGCTCTCCTTTCTCCACTCCCACTTTCACAGACTCCTTCCAGAGGCCTTGGGAGGGACCATGGCAATGATTAGGATGGTCATATGTTTTTATACTACTTGCAAAACCAAGATTGTTTTAGTATTCATTTTCTTTAAAATATCTCCTTCTCCAGTTGTATATGCTCAGCACTACAAAACCTGAATCTGCCCCTAGTAGCTATAAATAGGTTTCATGGGGAAGGGATAGTGGAGACAAGATTTGATTGCCTTCATTTACATAAAAACAGAAAGCAAAGTCTACATTGAGAGTGAAGTAAGAAAGAATATGGTGGTCGGGGAGGAGGTCAGGAAAGTGACAAAGGTTTGGAGAAGCTGGGAATGGAAGAGGGAGTTGACAAAGGACACATTATAGGATCCTCTAACAGCACAGAGGATGCTGCTATAACTCCCTACCAGAAATGTGGTGTATATCATGAAGAGTGGCCTTCTTGCCTCTATTTTTCTTTTTTCTTTTTTGAGACAGAGTCTCTCTCTGTCACCAGGCTGGAATGCAGTGGTGTGACCTCGGCTCACTCCAACCTCCACCTCCAGGGTTCAAGCAATTCTTATGTCTCAGCCTCCCAAGTAGCTGGGATTACAAGCGCGTGCCACCATGCCTGGCTAATGTCTTTCTTTCTTCCTTTTTTTATTTTTATTTTTTTATTATTATTTTTTTAATAGTAGAGATGGGGTTTCACCATGCTGGCTAGGCTGGTCACGAACTCCTGGCCTCATGATCTGCCCACCTCGGCCTCCCAAAGTGCTGGGATTACAGGCATGAGCCACCGTGCCCTGCCTTCTTTCTTTTTCTTTTCTTTTCTTTTCTTTCTTTTTTTTTGACAGTCTTGCTCTGTCGCCCAGACTGGAGTGCAGTGGTGCTATGTCAGCTCACTGCAAGCTCCTCTTCCCCAGTTCACGCCTACTGCCTCAGCCTCCCGAGTAGCTGGGACTACAGGCGCCTGCCACCACGCCTGGCTAATTATTTGTATTTTTAGTAGAGACAAGGTTTCACCGTGTTAGCCAGGATGGTCTCAATCTCCTGACCTCGTGATCCGCCTGCCTCGGCCTCCCAAAGTGCTGAGACTACAGGTGTGAGCCACCGCACCCGGCTTTTTTTTTTTTTTTTTTGTATTTTTAGTAGGGGCAGGGTTACGCCATGTTGGCTAGGCTGGTCTCAAACTCCTAGCCTCAAGTGATCCAGACTTGAGGGACAAGTGTTCCAGACTCCCAAAGTGCTGGGATTACAGGCATGAGCCACTGCGCCTGGCCCATCTATTTTTCCCTCCTTCAATGGGAATAACACTTGTTCCTAGCTGCACCATGAAAATATCACATCAGATGCCTAAGAAGAATTCACTATAATTAGAAAATAAGTATACTTTGGGGCCAGGCATGGTGGCTCACGCCAGTAATCCCAGCACTTTGGGAGGCCGAGGTGGGCAGATCACCTGAGGTCCGGAGTTCAAGACCAGCCTGATCAACATGGAGAAACCCCGTCTCTACTAAAAATACAAAATTAGCCAGGAGTGGTAGCACATGCCTGTAGTCCCAGCTTCTCGGGAGGCTGAGACAGGAGAATCGCTTGAACCCGGCAGGCAGAGGTTGCGGTGAGCCGAAATCACTCCATTGCACTCCAGCCTGGGCAACAAGAGCAAAACCTCGTCTCAAAAAAAAAAAGAAAAAGGAAAAGAAAGAAAAGAAAAGAAGTAACTTTGTTTTCAATAATATTTTTCTTTTTTCAACATCAGCTATATAAACCCCCTGTAAAGTCTATTAAAACATGAAAAATAAATTAAACGCTATACATTAAATTTCTTACGTTTGTCCCAAACAGGATGAAAGGATATCTGCAATAGAGGGTAACCTGGAAAAGGGAAGCGGAGCCAGAGAAAACAGAGGAGGGAGTCCATTCAGGGGAGAGGATGATGGCGGTGTTAGAATATTGGTTACATCCAGCCTGGCATGGTGGCTCATGCCTGTAATCCTAGCACTTTGGGAGTCCGAAGTGGGTGGATCACAAGGTCAAGAGGTCAAGATCTGCCTGGCCAAGATGGTGAAACCCCGTCTCTACTAAAAACTACAGAAATTAGCTGGGTGTGGTAGTAGGTGCCTGTAATCTCAGCTACTCAGGAGGCTGAGGCAGTAGAATCACTGGAACCCGGGAGGCAGAGGTTGCAGTAAGCCGAGATTGCACCACTGCACTCCAGCCTGGGTGACAGAGTGAGACTCCATCTCAAAAAAAAAAAAAAAACCAAAAAAAAAAAAGAATATTGGTTACATCGAGAAGGATTAATCTACTAAGTAAATATATTAAAGATAATGGAATCAGAGTTTCTAACTATCAGAGAAGGAAGTTACAAATACAACAAAGATACCTTGGTGCCAATGGCAATGAAAATGGTGGAGTAAGAAACTCTAAGGGTAGGGAACTCTCTTCCTTTGCAGAAACACTGAAAAAACTGGCAAAAGTCATGAGAAACAACTTTATTAGAACTCTAGAAGATAGTCAAAGGTTTACAGCAACCAAGCTAATGCTTAATAAGGATAATGGGCACTGAATCATGGTAGGAGAGGTTTGTCGTGTTTTACCTTACCCTTGTCCAATCCCCCTGCCCAGTGCAGCAGCAGTCTAGAAGACAGCAGCCCATGCTCTCAGTGCAGGTTCTCAGTTTGGGAGGTGTGTTAGGCCATTCTTGCGCTGCTGTGAAGAAATACCTGAGACTGGGTAATTTACAAGAAAAGAGGTTTAATTGGCTCATAGTTCTGCAGGCTGTACAGAAAGCATGGCACCAGGATCTGCTTCTGGGGAGGCCTCAGGAAATGTTTACTCATCACCGAAGGCGAAGCAGGAGCATGCACGTCACGTGGTGAGAACAGGAGAAAGAGAGAGAGTGAGGGCAGGTGCCACACACTTTCAAACAACCAGATCACATGCGAACCCAGAGCAAGAGCATCACCAAGGGGATGGTCCAAGCCATTCATGAGGAATCTGCCCCCAAGATCCAAACACCTCCCACCCAGCCCCAACTCCAACATTGGGGATTACATTTCAGCATGAGATTTGGGTGGGAACAAATATCCAAACTATATCAGAAGGGAATGGAGGGAATCTTGTTCCTGAGAAATTGTGTTCATAGGTTTTAATCTGTTTGGGGGATCCCCAAGGGGACTAATGCAGGGTACTTGCCTTTGTTCCACTTACCTCAAAACTCTCTCAGGATAGAAAAGTTGCTTTGTGGAAGAGGTTTCTCAAAAACATTGGACAGCCAATGAATAAAGCCCAGATGCCTAGAGCAAAAGATAACAGCTGTGGCAAAAAAAATACACTTGTAGAAAGCCTGAGAAGAAAAACTTGGGGATTGATATACTTGCGGAATAAAGGCTCTGAAAAGCCCCTGGTTATGTAGGGGAATCAAAAAGGCCCAGGCCAGGATACATCCTCAGAAAAGGTCTGAGAACACCATAGGCTTCACCTCTGGTTGATTTTTAGGCTTAGCACAAGTAAGAAGTGAAGGCTAAGGCAGAGTTATAAATGGTGTGGCTAGTCAGCCGGGTGCAGTGGCTCACACCTGTAATCCCAGCACTTTGAGAGGCCAAGGCAGGCAGATCATGAGGTCAGGAGATCCAGACCATCCTGTCCACTATGGTGAAACCCTGTCTCTACTAAAAAATACGAAAATTAGCCAGGTGTGGTGGCATGCACCTCTAGTCCCAGCTACTCAGGAGGCTGAGGCAGGAGAATTGCTTGAACCCAGGAGGTAGAAGTTGTAGTGAGCCGAGATCGCGCCACTGCACTCCAGCCTGGGCAACGGAGTGAGACTCTGTCTCAAAAATAAATAAATAAATGGTGTGGCTGAGCATTGAAGTATTGGCACCAACACAGAGCCAATTTGCAAAGACCTGATGGTACTTTTTCTTTTTTGCCTCTAGGAGTTTAAGAAAATCTTTGATAAACCATTAGCTGACTACTATGCTAAAAAAACAGAGACCACACAATTCAAAGAACCGTATAAAATAGTTTAGAAAAGTCACTAAACAAACAACCACAACCTACAGAGAGCAACAAAAAATCCTGGAATGGGGAGAATTTTATTTCCAGAGTTACCGCATTGTTATATTCAAAATGACCACTTTTCAACAAAAAATTATGAGGCATGCAAAAAACAATGAAGTGTGCCCTGTTCATAGGAAAAAAAAATTAACAAAAACAGTCCTTGAGAAAGCATAGGCATTGGACTTACTAGACAAAGACTTCAAATCAACTCTCTTAAATATGCTCAAAGAACTAAATGTAGCTGGCCAGGTGCAGTGGCTCATGCCTGTAATCCCAGCACATTGGGAGGCCAAGGCAGATGGTTCACCTGAGGTCAGGAGTTCAAGACCAGCTTCACCAATATGGTGAAATCCCATCTCTACTGAAAATACAAAAATTAGCCAGGTGTGGTGGCATGTGCCTGTAGTCCCAGCTACTCGGGAGGCTGAGACAGAAGAATTGCTTGAACCTGGGAGGCAAAGGTTGTACTGAGCCGAGATCGTGCCACTGCACTCCAGCCTGGGCAACAGACTGAGACTCTGTCTCAAAAAAAAAAAAACAAAAAAACTAAAGGAAGCCATCATGGACAAAGAACCAAAGGAGAACAGTGTCTCAACAAGTAGAAAATATCAATAAAGGCAGAAAAATTATTTAAAGGAACCAAATAGAAATTCTGGAGCTAAAAAGTGTAATAAACTGAAAGAAAAAATTCGCTAGACACATTCAACAGCAGATTTAAGCAGTCAGAAATATCAGAAAACTGAAGATAAGTCAATTGAAATCATCCAGTCTGAGAAGCAGAAAGAAAAAAGAATGAAGAAAAATGAACAGACACTAAGAGAATTGTAGGATACCATCAAGTATATCAATATATGCATAACAGGAATCCCAGAGGGAGAGGAGGGATAGAAAGGAGGAGAAAGAATACTTGAAAAAAATAACTTAAAAACTTCCTAAATTTTTTTTTTGAGACAGAGTCTCACTCTGTCACTCTGTCACTCGAGCTAGAGTATAGTGGCATGAACTTAGCTCACTGCAACCTCCACCTTCCAGGTTCAAGCTATTCTCATTCCTCAGCCTCCTGAGTAGCTGGGATTACAAGTGCGTGCTACCACTCCTGGCTAATTTTTGTATTTTTAATAGAGACAGGGTTTCACCATATTGGCCAGGCTGGTCTCGAACTCCTGACCTCAAGTGATCTGCCCGCCTCGGTCTCCCAAATTGCTGGGGTTACAGGTGTGAGTCACTGCGCCTGGTCAACTTCCTAAATTTAACAAAATAAATGAACATCTCAACAGATACACAGGAATTACAAATAAAGAAACAGAGAAAACTAGAATGACCCTGTGATGCCATATTAATAGGATATATTCATATAAATTCACGATTTTCAATATATATGGATAGGTATAGAAATAAATATAGTTGTAAGTGTGTATATGAATATGTGCATGTATTTGTGTACACATGAATGCACAGATCCTAGCTCTGTCTACCAAGAAAATGTGTTAGTTAAGGCCTACTAATAAGCAGGCACCGAGACAGAATTCAATGTGCAAGAGATTTATTGGGGGAGTGTGATAGCCTCCAGCATGGTCCCTAATGATTCTCACCTCTTGGTAGTCACATCCCTGTGAAATCCCCTCCCACACTGAGTAGGACTGACCTATTACTGCAGTGACAGCATGAGACTTTCAGGCTAAACAATAAAAGACATAGTAGTGTCTGTGTTGTTCTATTGAAACAGTCACTGTAGGGGGAGAATCAGCTGCCATGGCATGAGATACTCAAGATGCCCTATGGAGTCGTCCATGTAGTAAGGAACTGAGACCTCCTTCCAACAACCAAGTGAGTCATCTTGGAAGTAGATCCTTGAGGCCGAAGCCAAGCCACCATATGACTATGCTTTGGCTGACATCTTCACAGCAACATCATGAGAGATTTCAAGCCAGTGAAGCTGCTCCAGAATTTCTGACCTATAGAAACTGTGAGATAATAAACACAATCGACCCTTGAAAAACGTGGAGGTTAGAAGTGCTGACCTCCACTCAGTTGAAAATCCATGTATAGCTTTTTTTGTTTTGAGACAGAGTCTCACTCTGTCACCCAGGTTGGAGTGCAGCGGTGCAATCTCGGCTCACTGCAATCTCAGCCTCCTGAGTTCAAGCGATTCTCCTGCCTCAGCCTCCTGAGTAGCTGAGATTACAGGCATGTGCCACCACACCCAGCTAATTTTGGTGTTGTTGTTGTTGTTTTTGAGACAGATTCTCACTCTGTCGCCAGGCTGGAGTACAGTAGCGTGATCTCGGCTCACTGCCACCTCTGCCTCCTGGGTTCAAGTGATTCTCCTGCCTCAGCCTCTGGAATAGCTGGGACTACAGGTGCGCACCACCACGCGCAGATAATTTTTGTATTTTTAGTAGAGATGGGGTTTCACCATGTTGGTCAGGATGGTCTCTATCTCTTGAGCTCGTGATCCCCCCACCTTGGCCTCCCAAAATGCTGGGATTATAGGCGTGAGCCACTGCGCCCAGCCCTAATTTTTGTATTTTTTAAAAGTAGAAACAGGGTTTTGCCATGTTGGCCAGGCTAGTCTTGAACTCCTGACCTCAGGTGATTCACCCTCCTCAGCCTCCCAAAGTGCTAGGATTATAGGCCTGAGCCACCGTATCAGCCCATGTATAACTTTTGACTCCTCCAAAACTTAATTACTAATAGCCTATTGTCAACCAGAAGGCTTACTGGTAACATAGTTGATTTACACATATTGTTTGTTATATTTATTATATATACTGTATTCTTACACTAAAGTAAGCTAGAAAAAAGAAAATGTAATTTTATTTTTCATGAAAATCTTAAGGATGAGAAAATACATTTACAGTACTATACAGTACAGTACTGTACTGTGCTTATCGATATTGCAAAATTACATAAAGATGGATACTTTGAAGTAATGGGTAATGGTATGCAGACCTCAATCTACAGTACATACCAAGCAATTCCACTTTTTTCTTGTAAGGTCATGACTTTTTTCTGCTTCTTGGGAGCACTTCCAGCATCACTAGTGGCACTTTGCATGGGTTCCAGGATGTTATTCAAGGGTTTATGGTATTGCACTAAATGCGATAAAAAACGTGCAAGATCCACGAGAAATCACTTTTCACTGTGAAATGCCATTTACTGGAAAGATCAGCTGCTCACACAGAGATGAGTAGCATCCCACTGGGTTTTAAGCAGATACTCACAATACTTGATCTCATCACAATAGCAATAGGAGGTGGCTGTGAAATTATAACAGTAGTACAGTATATACAACAGTTAATTTTATGCAGTTATGATTTCATATTGCATCTTTACATTTGTTTACATTTATCTAGACGAAAATGAAGCCATGTATGGTCTGTATTTGTGTGTGTAAGTTTTGATAAATTTCAATTTTTTGGAATAGATTTGTGTATAATTTATGGTAGTAAATGACAAAAATAGACTAGTATCTACATATATTTTGTGCATTCATGACATACCTAACTTTTTCTTAATTTTTTTGCTATTTCTAGGGTATATGGTTTATCTTCAAGTTTTTTCAAATTGTTGCCAATCTCCAAAAAAATTCCAATATATTTACTGAAAAAAGTTCATGTATAAGTGGACCCACTCAGTTCAAACCTGTGTTGTTCAAGGGCAAATTGTACTTATTTTAAGCCACTACATTTTGGGGGTAATTGTTACACAGTAATAGGTAAGTAATACCAGTAGAAAGTAAGAGAAGGAAGAGAGATTCCTCACGCTGAGATGCAGATCTGACATTTCTAGAAGGAGAGAAGAATGAAGGATTGGAGTAGGACAAGTCTTGGACTACTGCATTGTTCCAAGAATGAATTTACCAAGCAGATTGGGAGTCCCAAGCCAAAGTTGTCCCCTAGAGGATTCCTGTATTTTGCCAGAACAGACCTACCTTAGTACCCCTGCTGGGCTCAGGCACTGACTGGGAATAACCCTTTAAAAGTTGGCCTCAGTGTGAATAGGGTGATAGATTTAGGAGGCAGTAGTTGGGGCTATCTGTCAATTATGCTCCCCACAGCAGGAGAACTGAGTGACACATTTCATAGCTATCACAGCAGGCCTGGAAGAGATGACAGCCCAATAGCAATGAGCAGAGCTAGTGTCAAGATGTTAGCTTCTTTTTTTTTTTTTCAGACAGAGTTTCGCTCTGGTTGCCCAGGCTGGAGTGCAATAGTGAGATCTCAGCTCATTGCAACCTCCGCCTCCCGAGTTCAAGCGATTCTCCTGCCTCAGCCTTTCGAGTAGCTGGGATTACAGGCCCCCACCACCATGCCCAGCTAATTTTTTGTATTTTTAGTAGAGATGGAGTTTCACTATGTTGGCCAGGCTGGTCTCAAACTCCTGACCTCAGGAGATCCACCCACCTCAGCCTCCCAAAGTGCTGGGATTACAGGCATGAGCCATCATGCCAGGCTCAAGATCTTAGCTTATAAATAATATTTTCCTTGAAAAGGAACCAGGGCTCCTTAGAGAAATGGCTGATCCCACATCTGAGGCAGGAAAAGTATAAGATGAGTCTGGAACAGCTGGTAGTGACAGAGCAAGGAAGGGCTCAAGAAATGACAGAAACATGTGAAAAGGACATAGATGCCAGCTTGAAGGGACTTCCACTGGTCAAATCAGGAACAATTTGAGCATCAAAATTAAAAATGGCAGTAAGAGATTATAACCCATTGAATAAAATAAGGAATTATGGGTTCAAACAGACATAAAGACATATACATACATACATACATACATACACACACACACATCAAAAGTTTGATGAGGAATGGGATATTTACGTGGTTCATGGTGGACAGATACTGCCCAGATCAAAGAACCAAAGTCAAAATCATTAGTAATAGGACAAATTGAAATTATGTGCTACCTGATAGGATATAAGAAGAAAGCAGTTATCACTTCTATGGTATTCCTCTAAAAGGTGTATAACCTGAATGTAATCATATGAAAACACCAGTAAACCCCAAATTAAGGGACAAGTTACAAAATAACCGACCTGTTTTCTTCAAATGTATCAAGGTCATGAACGTCAAGGAAAGACTGGGGAATTGTTCCAGGCTGAAGCAGACTAGACAGACATAAAGACTCAGAACAATGTGTGATTCTGAACTGGATCCTATTGCTACAGAACATTTTATTGAGACAATTGACAAAACTTGAGTGAGATCTGAGGATTAGGTAGTGATCATGTATCAATGTTAATTTTCTAATTTTGATGGTTGCACTGTGATTACGTAGGAGAAGGTCTTTATTTGTAGGAAACAATACTAAAAATATTTGGGGTGGTGGAGCACCAAGTCCTCACTCTCAAATGGTCAAGGACAAAAAGTCCTTTGCACTGCACTTAACTTTTTTATTCAACTTTGCAAATGTTTCAAAATAAAAAAATAAAAGTATGCATGCTATTTGAAAGATAAACCTGTTATAAATATAAGGTTTTATCATTTAAATCCGGAGAGCTCTTTAACATCTTTAACTTGATGAGTAGCTACCCTCTTTCTTTTCTACCCGTCCAAGCTTACTTTAATTCATTCACAAGACTGAATGGAATCTCAACATTTAAATACTTAATCTCTTTCTTTAATCTTTGGCACCAAGGAACTGGATTTCCCCAGTTGTATGAGTCACCCGATAACAAATTTCCCAGCTTAAATAGTTTTAAAGTTGTACTATTAGTAAGGCAACACTGTTCATTGTGTCTCAGATTCAAGGATTTATAGTAACAATGTGTTTTAGCATGCATATTCTTTTTCAACATATACGTTTTTCTTTGATGCCGTAAAAAGTCTTTCTGATGTTGAACAGTTTTAATGCAGTTATGCCATGATGGAACCACCCCTCTCCTCACTCCCAGAAAATCACACAGCTTGATATGTTTTTAGCCTTCATCTGAATTGTAAAACACTGAATTCTTACAGTTTTCTAAAAGAAAAAGAAAAAAACTTGCCATTGCTATTTTGGGAGCATTTGTCCAGATAAATAAAACACGGTCCTGATCCCACCCTGCCTGTCCTCGCATTTCTGAGAGTGAAGATACAGAACACTGCAGTCAGGGGAGAAAACATATTTTTTTTTCCTTCCCTGTCAGAATCTGTTCCATTGGGAGGTGAAGTATATGAACCCAATTTTTGCCTTGGAGATAAAGAGAAAAAAATCAATTCTACCAAGATTTACTTTATGTGAAAGCACTTAAGCAGATTCCCTAGACATGTGTTTCTGAAGGGTTGCACCCTCCAGCCATCTGACTTTTGGCCAAGTCCAGAGACATTTTAGGTTGTCAGAACTACGGGGTGGGAGATGCTACTGGCATCTTGTGGGTAGAGGGCAGGGATGTTGCTAAGCATCCTACAACATACTAGACGGTCCCCACAAGCGAGTTGGCCAAGTGCGATGGCTCATGCCTGTAATCCTAGTGCTTTGGGAGGTGGACATGGGAGGATCTCTCGAGCCCAGGGGTTTGAGACCAGGCCAACAAACAGTGAGATCTCATCTCTACAAAAAAATAAAAAATTAGCTGGGTGTGGTGGTGCATGCAGGTTGTCCCAGCTATTCAGGAAGCTGAGGCAGGAGGATCACTTGAGCCCAGGAGGTCAAGGCTGCAGTGAGCTATGATCGCACCACTGCACTCCAGCCTGGGTGACAGAGCAAGACTCTGTCTCTAAAAAAAACACAAAGGCCTAGCTCAGTGGCTCACCTCTGTAATCCCAGCACTTTGGGAGGCTGAGCCAGCAGGATCACTTGAGCTCAGGAGTTAAAACCAAGCTGGGCAAGACCTCGTCTCTACAAAAAAGAAAAAAAAAAAAAAAAAAAAAAAGGCCAGGCGCAGTGGCTCACAGCTGTAATCCCAGCACTTTGGGAGCCTGAGGCGGGTGGATTCCTTGACCCCAGGAGGTCAGCTGCAGTGAGCTGTGATTGTGCCATTGCACTCTAGCCTGGGCGACAGGAATGAGACCTTGTCTCAAAAAAAAAAAAAAAAAAAAAAAAAAAAAAAAGCTGTTAGTGCCAAGGCTGAGAAACCCTGTCCAAGATTAATGCAGAGTACAGAGAAGAAAGAAGACCTCAGGAGGAGGGGGGAAACACCAAGAAATACAAACACAAAATTAAAAGAAAAAAAAAAACCTAATAAACAGTGAATTTCACACCAATTTATAAAGATACAGGATTTTAGGGATTAACATTCCTATTTGGTGGCCTTTCAGGATATTGCTAAGAGGACTTTAAGGTCATTTTGAGTTTTTCTACTACTACATTTTTATCAATTCTTTCACCAAGCATTTCTTGAGCACCTACTGTGTGCCAGAGGCTGAGGACACAAAGATGTGAGCTTTTCTCTTCCCTGGGGGAGCTGGGAGATTTTAGTGGTGGAAATACCTATAAATGAAGAATTGGAATTCCAAGGACAAGAGGTAAAGGGCAAGAAAAAGAGTTCTTCTCTATACCAAGCACTCCTGCTTACCTCCAGTCATCTTCATTCCGCTCTCACCAGTGAGTGTTATTCCCTTTTCACAAAAGAAGAAACTGTGAGATTAATAACAAGAGCAGACAAGCAAGTGTCGGGCCCTGTTCTCAATGTTTTAATTAATTTATTTATTTTTAAATTGTTGTTGTTGTTGTTGTTGTTTTGAGACCAAAGTCCCCCTCTGTCGCCCAGGCTGGAGTGCAGTGCTGTGATTTCGGTTCACTGCAGCCCTCGCCTTCTAGGTTCAAGCAATTCTCATGCCTCAGCCTCCCGAGTAGCTAGGATTATAGGCGTGCACCAACGTGCCCAGCTAATTTTTGTATTTTTAGTAGAGACCGGGTTTCACCATGTTGGCCAGGCTGGTCTCGATCACCCAACCTCAAGTGATCCACCCGCCTCAGCCTCCCAAAGTGCTGGGATTACAGGCATGAGTCACCACGCCCAGCCCTCAGTGTTTTCTCATGTAACTCATTTTATTTTTTTTATTAACTCATTTTACTTTCACAACTATCCTTTGAGGAGGGCATTAATATCATCACCTTCGTTTTACATCCGTGGGTGCTGAGGGACCAAGCGTTTAGGTAACTTGTCCAAGGTCCCACAGCCAGGCTGTCTGGCCGCAGAATCCATGCCCTTCACAATCTACACTGGTGCTTCTCTTATGCTTCATCCAAGGAAGAAAATGGTAGATCTGGGCTTAAAAGCCAGAGTGTGACTGGAAACCCAATGCTCTTCTGCTACATGATACTCTCCCCTGTTCTAGAAAAGAGCTCAACATGCTATAGGCTCACAGGTGTCTGATTGCGCCTGAAGAAGTCAAAGTCGATTTCAGTTGGAGGTAGCATCTGAGCTCATAGTGGAGGTATATGCCAGAAGGAAGGTCAGACAAAGGGAGAAGGACAAGAACAGCTGGAATAGAAAACAATAAACTTCACCATGGCTAGCAGTTTGTTGTGGTTGGAATGTAAGCTATACCAGAGCAAAGGACTAAAGAGAACCTAGAGGCCAGGTGCAGTGGCTCACACCTGTAATCCCAGCACTTTGGGAGGCCAAGATGGGAGGATCACTTAAGCCTAGGAGTTTGAGACCGGTCTGGGCAACATAAAGAGACCTCATCTTTACAAAAAAATAAAATTTTAAAGGCATGGTGGTACACACCTGTAGTCCTATCTACTCAGGAGGCTGAGGCAGGAGGATCACTTGAGCCCAGGAGGCTGAAGCTGCAGTGAGCCATAATCATACCACTGTACTCCAGCCTGGATAACAGAGCAAGACCCTGTCCCCAAAAAAAAGAAAAAAAAAAAAGAACCTAGAGAAGTAAATAAGGGTAAGATCAGGAAGTGTGAGCTTTAACTTCCAGGCAAAAGGTAATTATTAAAAGACCATAAGGAGGCCAGGCGTGGTGGCTAACACCTGTAATCCCAGCACTTTGGGAGGCCAAGGCAGGTGGATCACCTGAGGCCAGGAGTTTGAGACCAGCCTGGCCAACATGGTGAAACCCCATCTCTACTAAAAATATAAAAGTTAGCCAGGTGTGGTGGCCTGTAATCCCAGCTACTCGGGAGGCTGAGGCAGGAGAATCGCTTGAACCTAGGAGGCAGAGGTTGCAGTGAGCCGAGATCGCACCACTGCACTCAGCCTGGACAACAGGGTGAGACTCGGTCTCAAAAAAAAAAAAAAAAAGAACATAAGCAGAGCATGATCTGACTTAACATCAACTTGATATCAACCCATACTTTGGAGTCTAGAACAAATATTTCCCATTCCTTTCTGTCCACATGCCCTGCTCTTGTTCTTTTTAATCTCACTTTACCTGGTTTAAATATTTATTTATTTATTTATTTATTTATTTATTTATTTATTTATTTGAGACTGAGTCTCACTCTGTCGCCCAGGCTGGAGTGTGGTGGGACAATCTCAGCTCACTGCAACCTCCGCCTCCCAGGTTCAAGTGATACTCGTGCCTCAGCTTCCCGTGTAGCTGGGATTACAGGAGCACATCACATCTGGCTAATTTTCATATTTTTAGTAGAGATGGGGTTTCACTATGTTGGCCAGGCTGGTCTCAAACTCCTGGCCTCAAGTGATCTGCCCACCTTGGCCTCCCAAAGTGCTGGGATTGCAGGTGTTAGCCACAAGCGCCTGGCCTAAATGTGTATAATGTGGGAGAAGAAGACGAAAAATCTGGACTGCCTTTCCCCTAGCAATTCTCAGCAGCTCTCAATGCCACTCAAGCCTGCTGACCTGCAGGAGTTATTAATGATGACAGAGTGCTGTTGAAAGCAATAAGCAATGTGATGAAATTACAACCAAAATCACGCTTTCTAGATTGATGTGGTTGGGTACATTTTGAGTGACAGTGGTCCTATTAGTAATACTCATATAGGGCTTTATAGTATACCAAGCGTTTTTACATGCACTCTGTTGTTTGATCATCAAAACAAACCAAGGAGGTAGGTGTTATCCCATTTCACAGATGTGGAAACTGAAGCTTCCAGAGCTTGTTTGGGTAAGTAGAAAGAATGAACACAGAACTCCAGACTTCCAGTCTCATCCTCTCTCCTTGCCTTCCTGCCTTGCCTTCCTCCCTCTTTAACAATATTTTCTTTTGTTTTGTTTTTGTTTTTATATGTTTTAATTTTCCCGTATGAGTGGGACAGCAAAAGCCAGGAGACTTGATTTGTCCTCCCCTGTCTTGTGTAGGGTTAGCCCACTGTGGCCCCTACGCTTGCTAATGCAGCCCCGTGATGTTTTTCCAGATCCCTCCTGTCACCCTTAGTGGCTCTTGATCCTGATGGATCAAGAGTGTGCTTCTTGGCTAGGTGCAGTGGCTCGCACCTATAATGCCAGCACTTTGGGAGGCCAAGGTCGGGGGAACACTTGAGGTCAAGAGTTAGAGACCAGCCTGGCCAACATGGTGGAACTCCATCTCTAGTAATACAAAAATTAGCCGGGCATGGTGGCGGGCACCTATAATCCCAGCTACTTGGGAGGCTGAGGCAGGAGAACTGTGTGAACCTGGAGGCAGAGGTTGCAGTGAGCCAAGATCTCGACACTGCACTCCAGCCTGGGCAACAGAGTGAGACTCCATCTAAAAAAAAAAAAACACCACCACCATCACCAACAACAACAACAGAAAGAGTGTGCTCTTTGGCATGGCACAGAAGACTTTCTGCGTCCTGTCTTCTGTCCTCCTGTGACCAACCATCCTGGTTTGCCCAGAACTGAGGGACAGGGGACTTTCACTGCTAAAACTGGGACAGTTCTGGGCAAAGTGGAGCAGTCGGTTACTCTTGTTCTCCCTCTCCAGCTGCCTAATCTGCCACTCTCAAACTCCAACTTCTAAGATCCCAGCAATTGCTGTCCTGTTTCAACCCCCTGCCTTTGCTTATGCTGTTCTTTTTATCGAAAACACATACCTCTACCTTCTCTCAGCCACTTCCTACTTTTTCTTTAAAACTATGTTCTGGGGCCGGGTGCAGTGTCTCACGCCTGTAATCCCAGCACTTTGGGAGGCCGAGGTGGGCGGATCACGAGGTCAGGCGATTGAGACCATCCTGGCTAACACGGTGAAACCCCATCTCTACTAAAAATACAAAAAATTAGCCGGGCGTGGTGGTGGGCACCTGTAGTCCCAGCTACTCAGGAGGCTGAGGCAGCAGAATGGCATGAACCTGGGAGGCGGAGCTTGCAGTGAGCCGAGATGACGCCACTGCACCCCAGCCTGGGTGACAGAGCAAGACTCCGTCTCAAAATAAATAAATAAATAAATAAAACTATGTTCTTAAATGTAGGTACTGATTTCTTTCTTTCTTTTCTTTTCCTTTTTTTTTTTTTTTTTTTTTTTGAGACGCAGTCTTGCTCTGTCACCCAGGCTGGAGTGCAGTGGCATGAACTTGGCTCACTGCAACCTCCACCTCCCGGGTTCAAGTGATTCTCCTGCCTCAGCCTCCCGAGTAGCTGGGATTACAGGTGCATGCCACCACACCCAGCTAATTTTTGTTTTTAGTAGAGATGGGGTTTCACCATGTTGGCCAGGCTGATCTCAAACTCCTGACCTCAGGTGATCCACCTGCCTTGGCCTCCCAAAGTGCTGGGATTACAGGTGTGAGCCACCACACCCAGCTTGTTTCTTTCTTTTTTCAATTAAAAAATATATATATATGGAATGCTGGTGGGGCTCGGTGGCTCACGCCTATAATCCCAGCACTTTGGGAGGCTGAGGCGGGCAGATCATGAGGTCAGGAGTTTGAGACCAGCCTGACCAACATGGTGAAACCCCTTCTGTACTAAAATTAGCCAGGCATGGTGGCATGTGCCTGTAATCCCAGCTAAGGCTGAAGCAGGAGAATTGTTTGAACCCAGGAGGTGGAGGTTGCAGTGAGCCGAGATCACGCCACTGCACTCCAGCCTGAGCAACAGAAAAAAAAAAAAAGGAATGCTTCACGAATTTGTGTGTCATCCTTAAGCAGGGGGCATGCTAATCTTGTATCATTCCAATTTTTGTATATGTGCTGCCGAAGCCATCACCAAAGCATTTGTTTCTTTGACTGTATTGTGAACTGAATGTTTGTGCCCCCCAACAATTATATGTTAAAATACTAACACTGAAGGTGAGGGTAGTAGGAGGTGGCATCTTTATAACGTGATTAGGTCATAAGGGGGAGCCCTTACAAATGGTATCAGTAGATACCATTTGTGGATATCTACTGTGGGTGCAGTGGCTGATGCCTATAACCCCAGCACTTTGGGAGGCCAAGGCAGACGGATCATGAGGTCAAAAGATCGAGACCATCCTGGCCAACATGGTGAAACCTCGTCTCTACTAAAAATATGAAAATTAGCTGGGTGTAGTGGCTCACACCTGTAGTCCCAGCTACTCGAGAGGCTGAGGCAGGAGAATCGCTTGAATCCGGGAGGCAGACGTTACAGTGAGCCGAGATTGTGCCACTGCACTCCAGCCTGGTGACAGAACGAGACTGTCTAAAAAAAAAAAAAATCAAAAACAAACAACAACAACAACAAAAAAAAACAAATGGTATTAGTTTCCTTATAAGAAGAGACACGAGAGAGGTGATATTTTTTTCTCTCCCATATGAGGATACAATGAGAAGATAGCCATCTACAAACTAGAAAGAGTGCCCTCACAAGACACCAGATCTGTCAGCCACCTAATCTTGGACTTCCCAGTCTCTAGAACTGTGAGAAATACATGCTTGCTGTTTAAAATGTTTATTCTTTAAGCCACTTGCTCTATGGTATTCTGTGATAGCATTCTGAATGAAAACAGGCTGTCTCTTCCAGAATATGTTATGCTTCTTTGTAAGGCATCTTTTCATCCCAGTCTGTTGTAGAATTCCTGGCATGTAGTAGGCAAGTAATAAAGCTATGCAAGCAGATCAAATGGTGCTAGGACTCTGTAAGAATTTTTCTCAGTTCCCTTCCACAGATCTCTTGCCAGAGAGAAAAGGTTCCCCTCAGGGCAGCAAGGTAGAAGACTCAAGAAGTGAGCAGAGTTGAGATCATAGAAGGCTTGGCTTTCCATGCTTAGGGGTGCAGGCTTTCATGTGTTTGCAATGGAGAGTCATTAACAGGACAAAAAAAAAATCGGTGGCCCTTTGTCTATGAACTCAATAAGAGCCTGGGCAAGAAAAAAAGAAATGTAGGTAACCAGCCCAGCAAGAATAGCAACAAAGAGGCAACACTCAAGCCTCCTAGTATGTCTAGAGTTCTGTACACCCTCCTCAGGGCTAGAAGGGCCTCAGTGTCTGAGTCTACCTGAGCCCACAGGTGGAAGAACAAAACAGGAAACATTTCCTGACCCAAGAAAATAGTTTAAATTGCAAAGGCACACATTACAGTTAGGTACAATATAAACAATTCCCTGGCACATTTATTGTCAAACTTTAGTGTACGTCAGAATCACCTGTAGGGCTTGTTAACACAGAGATTGCTGAGTCCCATCCTCAGAGATCTGATTCAGTAGGTTTGAGATGTGGCCTGGGAATCTGCATGTCTAACAAGTTCCTAGGTGGTGCTGCTGGTCTGGAGACAATGCTTCTAGGACCACCACTCCAGAACCCACTCCACCTCTCTCTCATCAACGGATAACTTGCCTGTCCTTGATTCAAGGCTTGCCTCTTTCCTTGCTAACAACATCCCTCAATCTCCTTTCAGGGACTCATTCTCCTTTGGACATTTTCAGATCTGTGCTATGGGTGGGGAGGACAAAATAACACCTTCCCTCATCAGAGCTACCTTAACCCTCACTCTACTTCTGGCTTTTTCTTACAACTTCAAAAATTGTTTGTGGCCGGGCGTGGTGGCTCACGCCTGTAATCCCAGCACTCTAGGAGGCCGAGGCAGGTGGATCACCTGGGGTCAGGAGTTCGAGACCAGCCTGGCCAACGTGGCAAAACCCCGTCTCTACTAAAAATACAAAAATCAGGCGGGCGTGGTGGTGCGCGCCTGTAATCCCAGCTACTCTGGAGGCTGAGACAGGAGAATCGCTTGAACCCAGGAGGCAGATGTTGCAGTGAGCCGAGATCGCACCACTGCACTCCAGCCTGGGTGACAGAGCAAGACTCTGTCTCAAAAAAAATACAAAAATAAAAATTGTTTTTATTGACTACTTTCATTTTCTCACCATTCATTCTCTCTTTAACCTCTTGTAATCTTTCTTTTATCCTGTCTAGCACTCTGTTATTCATAAAGAGTATTTATAAGCTGGGCGCGGTGGCTTATGCCTGTAATCCCAGCACTTTGGGAAGCCGAGGCAGGTGGATCATTTGAGGTCAAGAGTTCGAGCCAGCCTGGCCAACATGGCGAAACCTCGTCTCTATTGAAAATACAAAAATTAGTTGGGTGTGGTGGCACGCGCCTGTAATCCCAGCTACTCGTGAGGCTGAGGCAGGAGGATGGCTAGAACCTGGGAGGCTGAGGTTGCAGTGAGTGGAGATAGTGCCACTGCACTCCAACCTGGGCGATAGAATGAGACCCTGTCTTAAAAAAAAGAAGCACAAGAAGAGATTGCCCTTCTTGCCTTTGAGTACAGTTTTCCTGAAGATGTGAATGGTTGAAGCTGTGACAGCCATTTTGTTAGAATGAAGGCTTACATCTGAGCACAAAACGCAACACATTGAGGATGCCAAAGCAGAACGTTGAGAAGCATCTGGGTTATCAACATCATTTTGCAACTAATTAACCAATTCCAGAATTACCTGTCTTCAGACTTCTTGCTATGTGTAATGATAATCCCCTATTTTTTTCTTTGAGCTGGTGCTTTTCTTTTTTCTTTTTCTTTTTCTTTTTTTTTTCTTTTTGAGACGGAGTCTCGCTCTGTCGCCCAGGCTGGAGTGCAGTGGCGCGATCTCGGCTCACTGCAAGCTCCGCCTCCCGGGTTCACGCCATTCTCCTGCCTCAGCCTCCCAAGTAGCTGGGACTACAGGCGCCCACCACCGCGCCCGGCTAATTTTGTTTTTGTATTTTTAGTAGAGATGGGGTTTCACCGTGTTAGCCAGGATGGTCTGGATCTCCTGACCTCGTAATCTGCCCGCCTCGGCCTCCCAAAGTGCTGGGATTACAGGCGTGAGCCACTTTGCCCGGCCGCTTTTCTTTTCTTTTCTTTTCTTTTTTTTTTTTTTTTGAGACAGAGTCTCACTCTGTCGCCTCTGGCTGGAGTGCAGTCGTGCGATCTCAGCTCACTGCAACCTCTGTGCCTCCTGGATTCAAGCGATTCTCCTGTCTCAGCCTCCTGAATAGCTGGGATTACAGGAGCCCGCGACCACACCCAGCTAATTTTTGTATTTTTTTTAGTAGAGACGGGTTTTCACCAAGTTGGCCAGGCTGGTCTCAAACTCCCGACCTCAGGTGATCCACCCGCCTCGGCCCCCCAAAGTGTTGGGATTAAAGGAGTGAGCCACCGCTCCAGGCTCACCCCTTTAGAATCTACTTGCTACTCTGAGTACCTTCTTACAAATGCAATTGCGGTGCTTCTCACAGATTCATTTAAAAAAAAAAAAAAAAGAGGCCGGGCGCGGTGGCTCACGCCTGTAATCCCAGCACTTTGGGAGGCCGAGGCGGGCGGATCACGAGGTCAGGAGATCGAGACCATCCTGGCTAACACGGTGAAACCCCGTCTCTACTAAAAGCACAAAAAATTAGCCGGGCGTGGTGGCAGGCGCCTGTAGTCCCAGCTACTCGGGAGGCTGAGCCAGGAGAGTGACGTGAACCCAGGAGGCGGAGCTTGCAGTGAGCCAAGATTGCGCCACTGCACTCCAAAGACTTAAAGTCCAATGTTAAAAAAGGGAGAAAATTACCCAGGATATTTTGTATCCTGAGTATACGTTATATAGAGATTGGTGGTGGTGGTGATTTTTGTTGCATTTGGGAGTTGCTATGAAAGTTGAGGGACTAATTTTTTTTTTCTTTTTGCTTAGGCAAACTCCTGAAAACTACTTCTCTTCCTATTTTCATGCAGAGAAACTTAATTTCTCCTTGCCTTTTCTCCCCCTGTGGAGTTAAAAATAGTATGGATGCATTTATTTTGTGTCAATTTCCATTAGGATGCCTGCAGATACTAACAGATTCTTCAAAGTCCAAAAAGCAACCTCAGATTTTCACATTGGGGTAAGTGGAAAATAGAAGGCCCTTGATTCCTATTAACTAACCTGATTGGGTATCACCATTGTTTTCATTGCTAATAATTGTTTTCCAATGAGAATATGAATATTTTTATTTTAATGGAAGTTTTATACCTACAGTAAATTCATAGGCATTAGTTCATTCACTACTAAAATGTATACTTCTCTGAACTCAGACACACAGGCCATTTAACAGGATACATGTGACATAATAAATTAAAGTGACATGAAAATGAAAGTTTCATCTATTTAGAACTGCAGAGAAGATTTCAGGTTGTCAGATTATATGTTATTACTAAGTCTTGGTTATTGAGGTTAGTGCAGTAAATTGATTGAGTGCTTCATTTAAAATACTAATTGAGCACCTGTCTGTAAACAGCAGTTAGGCAATATGGGTGAATACTAAAAAGGTAACTTTGGTAATATTGGGAATACTAAAAATATATACAGAGAGAACGAGCACGAAAGTTTCATTAAAGAAAAGTGTAATGGAAGACATTTGACATATACATAAGAAAAACTCATTAATAATGAAAAGCAACCATACAAGAAATTTAGAGAAGCAGAGTGCCGAGGGAGTGGGGGCGGTGGGAGGCGGTAAGTGCTAAGCATCGGTCCCCTCAGCAGTTTGAATGATTTTATGAAGCAGGTAAGATTCCTTCATAGGAAGCTGAGAGAGGGTGAGGGTAAGTGGAGGGGCTTGGATGATCACAGTATGAAAAAATGGGAAAAATGGAAGGAAGACTATTCTATTCAAGAAGACCTAACAGCAAAGCCATGCTCATGGACCAGTGACTAGGCCAATCTGACCAGAGCAGAGATTTCAGATGGGAAAAAGCGTGAAAATCATATTTTAGTAGCGTTGGAAAATATCTAAGATTTCATCAGCAAGTTTCCTGGAAGAGATTGAGACTGGAAGGTTAGTTTGATTTATCAGTGTCTAGTAAAGTTGAAAACACACATACGATATGTTCTAGTCAATGCTTGGCAGGAAACAGAATGAGCTCTCACCCTGGGTAATTGAGGACAATTCAATAAAAGAACTATTTACCAAAATGTGGGCAGGGTTAATGGCAACCTTAAAAAGCAACAAGGGTAGCAATAGCAGGGGAGCCTGGGGGACTTCATTGCTGCCCCCAGGCCTGAAGAGGCAAAGAGAGGGAATGGTGATCAGAACTGCAGAACACAGGGAGAATAGCAGGGGCAGTAGGAGAGCTCCTTGACAGGAGGCCTTTGGTGGAGGAATGCAGCCAACCCACAGAGGCCCAGCAGGACGGGAGCCAGGAGAATAAATGCCCAGATCACACTCTCCTCCCACCCTCTGCTTTCCTGCTGGCATCTTCCAGAGGCCAAATCCAACAAGAAGTCAGAGGGAAAGGAAATTCATGGCTAGCAGTTCATAAAGGTCAGCTTCCTGGGGCCAATGCAGGGAGGAAGAAAGAGAAGATCAGAGGAGCAAATGGAAAACATCCAGTATACCACGTGACCCACAATTCTGTTACAGGACCACAACACTACCCCAAAGGTAGCCATTGGGTCAGGGTTTCTGCACTATAGTCCCATCTGGGTTGCCAGAAATATGTTACAAGGAAGGGGTCCCGATCTAGACCCCAAGAGAGGGTTCTTGGATCTCGCGCAACAAAGAATTCAGGGCGAGTTCGCAGTGCAAAGTGAAAGCAAGTTTATCAAGAAAGTAAAGAAATAAAAGAATGGCTACTCCATAGAGCAGCCCAGAGGGCTGCTGGTTGCCTGCTTTTATGGTTATTTTTGAGGTTATGCTAAACAAGGGGTGGATTATTCATGCCTCCCGTTTTTAGACTACATTAGGGTCACTTCCTGACGCTGCCATGGCATTTGTAAACTGTCATGGCGCTGGTGGGACTGTAGCAGTGAGGACGAGCAGAGGTCACTCTCGTTGCCATTTTGGTTTTGGTGGGTTTTGGCTGGCTCTTTTACCGCAAGCTGTGTTTGTTTGTTTGTTTGTTTTGAGACGGAGTTTCGCTCTTGTTGCCCAGGCTGGAGTGCAATGGAGCGATCTCGGCTCACCGCAACCTCCGCCTTCCGGGTTCAAGCGATTCTCCTGCCTCAGCCTCCGGAGTAGCTGGGATTACAGGCATGCGCCACCACTCCTGGCTAATTTTGTATTTTTAGTAGAAACGGGGTTTCTCCATGTTGGTCGGGCTGGTCTCCAACTCCCGACCTCAGGTGAGGTCTCCCAAAGTGCTCGGCCTTCCAAAGTGCTCGGCCTTCCAAAGTGCTCGGATTACAGGAGTGAGCCACCGCGCCCGGCCTTACTGCAAACTGTTTTATCAGCAAGGTCTTTATGACCTGTATTTTGTGCTGACTTCCTATCTCATCCTGTAACTTAGAATGCCTTAACCTTCTGGGAATGCATTCCAGTAAGTTTCAGCTCATTTTACCCAGCTTCTATTTAAGATGGAGTTGCTCTGGTTCACACGCCTCTGACAATTCTACTCTAAATTTCACACCGTATAGAAACTTCCACGTGTGCAAAAGGACAAGCACAAATATTGTCTTGCAGCATCGTTTTTAGTAGCTCTAAATTGGGGAAAAACTGAATGTTCATCAATACGGGGCTACGTAAATTGAGGTGTATTCATTGATAGAATGTAGTGCAGCCATTAAAATGAATGAACTGGATATATATAAGCATTTGTGTGTGTTTGTGCACGCGTGCACATGCATGTTTTAGAGGGATACATGTAGTATGACATACTGAATAAAAATATTTAAAACACACAGAAAAAGCAATTGTATATTGTTTCTACCTACATGTTATGTAATAGAAGTATAAAAACATGAGTAAGGCCGGGCACGGTGGCTCACACCTGTAATCCCAGCACTTTGGAAGGCCGAGGTGGGTGGATCACAAGGTCAAGAGATGGAGACCATCCTGGCCAACATGGTGAAACCCTGTCTCTACTGAAAATACAAAAATTAGCTGGGCATGGTGGCACGTGCCTGTAGTCCCAGCTACTCGGGAGGCTGAGGCAGGAGAATCACTTGAACCCGGCAGGCGGAGGTTGCAGTGAGCTGAGATTGTGCCACTGCACTCCAGCCTGGCAACAGAGCCAGACTCTGTCTCAAAAAAAAAAAAAAAAAAAAAGAGTAAAAGAATATATGAAGTCGCCTGTAATCCCAGCACTTTGGGAGGCCGAGTCAGGCAGATGACTTGAGGTCAGGAGTTCGAGACCAGCCTGGCCAACATGGCGAAACCCTGTCTCTACTAAAAATACAAAAAAATTAGCTGGGCATGGTGGTGTGTTCCTGTAACCCCAGCTACTCAGGAGGCTGAGGCAAGAGAATCGCTGGAACCCAGGAGGTGGAAGTTGCAGTGAGCTGAGATTGCACCACTGCACTCCAGTGTGGGCAACAGAGCGAGACTCTGTCTCAGAAAAAAAAAAGAATACATGAAATCAGAGAAACTCAAATTGTGATAGTAGTTTCTTCTGGTGAAGGAAGAAAAGAGAATGATATCAGGGAAGATGAAAAAAGAGACTGTATTAGTAAGGCTTCTCCAGAGAGAAAGAATCAACAGGATCAATGGATGCATAGGTAGATAGATAGATAGATAGATAGATAGATAGATAGATAGATAGATAGACAGACAGACAGACAGACAGACAGACAGATGAGAGGGGATTTATTAGAGGAATTAGCTCAAGTGATATGGAGGCTGAAAAATCTCATGACAGTCCATCTGCAAGCTGGAGACCCAGGGACACTAGGAGCATGGCTCAGTCCAGGTCTAAAAGCCAAAAAACCAGGGAAACTGATGGTGTAATTATCCATCCCAGGTGGAAGGCCTGAGAACCTGGAGTGCCCCTGGTATAAGTCCCAGAGTACAAAGACAGGAGAGCCTGGAGTTCTGACTTCCAAGGGCAGAAGAATGTGTCGCAGCTCCAGGAGAGAGAGAGAAAGAATTTCTTTCCTCCGCCTTTTGATTCTATCTGGGGGCCCCAAGGCAATCGGATCGTGCCCGCCCACATGGAGGGCATATCTTCCCTCCTTTATCCAGCAACTCACACACCAGTCTCCTCTGGAAACACTCCCACTGATACACCCAGAAGTAATGCCTTACCAGCTATCTAGGTATCACTTAATCCAGTCAAGTTGACACGTAAAATTAAGCGTCACAGGGGCCTTCAACTGTATTGCTTATTTCAGAAAGATCTGAGGCAAATATGACAAGTCTAGTGATACTGCTATGAAGGGGGAAAAAGGCAGAGGAAGGAGATGGGGAATCATGGTGGATGACATTTAAAATCTAGGAAGAATGATTACAAGAATCCCTCCTGGGGAGGGGATATCAGCGCAGAGACCTAAATGAGGGGAGGGTAGAGATGCAAACATCCAGGGGACCAATACTCCAAGCTGAGGGAGCGGCAGGTACAGACACTAAGGGGTATCCTGTTTGGCTCATGACTGCAGTCCCAGCACTTTGGGAGGCTGGAGCAGGAGAATTGCTTGAGCCCAAGAATTGAAGACCAGCCTGGGCAACATAGCAAGACCCTGTCTCTACAATTAAAAAAAAATTAGCCAGGCATTGTGGTACATGCCTGTAATCCCAGCTACTCAAGAAACTGAGGCAGGAAGATCATTTCAGCTCAAGGGGTTGAGGCTGCAGTGAGCCAAGATCACAGCACTGCACTCCAGTGTGGGTGACAGAGCAAGAACCTGTCTCTTAAAAAAAAAAGTGTATATATATGGAAAAAAATATATTTATATAAGGAGAATATATATATATTTCCATATATATATTTATATAAGGAGAATATGTATATTCTCTAAAAATATATATGTTTTTCCTTATATCTGAAAAAATATATATATATACTCCCTAAAAAGGAATTCCCTGCATTTTAAAACTGAAATATATATAAATGTTTTATATACATAACATTACATTTATATTTTTATATATATATATATATATATAGTGTTCTGTTTATGTTGTTGTTGTTGTTGTTTTGAGACAGAGTCTCACTCTATTGCCCAGGATGGAATGCACTGGTGCGATCTCTGCTCACTACAACCTCTGCCTCCTGGGTTCAAGCAATTCTCCCGCCTCAGCCTCCTGAGTAGCTGGGATTACAGGCACATGCCACCATGCCCGGCTAATTTTTGTATTTTTAATAGAGATGGGGTTTCACCTTATTGGCCAGGCTGGTCTCGAACTCCTGACCTCAAGTGATCCACCCACCTTGACCTCCCAGAGTGCTAGGATTACAGGCGTGAGCCACCACACCCAGCGTAAAGTGTTCTGTTTTAAGTGAACAATCCAGCATATTTAGTATATTAACAATGTTGTACAACCACAATCTCTAATTCCAAAACATTTCAATCACTATAAAATGAATCACTCTGTGCCCATAAGCACTTTCTCCCCATTTCTTCCTCTCCCCAACCCCTGGAAACCACCAACCTGCATTCTGTCTGTATACATATACCTTTCGTGACTATTTGATATAAATGGAATCATACAATATGATCTTTGTGTCTGGCTTCTTTGACTTAGCATAATATTTTGAGGTTTATCTATATACGTTGTAGCAAATACCAGCACTTCATTCCTTTTTATGGTTGTGTGATACTCCATGTACATATATTTGCAGTCATAATATTAAAAAATTTTTAATTGTGGTAAAATCACATAACAAAATTTACTATATTAATCATTTTAAGTGTACGGTTCAGTGGCATTAGTAATGTACATTCATGTTGTTTACAACCATCACCACCATCCACCTCCAGAACCTTATTCTTCACTCCAAACTGAAACTCCATATCCATTATTATTGTTATTATTATTATTATTATTTTATTATTACTATTTTTTGAGATGGAGTTTTGCTCTTATTGCCCAGGCTGGAGCGCAATGGCACAATCTCGGCTCACCGCAACCTCCACCTCCCGGGTTCAAGCGATTCTCCTGCCTCAGCCTCCCAAGTAGCTGGGATTACAGGCATGCACCACCATGTCCAGCTAATTTTGCAGTTTTAGTAGAGACAGGGTTTCTCCATGTTGGTCAGGCTGGTCTCGAACTCCCGACCTCAGGTGATCTGCCCGCCTCGGCCTCCCAAAGTGCTGGGATTACAGGCGTGAGCCACCGCGCCCGGCCCCAAAACTCCATACCCATTAAACAATAACTCCCAATTGTCCCCTCCCTCAGCCCCCGGCAACCACCATTCTAATTTCTGTCTGTATGAATTTGACTATTCCAGGTACTTCATATAAGTGGAATCATACAGTATTTGCCTTTTTGTGACTGGCTTATTTCATTTAGCATAATGTCCTCAAGGCTCATCCGTGTTGTATTATGTGTCAGAATTTTCTTCCTTTTTAAGGATAATATTTCATTCCAAATGTATAGACCACATTTTGTTTATCATTCATCTGTTGATGAGCACTTAGGCTGCTTCTACGTCTTGGCTATTGTGAATAATGTTGCTATGAACATGGGTGTACCAATATTTGTTCAGGAGTCTGCTTTCAATTCTTTTTCTTTTTTTGAGACAGGGTCTTGCTCTGTCGCCCAGGCTGGAGTGGAGAGCAGTGGTGCCATCACAGTTAATCGCAGCCTCTACCTCCTGGGCTCAAGTGATCCTCCCACTTTGGCCTCCCACGTAGCTGGGATCACCAGTGCACACCTCAATGCTTTGCTAACTTTTTAAAAATGTTTTTGTGGAGATGGGGTTTTGCCATGTTGGCCAGGCTGGTCTCAAACTCCTGGGCTCAAATGATCTCCTGCCTAGGTCTCCCAAAGTGTTGGGATTACAGGCATGAGCCACCATGCCTAGCCTGCTTTCAATCCTTTTGGTATATATCCAGAGGTGGGATTGCTGGATCATATAATAATTCTACTTTTGATTTTTTTTGAAGAATCATTATGCTGTTTTCCATAATGGCTGCATTATTTTACATTCCTAGCAACAATGTGAAGTCTTGGTTTGTGTGTGTGTGTGTCTGTGTTGTTTTTTTTGAGATGATGTCTCGTTCTGTCACCCAGGCTGGAGTGCAGTGGCGCCATCTTGCCTTACTGCAACCTCCACCTCCCGGGTTCAAGTGATTCTCCAGCCTCTCAGCCTCCCGAGAAGCTGGGATGACAGGCACGTGCCACAATACCTGGCTGTTTTTGTATTTTTAGTAGAGATGGGGTTTCACCATGTTTGCCAGGCTGGTCGCGAATTCCTGACTTCAGGTGATCCACTGCCTCAGCCTCCCAAAGTGCTGGGATTACAGGTGTGAGCCACTGCGCCCAGCCAAGTCTTGGTATTTTAATGTTCCCCAATTCAGTGTGTGTGGAGAGTACTGGGCAGCTCTGGAGTGGACATTCACCTGCATGTTATCTGATGGGTCTCTCTCCTTGGTTCAAGAGTGCAAGGCCAGGTAGTAAGCCAGATGTGGCTTATGTAAGTGATTAATTTTATGTGTCAACTTGACTGGGAACTTAGTGTTGAATGTGATGCCCAGATTAAACATTATTTCTAGGTGTGTCTGGAACTCGGTACTACCACCTTACTCCCCAGGTGGTCTGGGAGAGGCAGCAACAGAAAGTAGACAGTTTATTAGGGACCCAGCAGATGCTGGAAGCCCAGGGAAGGGAGTTTCAGGGCCCTGCATCCCCCTACCTGTCCCCACAAATGCACCAGCTGCTAAGACCACACCTCAGCCTCCTTCACCGGACCTCTAACCCCCCAACTATCTCTTCCTGTGGTTGGTCAGTCTATCCACATAGGTGATGTTATTTGTCCAGCTGGCATCTACAATTCATCAGTCAGAACCTTGGTGATGACCTGTCCAGAGTGGCAAGGGGTCCAGGCAGATGAGGGTGTTTCCAGATGAGATGAGCATTTGAATTGGTAAACTCAGAAAAGTACTTTGCCCTCCCCAGTGTGGATGGACACCGTCCAATTTGTTGAGAGCCTAAACAGAACAAAAGGTAACAAAATAAGGAATTCACCTCCCCCCACTTTTTTTGTTGTTGTTGTTGTTCCTGTCTCACTGCTTGAGCAGGGACATCTCATTTCTTCTTCTCCTGCTCTCAGACTGGGATTTATGCCATCAGCTCCCCTGGTTCTTAGGCCTTTGGAAATGGATGGAATTATACTACTGGCTTTCCTGGGGCTCTAGCTGGCAGATGGTAGATTACGAGACTTCTCAGCCTTCATAACTGCATGAGCCAATTCCTTATCATCTATCTACCTATCTATAAGTCCCTTTGGTTCTGTTTCTCTAGAAAATCCTAATATAGGACAGGTGTAGTGGCTCATGCCTATAATCCTAGCACATTGGAAGGTCGAGGCAGGCAGATTACCCGAGCTCAGGAGTTTGAGACCAGCCTGGGCAACATGGCAAAACCCTATCTCTACAAAAAAAAAAAAAAATGCAAATATTAGCCAGGCATAGTGGCATGTACCTGTGGTCCCAGCTACTCAAGAGACTGAGGTGGGAGGATCACTTGAGCCCAGGAGGTTGAGGCTATAGTGAGTCATGATCACGCCACTGCATTCCAGCCTGGGCAACAGAGCCAGACCCTGTCTCAAAAATAAATAAATAAATAAGAAAATCCTAATATACCAGGTGTTCATTATAAGTAGCTAGGGGGTTGGGACAGGAAAATAAAGAAGTTGGTGGTGCAGGAAGAGGCTTGGAGTCAGGGATCAAGGGGCTATTTGAGGGCTTGGACTAGGCTTATGCCTCCAAGAATGGAAAAGGGATGGAAGCAAGAGACATTAGGATATGGCTAGGATCAAAAAATCAGATGATAGGCCGGGTGCAATGGCTTACGCCTGTAATCCTAACACTTTCGGAGGCTGAGGCGGGCAGATGATGAGGTCAGGAGTTGGAGAACAGCCTGGCCAACATGGTGAAACCCCGTCTCTACTAAAAATACAAAAATTAGCTGGGCGTGATTGCATGCGCCTGTAGTCACAGTTACTCGGGAGGCTGAGGCAGGAGAATTGCTTGAACCCGGGAGGCAGACGTTGTAGTGAGCCGAGATCACGCCACTGTACTCCAGCCTGGGCAACAGAGTGAGACTCTCTCTCAAAAAAAAAAAAAAAATTAGATGATAACAAATAGTGTAAAGGATGTGGAGAAATCAGTTCCCCCACACATTGTTGGCAGAAATGTAAAATGGTGCTTTGGAAAATATTCTGACAGTTCTGAAACAATTAAATGTACAGTTACTCTATGGCAGGGCATGGTGGCTCACGCCTGTAATTCCAGCATTTTGGGAGGCCAAGGTGATTGGATCACCTGAGGTCAAGAGTTTGAGACCAGTCTGGCCAACGTGGTAAAACCCCGTCTCTACTAAAAATACAAAAATTAGCCAACATGGTGGTGCGCACCTGTAGTCCCAGTTACTCGGGAGGCTGAAGCAGGAGGATCGCTTGAACCTGGGAGGCAGAGGTTGTGGTGAGCTGAGATCTCGCCACTGCACCCAGCCTGAGTGACAGAGCGAGACTCTGTCTCAAAAAAAATATATATATATAGATAGATAGATAGATAGATAGATAGATAGATAGATAGATGATAGATACGCAGTTACTCTGTGACCCAACAATTCCACTCCTAGGTGTATACCCAAAAGAAATGAGGACACATGTCTACCCAAAAACTTGTACATAAATGTTTACAGTAGCATTATCCATGATAGCCAAAAGGTAGAAAGAACCCAAATGTCCATCAACTGATGAATGAATAATCAAAATGTGGTATGTCCATAAATGAAATACTATTCAACCATAAAAAGGAATGGAGTACTGATAACATGCTACAACACAGACAAATCTTGAAAACATTATGCTAAGTGAAAGAAGCCAGTCACAAAATGCCACATATTATATGATTCTATTTATACGAAATGTCTAGAACAGGGAGGTCTATAGAGACAGAAAGTAGATTTTCAGTTGCTTAAGGCTGGAGATGGGGTGACATGGGGATCTTAAGATGATACCCCAAATGTTCTAAAACTGATTGTGGTGATGATTGCATGTATCTATGAATATACTAAAAACCACTGAACCATACACTTTATTATTTTTATTTTTTTTGAGATGGAGTTTTTGTTCTTGTTGCCCAGGCTGGAGTGCAATGGCACAATCTCAGCTCACTGCAACCTCCGTCACCTGGGTTCAAGTGATTCTCTTGCGCTAGCCTCCCGAGTAGCTGGGATTACAGGCATGTGCCACCACACCTGGCTAATTTTGTATTTTCAGTAGAGACGGGGTTTCTCCGTGTTGGTCAGGCTGGTCTCGAACTTGTAAACTCAGGTGATCCGCCCACCTCGGCCTCCCAAAGTGCTGGGATTACAGGCATGAGCCACCACACTCAGCCTGAATCGTACACTTTAAATGGTGAATTGTGTGGTGTGTGAATTGTATCTCAATAAAGCTGTTAAAGGGACAGAAGTCTGGGCACAGTGGCTCGCGACTGTAATTCCAGCACTTTGGGAGGCCGAGGTGGGCGGATCACGAGCTCAGTTTTTTTTGTTTGTTTGTTTTGAGACGGAGTCTCCCTCTGTCGCCCAGGCTGGAGTGCAGTGGCGCGATCTCTGCTCACTGCAAGCTCCGCCTCCCGAGTTCACGCCATTCTCCTGCCTCAGCCTCCGGAGTGGGATTACAAGCGACCGCCACCACGCCCGGCTAATTTTGTTTTTGTTTTTGTTTTTGTTTTTTTGGTATTTTTGGTAGAGACGGGGTTTCACCGTGTTAGCCAGGATGATCTCGGATCTCCTGACCTCGTGATCCGCCCACCTCGGGCTTCCGAAGTGCTGGGATTACAGGCGTGAGCCACCGCGCCTGGCCACGAGGTCAGGATTTCGAGACCAGCCTGGCCAACACAGTGAAACCCCATCTCTACTAAAAATACAAAGATTAGCCAGGCATGGTGGCAGGCGCCTGTAGTCCCAGCTACTTGGGAGGCTGAGGCAGGAGAATCGCTTGAACCCGGGAGGCTGAGGTTGTGGTGAGCCAAGATCACGTCACTGCACTCCAGCCTGGGCAACAGAGCGAGACTCCCTCTCAAAAAATAGAAATAAACGGGACAGAAGCCAGGCGTGGTGGCTCACGCCTGTAATCCCAGCACTTTGGGAGGCCGAGGCGGGTGGATCACCTGAGGTCAGGAGTTCGAGACCAGCCTGGCCAAGGTGGTGAAACCCCCATCTCTACTAAAAATACAAAAATTAGCCAGGCGTGGTTGTGGGCACCTTTAGTCCCAGCTACTCGGGAGTCTGAGGCAGGAGAATTGCTCAAACCTGGGAGGCTGAGGCAGGAGAATTGCTCAAACCCGGGAGGCAGAGGTTGCAGTGAGCTGAGATCGCACCGCGGCACTCCAACCCGGCGACAGAGGGAGACTCCGTCTCAAAAAAAAAAAAAAAAAAAAAAACAAAATGGACAGAAGATGTAGCTTAGACTTCATGAGTGACTAGTTATGGGGGCTAGAGAGAGGAAGGAGACAAAGAGAACGTCAACTATTCAGTTCATTATGACATGGAGAATGTGACGGTAATCACCACTGATAGAAACAGGACAATATGTGGAAACTGAAAGAAATAAAAATGCAGTTTGGAGGAAGAGATCTAATAAGGTTAAGGAAAAATACTAGGGCCCTGTAAGTTATTTTTGGGTTGATTAGAATTTTACTAGCTTTCCCCTACAAACTCCAAGAAAATGTCTTTTTCATATATTTTCATATCTCATGGGCCTATATTAAGTCATGATCCTGGACCAAATGCTGACTCCATCTAGGTATGGCAGAGAAGCTAAGCATCCCTCAGTTTCCACACTGTCCTTTTTCCTGTTAGCAGAGAAACCAATGCTTTCCCCCAGTTTTCACTGAGAAAATGGCCACTTCCCAGTTTCCTCTGTTGGCTGGATATGTCCATATAACTAAGTTCAGCCCAATGGGATGGGAGGGAGAGCGATGTGTGCAACTTCTAGATCATCATCTTAAAGACAAAACTTTTTGCAGTGAATACTCTTTTTGCTCTTCCTGAGGACTGAAACATGGGCTGAGCTAGTCTCCATCACATGAGCAGGACAGTGCTTTAGGACAATTGGATAAAAGCGATCCTTATTCCTTAGTGGCAGGTGGAAGAGAATTGCTTAGCTAGCCCTGGATATCTGACCACTAGCTGTTTTGTGGTACTCAGAAATGAATTTCCATTTTATTTAAACCACTATTTTCAGGTCTCTTTGTTACCATAGTTCGGCCTCTACCGAAATTAATACACCAGTGGGGAATGGGATGAGCTTGATGCTAGTGGGCCAGGGAAGGTCCCTAAACGCTGGTGGGACCACAACCCTGGCTGGTGTCCAGGCTCTTGACACCATCACAAGAAGGAATTCAAGAATGAGTCAGAAAATAGTGAAAGTGTGGAGATTTATTGCAAAATGAAAAGTACACACTCAAGAAAGTGGAGTGAGGGCGTACTCAACAGAGAGTCACGCAATGGAGTTTGGGGTTTCTAACCTTCATGGGTTTATTTAACCGAGGGGTGGAATATTCATGAAGATTCCTGGAAAAAGGTGGAGTTTCTCAAAACTCTGGTGCCACTCATTTTTACACCAAATATGAGTCCTCCTAGAACTGTCCTGGTGCTGGTAGGTGTGTGATTGGTATGTTAATGAGTGTATAATGAGGTCCTCAGTGAAACCTAGGTCAAATCCAGTGCCATGTTTGGTCTGGTAGGTCTTAGCCAGCTCAGTCCACATCCTGTTTTTCAGGGTTTTATCAGCCCCTCGCTTCTGTAGCTATTTCATCAGTTTCCTTTTGCTAGTTATGTGAACCTGCCTCCTGGAATTTTCTGTTCTCCTGAGACCACCCTGTATTAAGGTGACTGAGTCAATTCAATCAGGGTCCACCTCTGGGGATGGGGCCAGGAGAGGGGTCATCTTCCCTGAAGCACCTGAGTTTTATATGGAACAGTGGACATCTGAATGAAAACTCAAGGTGCTTTTCCAAAGAAGAAGGGGGAAAGGATATTGAGCAATCAAAAGCAGAAAATGGGCCGGGTGCAGTGTCTCACACCTATAATCCCAACACTTTGGGAGGCTGAGGTGGGCAGATCACTTGAGGCCAGGAGTTCGAGACCAGCTTGGCCAACATGGCCAAACCCCGACTCTACTAAAAACACAAAAATTAGCCGGGCATGGTGGTGCATGCCTGTTATCTCAGCTACTTGGGAGGCTGAGGCATGAGAATTGCTTGAACCTGGGAGGTGGAGGTTGCAGTGAGCCAAGATCATGCCACTGCATTATAGTCTGGGCAACCGAGTGAGACTCTTTTGCAAAAGAAAAAAAAAAAAGCAGAAAAGGTTCACTACAACCTAGAAGAGGGTTTCTCCACTTAGGCACTACTGTCATTTGGAACTACATAATATTTTGTTGTAAGGGGCTGTCTTGTACATTGTAGAATGTTGGTAGCATCCCTAGTCTCTACTGTATATACTCCCCCCCATCATGCCAATCAAAAATATCTTCAGATCTTGCCAAATATCCCCTGGAGGGCAAAAAATTTCCCATTTGAGAAGCACTGCTCTAGAAAGGGCTTGGAGCTGCCTTTTCTGCCTCTCACTTCTAGTCTTTTTCTCATATGATTGGCAGATTTTCTTTTGTAACAAAAACATGCCATGCTTGGAAATAACAACTGTATTCTGTGCACTCATAGAGTCAAATCTAAACCCTTAAATGAGACTTACAAAACTCTTCTCAAAACAATTACTTGTCTCACTTCTCAAAAAAATTATTTGTCTCAACTACAATCCTATCCCCCCATACAGATTGCTCTAGTCATACTGAATTTTTCCCACTATTCTCAAAGTTTCCATGACTTTTTTACTCATATGCTTTTGTACATATTCTTCTTTCTGCCTGCAGTACAGACGCTGCTCTACTTGTGATGGGGGTAAATCTTAGTAAGCGCATTGTAAGTTGAAAATACTGGAAGTCAGCCGGGTACGGGTGGCTCACGCCTGTAATCCCAGCACTTTGGGAGGCTGAGGTGGGCAAATCATGAGGTCAGGAGATTGAGACCATCCTGGCCAACATGGTAATACCCCATCTCTACTAAAAATGCAAAAATTAGCTGGGCGTGGTGGCGCATGCCTGTAATCCCAGCTACTCAGGAGGCTGAGGCAGGAGAATTGCTTGAACCAGGGAGTCAGAGGTTGCGGTGAGCTGAGATCGTGCTACTGCATTCCAGCCTGGCGACAGAGTGAGACTCTGTCTCAAAAAAAAAAAAAAAAGAACGAAAGAAAATACTCTAAGTCAAAATGCATTTACTACACCTAACCTACCAAACATTATAGCCTAGTCTAACCTACCTCAACGTGCTCAGAACTCTTACATTAGCCTACAGTTGGAAAAAGTCATCTAACACAAAGCCTATTTTATATTAAAGTGTTGAATAGTTCATGTAATTTATTGACTACTGTACTGAAAGTGGAAACAGAACGGTTGTATGGGTACTCAAAGTATGAATTCTACTAAATTTAAATCACTTTTGCACCACTGTAAAGTGAAAAAAAATCATAAGTTGGGGACCATCTGTACTTTTCTCCACTTCTCTCTTAGGGAAACTCCTATATACTCTTTTTTTTTTTTTTTTGAGACGGAGTTTTGCTCTTGTTGCCCAGGCTGGAGTGCAATGGCACGATCTCGGCTCACCACAACCTCCGCCTCCTGGGTTCAAGCAATTCTCCTGCCTCAGCCTCCCGAGTAGCTGAGATTACAGGCATGCACCACTACGCCTGGCTAATTTTGTATTTTTAGTACAGATGGGGTTTCTCCATGTTGAGGCTGGTCTCAGACTCCTGACTTCAGGTGATCTGCCCGCCTCAGCCTCCCAAAGTGCTGGGATTACAGGCGTGAGCCACCGCGCCCAGCCTGGAAACTTCTATATACTCTTTAAGACTCAATTCAAACAGGACTTCCCCTATTAAAAAAAAAAGTCCTAACATTTCCTAAGAAAACTTGGTGTCTCCATACTAAACTTTGTTCATACCTATCGGGTCATGCTTGGCACACTTTTTTGTTATTTGTGTATTAATCGCTTTTCAGCCCCCGGGGGTTCTAACAAGGTGCCTAACACAGAGAAGTTGCCCCATAAATGCTTGTTGAATGGGTGAGTGAAATGAAGGAAAAGTGCCACAGCAGTGCCTTCAAATTTCACTGACAAAACTTGTACTTTGGCCAGAGTTCATTGGCTTTTATTAGCTTAGACTGGGTTTACAACAGGTGTCTCTGTCACTAAACTGGAAAGTAGGTGAAAAGCTAACCTCAGGACACCAAATTAAATACTTTCAGCACTGTGCCATGGTAGCCCTTGGATCACAGAGCATGAAGTGTCTGAGCAGTAATTTCCAGCTGCTGCTGCCAGAGAAATAATAAATGATGTTACACAGAAAGTATCACATTATAGTTTATTATACATGAACCTCTGTGAGAGTAAGCTGTAAATGGTTCGCACCCTAGAGCATGGGCTTAGTCTTTCCAAACAAATCCATTTACTTGTTATCTTTATAAAGTCCTGATTAAAACATGTTTTGGAGATATAGATATATCTAACACATGGACCATAGTAGTCTCTTGTGAGTATCTGAATCAAAATTTTAGTATCTAGATAGCACCAAACTTAGAAAAGTATGCCCTTTTACAGAATTACAGGTTCAATTTCATTTGGCTGGACTACATGTCTTTCTACTTTAGGGTCCTAATGTCAGAATATGGTCGGACATGGTAGCTCACACCTGTAATCCCAGGACTTTGGGAGGCCAAGATGGGAGGATTCCTTGAGGCCAGGAGTTTGAGACCACCCTGGACAACAAAGTGAGACCCCATCTCTACAGAAAATAAAAAATTTGCCAGGGTTGGTGTATGTGCCTGTAGTCCTAGACGCTCACAAGGCCAAGATGGGAGGATTGCTTGAACTCAGGAAGTTGAGGCCGCAGTGAGCCATGAGTACATCACTGCACTCCAGCTTGGGTGACAGAGCAAAACCTTGCCTCAAAAAAAAAAAAAAAAAAAAAAGAAATATATCAGAATAGGCCCACTACCCCCTAGAAAATGTCCCCAAACGGCCTCTGCTGCTTCCTACTGCTGGCTGTCTTCTCACATCACTGACAGAATCATCTGTCTATTAACCCAGATATGTCATGCTTGGAACTGTGGAGTCTGTTTAGGACAGCACAATCCCGCAGTTGGGTCTGAGAATAGTAAAAATGTCACAAATGATCCACCAACTTTGGTGGAATTTTTTTTTTTTTGAGACAGAGTCTCGCTCTGTCGCCCAGGCTGGAGTGCAGTGGCGTGATCTCGGCTTACTGCAAGCTCTGCCTCCCGGGTTCTCACCATTCTCCTGCCTCAGCCTCCCGAGTAGCTGGGACTACAGGCACACGCCACCACGCCCAGCTAATTTTTTGTATTTTTAGTAGAGACGGGGTTTCACCATGTTGGCCAGGATGGTCTCCATCTCTTGACCTCGTGATCCGCCCACCTTGGCCTCCCAAAGTGCTGGGATTATAGACGTGAGCCACCATGCCCGGCTGGTGGAGTTTTTTTAACCTAAAAATTTTACTTCTGTATTAACTTTATAGCACAAATATTTTCTTCATAATACGGATAATCCAGAGGGAAGTTCAAAAGTGAAACAGATGGAGGAAGGGCAGGGGAAAAGATGGTCCCTTGAATTGGGGAGAGTAGAAGGTCTCAGGGTCCCCATGTCATGGCTTCCCTGTGCTGGTCCAGTGGATCTCAACTCGGCGGTCTACACAGCAGCACACCTGGGGAATTTAAAAAATACTGATGCTCCGGCCCTGATTGAACCAGAATTTCAGGGGACGGCCTATACAGCTACTGCTTAAATATCCATCCATGTATCCAGAGTCTGAAAAAAACCTTCAGATTCATAAACACAGAGCCCATCCCCATGTTGGAGAAGCAGAGCACGGTGATAGCCCCCACCATGAATACCAAGACCGGGGAGGGACTGGGCTTTTCCGCCATCTCCTCACTGTCCCATACGCTACCCTCAACAAAAACACAGGATAGTGTTAACAGAAGAAAGGGGAAGGACACTGGGCAGGTGCAAAAACATGACAAATATTTATTACAGTTAGTATAACTGTGCCTAAGGCTTAAAGTTCCGTGGTTTGTTTTTTTTTTGAGACAGAGTTTTGCCCTTGTTGCCCAAGCTGGAGTACAATGGCACGATCTCAGCTCACTGCAACCTCCACCTCCCGGGTTCAAGCGATTCTCCTGCCTTAGCCTCCCGAGTAGCTGGGATTACAGGCGCATGCCACCACACCCGGCTAATTTTTTGTATTTTTTGTAGAAACGGGATTTCACCATGTTAGCCAAGCTGCTCTTGAACTCCTGACCTCAGGTGATCTGCCCACCTCAGCCTCCCAAAGCACTGGGATTACAGGCATGAGCCGCCGTGCCCAGTCAAGGCTTAAAGTTCATACACCAGGCCTGAACAGCAATTACTTGCTGCCTAAGTCTTTTTTTTTTTGAGACAGTCTTGTTCTGTCGCCCAAGCTAGAGTGCCAATGGCATGATCTCAGTTCACTGCAACCTCCACCTCCCAGATTCAGGCGATTCTCCTGCCTCAGCCTCCCAAGGAGCTGGGACTACAGGCATGTGCCACCACACCTGGCTACTTTTTTTATTTTTAGTAGAGATGGAGTTTCACCATGTTTGTCAGGCTGGTGTTGAACTCCTGACCTCAAATGATCTGCCCACCTCGGCCTCCCAAAGTGCTGGGATTACAGGCATGAGCCATTGTGTCCAGACTTTTTTTTTTTTTTTTTTTTTTTGAGACAGAGTCTCCCTTTATCCCCCAGTCTGGAGTGCAGTGGCATGATCTCGGCTCACTGTAGCTTCCGCCTCCCGTGTCCAAGCAATTCTCCTGCCTCAGCCTCCCAAGTAGCTGGGATTACAGGCACATGCCACCATGCCCAGCTAATTTTTGTATTTTTAGTAGAGATGGGGTTTCACCATGTTGGCCAGGCTGGTCTTGAACCCCTGACCTCAGGTGATCTGCCCGCCTTGCCCTCCCAAAGTGCTGGGATTACAGGCGTGAGCCACTGCGCCCAGCCGCTGCCTAAGTCCTATTATAGTTCAGGACCTGGGCAAAGTTGAACTTGAACCTATAAGTAAACAAGGCTAGGGAATGCAGGATACAATACAGGTAGCAGTAAAAGGTGCGGGCATGTTTTCTTAGCTTTGAGTGAAGGGGAAAAAAATTGAGAGGGAAATTCCCCCCCCCTTTTTTTTCTGTTAATGTTGATATCTTATAATGTTGGACACTTTAAAGTAAATACTTATAATCCTCACCCCCACAGAAAAGTTTCACTTGTGTTATATAACATATACCCAATAGAATTGAGATATGATTCATAACCTATATGTGTGACTCTGTTTCTTAATCATAAAATGTGTGGTATCTGTCAATGTTAGAAGATGGAGCAGGGACTCCTCTTAGGGACCTGCCAGGTGCCCCCACCCCCACCACCACAAGCACGAAAATAAAGGACAAGTTTTGAGTTCCTTCACAGGAGATTCCAGGCACCTAGCTAGACTTGAGAAGTAAATGAGCAATCCAAGAAGAGAGCAGTAGGTGGGGCGTGGTGCTCACGCCTGTAATCCCAGCACTTTGGGAGGCCGAGGCGGGTGGATCACGAAGTCAGGAGATCGAGACCATCCTGGCTAACACGGTGAAACCCCGTCTCTACTAAAAATACAAAAAATTAGCCAGGCGTGGTGGCGGGCGCCTGTAATCCCAGCTACTCAGGAGGCTGAGGCAGGAGAATGGCGTGAACCTGGGAGGCGGAGCTGGCAGTGAGCCGAGATCACCCCACTGCACTCCAGCCTGGGCGACAGAATGAGACTCTGTCTCAAAAAAAAAAAAAAAAGAGAGAGCAGTAACTTAAAAAATAAGTCTTCTAAGCAAGTTAGAGTCACAAGCTATTTCAGTTGCCTGTAGAAACTAAAAGACAACATCTTAATGTATGTTCTTGAGTTGTTTTTTGTTTGTTTGTTTGTTTTTGAGATGGAGTCTGGCTCTGTCACCAGGCTGGAGTGCAGTGGCGTGATCTCGGCTCATTGCAACCTCTGCCTCCCGGGTTCAAGCCATTCTCCTGCCTCAGCCTCCCAAGTGGCTGGGACTACAGGCACATGCCACCACGCCCGGGTAATTTTTATATTTTTAGTAGAGACAGGGAATCACCATGTTGGCCAGGATGGTCTCGATTTCTTGACCTCATGATCCGCCCGCCTTGGCCTCCCAAAGTGCTGGGATTACAGGGGTGAGCCACCGTGCCTGTTCTTTGAGTTGTTTATCAGAAAGCTGGACCCCCACCAGATGAAAAATGCTGATCACTGTCACATAGACCTCAGATAAGGGAGAAGTAAGGACTGAACTCTGACTGTTCTGAATTTCTCCCTGAGCAGCCTGGAGGGAGTCAGGCCCACAGGCCAAACCTTAACATTCCTTTCCGATGACCCCCAGTTTTTAGACAAAGCCTTGCTCCTTAACCAACTCCAAATCAAAGAGTCTCTGAATCCAATTATGACCTGTAAGCTCCTGCTTTGAGACATCCCACTTTTTGGTGGCCAAATCAATGTATAACCTCCATATATTGATTTACTATTTTGCCTGTAACTTTTGTTTCCTTTTTTTGAGACAGAGTCTCTCTCTGTCGCCCAGGCTGCAGTGCGGTGGTGCGATCTCGGCTCACTGCAACTCTGCCTCCCGGGCTCACGCCATTCTCCTGCCTTAGCCTCCCAAGTAGCTGGGACTACAGGCACCTGCCACCATGCCCGGCTAATTTTTTTGTATTTTTGGTAGAGACGGAGTTTCACCGCATTAGCCAGGATGGTCTTGATTTTCTGACCTTGTGATCCGCCCACCTCGGCCTCCGAAAGTGCTGGAATTACAGGCCTGATCCACCATGCCCAGCCTCTTTTTTTTTTTTTCCCATTTAAAAAATATTTTTGGTCAGGCACGGTGGCTCATGCCTATAATCCCAGCACTTTGGGAGGCTGAGGTGGGCAGATCACCTGAGGTCAGGAGTTCAAAACCAGCCTGGCCAACATGGCAAAATCCTGTCTCTACTAAAAATACAAAAATTAGCTGGGCACGGTGGCACACACCTGTATTCACAACTACTTGGGAAGCTGAGGCAGGAGAATCACTTGAACCTGGGAGGCGGAAGCTGCAGTGAGCTGAGATCATGCCACTGAACCCCAGTCTGGGCAACAGAATATGACTCCGTCTCAAAAAAAAAATATATATATATATATATATATATTATATATATGTGTGTGTGTGTGTGTGTGTGTGTGTGTGTGTTTGTGTGTGTATTTATTTATTTATTTTTATAAAAAATAGAGACAGGGTCTCACTATGTTTCCCAGGCTGATCTTGAACTGGGCTCAAGCTATCCTCCTGCTTCCGCTTCCCAAAGTGCTGGGATTACAGGTGTGAACCACCTGGCCAACTTCTGCTTTCTTAAACATCCTTACCTGTAAGTCATTAGGGAGTTCAAGTCTTCAGCATTAGTTTGCTGCCCAGTTCTCCTTGCCTGGCACCAGGCAATAAATGCCTCACTTCCGCTTGCTGTAAATCCCAGCGTCAGTGTTTGTTTGTTTGTTTTTCCTGTGTGCTGCGTAAGCAGACCCAAGTTCAGTTGGGTAACAGCTAGGATTCTAAAGGTTAAGGGAAGCAAGTGAACTTTGTTTTGGCTTTTTCCCACTACACCAGAGATAAACCAGTACAGGGAGTAAAGTCCCATTTTTACAGGCTGTATATGAGAGGACCTGTGTGCAGTGCAGAGCAGCTGCTGCTCCGGGTAGAAAAGTCTTGCCTAAAGATCAAACAATCAGTATGTCACTATGAGTTCTCCTTGACCCAAGAGCTCTTGCAGGCCTGGAGGGAACATCTGTCCCAGAGTGGTCTTTATGGAGAATTTCTAGGGTTGGTCCATTAGGGAAAATGTCCCCAAGGAACATTGATTCTTACCTATATAAGAATACATACACCCAGGCCGGGCGTGGTGGCTCACGCCTGTAATCCCAGCACTTTGGGAGGCCAAGGCGGGCGGATCACGAGGTCAGGAGATCGAGACCATCCTGGCTAACACGGTGAAAGCCTGTCTCTACTAAAAATACAAAAAATTAGCTGGGCATGGTGGCGAGCACCTATAGTCCCAGCTACTTGGGAGGCTGAGGCAGGAGAATGGCGTGAACCTGGGAGGCGGAGCTTGCAGTGAGCCGAGACTGCGCCACTGCACTCCAGCCTGGGTGACAGAGTGAGACTCTGTCTCAAAAAAAAAAAAAAAAAAGAATATATACACCTCACTCCCCATTTTTGTGAGACCTGAGAAAGCAGTAAGGACAGTAATGACGATGAATAGTGACTTCTTTTTATTTCTACTATGCAGGCTCTGTGCTGGATATTTTGCCTGCCATGATTTATTTAATCCTGAACACAACCCCGTGAGGTAGAAATTAGCACCAGCTCACTTGGGTGAACTGAGTCTGTCTGACCTGCGTCTTTCAGCCATGTCTCTGAAACCTACTTTTTCTGCAGCACCCCCCACCCTGAACTAGGGTACTGTAGGCTCTAATTTCTTAATCGCCTCAGATCATCCACAAGTTCTGACACCTGAGATTGGAGCCCGTGGTCTTGCAGACAGATCCCCCCGGTAACCAAGGGCTTTCTCTTTAGCCTTCTTCCAATCACCTGCCAATTGCCTTCCCAATCCTGCTTGGACTGACTCTCAGATGCTACAGTGACACTGCTTCAGAGGAGTGACATATATATACATATAATTATATATAAAATAATATATAAAAATAGTATATATAAACAAGAAATATATAAAAATATATATTTCATTTACTTATTTATTTTTTGAGATGAAGTCTCGCTCTGTCACCCAGGCTGGAGTGCAATGGTGCAATCTCAGCTCACTGCAACCTCCGCCTTCTGGATTCAAGTGATTCTCCTGCCTCAGCCTCTCGAGTAGCTGGGACTACAGCCATGCGCCACCACGCCCAGCTAATTTTTGTAGTTTTAGTAGAGACGGGGTTTCACCATGTTGGCCAGGATGGTCTCGATCTCTTGACCTCATGATCTGCCCACCTTGTCCTCCCAAAGTGCTGGGATTATAGGCGTGAGCCAGTGTGCCCGGCCTATTTCTTTTATTTTTATTTTTATTTATTTTTATTTTTTTTAGACAGGGTGTTGCTCTGTCACCAAGGCTGGAGTGCAGTGATGCAAACATGCTCACTGCAGCCTCAACCTCCTGGGCTCAAATGAGCCTCCCACCTTGGCCTCTTGTGCAGCTGGGACTATAGGTGCGTGCCACCATGCCCAGCAAATTTTCATATTTTTAATTTTATGTAGAAACAGAGTCTCACTTTGTTGCCCAGCTGGTCTCAAACTCCTGGATTCAAGCCATCCTCCCACCTTGGCCTCCCAAAGTGCTGAGATTCAGGCATGAGCCACTGCACCTGGCCTCACAGGCTTATCTCTTGGCCTTATCATTTTCTCCAAGGTGAATGCCAAAGAAAATTGACTTTGCTATGCATTTGAGTCAGTGGCCTCTGCCTGTTCCTGTTGGTATGCCTGATTTCTGGCCTATCCTGGTTGAAGCTTGGGCTCTGTGATTATGAAAGAGAAGACTTTTCAGACACCAGACATATGATTGGATATTAAAATAGTGGCTAGACAGGATTTTATACCTGTAAGTGCTATAGCAAATGCTCCTTCTCTCCTGTCCTCACACACAAAAAAAGATAAATTATGGATCCTTATCCTTTGGAAGGCTGGAAGCTTATGTGTTAAAAGTGTAAATGTTAGCTGCGTGCAATGGCTCACTGTAATCCCAGCATTTAAAGGCCGAGGTGGGCGATAGCTTTGAGTTCAGGACTTTGAGACCAACCTGGGCAACATGGCAAAACCCTGTCTCTACAAAAAATACAAAAATTAGCTGGGCGTGTTGGCTACTTGGCCCCTATAGTCCCAGCTACTTGGAAGGCTCAGGTGGGAGGTTTGAGCCTGGGAAGCGGAGACTGTAGTGAGATCGCGCCACTGCACTCCAGCCTGGGTGACAGAGTGAGAGCTTGTTTCAAAAAAAAAAAAAATACACACACACACACACACACACACACACACACACACACACACACATATATATTTGGTGTTATAAATATTTTTAAAGTAACTTTTATGTTTTTTCGTTTTGTTTTTTTGAGACAGAGTCTTGCTCAGTCGCCCAGGCTGGAGTGCAGTGGCGCGATCTTGGCTCACTGCAAGCTCCGCCTCCTGGGTTCACACCATTCTCCTACCTCAGCCTCCCAAGTAGCTGGGACTACAGGCGTCCGCCACCACGCCCAGCTAATTTTTTGTGTATTTTTAGTAAAGATGGGGTTTCACCGTGTTAGCCAGGATGATCTCGGTCTCCTGACCTCGTGATCCACCCACCTCGGCCTCCCAAAGTGCTGGGATTACAGGCGTGAGCCACCGCGCCCGGCCTATGTTTTTCTAATTATAAAAATATGTGAGTTTTCTGTAGACAGCATGTAAATACAGAAAAATATCACCCAGAGTCCAATAATCCCTAAATGGAGAATCACTGGGAACAGTTTAGTGTATATAGTATGTTTAAGCTGTACATACACATAAACACAAAATTGTGAGCATTCTCAGTATGGTTTCATGTACTGCTATTTCATTTACTATTACCCTGCTAGCATTTCCCCTATCATCAAAATTCTTTGAAAATATGTTTATTAACTGTATAATATTTTATTTTATGAATGTACTGTGAATTATTTAATCCTCTTCAGAGACTCAGGTTGATTCTACTGATAATTGTGCTGCAACGAGCATACTGTGCGTTCATTTCTATGTGGAATTCTATGGCCTTAAAATAGAATCCTAGCAGTAGAATCACTGAGATAAAGGGTAAGAGTATCTAAAGCAGTGGCTAATGAAGTTTTAGTTTTAGGACCCTTTACATTCTTATGTGTTTTTTCTTTTTTTTCTTTTTTTTTGAGACTGAGTCTTGTTTTTTTTTCTTTTCTTTTTTTTGAGACTGAATCTTGCTCTATTGCCCAGGCTGGAGTGCAATGACACGATCTCAGCTCACTGCAATCTCCACCTTCCGGGTTCACGCCATTCTTGCGCCTCAGCCTCCCAAGTAGCTGAGATTACAGGTGCCCGCCACCATGGCGGGCTAATTTTCATATTTTTAGTAGAGACAGGGTTTTGCCATTCTTGGCCAGGCTGGTCTCAGGTGATCTGACCACCTCGGCCTCTCAAAGTGCTGCCCGGCCCTTTTTCATTCTCAACTATTGTTGAAGACCTAAAGAGATTTTGTTTATGTTGGTTACAGCTATCAGTATTCACTATATTAGAAATTTAAAATAAGAAATTAAAAAAATATTTATTACTTCATGTTAAAATAGCAATAAGGAACCCATTATTTTTGAATAAACAGAGGAATTAACGAGAGGTTGAAGTCAAGTATGCTAGTTTCCTGCAGAGGCCCAAAGAAATTCCCGTTTCTGGTGATTCCATTCACAGAGACTGAAAACAGAGGAGCAGGGGAGTGGGCAGGGGTGGGCCTTGGTGGAGACAGAGATGGGAAAGAGGGTGAGTCTGTAAGAGTCTGGCATTCCTCCTACAGGACACGTGGGCATTTTCAAGACTCCAGTCCACTAGGTGGATCTTCAAAGGCTTATGCCACATTCTTCCATAGCACACTTCTAAAATACCTGTTTTATAGGGTTTAAACTATCTGCTTTATAGGGACCAAGTGTGGTGGCTCACGCCCGTAATCCCAGCACTTTGGGAGGCCGAGGCAGATGGATCACAAGGTCAGGTGTTCGAGACCAGCCTGGCCAAGATGGCAAAACCCCGTCTCTACTAAAAATACAAAAATTAGCCGGGGCCAGATGCAGTGGCTAACGCCTGTAATCTCAGCACTTTGGGAGGCCAAGGCAGGCGGATCGCTTGAGGCCAGTAGTTCAAGACCAGCCTGGCCAACACAGTGAAACCCAGTCTCTACTAAAAATACAAAAATAAGCCAGGCGTGGTGGCGTGAACCTGTAATTCTAGCTACTCGGGATCCTGAAGCACGAGAATCGCTAGAATCCAGGAGGCAGAGGTTGCAGTGAGCCAAGATTGCACCACTGCACTCCAGCCTGGGCGACAGAGCAAGACTCTATTTCAAAAAAAAAAAAAATCTGCTTTATAGGGTCCTTTTACAAACTATTAGGCCACTTATCCTCAAAACCAAACAATGCAATAGGGTAGACAGATAGGAACTCGCAGGCTGTTCACAAGGAAACTGAGGCCCTGAGAGGTTATGTGACTTGTCAGTCTTCCCACCTCCCTTTTGCCCATCTTATAATAGACTCATGTCTGGAACTCAATTGTCCTGATTGCTAGCTCGTTGTGCCCAGTGACTCAAGAGAGTGAAAATTGTTGGTTCAGCAGTCTATCTTCTAAATTTGCTTCTTCTAAAAGTATTTAAAAGGTATAAGAAATATAAATTACTCCCTAGGCTGCTAGGCAGGCACCTGGTTTTCTCCTGGGGTAGTCAGAACCCTCCTATCTTTAATTTTTCACGGATGAATATACCAACAGTGAACAATGGCCAGACCATGGGGAATAGAACTGAGTCTCACAAACTTTGTAGCAACCAGCTGGGGAAGCCAAACCACTTGGCTTCCAACTCAGCACCGACCAGAGAAAGCCAAAGATGCTCCCCAGACTAATCACCGAAGATGCCCTGCTTCATTTTTTTTTTTTTTTTTTTTTTGAGACAGAGTTTCGCTTTGTCACCCAGGCTGGAGTGCAGTGGTGCGATCTTGGCTCACTGCAACCTCTGCCTCCCAGATTAAAGCAATTCTCCTGCCTCAGCCTCCCTAGCAGCTGGGACTACAGGCACGCACCACCATGCCCGGCTTATTTATTTATTTATTTATATTTTTAGCAGAGACGAGGTTTCCCTATGTTGGCCAGGCTGGCCTTGAACTCCTGACCTTGTGAGCTTCCCACCTCAGCCTCCCAAATTGCTGGGATTACAGGCGTGAGCCACCGCACCCAGCCTGCCCTGCTTCTAAGCAGTCCATCTCCCACTTCCTCGTGCCAATAAGCTCCAATCCAGATAAACCTGAAGCCTTCCCTTTTTGTCACTGTAAATTCTCTCACTCCTCTGCCTGCTTTGACCTTCTGCCAAAGTGATGGAAGCTGACTCCCATAGCATAGCAAGCTCTGAGTAAATAGCCCCTGTACTCATTTATTTCCACACCACTGAATGAATAATGAAAGATGTTATAAAGCCAAATTATGAAAAGGGCATCAGTTATTAAACATTTGTAAAATGTTTTACAACCATCTTAGTATGCCTCATAAACACCTCGTGAAGTGCTGCCATCCCCGTTTCAGAGCTGAGAAAATTGAGAAGGAACCATGAGATTAAGTGACTTGCCCAGAGCTATGATGAGAACATGAGCCCCCCAGGGTTTGAGGTCTGTTGTTTATCCACTGAGCTTGAGCTGCGCTTTGGAATCATTACCATCTTAAAGCATTTTACCCTGTGTTGGGTGAATATTAAGAAGTAGATCACATTTCAGCCTGGCAGGCGCGAAAGTATTGTTTTTAGTTTGTTTTTCTAAATTTTAGTAGAGGACATATGGGCTCTATTAACTTTACTATGTAGCACAATTTGAAAGATAGTTTCTTTTCCAGCAAATTTTTCACCGTAATTTAACATTTTAAAATTCAGCACACACCGTCCTCCCTGGATACTTGTTTTTCTCAGAGTTGGGCCTTTTTCCTCTCCACTGCAGCTTGGAAGGTCGTAAATCCAGCCAGGGGGATTTTATTATGCCTGGGGACAGTTTTCAAAGTTAGGTATGAGTGGAAGGAAGGGAGGGCGGGTGCAACAGCGCTGGACAAAGTCCGTCTAATGCAAGACTTTCCTTTCTTTTTTTTTTGTTTTTAAAGATAAGAACTTTTTTGGCTTTCTCCCCGCAAAGCTTGCTGATGATGTTGACTGATGAGGACATGAAAAAAGCTGAGATTTGCAGAACATAACTGGAGCATAAGAACGCCTGTCTGGAAGGCAGGGGCTGCTGGGAAAGGATCTCTCTGGAGCTCCTTGCTGGCTGCAAAAATGCAGCTGTCCCTATTCCTCTCTACTCTGGGACATTTAAAAAGGAGGCTGTGTGGCAGTAGCATTTGGCTTGTGTGCCACTGTACCTGGTCAGCCTGGCATGGAATGCCTTAGTGGTTTGTTAGGGGTCACTGACTGAGGCTAAATAAATTTAGCACCATGTATACTTTCATTAAATATTAAACAATGAGGCCAAGCACGGTGGCTCATGCCTGTAATCCCAGCACTTTGGGAGGCTGAGGTGGGAGGATCGCTTGTGGCCAGGAGTTTGAGACCAGCCTGGGCGACATAGCGAAACCCTGTCTCTACAAAAAATTTAAAAAATTAACTAGGCATGGTGATGCATACCTGTAGTCCCAGCTACTTGGGAGGCTGAGGCAGGAGGATCACTTGAACCCAGGAGGTCACGGCAGCATTGAGCTCTGATCATAGCACTGCCTCTGGCCTGGGCAACAGAGCAATACTCTGTCTCTAAAAGAGAAAAACAAACAAACAACAACAAAAAAAAACACAAAAAGACAATAACATTCAATTGTTTGCTAATGGTTCATCTGCCCAATCTCTGGAATCCTGTCTTTCACCTACTCACCTTCACTCACTTAGAAACTTATGCATTGGCTTCAAATACTATTTCTTCTATATTATCCTTTCACCTTTCTTCTTTAAAAAAAAATTTATTTAGAGACAGGGTCTTGCTAGGTTGCTCGGGCTGGCCTTGAACTCCTGGCCTTAAGTGATCCTCCCACCTCTGCCTTCCATCTTTTTATCTTCTTCAGCTTATGAAAATGGATCCATCTGCATTAAAGGCCTAAAAATGTATGTAGTCAGGTGAGTGTTGTGATAGTTGGTGTGATGGTTAATACTGAGTGTCAACTTGATTGGATTGAGGGATACAAAGTATGAATCCTGGGTGTGTCTGCGTGGCTATTGCCAAAAGAGATTAATATTGGAGTCAGTGGGCTGGGGAAGGCAGATCCACCCTTCATCTGGTGGGCACAATGTAATCAGCTGCCAGTGAATATAAGGCAGGCAGAAAAACACGAAAAGGAGAGAGACTGGCCTAGCCTCCCAGCCTACATCTTTCTCCCATGCTGGATGCTTCCTGCCCTCAAACGTCGGACTCCAGGTTCTTCAGTTTTGGGACTTGGACTGGATCTCCTTGCTCCTCAGCTTGCAGACAGCCTATTGTGGGACCTTGTGATTGTGGAGGTTAATACTTAATAAACTCCCCTTATGTCTGTCTGTCTATCTGTCTGTCTGTCTATCTATCTATCTATCTATCTATCTATCATAGGATATATATATATATCTATTTATATTAGTTCTGTCCCTCTAAGAGAACCCTGACTAACACAGTTGGTGAAGGTTTCCTTTTCTCCTCTGATGATGTGAGTGAAGCAGGCTTTCAGGGATTATGAGAACAGGCGAAGTCTTCAAGGAGATGGGCCCCTCAAACACAGCCTGCACATCCCATCCATCTCCCCATTCTCCTGGAAGCCATGCCTTGGAAGGCAGAGGGGATGCTGGAGGGATGCAGGTCTCAGGGCCTGAGAAGTTGAGGGTGGTTCTAGATAGAGTAGAGAATGAATGGGATAAGGGGCAGTAGAGGCCTGACCTCCGAGAGATCTCACCACTCCTAACTTTGACTATTCCTGTCTGGCTGCATTTGGGTTTCCTTTTGTCCCAAGAAAAGAAAGACGAAAAACCTTAGAGTGTTGGGAGTCTAGATATGTTAAAACTAACAGATGTTAGTTCATTGATCACCAAGACAATGCACGGGCCAGTAGGACTTCTCACAGCAAAAAAGCCAGGATGGAGAGGCGGAAGACCAGGTTGGGCAGATCCTTCAGCTTTCAGCTGTTTTTCTCATCCTTTATAGCACTGTAATTAGGACTAGATGAGGAAAAAAAGATGGGCATGAGCTGTAGCTACAGGGGGAAAACAATAAATGACTAACAGATAAAAAAAATGTAAGTGAAGTGCTAATATTCCAGTCATTTAAAATATTGCTGGGAAGACCAATTATCCGTGTAAAAAAGGTGAAAACAAATATAACATTGCTTAGGTAATTCTGTGGACCCTTGATACACAGTATTTGCATAAAATCAGAATTACAGAATTTAGTGTTTTGTGGTTTTTGTTTGTTTGTTTTTTGAGACACCTGGGTCCGGGGAGGTGGAGGCTGCAGTGAGCTGTCATGCCACTGCACTCCAGCCTGCACAACAGAGTGATGAAAGAAAGGAAGGGAGGGAGGGAGGGAGGGAGGGGGAGGGGAGGGGAGGGGAAGGGGAAGGGAGAAGGGAGGGGGAGGGGAGGAGAGGGGGAGGGGAGGGGAGGGGGAGGGGAGGAGGGGGGGGAGGGGGGAGGGGAGGAGAGGGGGAGGGGAGGGGGGAGGGAGGGGAGGGAGAAAGAAAGGAAGGGAGGGAGGAGGAGGGGAGGGGGAGGGGAGGGGGAGGGGAGGGGAGGGGGAGGGGAGGGGGAGGGGAAGGGAGGGGGATGGGAGGGGAGAGGAGGGGGAGGGGAGCGGGATGGGAGGGGAGGGGGGAGGGAGGGGAGGGAAGGGAGAAAGGAAGGAAGGAAGGAAGGGAGAGAAAGCAAGGGAAAGAAGGAAAGAAAGAAAGGGAAAATAATCAAAAATATAAGAACACAAACAAAAGCACATTCTGTCAGCTCATCCTCTCTATAGGCTAAGGAAACTATACTATCTGAACCCAAAGGAGAGAAATAAACAAAATCAAATACTTATCTACCCATCCCTCTGCACACGGTCTTAGTTGAAGTGAGAGTATACACTTCATTACTGTGTACCTGGATTTTATCCCATTCTGCTACAAAATGCACGTCAGTGCGTTCACTTTCACTGCATGATATAGAAGCTGTTCTGTATGCAGCCAAATCACATTACTGCCCATTGCTGAAAGAAATGACCTTCAATGAACGGGTTATAAAATTCACTCATGATCACTTATTGAATGCCTATGTGCCAGACACACTGTTAAGCATGATGGAATCAGAGAAATGTTGCTGTCTAACGTATCCCAGTCTAGTGGGGTAATATATAACCTGATACATTATGATTCCATGGAAGTGTTTCACTAATGGTATAAATCACGAGCTGTGTCAGAAACCCAGGAGGAATTGATACGTCTCCCGGGAGAGTGTGGGGAGACTCTGGTGGAGGTGACGTGTGATCGTGGTCTTGAAGGATGAGCGGAAATTTGCCAAGTGAACAAGGGGGAAAGGAATTTACAAGTAGAGGGAAGAGGATGGCTCGTCAAAGTGTCTGGCAATACTGAGAAATGTTGAAAAGGGTGGTGTAGCTACAGCCCAGGTTTCACGGGACAGAGGTAGCTGCAGTGTGGTTAGGTTGGGGCTAGTGCATGGGGAGCCTTGGTACACCTGCCACGTGCAACTGGTAATCATCCCTAGAGGTACTGGGAGCACAGAGTGTCATGCGTGGAGTTACATGTACTGTGTGCTGTGCTTTTAATGTAACTTGAAGTCGTAAGGAGGGAATATATGATGTGGGAGCAGAGCAAGGAGAAGCAAGTTAGGGAGACCAAACAGGAGGCAGCAGTGGGGACGGCTGACTTTGAGAGGCGTCTTTGAAAGACAATAGGTAATATTTGGTAGACATTGGATGTGGAGGCTGAGGCAGCAGGAGAAACAGAGTATGACTTTGAAGTTGCTCAATACAGGAGATACTGGGTGGCTGGCGGTACTATTAACCCAGATGACAGGACACGGAAACAGGATGGGTTCTCTGCTCCGGCGTGTCCCTGAGGAGTCACTCTTAACTTTGGTACAGGTGATCAGCAACTGGGAAAGTGTATGAAGCCCACTCCAGAATGAGACCACTGACCTCTTCATTTCCATGCTTTCGGCTCAAGGTATCATTCGGCTCAACACCATTTAAAAGCTATCTAGGCTGGGTGTAGTGGCTCACACCTGTAATCCCAGCACTTTGGGAGGCCGAGGCGGGTGGATCACTTGAGGTCAGGAGTTCAAGACCAGCCTGGCCAACATGGTGAAACCCCATCTCTACAAAAAAATTAAAAAATTAGCTGGGTGTGGTGGTGGGTGCCTGTAATCCCAGCTACTTGGGAGTCTGAGGCAGGAGAATTGCTTGAACCCGGGAGGCAGAGGTTGCAGTGAGCTGAGATCGTGCCACTGCACTCCAGCCTGGGTGACAGAGCAAGATGCCGTCTAAAAACCAAAATAAAAAGCTATCTAGGGGCAGGCTTATGCCTGTAATCTCGACACTTTGGGAGGCTGAGGCGGGCAGATCACCTGAGGTCTGGAGTTCAAGACCAGCCTGGCCAACATGGTGAAACCCCATCTCCTTTACTAAAAATACAAAATTAGCTGGCCATGGTAGTGCACACCCATAATCCCAGCTACTCAGGAGGCTGAGGCAGGAGAATCGCTTGAACCCAGGAGCAGAGGTTGCAATGAGCCAAGATCATGCCATTGCACTCCAGCCTGGGCGACAAGAGAAAACTCTGTCTCTAAATAAATAAATAAAAATAAAAGCTATTTAGGGCCAGGCATGGTGGCTCATGCCTGTAATCCCAGCACTTCAGAAGGCTGAAATGGGCAGATTGCTTGAGTCCAGGGGTTTGAGACCAGCCTGGCCAACATGGCAAAACCCTGTATCTACAAAAATACAAAAATTAGCTGGGCGTGGTGGCACATGCCTGTAGTCCCAGCTACTTGGGGGGCTGAGGCAGGAGGATTACTTGAGCCCGAGAGTTGGAGGCTGCAGTAAGCTGTGTTTGCGCCACTACACTCCAGCCTGGGTGACAAAGCAAAATTGTCTCAAACAACAACAACAAAAACAACAACAAAAAGCTTTCTAGAACATTTCCAATCTAGTGCAAACCTCTTTTTGGTTACACCGTGTATCATTCCAGTTATAAGAATGTAAAAAGTGGCAACTCCGGAGCCAGGCTATCTGGGCAAGTGACCTCTGGAAAGGCCCTTAAACTTCGCTGTGTCTCAGTTTCCTTATCTACAGAATAAGGATTAAAATTATTCAAAAGGTTGTTGTGGAATTGAAATGAGTTAGTATATGTAAAAGTGAATCTGGCGCATAGTGTAAGTACTTTCTTTTGTGGAGTCTTGCTCTGTCGCTCAGGCTGGAGTGCAGGGGTGCAATCTTGGCTCACTACAAACTCTGCCCCCGCCACGCCCAGCTAATTTTTGTATTTTTAGTAGAGATGGGGTTTCGTCATGTTGGCCAGGCTGGTTTCGAACTCCTGACCTCAGGTGATCCACCCGCCTCGGCCTCCCAAAGTGCTGGGATTACAGGCGTGAGCCACTGTGCCCGGCCCATAGTGTAAGTACTTTCTAAGTGTTTGCTATCAATAAGTAATAAATCATAGAATACTCGACTGAAAGTGGTACAAATATTAGAGATTTATTATTACAGAACAAGATGGAAGTTGGCAGTTCCAGGGTTTGTCCTGTCAATTAACCAAGGCATCCCGGAGACTGGACTCTTCCTGTACCCACTGCCACGCTCAGTGTGGCAGTGCCTTCTCCCCTCATCATGGCAGGGAGGCCACCACAGCTCCAACAACCAAGTCTTCACATGGTCAGCATCCCAAGCATGAAATAAGGGGATGTGGTTAGAAAGGGCTTTTCTCCTTGTGCAGCCTTCCCTTTACAAGCAAGAAAATCTCTCCTAGAAGTCCCTAGTAGGTTTCCTTTCAGCTAAAACTTGGGTCACAGGCCCATCCCTGAACCTGGCACTTCCAACCTGTAACAAATGAGGCAGAAGTGGGACTAGGGCTGGCTGCTGGGCAGCTGACCGGTAGTGCCCACCACAGTCTGGGAGCCAAAGAGTTCCAAAAGTTCCTCACTCAGGCCAGGGGTAATTGAGAAACAGGCACATAACAGTATTCATCCAGGAGTCCTCAGGTTTTTTAAGAGTTTTTTAGTTTTTTTTTTGTTGTTGTTGTTTTGTTTTTTTTTTTGAGATGGGCTCTCGTTCTGTCGCCCAGGCTGGAGTGCAGTGGCGTGATCATGGCTCACTGCAGCCTCGACCTCCTGGGCTCAAGTGATCCTCCCACCTCAGTCTCCCAAAGGGCTGAGATTACAGATGTGAGCCACTATGTGCCTGGCTAAGAGTAGCTTATTTTTATTTTATTTTATTTTATTTTTTTGAGATAGAGTCTTGCTCTGTCGCCTAGGCTGGAGTGCAATGGAGCGATCTTGGCTCACTGCAACCGCCCCCTCCCGGCCTCAAGCAATTATCCTACCTCAGCCTCCCAAGTAGCTGGGATTACAGGTGTCTGCCACCATGCCTGGCTAATTTTTGTATTTCTGTAGAGATGGGGTTTCACCATGTTGGCCAGGCTGGTCTAGAACTCCTGACCTCAGGTGATCCACCCACCTTGGACTCCCAAAGTGCTGGGATTACAGGCGTGAGCCACCACGCCTGGCCAAGAGTAGCTTTTTAACCTAGGTCAGTATCGTGTTGGTAAAATACGGAGAGAGGATGTTTGAGCAGAAGGACCTACCTCATCTTCTCACCTGTTCTAGGCTGCTACCTTCTCTTTCTACAAACCAAAGGAGGGGGCTCATAACTCAATGGGCCTTGTGGGAAAGGCTAACCAGACTAGTCACTGCTGAATTCCTCTAAGGGATTCCCCTACCCTGACTGCCCTTGCCACAGTTGCACCCACCATCCTAGGGGCAGTAAGTAGAGAGAGCTGTGTGAGAAGAGCACTCTTTCCACTCCAGATGTCCCCTACAACCTATATCCTCACGGCCACTAACAGTTTGGGCCCGTAGCATCACTCATCTGGACCGCTCCCATGTGGTCTCCCCATCACAACAAAGACTGCAGCAAGGTGGACAGAGAACTCCAAGAGAGCCAGGAAAATACCTTTATAAACCATCACAGAAAGCCTGATTTCCACTCGCTAAATCCATTAATAAAGAGAGGAGAAATTTTAAAATTCCAAGGCACCTGGTTACTAATCTGATTCTGGCCTACATGTGGATATTCAATAAATACTTGTTAAGTTAAATTGACTCAAGGTTTTATTTATTCAGCCTACTTAAAGCTTATGTAAACCCCTTGGAGATTTGTGTCAAGCTGTTAAGTTGGAAAATATAAGAAAAGTAGTATTTTCAATAGACCAGCTTTCCTCTTAATGTACTTTATGAACTTAGTGTAAACCAGGGAAATGGGGGAGGGGTACCAGAAGAGCAGAGGGGAAGGAGGTGAGGAGGAAGGAAGAGGTGAGGAGGAAGGAGAAGAAAAGCCTTTTCTGTCATTTCCTGCATTTGTCTTAATTGCTGTACTTATTAACCAGCTACTGCCCTCTAGTGCTCACTGTATTAAGTTCGCATCTGAATTCCATTTTTATCTTTAAAAACTCTGGTGACACTTGGAAGGGATCAAATTTCCTGTTTTGCAGATAAGCAAATTGAAGTCCAGAGGAAAGAGGTATCAAACTGACCCAGGGGACTTCTGGACTCTTTGTTACCTCACCTATAACTTGTCTGGAAAACTTTATTAAAAGCCTTTCTCAGAAATTTTAATTGGTAACCAGTAAAAATTGTAGCATCATGTTAGTGCTAGTTATTATTATTATTATTTTTGAGACGGAGTCTGGCTCTGTTGCCCAGGCTGGAGCGCAATGGTGCAATCTGGCTCACCGCAACCTCCGCCTCCTGGATTCAAACTACTCTCCTGCCTCAGCCTCCCAAGTAGCTGGAACTACAGGCGCCCGCCACCACGCCCGGCTAATTTTTTGTATTTTTAGTAGAGGCGGGGTTTCACCGTGTTAGCCAGGATGGTCTCGATCTCCTGACCTCGTGATTTGCCCATCTCGGCCTCCCAAAGTGCTGGGATTACAGGCGTGAGCCACCGCGCCTGGCCTGTGCTAGTTATTATTTCCAATGTTGTTCTAAATTAAGCTTAGACTGATTGCTGGTCAATTTAAGTAAGGATATAAAATAATAGTGGTACATTTTTAACTTAGTACAAGTTTAGAAAATGTCTATAATACTTCTTTAAAAAGTTAACTAGAGGCCGGGCACGGTGGCTCACGCCTGTAATCCCAGCACTTTGGGAGGCCGAGGCGGGCGGATCACAAGGTCAGGAGATCGAGACCATCCTGACTAACACAGTGAAACCCCGTCTTTACTAAAAATATAAAAAATTAGCTGGGCGTGTTGGCGGGCGCCTGTAGTCCCAGCTACTTGGGAGGCTGAGGCAGGAGAATGGCGGGAACCCAGGAGGCGGAGCTGGCAGTGAGCCGAGATCGCGCCACTGCACTCTAGCCTGGGTGACAGAGCAAGACTCTGTCACACACACACACACACACACACACACACACACACACACACAAGTTAACTAGAACAGATCCCAAGTGGATATGGCCATTTATCAGAACTGACTTATCATTGTCTCCATGTGGGCTAACATTCCGCTAGATTCTCCCAAGTGAAGCTCTTTGCTCACTGATGGGAAAAAGGGGGGGTTGTCATTTTAACGTGGAACGCATATTTTCACCACATAATCATTTTGCTAGTGGAAATAAATGGAAAGTTATCCAGCTGGACATGCTACTTATGAGAACACTACTGAGTAACAAAAGATTTATTCAAATATTTAATTGGAAGGAACTACATCTGGAATAAGTTTTAAAGGAATCCATATAAAAAGAAAAGCAAATCCATTAGAAATTGATATAAACAGTTGATTTTATCTGGAACCAAGAATGTGAATGAATTGGAACCTAGATGTCCTAACCTGTTTCTTTGCATAAAAGCCAGTTGAATTTTGAAATTTATATGGCAATTATACTTTATTACTTTACATAGAGCTTTGTTTTTAGCTAATATTTTAGAGACAGATTACCCAAAATTACCTAATTTGGTTCCCACTTCATTCCTTCTCAAAAACCAAACATAAAACAGAAGGGGGCCAGCTGTGGTGGCTCATGCCTGTAATCCCAGCACTTTGGGAGGCCGAGGAGGGTGGATCACTAGGTCAGGAGTTTGAGACCAGCCTGACCAACATGGTGAAACCCCGTCTCTACTAAAAATACAAAAATCACCCAGGTGTGGTGGCACATGCCTGTAATCCCAGATACTTAGGAGGCTGAGGCAGGAGAATCGCTTGAACCCAGGAGACGGAGGTTGCGGTGAGAGCCGAGATCGTGCTACTGCACTCCAGCCTGGGCAACAAAGCAAGACTCTGTCTCCAAAAAAAAAAAAGGAAAGCAGAAGGGGGCATTTTCCTGTCTTCAAAATACAACCTCCTGCTAAGACTAGCAAGTCAGCAGAAACTCATTGCATTTGGGCTTCTGGTTACTAAATGAATTAAGAGACACCGAGTTCCATCCTTAGATGTCCACATAGATCCCATTGATCAAATAATCCAGTCTTGAGTAACGTTTCCTGCGGAGTGATTCCGAGAGGATTCTACCCAGGAGGACGAGGCCTATCACCAGGAACAGGACACCAAAGAGCAGGGACCCGATAAGAAGCCATTTTTCAAATGGAAGGCCGTACTGATTTTCTGGAACACTGCCCTGGGAGGAACTGCCTGGACTGGCCTCCCTACCTTCCCAGGAAGCAGTTTTATTCATAGTGGAAGACTCCACATTTGACATAGAAAGTGCAGTAGGGTTATACACATTCCCTGTGTTCAAAGTTAGGTTGGAGATTTCTGTAAACGGTATGGTTTCTAAGCTGCCTTTCGAGTCCGTAGGTGCCTGAAAGGTGGTAGTCAGAACTGCTGTTGTAGCCATTGCTTGGAGTGTAGCCGCAGCCCGTGTAAAAACTGTAGAAATGAGGGTCGTGGGAGGCTGAGAAGTGACAGTGGTTACAGGTGGAGCTGTGGTGGCCAGCTGTGGCTGGGAAGTCCCAGAAGGTGTCACTGAAGCATTGGTGGGTAGAAGGGTGGCGGGCTTTGGAGTAGCCGAGGTGGTATGTGGAGAAGCAACTGCCACCGTAGCTGGGAGCGCACTCACATTTTCAGGCAGCAGATGAGCTATTTCTTGATCAGAGGAAAATTGTGAACTCTGAGAATGGCCTTTTTCCTTATAAGCAAGGAGCTGGGCACTTGCTTCATCCATCTTAAATAGTTTCTCCAAGTGATCTGAGGATCCAAACTTCTGAGAAAGTGTGTCTCTCCATGAGATATCGGTGGGCTTTGAATAATCTGTGTGATGATGGGCTAGGGGAGTGACTGCTTGTGAAAATTGGCCATGTAAGAGAGAATCTTCCTGGGGTAACTCTTGGCTTGGCAAATTTCTGGTCAAAGATGGAAAATCTGAAAATGTATGGAAAATAAAAGGAAGGCTTATGTAACTCCATGCTACGGTAGGTTAAAAAAATACAAACATATCAGCTTGTTCAAAAGATCCCTAAACTGGTTGGCCATGGTGGCTCACGCCTATAATCCCAGCACTTTGGGAGGCTAAGGCAGGAGGATGGTTTGAGGCCAGGAGTTGGAGACCAGCCTGGACAACATAGGGAGATCCTGTCTCTTAAACAAAAAAATCTCCAAACTGTTGATACTTGACATTTCATTGAAATGTGTGCAAAATGGAAAAACACAAATTGCTAAATGAGAATCTGATAACGCCGCCTCTCTACCAGATGCTGTGGTTTATTTCTAGCATGATAGGACAGAAGAGAAGAGAAATGTGTGGAGGAGGACCAGGCAAATTAAGGAAAAGGTGGGAGGTGCACAGCAGAGAAGCCGGAGGGGCTCAGCAGGGCAGCAAGAGGCTTACAAAGATGGAAAGGGTTCTCCGTCTTCCTAAGGGGCCAAGGCCAGGGAAAAAAGTGGGCCGGAGGGTGACCTGAGCAGGAAAGGTTGGCAGGGAGAATGCGGGGGAAGGTGTGGGCTTCTGCAAGACATGCCACCTAAGACTGAGATGACAAATGGGGAGCAAGTAATCATCAGGAGAGATTTCAGTGGGGGCATGAGGCAGGCAAGAAAGGTATGTGGAAGCTGTGGGAAATGAGGCAATAGAGCAGGAGAGAGGGAGCAGAATCCCTGTGGTGTGTCTCTGACAGGGAGGAGGAGGAGGGGCCAGGCAGGGTCTGGTCTCCGCTCTGAGCACTGAGGCCACAGCAGCAGCAGAACAGCAACAACGACAACAAAAAACCAGAGATATATCGTTCCAGCACTGTGCGCAGAGGAGGGAGGCTATCTGGGAGATTTCATTTGGACTCTCAAAGATTAGAATTTTGGAGCCAATGTCATAGGTCATGAGGATGATGGGACCAATATTTGAAATCATGATGACCACACTGTAGACACAGAGGGCAGAAAAACCATACAGTCCCGATGCCTGCTGAGGAGAAACCAGCCCCAGATCCTGCTCCTGCTCCATGAAGCTTAGAATTTTTCTCCTGATCACACACCCCATTTATCACAGCTCAAACTGGAAAGACCTGTTCAAGCAATCAAGTGCAGGGAATGACCAGGTGAATTGCCATGTATCACTCTGCTGCTAGGCTAACCATCTCACATTAGAACTGCAGAAAACACAAGGAAAGAAGCAGAGGAATGTCCTGGCATTTCTCAGTCCACTCACTCCTGCTCTCTTTTCCTTTTTCTTCCTCAATTCACCTCCATGCCAGTTTCCAAACTGGTCCTCAGTCTCCTCTTTCCTACAGACGGATCCAGAGGCAGCTACGGATTCATGCCATCTCGTGACTACTCTCTAAGCCTTACCCCTCTGAGAGGTTCTTTGCACTGTCACTCTGTCACTTATTCGTCCATCTAGGACAGGGCTCAGCAAACTACGGCCTGATGGACAAATCTGGCCTGCCATCTGTCTTTGTATGACTTGCAAGCTAAGAATGGTTTTTACGTTTTTTAAAATTTTTATTTGTTTTGAGACAGAGTCTCACTCTGTCGCCCAGGCTGGAGTGCAGTGGTATGATCTCGACTCACTGCAACCTCTGCCTTCCAGATTCAGGCGATTCTCCTACCTCTGCCTCCTGAGTAGCTGGGATTACAGGCGCGTGCCACCACACCTGGGTGATTGTTCTATTTTTAGTAGAGGTGAGGTTTCACCATGTTGGCCAAGCTGGTTTCAAACTCCTGACCTCAGGTGATCCACCCCCTTCGGTCTCCCAAAGTGCTGGGATTATAGAGGTGAGCCACCATGCCTGGCCAGTTTTTATATTTCTTTTAATGGCTGAAAAATAATCAAAAGAAAATTGTGTGACACAGGAAAGGTATACAAAATTCAAATTTCTGTATTTCAAAACCTAAAGTACTGGTGTGAAAAGCCTAAAATACTATTTGGCCCTTGGCAGAAAAAGTTGGTGGACATCTGCTCTAGGATATAGTATTCTACTCTAAAGTAGAATTTGGGTCAAATGAAATATATTTGAAAATATATATATATATATTTTTGAGACAGGGTCTTGCTCTGTCACCCAGGCTGGAGTGCAGTGGCACAAACACAGCTCACTGCAGCCTCAACCTCCTGGGTTCAAGCAATCCTCCCACCTCAGCCTCTTGAGCAGCTGGGGCCACAATGCCATGCCACCATGCCCAGCTAATTTTTGTATTTTTTGTAGAGACAGAATTTTGCCATGTTGCCCAGGCTGGTCTTGAACTCCTGGAATCAAGCAATCCGCCCACCTCAGCCTCCCAAAGTGCTGGAATTACAGGTGTGAGCCATCATACTTGGCCTATAATTCATTTTAAAGTTAAAAAAGAAAAAGACTGTTTAAGTAAACACTCTGTGATGTGTGTGAAATCAGAACTTAAATATGGCCATTGACAAGAATGGCCAAAACAGCTGTTTTCTTTCTCAAGCATGCAAGCTCATAAATAAAGCAAAGCTAGGGCCAGTCCCACTTCTTGATAAGATTCCTCTGTTGGCAGAGGTCCTAGAACCACAAAGGGATCCTCCACACCTGCTCCATTCGCCTCACCCACTCATGTTTGCCATTGGGGCATGGTGCTTCCTCTCAGTCACGCAGAGATGAGCCACAAAGGGAGCTGCAAAGCAGCTCAGCGCCCTTAACTCCTCTTTGGAGTTTTATTTTCAAACGACTTCACTGAGTTGAAAAATGAGAGACTGACTATTACTGGGACCCCAGCTGAGCAAACAGACTCCCAATTTATTCTATGTCTGAATTCTCCTATTCTTCCAGTCCTTGGTAAAAATGACATGCCATGAAGCTGCCAACAACAACAATAAAAGATTAAATACCAAACTGCAATGGCTTTAGAGAATGAACAGAATCCACTGTCATCTTTCAAACTCTTGGTCCGTAAATATTAGTCAATGGGATATAGGAAATAGAGGCTGGGCACGGTGGCTCATGCCTGTAATCCCAGCACTTTGAGAGGCCGAGGCAGGATGATTGCTTGAGGCCAGGAGTTTGAGACCAGCCTGGGCAACATACTGAGACCCCCCCATTGCTACAAAACATTTTAAAAAATTAGCCTGGCATGGTGGTGCATTATCTGTAGTCCCAAATACTTGGGAGGCTGAATGGAGAGGACTGCTTGAGCTCAGGAGGTGGAGGCTGCAGTGAGCCATGATCGCGCCGCTGCAGTGAGCCATGATCGCGCCACTGCACTGCAGCCTGGGCAACAGAGTGAGATGCTGCCTTAAAAAAAAAGAAAAAAAAAAAGAGAGAGAGAGACAGAAAAGAAAAAGAAATAGAGTTCTTCCAGAAACAAACCACCAAACAGATAATCTGTATTTAATTTCACTCCAGGCAGGAGGCAGATAATTCATTTTTAATGGGGTAATATGAATTCATCAACATGGACAGATTCATACACAGAATTACAAACACAACTTGCACACATCCTGTAGATATAAACAGTCCTTTGCATACTATGTCCGGGGTTGGTGCCACGTTGCCCCTAGGTGTCCATCAACCTGCTCAGGGGCCGGCAACGCCCCCTGGTGGCTGCCACAAGAACAGTTTAATTCTAATTTCACTTCATTACCTTCACACTCGCCCTAAAAAGATTTATGCACATGCCAAGTTCCCTTTTTTCCGTTCCCATTGGCAAGGAACTTCATCCCATACATGCTCTTTTATATGTGCATTACAAAAGTAACAACACTCCAGAAGTATTAGAAAACAAATTCAGCTGTAATTTCTATCATCGTATCCTAACAACAATTATTTACACAATACTCTGTGCTTCACGCTCCTGTTTGAGAGGATGTTTGACCCATCAGGCTTCCCTGGCACATGAACAAAACTCAGACACAGCCTCAGCTAGGGGGCAAAGCAGTGTCAACACGCAGGCACCCTGGGCAGTATCATTCCCCGAAGCCCCTCATACTTAATGCAGTCAAGAGAGAACCCTAGATTCCACTCCACCTAGATTCCATTCCACAACCCTAAAACTACTCAAGTTTCCCCCAGTGCAGCAAATGGTGTCACCATTCATCTGGATGCTCAAGGCAAAAACTAGGACTTGGCCTTGATGGTTCTTTTTTTCTGGTTCCCCAGACCCACACCACCAGCAAGTCCTGTCAACTCTACTTCGGAATAGCCCATATGTCCACTACTCTCTCCATCTCGCCCGCCACTCCCTGTTTCTTCACCCAGATCTCACCTGCGCCTCCTAACCAGTCTTTCCATTTCCACTTTGCTGCTGTGTCACTGTCCATTCCCAAGAGGGCGGCTACGGTGAGCTTTGAGAAATCACCTTTTTTTTTTCTTCTCCCCGAGACAGAGTCTTGCTCTGTCGTGCAGGCTAGAGTGCAGTGGCGCAATCTCAGCTCACTGCAACCTCTGCCTCCTGGGTTCAAGCAATTCTCCCGCCTCAGCCTCCTGAGTAGCTGGGATTACAGGCACGCACCAGCACACCCGGCTAATTTTTGTATTTTTAGTAGAGACGGGGTTTCACCATGTTGGCCAGGCTGGTCTCGAATTCCTGACGTTGTGATCTGCCCGCCTCAGCCTCCCAAAGTGCTGGGATTACATACATGAGTCAGGAGGTCAGGAATTTGAGACCAGCCTGGCCAACATGGCGAGACCATGTCTACTAAAAATACAAAAATTAGCCAGGCATGGTGATGCTTGCCTGTAGTCCCAGCTACTCAGGAGGCTGAGGCAGGAGAATCACTTGAACTTGGGAGGCAGAGGTGGCACTGAACCGACACTGCATCACTGAACTCCAGCCTGGGTGAAAAGAGTGAGACTCCATCTCAAAAAAAAAATAAAAATAAAACTCCCAACAGCTTCCCACCACACACCTAAAAACTCCCGGCCGGGCACGGAGGCTCATGCCTGTAATCCCAGCACTTTGAGAGGCCGAGGTGGGTGGATTACCCGACATCAGGAGTTCGAGACCAGCCTGGCCAATGTGGTGAAACCCTATCTCTACTAAAAATACAAAAATTAGCCACGTGTAGTGGCATATGCCCCTCCTAAGGCGGAGGTTGCAGTGAGCTGAGATCGCGCCACTGCACTCCACCCTGGGCAACAGAGTGAGACTCTGTCTCAAAAACAACAACAACAAACAAAAAAACTCCCTCCTATGACTTACAAGGTGTTATGTGATCTGGCCCTCCCCACCGTTTTGCATATCACTCTCTGCGTATTTCACAATGAGTCAACCAGCTGGGATTGGAGTGTTGGTTTTTCAAACACTCCAAAGCATTCTGCCTGAGGACCTTGGACTTGGAAGGTCTTCCCCTGATCTCCTCACATCTGGCTCCTCACTATTCAGATCTCAGTTTAGGGGTTACAACTTTACTTACTGATTGTCTATTATACCGTCCTGTCTCAATTCTGTGCATAGCACTTGTGACTATATTTTTCTTGATTATTTATTTATTATGGTTATTGTCTCTCTCCCCTAAAACATAAGTTCCAGAAGGGAGAACCTTGTTTTCCTATTTTTTTTTTAGAGATAGTATCTCACTTTGTCACCCAGGCTAGAGTGTAGTGGCATGAACACAGCTCACTGCAGCTTTGACCTCCTGGTCTCAAGGAATTCTCCTGCCTTGGCCTCCCAAGTAGCTGGGACTACAAGCTCATGCCACCATGCCCGGCTAATTTTTTTAATTTTTTGTGGATATGAGGTCTCATCATGTTGCCCAGGCTGGTCTCTAACTTCTGGGCTCAAGTGATCCTCCCACCTCCCAGAGTGCTGGAATTATAGGCATGAGCTACCACATGGCCAGAACCTTGTTTTTCATGTTTAGTGTTGTTTCCTTAGGGCATAGAAAGTACTTGGCACATAGGAGATGCTAAATAATATTTGTTATTTATTGAACAAATGAACAAGTAGAATATTAAAAATCAAGAGTATGATGATAACTTTCTAAAACTTAAATAAAAGAAAAATTGAAGCTGGGTGTAGTGGCTCACGCCTGTAATCCCAGCACTTTGGGAGGCTAAGGAGGGTGGATCACCTGAGGTCAGGAGGTGAGACCAGCCTGGCCCACATGGTGAAACCCCATCTCTACTAAAAATACAAAAAAAAAAAAATAGCTGGGCATGGTAGTGGGTGCCTGTAACCCCAGCTACTTGGGAGGCTGAGGCATGAGAATTGCTTGAAGCCAGGAGGTGGTGGTTGCAGTGAGCTGAGATCGCACCACTGCACTCCAGCCTGGGCGACAGAGTGAGACTCTCTCTCAAAAAACAACAACACTCATGCCTGTAATCCCAGCACTTTGGGAGGCCAAGGCAGGCGGATCACGAGGTCAGGAGATTGAGACCATCCTGGCTAACACGGTGAAACCCCATCTCTACTAAAAGTACAAAAACAAAATTAGCCGGGCGTGGTGGCGGGCACCTGTAGTCCCAGTTACTCAGGAGGCTGAGGCGGGAGAATGGCCTGAACCCGGGAGGCGGAGCTTGCAGTGAGCCGAGATCGCACCACTGCACTCCATCCTGGGCAACAGAGTGAGACTCCATCTCGGAAAAAGCAAACAAACAAGCAACAACAACAACAAACCCCACTAAATTCTGTAATTCTGATTTTATGCAAATACTGTCTATGAAGGGTCCACAGAATTACCTAAGCAACATTAATTTGTTTTCACCTTTTTTATATGGATAATCTCAAAAAAAAGAAAAATTGATACTGAAACCACTTCAACTTGAAAAATTAACAAGCCAAAGTCTCAGCAAAACATATCCCAGGAATTATATTAATTTTTTTGCTATTTATTTTCCATTCTGAATTAATATGTAAGTTCCATGAACATGGAGATTGTAGTTCTAGTGCTTTGGACAGAATCTGGCACATGGTAAATGTTTAATAAATATTTCTTGAATGAATTTCCTTTCCAGTCTAGACAATAAAATCCAGTGAGTTTGATTTCAGACGAGATTGGGTGCGTTCAGGGTGGTATGGCCATAAAAAGTTTGATTTCAGATAATGTGATTATAATGGGAACTTAATAACAAATATACTAGAACTTTCTATATTAACACAAGTCTTCACCCTTTCAAAACAATCACCCTGGAGACCTGTATACTTATTCCAGTGTTGCCGACCTTGTTCTAAAGAGGTGCTTCAAAAACGTTTCATACAAGGTTTGTGTGTCTTTTATCTCATGAAGGTAAAAACAGAAACAAACCAGAACAAATACTACCATGGCTTTCATTGGAAATCAAATTTTGGTTTAATAAATTGAATTTCCAGTCATGAGATTTTCTGATATGTCTGGTACCCCTTCTGGTAGTTTTATTTAGACTCTTGTAGAAAATCTTTCACATGAACCAGTCTTAAATTATTCCAATCACAAAAGAAAAAGTATAATGCTTTCATTACCTGTAATTATCCTGTAACTCATAAGTCCTTTTGCTGGTTTCAATGGACAGGCTTCCTCGTTGGGACAGAAAAATAGGTAGCAGTTGGGTTGTCTAGCTGTTTTTCGAGTGTCGAAGATCATCAAGTTACATGCTTTGTCCCCTGCAATGAAAGGTTTCATAAGCATGATTTTGAAATGCGATTTTCTAAAGAGTAGGGCAAGTAGGAAAAACTTCACTTATTATGGAGTCCAACACAAACACCTTTGTTCATTTTGTTCACTTGCTTGCTGACCGCTGAATCATTTCCTTTTCCTTAGCTTAGTTGCTTAAGGCAATTTTAAAAAACATTGGGTTTAGCTTTTTTTTTTTCACAAGGTGGCACCGAAGGCGAAGAAGGAAGCTCCTGTCCCTCCTAAAGTCAAAGCCAAAGCAAAGTCTTTAAAGGCCAAGAAGGCAGGGCTGAAAGGCATCCACAACCACACACACACAAACACACACACACACACACACACACACACCCCTAAGACCTGCATGTCACTTACCTCCAGCAGCTCAAGACACTGTGGCTCCAGAGGCAGCCCGAGTATCCCGGGAAGAGTGCTCCCACATGTTTGACCACTCTGCCATCATCAAGCCCTGACTACTGATGTGCTATGAAGATAGAAGACAACCACACACTGGTGTTCACTGTGGATGCCAGGGCCGGCAAGCACCAAAGAGGCTGTGAAGAGGCTCTCTGACACTGATGTGGCCAAGGTTACACCCTGAGCAGGCCTGATGGAGAGAAAGAGGCATGCGCTCTGCTGGCCCCTGCCCACAATGCTTTGCATGTTGCCTACAAAACTGGGATTATTTATTTTTTTTATTTTTTATTTTTTGAGATAATGTCTTGCTCTGTCGCTCAAGCTGAAGTGCAAATGCAGTGGCATGATTTCAGCTCACTGCAACCTCCACCTCCCAGGTTCAAGAGATCCTCCCACTTCAGCCTCCCGAGTAACTGGGACTACAGATGCAAGCCACCACACTCGGATTTTTTTTGGTATTTTTTGTAGAGATGGAGTCTCTCTATATTGCCCAGGCTAGTCTTGAACTCCTGGGCTCAAGCTGTTTGCCCTAGTTGGCCTCTGAAAGTGCTGGGATTACAGGTGTAAGCCACTGCACCTGGCCATCTCTTGGATTCTGAAAGCATCTCAGATGCCTAATAAAGCCATGAGTGGAGTCAGTAAATTATCATAGATATCATGGCTCCTTCCACACAGGATCTGAGTAGTATATGGAATACAGTCTATCTTTTAATTTTTATCTGTACCATTCTTTGTGTTTTTCTTCCAATTACCCCTCTCTCCTTGTCATATTTGCTTTTCTATGTTCCTTCCTTCCTTACTTTTCACTGTTAACTATAATTTCTGGTCTCTTTTCTTTTCTTTTTTGAGTCAGGGTCTTGCTCTGTCATCCAAGCTGCAGTGCAGTGGAACAATCATGGCTCACTTCAGCCTTGACCTCCTGGGCTCAAACAATCCTCCCACCTCAGCCTCCCCAGTAGCTGGGACTTCAAGCGTGCACCACCATGCCTGGCTAATTTTTTGTTTTTTGTAGAGGCGGGGTCTCACTATGTTGCCTAGGCTGATCTTGAACTCTTGGGCTCAAGCAATCCATCCCCCTCAACCTCCCAAAGTACTGGGATTACAGGCATGAGCTAATGCACCCAGCTGCTGGCTTCTTTTTCTGTTCCTCTTGTGTCCAACAGAAATTAAACCCTCTATTCATCATGGCCTAGATTTGATTTTGTCCTCCATTTGGTACAGTCTCACATCTTTGGGAGGTCAGCGTATCCCTGGTCAGGCTGAAGGTTAAGAGACACATAGGCTAATTGTTAAAAACATACGCTCTGTCGACCATCACCACCACTGGTGCTAGTCAGGCAATGGTGAGAGATCAACTCCAACTCCCGAGATGGGAAGGAAGATTTAGTTAGCCTCTGCAGGAGTTTTATCACGTCATATCCCCATTACTCAGATAATAACAGGAGTACTCCTGCTTTTCCTTTCTCAACAATGTGATACCAGAAATACCTTTCTTTTTAGCACTTAGGTAAAGGGGAGGGTCCATAAGCTCAAAATTGTATGCAAGATATTGTGCCCATCGTGTTATGTGCATTTTTCTAGAGTATCATCGAGTTATCATAGTGCCTTTTGAACCCTCGGTGGTTAAACCATTTCTCAGGAAGTGAGGAAAATGTTTGAGATCCATTAACTGAGGTTCCAAGTACCTCTGCTTGTAGCAAAGCAGTAATAGGACTTTGGCTTCTAGAATAAAACAGCAAACCCTCGTTTCTTAGAATTGAGGAGCAGGGCTTTGCTGATGCCTGTAAATACCACACTTACAGTATTCAGTCCTGCTTGCAGGTGATGTTTCTATTTCACATACATGTTGATGTCAACATTTAAAGAAAAACTAGAAATTTAAATTAAACCTCTGTCATTTCCATAAATTACTTGCATAAAGTGTCCCAAAGCACACTGCTCAATGAGACCATCGAAGGGATTTTTCCTCCTGACCCCAAGTATACGGTGTCTTCTCCACACCATTTTGCAGCAATAACCACATATCCTACTATTGAGTTCAATTCTGACACCAACTATCCAGAGCTGGCATCAGATTCCATGGATTATGGGCTCGGTATCACAAGACTGCCCTCATTTCAGAAGCCAGTAGCAAGTATCAGGTCTCCAGGTCACCCACACTTCTGCCTGACTCGGCTACTGCTAATTCAGGGATTCCCATGATCCTACCCCCTCAGATTTGATAATTTGCAAGAACAACTAATAGAACTAAGGAAAATGCTGTATTTACTATTACAGTTTATAATAAGGGATACAAATGAACAGCCAAAAGAGGCTCCTAGAGTCCCAAGTGCAGGAGACTTTGTCCCTGGGGAACTGAGGTGCATAATTCTCTTGACACTGGGATGTGTTCACCAACTTGGATGCTTCCCGATCATCTAGGGGTTTTTATGATGGTCTCATTTTACACAAGCATGATTGATTAAGTCATGGGCCACTGTGACTGAACTCAATCTCCAGTCCCTCCCCTGAGGTGAAGCCTCACTAGCACAAACTCAAGTATAGTTGAAAGGGGCTGGTTATGAATAACCAAAGACATGCTCCCATCTCTTGGGAAATTCCAAGGTTTTTAGGAGTTCTGTGCCAGGAACTGGAGACAAAGATCAAATATGTATCTTTTGAGACAAGGTCTTGCTTTGTCACCCAGGCTGGAGTGCAGTGGTTCGATCAAAGCTCACTGTAGGCTGGGTGCGGTGGCTCACACACTTTGGGAGGCCAGCACTTTGGGAGGCCAAGGTGGGAGGATCATTTGAAGTCAGGAGTTCAAGACTAGCCTGACCAACATGGTGAAACCACGTCTCTATTGAAAATAGTAAAAATTAGCTGGATGTGGTGGCGAACACCTGTAATCTCAGCTACCCGGGAGGCTGAGGCAGGAGAATCACTTGAACCTGGGAGGCAGAGAATGCAGTGAGCCAAGATTGCGCCACTGCGCTCCGTCCGGCCTGGGCAACAGAGTGAGACATCATCACAGACAAACAAACAAAAAAGTCCACTGCAGCCTCAACCCCCTAGGATCAAGTGATCCTCCCACCTCAGCCTCCCAATAGCTGGGACTACATGCGTGCACCAGCACGCCTGGCTGATTTTTTACTTTTTACAGAGAACAGGGTCTTGCTATGTTGCCCAGGCTGCTCTCAAACTCCTGGGCTCAAGCAATCCTCCTGCCTTGGCCTCTCAAAGTTCTGGGATTACAGGAATGATTCACCACACCCGGCCATTCACTAGCTTTTCTAGGCAACTTGATGGCAAGGCCTTGTCCATCTTATTCACTGTTTTCTCTCTGGCAACTAACAAAGTGTTAAGTACTCAAGAAATTTAGTTTTTTTCATTTAGAGAACTCGGACAGGGTCATAAGTAAAATTGAAAAAAGGTTTTACTAAAATACACAGTATACTTCTCTTTTCAGTACAAATACTTAAATCCTAAAATATGCAAGTCCTGGTTCAAACCTATGGGTCTCAGTTTCCTCCTGTGTCATGAAAATGGGCCAGACTAATTGATTCCCCATCCCATTAGAGTTCTAGAAGCTGTAGTTACCTAGTAGTCAGTGTTTTTTTGTTTTTTTTTTTTTTTTTTTTTTTTGACTTATCCTATGCCACCAGCTCCAAGGAAGGAGACGAAGTGGAGGTTTTATGCTTCCAACTTAAAGATCAAATGCTGATTTTCCCAAGAGATAAGAATTCTATTTTTTGTCTCAACCCCTTTTCTCTGTTTACATTTTCTTTGTAATATCACACTGTATTCCAATACTCCATGCTGATGGCAGCTAACCATTTCAATAGGATTTTTGTTTTCAATATTCTAGATACCAGTTGGGATATAACACCAGTGATTCTCAACCTCTTGTCTACCCAGTCACCTGAGGGATATATACATACATTCATCAATAACTTTGACTCAGCTTAGGAGAGGGGAGGGCACACTTGTAGAAAATTCTCCAGTGATTTTGTCACTTATATTCATACCCTGTCGAGAATCACTGGTATAAGTTATTCAGCCACATCCCCCAGCTCCTGAAGCCACAAAACACATGGAACAAAGGATTGCCAAGAAACCACTATTTACCTGATATGTTTTTTGTTGAACAGCAAGAATTAATGCAGTCTTCTTGAGTTGAAGTATATACGGGCTCATTGCCTCTGATTCCCTTAGAAAGAGATGACTGGATGTCAATGACAACATCTTCTAGACTCTTTTTGAGGCAATTCTGACTAGCAGACAGCCTTAGTGTCAGGAAGCAAATTATTACCAAAGTGTAAGTCAAGCTCCCTTCTCCCCCGAAGAACATTTTAAATTTCAGTTTAGTTTTGGTCTTCAAAGGTCAAGGATAATCCTCCCTCTGGTCTTAGTTTGCTTTAAGAAGGCTGCACAGATGATGAGATTTCTCTCTAGAACAAAAATGGAAAATCATCAATGAGTTTTGTTTCTTTAACAAACAAGGGAAGAAACATTTCATTTCCTTAAAGTCAATGAAAAGGATCCACATACAATTTAGAGAAGAAAAGATACACGTATTTTTTGTTTCACTTTTAGTAAATTTAAGACAACTTTTCATTAAACATTTGGCAAAGAACTAATAAGCATAAACAAACATACTACCTCACCAATGCTTAAAAGCTGACAATGCTTATGAAGGAACAGGTATAAACAGTAGGCCTGCCTCGGAATTCTACAATCCTTCCCTCTTCTAACTCAGAGCGGAGAGGGCACACATTTCTAGTCACTGATGAAGCAGTAGTAATAGGTTTGAGCATATTTCCTTTCTCAGTAATAACAATCAGCATTTTAAAATCATCTACTAGGGGCTAGGCGTGGTAGCTCATGCCTGTAATCTCAGCACTTTGGAAGGCTGAGGTGGGTGGATTGCTTGAGCTCAGGAGTTCAAAACCAGCCTGGGCAACATGGTGAAACCCTGTCTCTACTAAAAATACAAAAAATTAGCTGGGTGTGGTGGCGCATGCCTGTGGTCCCAGCGACTTGGGAGGCTGAGGTGGGAGGATCGCTGGAGCCCAGGAAGTTGAGGCTGCAGTGAGCCGTGATTACACCACTGCACTCCAGCCTGGGTGACAAAGCGAGACCATGTCTCAAAAAAAACTTAAAAAGTAAAAATAGGTGACAATATACTAGATGGTAGACATTGTGCTAAGGAATTTACCACTCTTTTGAATTGTTATTCTCTTTAATTTATTACCATCTTTAATCTTTATACCAACTGTAATGGCTAATACTGAGTGTCAACTTGATTTGATTAAAGGATACAAAGTATTGATTCCGGGTGTGTCTGTGAGCATGTTGCCAAAGGAGATTAACATTTGAGTCAGTGGGCTGGGAAAGGCAGACCCACCCTGAATCTGGGTGGGCACAACCAAATCTGCTGCCAGTGCAGTTAGAATATAAGCAGGCAGAAAATGCGAAAAAGAGAGACTGGCCTGGCCTCCCAGCCTATATCTTTTTTTTTTTTTTTGAGACAGAGTATTGCTGTCGCCAGGCTGGAGTGCAGTGGCACAATCTCGGCTCACTGTAACCTCCACCTCTTGGGTTCGAGTGATTCCCCTGCCTCAGCCTTCCGAGTAGCTGGGACTACAGACGCATGCCACCACGCCCGGCTGGTTTTTTGTATTTTTAGTAGAGACGGGGTTTCACTGTGTTGGCCAGGATGATCTCGATCTCCTGACCATGATCCGCCTGCCTCGGCCTCCCAAAGTGCTGGGATTACAGGTGTGAGCCACCACGCCCAGCCCCAGCCTATATCTTTCTCTTGAGCTGGATGCTTCCTGCCTTCAAACATCAGACTCCAAGTTCTTCAGTTTTGAAACTCCTTGCTCCTCAGCCTGCAGATGGCCTATTGTGGGGCCTTGTGATCATGTGAGTTAATACTTAATAAACTCCCATATATATATATATATATATATATATATATATATATATATATATATATATATTACACTAGTTCTGTCCTTCTAGAGAACCCTGACTAATACAACAACCTTGCAAAAAAGCTATTATTGGCCGGGTGCGGTGGCTCATGCCTGTAATCCCAGCACTTTGGGAGGTCAAGTCACGTGGGCGGATCACCTGAGGTCAGGAGTTCGACACCAGCCTGGCCAATGTGGTGAAACCCCATCTCTATTAAAAATACAAAAATTAGTTGGGTGTGATGGCGGGCAGCTGTAATCCCAGCTACTCGGGAGGTTGAGGCAGGAGAATCACTTGAACCCGGGAAGTGGAGGTTGCAGCAAGCCACGATTGCACCACTGCACTCCAGCCTGGGTGACAAGAGCAAAACTCCGTCTCAAAAAAAAAAAAAAAAGCTATTATTTTCCTCATTTTATAATGAAGAAACTGAGATAGTCTTTCCTATTGCTGCTTCTCCTTAAGAAGTATCAAATCAGAGTTAGAAAACTCTAATAATCTAATTCTAGAAATTAGCCAGTCAGCAGGAGGAATACGCTGCCTCAGTTAAAGGAAAGTTTAGGGGCAGGTTTTCTTTTTGACAGCCTTAAAAATACAAAAGTCACACTATGTATAATGCCAACTCTATTGAGATGCTGGTTCTTTTAGGAAAAATAAATGTTAAACTGGCAAGACAATACAAGAAATTATCCTCACCTATCAACCTCCACATTTCCTTTTAACATTTCATTAAACATTTTGTTGAATACAAATTGTTTGCTGAATGATAGCTTAGAGCAGAATTACTACTTCTTTAACCTTTGTTTATTAACCCCTTTGATAGTCTGAGGAAGCTCAGGATCTCTTTTGTGAGACATATTTAAAAATGCATAAAATGGAATATGTAGGATTCCAAAGGAAGCCAGTTATAGTGAAATATAATTACCAAAATAGATTTTAGAATGTCCCTACAAAATCCTGGTGAAAGAAATCAAAGAGGAGCTAATAAATAGAGAGATATAACATGTTCATGGATAGGAAGACTTTATTTTGTTAACATATCAGTGCTTCCTGGCCAGGCGCCATGGCTCAAGCCTGTAATCCCAGCACTTTGGGAGGCCGAGGCAGGCAGATCATGAGGTCAGGAGATCACAACCATCCTGGCTAACACGGTGAAACCCCGTCTCTACTAAAAATACAAAAAGTTAGCTGGGCGTGGTGGCGGCCGCCTGTAGTCCCAGCTACTCGGGAGGCTGAGGCAGGAGAATGGCATGAACCCCAGGCGGAGCTTGCAGCAAGCCGAGATTGCGCCACTGCACTGCAGCCTGGGCGACAGAGCGAGACTCCGTCTCAAAAAAAAAAAGGTATCAGTGCTTCCCAACTTGAGCTACAGATTAAATACAGTCTTAATCAAAAGCCCAAAGTTATTTTTTGGATATCAACCAACTGATTTTAAAATTTACATGGAAATGCAGAAAAGACCAAGAACAGTCCAGAATACTAAAGAACAAAGTTGGAAGACTGATACTACCTGACTTCAACACTTACCGTAAAGCTACAATAATCAAAAAAGTATGGTATTAGAAAAAGAATAGACAAACAGATCAATGGAATGGAATAGTAAACCCAGAAATAGACCCTCACAAAGAGAGTCAACTGATCTTTGACAAAGGAGCAAAGGGGATTCAATGGAGAAAGGACAGTCTTTTCCAAAAATGGTACTGGAACAACTGGATATCCATTTGCAAAAATGAATAAATAAATAAATCTAGCCACATACTTTACACCTTTCACAAAATTTAGCTCTAAATGGATCACAGACCTAAATGTAAAATATAAAACCATAAAATTTCTAGAAAATAACAGAAGAAAATCCTTGTGACCTTAGATTAGGTGATGAGTTTTTAAATACAATACCAAAAGCACACTCCATGAAAGAAAAATTTGATGTTGGACTTCATTAAATTTAAAAACTTCTGCTCTACAAAAGATACCGTTAAAGAGAATGAAAAGATAAACCACAGACTTGGAGGAAATATTTGAGGTGGTTTTTTTTTTTTTGGAGGAAATATTTGTGAAACACACATCTGATAAAGCAGCAGTCCATAGCCTTTCTCGCACCAGGGACCAGTTTCATGGAAGACAATTTTTCCATGGACGGCGTTGTGGGGGTATGGTTCAGGATGATTCAAGTGCATTGTATTTATTGTGCACTTTATTTCTATTATTACATTATAATATATAACGACATAATTATACAACTCAACATAATGTAGAATCAGTGGGAGCCCTGAGCTTGTCTTCCTGCAACTAGACAGTACCATCTGGGGGTGATGGGAGACAGTGACAGATCATCAGGCATTAGATTCTCATAAGGAGTGTGCAGCCTAGATCCCTCACATGTGCAGTTCACAACAGGGTTCGTGCGCCGATGAGAATCTACGGCCACCACTGATCTGACAGGAGGTGGAGCTCAGGCAGTAATGCATAATGTAAATACAGAGGAAGCTTTGCTCTCTGGCCCACTGCTCACCTCCTGCTGTGTGGCCCATTTCCTAATAGGTACTGGTCTGCGGCCCAGGGGTTGGGGAACCCTGTGATAAAGGACTGGTATCCAAAATATACAAAGAACTCAAGTCAGCAATAAGAAAAGAAACTCAATGGACAGAAGATCTGAGCAGACACCTTATCAAAGAAGATATACAGATGACAAATAAGCATATGAAAAGGTATCTAACATCATATGTCATTAGGGGATTGCAAATTCAAACAAGATACCACTACCCACCTATGAGAATGGCTAAAATCCAAAAAATGGACAATACCAAATACAAGGACATGGAGCAACAGAAATTCTCGCCTGGGCGCGGTGGCTCACATCTGTAATCCCAGCACTTTGGGAGGCCAAGGTGGGCAGATCACTTGAGGTCAGGAGTTTGAGATCAGCCTGACCAACATGGTGAAACCCCATCTCTACTAAAAAAAAATACAAAAATTAGCCAGATATGGTGGCAGGTGCCTGTAATCCCAGCTACTTGGGAGGCTGAGGCAGAAGAATCGCTTGAACCCGGGACGTGGAGGTTGCAGTGAGCCGAGATCATGCCACTGCACTCCAGCCTGGGCAACAGAGTGAGACCCTATCTCAAAAAAGAAAAAAAAAAAAGGAAAAATTCTCATTCATTGCTGTTGGGGAATGCAAAATGGTACAGCCACTTTGGGAGAAGTTTGGCAGTTTCTTACCAAGCTAAATGCAGCCTTACCATACAATTCAGCAATTGTCCTCCTATGTATTCACTCAAATGAATTGAAAACTTATGTCCACACAAAAATCTGCAATAGAATATTTGTAGTAGCTTTATTCATAATTGCCAAAAACTAAAAGCAACCAAGATGCCCATCAATAGATGAATAAACAAAATGAGATACATCCATACATTGGAATATTACTCAGTAATAAAAATAAATGAACTATCAAGCCACAAAAAGACATGGAGGAATCTTAACTGCATATTCCTAAGTCAAAGAAGCCAGTCTGAACAGATATGAATCTAACTGTATGACGTTCTAAAAAAGGCAAACTACAGCGGCAGTAAGAAGGCCAGTGGTCACCAGGAGAACAGGAGTGGGAGGATGAATCGGTGGAGTGCAAGGGATATTTGGGGCATTGAGACTATTCTGTATAACACTGTAATGGAGGATACATGTTATTGAACATCTGTCAAAACCCATAGAAATGTAAAACACACAGAGTGAACATTATGTGAACTATGGACTTTTAGTTTTAAAAAAAGGTAAAACCAAAAAAAAAAAAAAACCCAGAAACAAACCAGTATATGGTAATAAAACACAAGTCTAATACTTTTCTTGCTGTTTGTCAAAATTCTGTATACAGTAAAATAGTAACATTTATTGCGTCTAAAATGCCAGTTTCTATGCTAAGCACTTTATATATATCATGTCATTTAATCTTTACAGATCCCATTATTATCCTCATTTTAGTTAAAACTTACAAAAAGTTGTGGGACATAATATGTGCTTCTTTATTAACCTATTAAGTAACAAGTGGTCATCTAATAACTGCCATAATTTTGACGTGGTATTGAGTATAGATAATATTTTGAAACGTGCAACAAGTCATGTGATATAAAGATATCGGCAATATTTACAGGGGGCAAATCATAGCTACTGCTAATACTACTGTGGCTTTTGCCTACATTCCATTTCAGAAGTCGGTGAAATAATAATTTTTTCCACTCAAGTTCACAGACATCCTGAATTCTATCCATGGATACCTTATCGTGGACTCCCCAGGTTAATAATTCTGGCCAAGGTACTTAATACGCTGCCATATTTTGCAAGCCTCTAGGGAATCAAGAGAAAACCAGGCCAATACTTTATTTTGAATGGATTCTAATGTAGCCTCTTTTCAAGCTTTTGCAAAGAAACCTGAACTATGTAAGGAGATGGGGCAGGAGTTGTTTTCAGTATGCAGCATTGAGAGAAGTGTTTAAGAGTTTTATATCATTAAAGAGGCTCAGCAATATTAGGTTAGCGACGTTTTCTAATCCATTATTATTTAGGCTTTAAGGGCCTGAAGTCGAGTTGAATCTTGTTGAAAGACGGGGTAAAAGGATACAGGCGGGTGAGAGAGGATGCCCCTGAGTTTTAACGTCTGCATACAAGAGTCGCTAAAACTTACTCGCACGTAATTAGTTCAAATATTGGAAATCGTCTTACAGCACACTATAATTTACCAAGATGCTTATAACTGTATACACACACACACTCTACAGAGAATTAGACAATTAGCAGTTTCAATAATGAATACAGAGTCAACGACAAGAAAACAGGGAACATTTTCTCTTCCTTTGAGGAAATGCATGTTGCCTACTGAGCTATTCTTCTGCCTCTCCTTCTGATGTCAACGCAGAGCCAGAGCCATTTATGGCAGGTGCCTTGAGCCCGCCTAGAGGTCCCCTTTGGAATACTGCAGCGACTCAAGGATCCTGGTCAGCCCTTATTGGCCCCAGCTGGTCCTTTGGATGCTCGGGTGTGGGTGAAGGAGCCTCGGCCCCTGGAAAGGAGGGGACCGACTCTCTCCGCAGGTAGCGACGTCGCCTGCGGCCGGTCGGGGGTGGGTATTGGGGAGACCCCTTTACCTGGCGTCGAGAGGACCCCGGCGCCCCTGCTGCCATCCAGGTGCGAGGACAGCTCTGTCGCGCCCGCGGGAAGGACCGGCGAATCCGCGCGGGGGTCTCGGCGAGGACCGCAGCGGATGCTCCGCAGCTCCCGCACCGGCCTGGCGGGTTTTGTGGTTAGCAAGTTCCTGCTTCCGTCGCAGCGACGGCAAGTTTGCCGCGGGGGAAGGGCACGTTCCTGCCCTGCAACCCGGAGCTGCTTCCCGGCAACATTAGCGCGTCCCTCCCCGCGGAGGCTCCGGGCTCCCGGCCCCAGCGCTGAGCCCCGCAGGGAGGTGGCTCCCCCCACCGCCCCGCGCTCCCCCCCAGCTCAGCCACACCGCTGACCCCGGGCTGGGCGCGCTGCGAGGGGGAGTGCGTGCCTCCCTGCTGGTGGCCCGAGGGTCTGCAGGTGAGCCTTGCCTCGCGGCCCGCGCAAGTTAAAATAAATGCACATGGGGAAAATGTCAAACAGTACAAAAATAGACACAGAGACAAGTCTACCCCTCACCCCCGTGCCCCAGTCTCCTAGTCTCCCTCCTCAGAGGCAACCACTGAGAGCAGTTTTTTGATGTTCAAGGGCTTATAGTGCATCCTATTGGGGGCATAGTTCTGAGAATCCTCTTTCCATAATTGGAGGATGGAGTCCTCAATTAAAGATGGCAATTCTTGAGTTAAATATTATCTGCAAGACAAACTTCAGGGAAGGTATTTGGCTTTCTGCGGGATTTATTGTTTGTAGATAGGATAATAATGGTGAAAATGCTGGTGTCTGTAACATATATTAAAACTGTATCCCTAACACTTAGCATAGTGCCTGGTACACAATAGGTGCTCAGTAAATATTTAACTAAAATATTTTTGTTGACTGAATGAATGGAAAAGAACTGCATAGGGCATAGGTTGTGGAAGTTTCTAAATTACTGCTGGCCCCATCCCCACCTCCATAAACACACACACAAATGCAACGTTACTAAACCATTGACACTTAGTTTGCCATATGGTCTAACCTTTGACAGTATCTTCACCTCTGTTTTGAAAGAGCTTGCAGACCTGAAGCGCTATGCAATTGCAAGTTAAGTCTAGGCCTGTACGGCCAACAGCTACACACCCTAGTCTTAACCAATAACTACAGGAGGATTAGGTTGACTGAGAATGCTTGTGAACAAAGGTCCATTGTGTGAAACTAACTCTACTTGTAACCAAAGGATGACTCTTGAATTACAATGTTGCTAAAGCTAGGTTTGAAAGAGTTACCAAAGAAAAGTAAACACCAGAGTAATTTCCCATTGCAGTGATTTTCCTGATGCAACAAGGGACTGATCTGCAAGTGTGTTTTATCTTTTATCATCTGATACACTTCAGGGTTCAGGGTGTAGAGCTATCACAGTTTTTGAATCTCTCTACATGGGGTAATCCATGCTAGTTACAAAGTAGACCTTTCCATTATTAGAAACTTCGTATTCGGTGCTTTAATACAATGAACCTGTTTCTTTTTTTGTTTTGTTTTGTGTTTTGTTTGTTTTTAGAGACGGAGTCTCGCTGTGTTGCCCAGGCTGGAGTGCAGTGGTGTGATCTCGGCTCACTGCAACCTCCACCTCCCGGGTTATAGCAATTCTTTTGCCTCAGACTCCTGAGTAGCTGGGACTACAGGCACATGCCGCCACGCCCAGCTAATTTTTTTCTATTTTAGTAGAGATGGGGTTTCACCGTGTTGCCCAGGCTGGTCTCGAACTCCTGAGCTCAGGCAATCCGCCCGCCTCGGCGTCCCAAAGTGCTAGGATTACAGGCGTGAGCCACTGTGCCCGGCCTGAACCTGTTTTCATTGAAGTGATATGTTATTTTTTCAGTTATGACAGTGAACAAAGGATATTGATTAAAATAATGATTAAAGAAATATTTTCTATTATATATGTTTAATTTATAAATATCATTGTTTATTTATTCATTTTTTTAGACAGGGTCTCGCTCTGTTGCCCACACTGGAGTGCAATGGCACAATCACGACTCACTGCAGCTTTGACCACCTGGGCTCAAGTGATTCTTTTGCCTCAGTCTCTTGAGTAGCTGGGACCACAAACGCACACCACACCCAGCTAATGTTCTTAATTTTTTTTTTTTTTTTAATTTTGAGATGGAGTCTCGCTCTGTTGCCCAGGCTGGAGTGCAGTGGCACGATCTCAGCTCACTGCAACTTCTGCCTCCCAGGTTCAAGCAATTCTCCTGCTTCAGTCTCCTGAGTAGCTGAGATTACAGGCTCATGCCACCATGCCCAGCTAATTTTTGTATTTTTAGTAGAGTCGGGGTTTCACCATGTTGGTCAGGCTGGTCTTGAACTCCTGACATCAAGTGATCTGCCCACCTTGGCCTCCCAAAGTGCTGGGATTATAGGCGTGACCCACCGTACCCGGTGTTTTAAATTATTTGTATAGATGAGGTCTTGCTACATTGCCCAGGCTAGTCTCAAACTCCTGGGCTCAAGCAATCCTCCTGCTTTGGCCTCCCAAAGTGCTGGGATTACAGGTGTGAGCCACTGCACTTGGCTTACTTAAAAATAAAATAAAAACTTTAATTTCTGGCCTGAGTCATAACTTAGAAATTATATCCATTGTCACTTCATTTCCTGAAGAGATTCTTGACACTCTTCTCTGAGGGTTAGAAGTCCCATCTATGTGGAGAAAGATTTCTTTAAAAGTAATCGGAAAACATGTATTAAGCAGCCAGGCGCAGTGGCTCACGCCTGTAATCCCAGCACTTTGGGAGGCCGAGGCGGGTGGATCACGAGGTCAGGAGATCGAGACCATCCTGGCTAACATGGTGAAACCCTGTCTCTAATAAAAATACAAAAAATTAGCTGGGTATGGTGGCGCGCGCCTGTAGTCCCAGCTATTGGGGAGGCTGAGGCAGAAGAATGGTGTGAACCCAGGAGGTGGAGCTTGTAGTGAGCCGAGATCGAGCCACTGCACTCCAGCCTGGGTGAAAGAGTGAGACTCTGTCTCAAAAAACAAACAAACAAACAAACAAACAAACAAAAAAAAAAACATGTATTAAGCACCTGCAGGGGAAACTAAAGACCAGTAATACCAATGAGATCTACCTTTAAGATGTTCATAGTTCAGAAGGAGAAAAAGTAAATCAATGGCTGTGTAAACAGTTAAGTGTGATGAAGGCCAGGTGTAGTGGCTCATGCCTGTAATTCCAGTGCTTTGGGAAGCCAAGGCAGGAGGATCACTTAAGCCCAGGAGTTTGAGGCCAGCCTGAGCAGCATAGCAAGACTCCATCTCTACAAAAAATAAAAATTAGCATGGTGTGGTGGTACACGTCTGTAGTTTCAGCTACTTGGGAGGCTGAGACAGGAGGATCTCCTAAGAGCCTAGGAGGCTCTTAGGAGGCTGTAGTGAGCCATGATAGCATCACTGCACTCCAGCCTGGGCAACAGAGTGAGACCCTGTCCCTGCCCTCCCCAAGAAAAGAATAAATGTTATGATAGAAGATGGCAACTAAAAAGGCTCAGAGAAGGGACATCTGATCCCAATTTCTGGGAAGAGGTGTTAATTATTGAAGAATGAAGTTATTAGCAGATGAGGAGGAAAAGGCTGAATATTTCAGGAATAGGAAACTGCATGACCACAGGAAATTCAGCCTGTTAGGAAGGTTACCAGTGTACACAGAAGAATAGAGAGAGAGGCTGGGGTCAGAGCAGGAAGGTTTTCATATGTTAAATCTTAAACTTTATCCTAAAGGCATGGGGAGTTCCTGAAGGCTTTTTGTAGGGCAGTGACAGGTCCAGAGACCTAATTAATATTCTAGAAAATTATCTCTACCTGCCACAGGAGGGATGGATTGAGGGACGTGAGGCCAGAGGCCTCTCTTCCAAGAAACGGAAGTGATAAGGCCCTGAAATGGGCATGCAGATAGAGGAGAAATTAAGAGGAGAGGCTCTCCAGGACACAACGATTGGTTGGATGCAGTGCTGACAGTAAGCAGGCTTCTGGCTTGGGAGCCTGGTTGGGTGGGAGTACCAGGTCATATAAAGACACGGGAAGAGGAGTCAGTCTGGAGTGGACAGAGGCATGATGAGTTTTGAAAACGTGAATCCTGGTTTTATCACTCACTAGTTGTGTGACCAAGAATAAATCACTTAACTTTTCTGTAAAATTAGGAAAGTGGTATCTACTTTACACGCAGGTCATAATATAGACCTTTTTATGCAGGTCTAACATATAGACCTGCAGACCTGTAAACTCAAAAAGGCTGTTCAATTGCTAGTTATTACATATACAATAACACAGTTTGCTGCTCATGTAGAAGGGATTTTAAAGGTGCTAAAAGACATCAATCTGAAATGTTTCCTAGCTATAAAGCTCTTCCAGCAGACTCCTTATGTTATATAAATGCTCATTTAATTTTCTTGCCACCAGACTGTAAGCTTCCTAAGTACAGGGATTGGGCCTTGTTGAATTTTTTATTTTTAACGTGTAGCAAGTGCCTAGAACATTTCAGGTTCCCAAGAAATGTTAAGCCAGTGAAGGAAGGAATTTTATCTTCATATGTTCTTTTACTGAATATAGCTTTATGGATATGGAATTTGTATACCATACAATTTACCCTGGTAAAGTGTACTCTACAGTGGTTTTTAATATATTCAGAGTTGTGCATTCATCATTACAATTTTAGAACATTTTCATCAACCCCAGAAAGAAACCCCATACCCAATAATAGTCTACATTTCCCTTCCACCCGTACCCCTCCTCGGCCTTAGGCAACACTAACATATTTCTCTCTCTGTAGTGCTTCTCCTGGACATTTCATATAAATGAAATCTACAATATGTGGTCTTTTGTGATACGCTTTGTTTTTTTTTTTTTTGAGACGGAGTCTTCGCTCTGTCGCCCAGGCTGGAGTGCAGTGGTGCGATCTCTGCTCACTGCAAGCTCCGCCTTCTGGGTTCAAGCGATTCTCCTGCCTCAGCCTCCTGAGTAGCTGGAAATACAGGCGCCCGCCACCACGCCCGGCTAATTTTTTTTGTATTTTTAGTAGAGACAGGATTTCAGTTTGTCAGCCAGGATGGTCTCAATCTCCTGACCCCGTGATCCGCCCGCCTCGGCCTCCCAAAGTGCTGGGATTACAGGCGTGAGCCACCGCACCCGGCCTGACAGGCCTTTTTCATATTGAATAATGTTGTCAAGGTTACTCTATGTTGTAGCATGTATCAGTATGATTTCATCCTTCCCTCATTTTGGCTGAATAAATATTCCATGATTACCACACTTTATTTATCCATTCATCAGTTGATGCGACAGACTATCCTTTTAAGAATGAAATGTTTATTCAAAAGGAAGCATAAAAAACACCATCACATCAGTATGGACTGGTGTATGGAACACAAGACAAATATACTTTTATGTGGAAAAGGGGAAACAAGAACCAGAATGAGTTATTCTCCATTCCTCACCCCTTTTACCTCCTCTCTCACCTTCCCCTCAAAGAGGAAATCTGGGAGGGGATGCAAGGACTCTCCAAAAGGGAATGGTCTCACTGCTTAGTGGGCCCTTCCCAGTCCCATCAGCCTGGTGTGGTTTATGTAAACCTCAAGACTAGTTAGACACAACTTTCTAGAAGCCTGCCCTGATCTCTCAGGCAGTTTTTAGTTCTATCTTCATATTCCCAGAGAACACTGTACTTAGATTCATTTGCATTTTTCTCATTGTATTGCAATGGTGAGCAGAGGAAAGAGCATCAGATAGTCCTAAATAGTTCGACCACTGACCACCTGCTGACCATGGAGGAGTCACCTACTTACAGGCTGCAGGGTTGTTGTGAAAATTAAATAAGGTAAAATAGGGGAAATTATTGTGATATAGTAGAGTGGAAGGGACTTAAAAATCATTTAGTCAACTTGACACTTCTTCTGAGACTTTTTTTTTTTTTTTTTTTTTTGAGACGGAGTCTCGCTCTGTCGCCCAGGCTGGAGTGCAGTGGCGCGATCTCGGCTCACTGCAAGCTCTGCCTCCCGGGTTCACACCATTCTCCTGTCTCAGCCTCCCGAGTAGCTGGGACTACAGGCGCCCACCATCATGCCCGGCTAATTTTTTGTATTTTTTAGTAGAGACGGGGTTTCACCATGTTAGCCAGGATGGTCTTGATCTCCTGACATCGTGATCTACTCGCCTCAGCCTCCCAAAGTGCTGGGATTACAGGCGTGAGCCACCCCGCCTGGCCAGAGACTACATTTTATACATATAAAATCTCAAGGCATTTACTTGAAATTTCTTGACGCAGACAATGTAATATAAAATGAGTTGCAAAGTTCGGAGAACGCTAGAGCCAGCTAACTCCTTGATGGCATTGCATTGCTAGGTCTACTTTCTTGCCCTAGCAAAAATGGCAGTTTCCTTTCTGGATTACTCCCTCCTCACCTTCTGTTAGTTTCAGAGTGACTTGTTGATAACTGCCAAGGTCCCCAGAAAGCGCCTAGCCAAAAAGGTTCTTCACTTCTCTTTAAAGATGTGCACTCCCTAATACATGAAACAGCATTTTCTATTTCTTAATTTTTCTCTCATTTCCAGCTGCTGCTTTCACCGTCTTCTGGTATTTTTTTGTTTGGTCGTCCACTGCTAAACTCCCAGCTCTTCAGAATTCAAAATGAGCTTTGCATCCAAGCTGTTGTGGGTTCGAATCCTGGGTCTATCTAGCGTTTCTTTCTCCATCTGTAAAACAGGGTTAAAAATACCTATTTTGTAAAGTTGTTCTCACATGTGGGTATTGAAGAGCTTAATAGTGTGGGTGGTGTTTTAAAGGTGACGCATCCTTACAACAGGAAAGGGCTTACCCTCTTCCGCAGTTCTGGCTTCGAGGAGGTCAAGCCCTTTAAGGTGGCATCGCCCTAAGTCGCAGGAGCGGGTCTCTCCGCCCCTCCCTCGGGCCGGGGGGCGGGGCCTCCTAATCCGGAACTGAAGGTCTTGCGTAGCCGGCACCGCCCATCTGCGTCCCGGAAGGAGCGAGCTTGCGGAGCGTGAACCAGTGAGTGAAAGCGGCGCCGCCCGCCGGCCGCAGGTGCGGCAAAGCCAGTGTCATCTGCCGGTTCTCTTAGGGCTCCCGGAAAGAAGGAGGGCTAGCCGCGTGCGTTCGCGCCGCGCCTCCTTGCGTTTCTGTTCCCCAAATAGGGCCTCTCCTTCTCCCGCCGCCCAGGCCCCTGCGTGGGCTGGACGCGTCAGCCCCACACATTAGCCTCGCTGCGGCGCCCAGACTCTGCTTTGCCTCCCCGTCCCGGTCCCTGGCCCCTGCCCTGTCGCCCGCCGCCGGAGCGGTGACCGCCCGGCCCGCCGTTCTTCTGCTGCCACCGCTGTCGGCACCATGGGCAGTGAGCAGAGCTCCGAGGCCGAGAGCCGACCCAACGATCTGAACTCCTCAGGTCGGTGTCCTAACCTCCCACCCTCCTCCAGCCCGCCCTGTCCCCTTGCAGAGCGGGCTGCCTCCCAGACTAGGGTCAGGGACTGCGGACGGGAACGCACAGAAAAAGCCTTCACCGTGCTAGTAGGAAAAAAAAAAAGTCACCATCTGTCCTGGCCTCGATTCCCCTGATGGAAGTGCGTGTGACTGCAAGCTAAGCCAGCGTGGGCGCCAGTGCCCTTATTTATTTTCAAAACAGCCGTTTCTCCCAGCTACAGCCTCCTGTTTAAAAGACGAGCTAATTAATTTTTGGCTCTAGTGCTCATGGCTGATGTAGTGAGATTTGGCTCACACAGTGGATGGATTATAGGACCTCTAAGAACAGTCTGTTTCTTAAAAACGGGTGTTAGAGGTTCCTTTTCTGAAGGGATATGTGATAGGTGTCCACTTGCTTTGAACCCTTTAGTGCAAAGGTCTCCAGAAACAGCTTTTTCTTCTCAGAAGGTGTCTTGGTCCGTTTTCTAATCTTGTAGAGGTTGGCCAGACAGCAGGCACTGGTGTTTTCCATTGTTGTTCTCTGTCCATGATTTTTAGACTTCTCTAAGCGTTTGAGACAAGAATGGGAGGATTATTGTGTTTGCAATACAGTGAGTGTTCAATAAATAGATAAAGCAGCTGATGTTTAATTGAGGACCATTTGCTGCTTTTTTTGTTACCCACACGCTAGGACAGCTGGGAGTGCTTTGGTTAAGCTCCGGGGTTGCTAACGCAAATTGGTTAAATCTGGGGCCTAAAAAGAGTCGCCGATTTTAGAAGTTCTCTGTTCTTGATAGGAGCTGTAATTCAGAAATAGGCAAGCTAATAGATCTAAGGGTGTTTCACTTTAAGGTGTGACTTTCAAGACTAGTTCAGACCTACATTCTGGGGACTGGATTGGGGCAGCTTTGAATGGTGAGCAGCATCTACTAGCTTTGCTACGTTTTTCTATTTCCTTGGAAGGGCCAGAGTGTCATATCTGTTATAAGAAATATAATAATTGCCACCTTTGACATTCTTGCCTCTATGGCAGGGCAGAAACATATTTTAGGGGGAAGCGGTGTGGCATCTTTTTAATTTGTTTTCTTGCCCATGAACCAACAGCATTCGAGCATTTCCGATGTTAGAATTTGCCTATTCCCCTGTGCCCGGTACTTTACATACATTTACATATAATTTTTGCAGTAATCCCATTTTACAGATAAAGTAGTAGAGGTTAGCTAGAGTGTTTTGAAGTCCCCTTTCCTCTGGTATCTGGGGAAGGAGGAATCACAATTTATAGCAGGAAAGATTTCTGGCATGGCTTTTGTAAAATGTTAGGTAAATTACCAAAACAGGTAAATAAATATTTCTTGAAAAGAAATAAAAGCAGCAGAGATTTTTCTAGAAGAGTGAATGCCAAGCCTCCGGAGACGAGCTTCTAGGAGGCAGAACAGTTCTATGGCATCCCTGGATTAACCTTTGAGATATGACTATAATGAGCCTGGGAATATTACCTTCTAGAGCATAAAACACTTTAAAGATTCATTCTTGTCCCAGTCTGGAAGATATTTGGGGGAGAGGATGATTTCTTGGTCTAGGGAGTCCTTTATAATTTGAATCACTTCCCTCCAAATGGATTACTTTCTCCCAAGGAACCTGAATTGATCTCCCTCTTTGTCCTCCAAATTTCTGATTTTTGCCTCAGCCTAGAATGGACTTACTGGCTATTTTTGCCCTGGACTAATGCTATAATTTTAAGAGTGAGGGGGCTGTAGTCCTAGCTACTCAGGCCCAGGTGGGAGGATTGCTGGAGCCCAGGAGTTTAAATCCAGCCTGGGCGATGTAGTGAGACTTGACTCTTTTTTTTTTTTTTTTTTTGAGACAGTCTCACTGTCACCTAGGCTGGAGTGCTGTGGCATGATCTTGGCTCACTGCAACCTCCGCCTCCCGGATTCAAGCAATTTTCCTGCCTCAGCCTCCCAAGTAGCTGGGATTACAGGGACATGCCACCACGCCTGGATAATTTTTGTATTTTTAGTAGAGATAGGGTTTCACCATGTTGGCCAGGCTGATCTCGAACTCCTGACCTCAAGTGATCCACCTGGCTTGGCCTCCCAAAGTGCTGGGATTACAGGCGTGAGCCACCGTGCCCAGCCGCCTTGACTTAAAAAAAAAAAAAAAAGAGTGAGGAGGCTGAAGCCTCGGGAATAGGCCAGTCATTCGGGGGTTGAGAACAGGTTTTTTTCCTGGACTTACTAAACATAGCTGGCTTGATGTGGTAGGGTGGATAGACAGCTTTGCAACTCCAGTGTCGCAGAGATGGGCCTTGTGTACCAATAACTTGTAGATGTCTAATTCCTTTCCTAACTGTCTAGCACTGCTGACTTTGGGCAAGTCACAGTTAAATTTTGTACCCTTTATTTCTCATTTTAGAAATAGGGAGATATATATATATATCTCAAGATAGCAGGAGAATTAAAGAGAAAGTAAAAACAATCTGCCTATACTTTTGTGTGCTGAAAAAGAAAATATTTAGTTATGAAAGAAGTTCATTCATGTTATATAATCCTGTAATGGGCTGGGCGTGATGGCTCACACCCGTAATTCTAGCACTTTGGGAGGCCGAGGTGGGTGGATCACGAGGTCAGGAGTTCGAGACCAGCCTGGCCAATATGGTGAAACCCCATCTCTACTAAAAATACAAAAATTAGCCAGATGTGGTGGTGCATGCCTGTTGTCCTAGCTACTCAGGAAGCTGAGGCAAGAGAATTACTTGAACCCAGGAGGCGGAGGTTGCAGTGAGCCGAGATTGCACCACTGTACTCCAACCTGGCGACAGAGCGAGGCTCTGCCTCAAAATAAAATAAAATCCTGTAATGTCTGAGGGTTTTTGTTGTTGTTGTTGTTTTGTTTTTTGAGACTCTTGCTGTCTTACCCATGCAGTGGTGTGATCATGGCTCACTGTGGTCTTGACCTCCTGGGCTCAAGTGATCCTCCCATCTCAGCTTCCTGAGTAGCTGGGACTACAGTGTGCACCACCACATCTGACTAATTAAAAGAAATTTTTTTTTTTTTTTTTTTTTTTTTTAGAGATAGGGTCTCACTATGTTGCCCAGGTTGGTCTTGAACTCCTGGACTCTGGTGATCCTCCCACTCAGCCTTTCAAAGTGCTGAGATTACAGGCATGAGCCACCACACCCAGCCTGAGGTGGCGTTTTTGTTTGTTTGTTTTTGAGACAGAGTCTCACTCTGTTGCCCAGGCTCAAGTGCAGTGGCACGATCTTGGCACACCGCAACCTCCGCCTCTCGGGCTCAAGTGATTCTCCTGCCTCAGCCTCCTGAGTAGCTGGGATTACAGGCACCCGCCACCATGCCCCGCTAATTTTTGTGTTTTTAGTAGAGACAGGGTTTCGCCATGTTGGCCAGGCTGGTCTTGAACTGCTGACCTCAGGTGATCTGCCCACCTCGGCTTCCCAAAGTGCTAAGATTACATGCATGAGCCACCGTGCCTGGCTCCAGCCTGAGCTTTTAAAAATACTATAGAAAACAGTTTCTATAATTCATCCCTGCCACCCCAACCCCAACTGCAAGATAGCTACATTTTATAAAATTATTCTTTTTAATCACTACACCAAAAACTGCTTTGGTGAGGCAGAGATGCCTAATATGCATCTCCTAAGCAGTGTAACTTTATTTTCAGTGACTCCTTCACCAGCCAAGCATAGAGCCAAGATGGATGATATTGTGGTTGTAGCTCAGGGCTCCCAGGCCTCACGGAACGTCAGCAACGATCCCGATGTCATCAAGTTGCAAGAGATTCCAACCTTCCAGCCCCTTTTGAAAGGTAAAGGATTGCGTTTTGTTTTATCTGAACTTGCTGGAGACGTTTGTGTAGCCCTACTACTTTCCCTCTACTTATCCATGTATCTTGCTCTCTCATCTCCTTTAGGTCTTTGCTTAAATGGCATCTTCTCAGTGAAGCCTTTCTTGATTTCCTTAATTAAAACTGCAGCCCCTTTGCCTACCTGTTTTTCTCTATAGCACTTAATTATCATTGACCTATTGCAAATATCTTTATCTGTCTATATTTCTCTGCTAGAATGTGAGCTCCATGATGGCAGGTATTTTCTCTTTTGCTCACTGTTGAATTCCCAGCACGTGAAATATAATCTGGTATAAGATAGGGACTAAGTGAATGAATGAGGTTGGAAATGGCCCTTCCCTGTTATATTCCCATGGAAAGATTTTCATTCTTATTTGTGATCTGGACAGTGGGTGGACTAGTTCAGATCCATAGAGAAAAATCTCCATCACTACTGATACACTCGTAATTAATCCTGGCGGCAGTTTTATATGAGAGTGTGTGTTTGAGAAGAGAGATTACCCACCCAATTAGCATATACTGTGGTAGTTACCTTTTGAACGAAGGCCACAACTTTATTATTTTTGTATCTCTATTAAGTAGTGGAGATTATTTTATATTAACTGGTGTTTCTGCTGTAAGAGTCCTTCAGTTCTCTCCTCCCTCACCCCCACCAAAGATTAGGAAATAATGAACATAAGGCCCTGGTTTACTTAACTTGGTATAATACAGTGTAAAACATCTTACATTTACATAGCTATTTGAATTAAAATGCCCCTCCTCATACACATATCATCCCTTTAATTCTTACATCATTAAATGTGTTTCAATGATTGGGGTAAGATAAGCTTCTTATAAGCCTTTTATAAGGCAGCTGGCATACACAGAGGTTGTACTTGAACCTTCTTCATTGATGTCAAATCCTATATTACACTGTTCCACACTATTTAGAAAACAAAAACAAATGGTGCTTTATAGATGATCCATATATTGTCTTATTCTTACCAGTGCTTCATCTGTTTCATAAATAAGGAAATACAAGCTTTCAGTTTCTTTTTTATTATTATTTAAGTTTTAGTGTACATGTGCACAACATGCAGGTTTGTTACATATGTATACATATGCTATGTTGGTGTGCTGCACCCATTAACTCGTCATTCACATTAGGTATATCTCCTAATCAATTTCTTCCCTACAGGCCTGAGAGTTAGACTTTGGTAAACATTCTGGCTCTTATGTAAAACAACACATTATATCATGTTACTCATCTTTTTTTTTTTTTTTTTTTTTTTTTTAGAGTTTTGCTCTGTCACCCAGGCTGGAGTGCAATGGCTTGATCTTGGCTTACTGCAACCTCCACCTCCCAGGTTCAAGTGATTCTCCTGCCTCAGCCTCCTGAAGTAGCTGTGATTACAGATGCCTGCCACCACGCCAAGCTAAATGTTTTTATTATTATTATTTTTAGTTGAGATGGGGTTTCACCATGTTGGCCAGGCTGGTCTCGAACTCCTGACCTCAGGTGATCCACCCACCTCGGCCTCCCAAAGTGCTGGGATTACAGGCGTGAGGCACCTTGCATGGCCTACTCATCTTCTTAGTTTTCATGATTTTGAGGAATAATGTGATTCTCTAAAGAAGTTAACAATAGTAGGGCATGGTGGCTCACACCTGTAATTCCAGCACTTTGGGTGGCTGAGGCAGGAGGATCACTTGAGTCCAACAGTTCAAGACCAGCCTGGGCAACACAATGAGACTCTGTCTCAACAGATAATACAAAAAATTAGCCAGGCATGGTGGCACATACCTGTCGTCCCAGCTAGTTGGGAAGCTGTTGTAGAAGGATCGCTTGAGCCCAGGAGGTCAAGGGTGCAGTGAGCAGTAGTCATGTCAGTACACTTCAGCCTAGGTGACAGAGTGAGATCCTGCCTCAAAAGAAAAAAAAAAAAAGCCGGCCAGGCGCTGCGGCTCATGCCTATAATCCCAGCACTTTGGGAGGCCGAGGTGGGTGGATCACCTGAGGTTAGGAGATCAATACCAGCCTGGCCAACATGGTGAAACCCCATTTCTACTAAAAATACAAAAAATTAGGCCGGGCGCAGTGGCTTACGCCTGTAAAACAGCACTTTGGGAGGCCAAGGCGGGTGGATCATGAGGTCAGGAGATCGAGACCATCCTGGCTAACACGGTGAAACCCTGTCTCTACTGAAAGTACAAAAAAAATTAGCCGGGTGTGGTGGCGGGTGCCTGTAGTCCCAGCTACTTGGGAGGGTGAGGTAGGAGAATGGCATGAACCTGGGAGGCAGAGCTTGCATTGAGCCAAGATTGTGCCACTGCACTCCAGCCTGGGTGACAGAGCAAGACTCCATCTCAAAAAAAAAAAATTAGCTGGGTGTGGTGGTGTGCACCTGTAAACCCAGCTACTCAGGAGGCTGAGGCAGGAGAATTGCTAGAACCAGGAGATGGAGGTTGCAGTGAGCTGAGACTACCACTTCATTCCAGCTTGGGCAACAACAGTGAAACTCCATCTCAGAAAAAAAAAAAATATCTGCATATAACTTTCAACTTAGCCAAAACTTAACTACTAATAGCCTTCTGTTTACTAGAGGCCTTACTGATAGCATAAACAGTTGATTAACACATCTTTTGTGTTATATGTTATTATATACTATATTATTACAATAAAGTAAACTAGAGAAAAGAAAATGTATTAAGAAAATTATAAGGAAGGCCAGGCACAGTGGCTCATGCCTGTAATCCTAGTACTTTGGGAGGCCGAGGAGGATGGATCACTTCAGGTCAGGAATTCGAGATCAGCCTGGCCACCATGGTGACACCCCATCTCTACTAAAAATACAAAAATTAGTTGGGTGTGGTGGCGTGCAGCTGTAGTCCCAGCTACTTGGGAGGCTGAGGCACAAGAATCGCTTGAACCCGGGAGGCAGAGGTTGCAGTGAGCCAAGATCATGCCACTGCACTCCAGCCTGGGTGACAGAGTGAGACTTGGTCTCAAAGAAAAATATAAGGAAGAGAAAGTATATTAACTATTCATTAAGTGGAAGTAGATCATCAGAAAGATCTTCATCATTGTCTTCACGTTGAGTAGGCCGAGAAGGAGGAAAAGGAGGGGTTAGTTTTGCTGTCTTAGGGGTGGCAGAGGCAGAAGAAAATCTACGTATAAGTGGACCCACGTGGTTCAGACCCATGTTGTTGTTCAAGGGTCAGCTGTAATTCGTTTTATGATTAATCACTAGTAGGGGAAATATCTAGAAGACTTGGTGTTAAGGGAAGCTAACCTCAGATTTGAAGTCATCACTGAGGGCTGGCCATGGTGGCTCACGCCTGTAATCCTAGCACTTTGGAAGGCCAAGGCGGTTGGATCACCTGAGCACAGGAGTTTGAGACTAGCCTGGCCAACATGGCAAAACCCTGTCTCTACAAAAGATACAAAACTTAGCCGGGCATGGTGGTGGGCACCTGTAGTTCCAGCTACTCAGGAGGCTGAGGTGGGAGTATCACTTGAGCCCTAGAGGTGGAGGTTGCAGTGAGCCAAGATTGCATCACTGCACTCCAATCTGGGCAACAGAGCAAGACTCTGTCTCAAAATAAATAAATCATCACTGAGTGCCCTGAAAGTGAATAATTAATGTGATGCAGTTAATGCAATGCAACTGGACCTGGTTGCATTGATAAATGAGTTTTAACTGGGACTTTGCCACCAACTATTATGTTGTCTGGCTTTGTTTTTCCACCTTTTTGAGCCTTGGTTATTAAGAACATTGAGAATAGGTGAGGAAGGAGGAAGGCTAGTAAGGAGCAGATTATAGGAAGAGGTTATCGGGGATTTGGTTAAGGAAGGTAGAGATGAGATCATGGCTCACTCCAGCCTCCACCTCCTGGGCTCAAGCGATCCACCCATCTCAGCTTCCAGAGTAGCTGGGACTACAGTGTGCACCACCACACCCGGCTAATTAAAATACATTTTTTTTTTTTTTTGTAGAGACAGGGTTTCACTATGTTGCCCATGTTGGTCTTGAGCTCCTGGACTCCAGTGCTCCTCCCACCTTAGCCTCCCAAAGTGCTGAGACTACAGGCATGAGCCACCATGCCCGGCCCGAGTTTCAAAAAATACTATAGAAAATAGTTTGTATAATTCATCCCCCCCACCCCAACCCCCACTTGATGAGAGTGGCGTGAATCTAGAAATGACAACATGTGGCTGTGGCCAGACTATAGCAAACAAAAAGCCAGTGAGCATTGAAGGTGATGCTCATGTTTCACTTGTGAAGACGAAACATCTTGGGCCGTGATTAGGAAAGATAGGCAAAGGGGGTGGAAATGATAAGTTTAATTATGATAATAGTATCTTATCCCCCATGCTTCTACATAATAGCTATTGTTCTTTCTGTTTTTATAGATTAAAATATTGAGGCCTAGAGAGCTTAAATTAATTGCCTAAAGTCACATGGCTGTAAGTGATAGCACATTTTAAGATTGCATCAGGACATAGAATAAGACTTAGTTTCCAATTCTAGCAAAGCCCATTATAGAAATCACTAGGATATACAGGAACTAGCGTGGTGGGTATGAGGTTGTTTGGGTTTTGAGGTGCAGCATTTGTTGCAGAGCCTCCTGCTTTGACGTTGTTCTGCCTGATAATTAAAAGCCCTACCCTCTGCCTGCTGGGCTGCTGCAGGGGCCAGGCATCACTGTCGCCTTTATACTCTGACTCTTTTTTCCCCCTTTCCTGCTTTCAGGATGAGGCCATTCCTCAAAATAGTAAAAAGGCCACACAGTGAAGCCTGTACCCCCCAGGTTTGATTTCAGAAAGCTTTTATTCAACTTAATGACAGTTTATTCTTTCAAAACAATATATTGAAGTATTACACAGAGTTCACTATTGTTTCATAATGTCATATGATGTAATGCTAATGCTGGTGGGTGATCTGCAGAGGCAGTGGCTGGGCGAGTTTGGGGCTATTTGTATGACTGAGGTAATGTTTGCATTTTTAATAAGCAAGCAGATTCTTTCTTTGGCCTTAACCCTTTTGCATAAATATACCAGAGTATAATTTATGCTCCATAATCCAAATATCTGTTCCTTTTTTTATCAAAGGGATTTCTGTTTTTCATAGCAATGTCTGAATTAGTAATTTATTTTGACATGTAAAGCATTTTATAGGAAATGAAAGATTAGAAAATTAGAAAGTAGCTACAAATGGCTGTGACAGAACACAAAGGCAAAATAGTAGATTTGATGTAAGTTAGCAAGATTCCAAGAAGTTAACAAACCCTGTATAGATTTCTTACTTGAAATTCAACCACTCATATTTTTTAATGAATCCCACTCTATTGTATGTCATTCTAAAGAAATGAAATATTTGCAAGAGAAAAGTAATATGGTTGGTGTTTTATATATAAAGTTACAAAAATAATTATTCACTCTTAGTAGATGAATATGTGCATATTTACACACATGCATGCATGTGACATTCTTTCCAACCGATCTGTCATTTTTGTTACTGACCTTGGATACAACGTAAGAGATTGTATTGCTGCCTATGGAAGGGGCTGTTTTTGTTAATAACAAGGATGATCAAACATATACAGTGTAGATACTGAAGTGATACTAAGCAGCTTTGTTGGGAGTTTGGTGTTTGGTTGTTAAGAACATGATGCATGTGAAGTAGATTTTGATAATTAAAAGGAGCCTGGGGCTTTTCATAGTGGAGCGAAATCTCATGGAACAGCAGTGAAAGCTTTCAAATCACATGGAACATTGAGAACTGGAACCTGAAAGTGTAGCTAGGGAAGAATGAAGCAATGGAAAAAGGGCGATAAGGAGAGCATGATGGAGCTAGATTTCAAATGACCAGTTTCTTCACATTCTTCTGTCATCTGGACAAATAAAAGTCTTTGCATTCATCAGATGTCTGCCTCTACCAGCTGTCAGACCTTATCATTGCATTGGAAAATGGCAGCCAAAGGAGGGGACAAGAGAATGGATCTTAATCAGAGCCACAGTCTTCTCTGAATGGCTTAAAGGTAATCTCTAAACCCAGGGGTAATCCTAAGTATATTTTCTCCCAAATACCATATTGGAAAGATTGATGACTTATTCCTGATTACTTTATGGGTTTGTATTTGTAATAGCTCTTCAGTTAAGCTTTTAAACATGGCTATTCAGAGAAGTGTGAGTTGTGTGTAAAAACAAAAACAAAAATAAACATAGCTGTTTACCAGCATTGGGTTAGCCTTACTCAGAAGAGTGGGAAGTACCAGGTGAATGGTTGCTTTCAACCGATTGAGAAAGTGAAGCTGTCTCACCAGAACACCCTCATCTTTTCCCTTACTCCCATAAATCTCTGTGTGCCTGCATCCATTCTTGTTTCTTTCCATTAAGTCTCAGATGAGGTATTCATGCCTTTCTCTGAAACTTAATGCCATTCTGTTTCACTCTTTCCATTTGCTGGGACTTTGCTCCTGTCCTTTTCTCTTTTTGTCTCGCAACTAGCTTAGTGGACCTCTTTCCTCTTGTTCAGATATACAGCTCTTCCCATCTTAAAAACAGAAGACGAACACTTTCTTTCAATTCAGTTGCCCTCTTGGCTACCACGCTTTCTCTGTTCTCATTTCTGCTGCCAAACTTACTGACTCCATGGGTGCTACATGCTGTCCCTGCTTCCTTGATACCTCTGCCATTTGGGAAGTTCCCCTGGACAGGCTCTCATATACATAACTTCATCCATATTTGCTGCTTTGGAGGATTACTAGTGTTTTCTTTTCATGCTTGAAGTTTTTTTCTCAGTCCACATCCTCCTCTTCTTTTCCGTATTTAACATAGGTTTCTATCCCACTTGTTAAAACTCCCTTCCTTTAGTTTATGATACCTCCCCACCCAGTGGTATTCTGTTTTGTTTTTTTTTTTTTAATCTACTGGTTAGTCTCTATTCCTCTCTGCACAGCATTTTGCCTAGTGCTCTTTTGGAAAAACAAGATTCTAAGGCGCTTTAAGTATTCTGAAATGTAGCCATTAAGATGATTTTAAGTCTCTGTCATCAACTTCAACTTTTTTTTCTTTTCCTTCTTCTTTTTTTTGAGATGGGGTCTTGATCTGTCATCCAGGCTGGAGTGCAGTGGCACAATCATAGCTCACTGCAGCCTTGACCTCCCGGGCACAAATGATCTTCCAACCTCAGCCTCCCAAGGAGCTGGGACCACAGATGTACCACACCTGGCTAATTTTTTTTTTTTTTTTAATTTAGAGATGGGGTGTCACTCTGTTGTCCAAGCTGGTCTCAAGCCCTGGGCTCAAGCAGACCTCCCATCCTGGCCTCCCAGAGCACTGAGATTACAGGTGTGACCCACTGCACCTGGCCAGCTTCAACTCCTTGTTCTGTTTGTCCATCATCTTGCTCTGTTTGTCTATACAGTCGCTTTAAATTCAGCGTATTCCATCTTCCACTTGTGTATTATGTATTTATTCATTTTATTTATTCAACAAACACTGGATCTTCTTAGGCAAGTAGTGTACACTTGAAAAGAATGTGTTCTGTAGTTAATGGGTATAGTGTTCTATAAATATCACTTAGGTCAAGAAATGGTGATGTTCAAATCTTGTGTGTGCATATTGATTTATTTCATTAATTTGATCACTTAATGAAAGAGAGGTATTCAAATATCCAGCTATTTTTGTTAATTTGTCTATTCTGGTTATTCCATTGGTTTCTACTTTGTGTGTTTTGAAAGTCTATTATTAGGCATATATGCATTAAATATTATTATATTGATCCTTCCGTCTTTATGAAAATGTGCTACCTATGTGTTATTACCCCTGTCTTGTAGTCTAATTTGTTTTCTATCAATATAGCCACTCCAGCTTTCTTACACTTACTATTTGCATAGTATACCTTTTACTATTCTTTACTTATTTTTATCGATTTATGTCTTTATATTTAAAGGGCATCTCTTGTAGACAGCATATAGTAGGGTCTTGCTTTTGTATTTAGGCTATCGTCTGCTTTTTAATTGGTGTGTAAATTGATATGGTTGGATTTAGGTCTCCCATTTTGCTCTTCATTTTCTATTTGTGCTGTGTGCTTTTGGTTACTTTCATACTCCTTTCCTGCTTCCTTGCATTACAAAAATTTTTTTTTAGTATGTATTCCATTTTAGTTTCTTTTCTGGCTCTTTAAGTTATACTCCTTTGCATTATTTTTTTAGTGGTTGCTCTAGAGGTTACAATATAGTCTTGATATTTATTATAGTTCATTTAGAATTACTATTGTATCACTTCATGTAAAATGTAGGAAACTTTCAATGGTGTGGTTTCATTCACCCCCCACTTCTTTTTTTTTTTTTTTTTTTTTTTTTTTTTTGAGAAAAAGTCTTGCTCTGTGGCCCAGGAGGGAGTGCACTGGCACAATCTCAGCTCACTACAACCTCTGCCTCTCCAGTTCAAGTGATTCTTGTGCCTCAGCCTCCCGAGTAGCTGGGACTACAGGTGTGCGTCACCATGCCTGTCTAATTTTTTTATTTTTAGTAGAGATGGGGTGTCACCATGTTGGTCAGGCTGGTCTCGAACTCCTGACCTCAGTTGATCTGCCTGCCTCAGCCTCCCAAAATGCTGGAATTACAGGCATGAGCCACCACGCCCGGCCCACCTTCACTTCTTTGTGCTATTGCTTTCATATATATTGCATCTACATACGTTAGAAATCCCATAGTGGTTTTATACACACACACACACACACACACACACACACACACACGTTTTTGTTTTAATAATATATTTTTTGAAGTGATTAAGAGAAGAAAATAACTATATATAGAATGTGATGTTTACCCACATAGTTAACATTTCCAGAATTCCTAATCCCTTTCTCCAGTTTCCATTTGATGTCATTTATTTTTAGTTTAAAGGACTTCTTTTAGCATATCTTGCAGTACAGGTCAGCTGGAAAAAAGTCCTGTTTTTATCTATCTGAACTTTTTTTTGCCCACTTTTGTTATAAAGTCATTTTTTGGTGTAATTACTAAGTTTTTGAAGACATATTGTGAGACTCCATGAAATCTCATTTTTTAATCTACCTTTATTTCATCAGTTATAATATCTATTGATGATTCTTGCTTGAATTAATTATGCTGTGATGGCTACCAAATAACTGTTTTCTAAATTTTTCATTCCTTCTACATTTATTAGTTTATATTCTATTGGAAGGAATAGGTTTCTCATCTCCCCATTTATTTATTCAAATCAGTGCGGGAACAGTCAGCTCCTATTTTATCCAATGAGTTGTATGTAATCTGTTATTATCATTATTTCTTTTTCAATCTCAAAATGTTCCAAAATTGGCCAGTGACAGCATCTTCAATCTAACTTCCTGTGTCCTTTTTTTTTTGGAGATGGAGTCTCGCTCTGTGGCCCAGGCTGGAGTGCAGTGGTGCGATCTTGGCTCACTGCAAGCTCTGCCTCCTGGGTTCACGCCATTCTCCTGCCTCAGCCTGCCGAGTAGCTGGGACTACAGGCGCCCACCATCATGCCCAGCTAATTTTTCTGTATTTTTAGCAGAGACGGGATTTCACTGTGTTAGCCAGGGTGGTCTCGATCTCCTGACCTTGTGATCCGCCCACCTCGGCCTCCCAAAGTGCTGGGATTACAGGCGTGAGCCACTGCGCCTGGCCTACTGTGTCCTTTTAACATATTCCCCTTATACTTTGAAAATGTCTTTATTTTCTGGCACAATATAATGTTCCAGACTTATTTTGTTCTTCCATGTCTCCAGCTCTAGAATCGGGTATTTCTTAAAGGAACCCTGGTTCTTTTAGTGAAGGGTCTTATTTAGAATCCATTTCTGGACCTTCTCAGAAGATTTAGCTAGGGAATCCATAGATACACACCCACACATTTACACCTATGTTTATTTTTTATATGTTCGTGTATTTGGCAACACGATCTTGCCCTTTCACCCTGGCTGGAGTGCAGTGGCACAATCACGGCTCACTGCAGCTTTGACCTCCTGGGCTCAAGGAATCCTCCTACCTCAGCCTCCTGAGCAGCTGGGACTACTCTGCGTGCCACCACGCCCAACTAATCTTTTTGTATTTTTTGTAGAGATGGGGTTTCCCAATGTTGCCTAGGCTAGTCTCAAACTCCTGGGCACAAGCGATCCACCTGCCTCAGCCTCCCAAAGTGCTGGGATTGCAGGCATGAGCCACCATGCCTGGCCTATATTTTCTATATATTGAAAATGACAAGTTCACACTAATATGTTCTCTATGTTCTTTGATCTGCAGGTTTGTACTTTTAATCGAAAACTTTGGTCATTATGTCTTCCAATATTTTTCTGCTCCCCCCACCTGCTTTTTGTGGGACGCCAATTCGATGTTAGACCGCTTGATATTTTCTTACACATCACTGACACACCTTTCAATTTTTATTTTTAGTCTTTTCCTTTCTGTCCTTACTTTGGATAATTTTTACTGCTGTGTTTCCATGTTCAGTGGTCTTTTTTTCTGTCATGTCTGTACTGCTTTTAATCTCATCCAAGGTGTTCTTAATTTCAGATGCTGGTATTTTTCAGCTTTAGATTCTCCCCCTTAAATGTCTTTGATCTCTCTGCTTATCATGCTTATGTTTTCCTCTACTTTTTGAACGTATGAGTACTTCAATTTTATTTTAATTTTATTTTTAAGAGGGAGTTTCGCCCTTGTCGCCCAGGCTGGAGTGCAATGGCACGATGTCAGCTCACTGCAACCTCTGCCTCTAGGGTTCAAGCAATTCTCATGCCTTAGTCTCCTGAGTAGCTGGGATTTCAGCCACCCGCCACCATGCCCAGCTAATTTCTGTACTTTTAGTAGAGACGGGGTTTCGCCATGTTGGCCAGGCTGGTCTTGAACTCCTGACCTCAGGTGATCCACCTGCCTCGGCTTCCTAAAGTGCTGGGAGTAGAGTGCATTTCTTTTAAAATTTACTTACTAATTTTTTTTTTCCTTTTAGAGACAGGATCTCGCTCTGTTGCCCAGGCTAGAGTGCAGTGGCACCACCGTGGCTCACTGCAGCCTCAACCCCCCTGGGCTCAAGCAAACCGCCTGCTTCAGTCCACCAAATTGTTGGGATTACAGGCATGCACCACCACACCTGGCCTGGATTTCATTTTATTCCTTTAAGGATACCAGACTTTATTCTGGCATATACATATGGTTAAGTTACTTGTAGTCATTTGGACCCTTCCCATGTTTTCTTTTAAATACCGTTGGGGCTCATCTAGTGCAGTCTTTGCCTAGTTTAATTTCATCTCACTACTAAGGTGAAATCCTTCTGAGTACTCTACCTGTTGCCTTATGTATTATGAAGTCTCTCCACTGTGGCTAATGGGAACATGAGCTCTTCAGAAAATATTTGGCCTACTGCTTCTCTCTAGTTTTCTCCAGTCTCTGGAATTTCACCTTACAAATTTACAGATGATGTTTTCAGAGATTTAAGGGTACCCTGTGCAGATCTCAAGGCTGCCCCCTTCTCTCCCATATTCTGTTGTGTAAATCCTACCCACTTTAGTTTCTGCAAACTTTGCTCTCTCTCTAACTCAGTGAGGCTGCTGGGCTTTTTTTGATGTCCATTCTGCTATGGACTGAATGATTATGTCTCCCCCCAATTCACAGGTTGAAATTGTAATCCCCAATATGCTGTATTAGGAGATGGGGCCTTGGGAAGTGATTTGATCATGAGGGTGGAGCCCTCATGTCATGGGAGTCACGCCCTTACAAGAAGAGAGGGGAGAGAGGTTCCTTCTTCCTTCTGTTCTTAGCCATGTGAGGACACAAGGAGAAGACAGCCATTTGCAAACCAGGAAGAGTGCCCTCACCAAATATCCAATGTGCTAGCACCTAAATCTTGTACTTCCCAGCCTCCAGAACTGTGAGAAATAAATGTATGTTGTTTAAGCCATCCAGTTTATGGTATTCTTGTTGTAGCAGCCTGTACCGACCAAGACACCTCCCTGGTCTGCCTCTTGGAAACTGCCTTTAGGTAATAAGCTGGGAAAATGGTAGGGCTTGTTTTCCTTCTTTCAGGGATCAAAGTCCTGTGCTGCCTGTTATACAGTATCGGAAATGAGTGTTTCATATATTTTTGTCTGGTTTTCTAGTTGTTTATTATTGCATAATAGCAGTTAATCCTTCATGTGCAGAGGCAGAAATCCTTAAAAAAATGCTTTTTAATCCATATTTTTCTGTCCGATACCAGTTTTTCCATTTTACTTATAAGACCCTCCTGCCAACAGCCTTTAATTGGTCATTCATTTCTGCAACATATTGATAAGCACCTGCTAAGTGCCTGATGTGGTCAGACAGTGCAGGTACAAAAAATAGAAGACATAGTTGCTGCCCTTTAGGACCTTATTGTTTTGTGAGCGATTTAGACAGGTAAGTATTCACAATAATATCATATTAGTAACACTGGCCACATGTCCCAAAGAGTAGATAAACATGGAGGAGATAATTATTAATTTGGCCTGGGAATTTGGGGCAGGCTTCCTAGAGGAAGTAGAATTCAGCTGAGCTTTGAGGGATGAATAGCAGGTAGCTACATAGAGAAGGCAGGGTTGCAGAGAGTATTCTTTTTTTTTTTTTTTTTTTTTTTTGAGACGGAGTCTCGCTCTGTCGCCCAGGCTTGAGTGCAGTGGTGCAATCTCGGCTCACTGCAAGCTCTGCCTCCCGGGTTCACGCCATTCTCCTGCCTTAGCCTCCCGAGTAGCTGGGACTACAGGTGCCCGCCACCACGTCTGGCTAATTTTTTTTTTGTATTTTTAGTAGAGATGGGGTTTCACTGTGTTAGCCAGGATGGTCTCGATCTCCTGACCTCGTGATCCGCCCGCCTCAGCCTCCCAAAGTGCTGGGATTGCAGGTGTGAGCCACCGCACCCGGCCAAGGGTATTCTTAGTTTAAAAGTCTTCTATATATATTTTAAAACATATTTAAAAGATGCTGGCCAGTCACAGTGGCTCATGCTTCTAATTCCAGCACTTTGGGAGGCCGAGGTGGGAGGATTACTTGAGCCCAGAAGTTTGAGACCAGCCTGAACAACATGGTGAGACCCTGTCTGTACTACAGAAAAAAAAAAAAAAGTTTATCTAGGTGTGGTGGTGTGCACCTGTACTCCCAGCTACTTGGGAGGCTGAAGTGGGAGGATCACTTGACCCTGGGAGGTCGAGCGGTGTTCATAGCGCTGTACTCCAGCCTGGGTGGCAGAATGAGACCCTGTCTCAAATAAAATAAAATAAAATAAAAGATGCCAAAAAGAATTCTTAACCAGGTCGGGCACTGTAGTTCATGCCTGTAATGCCAGCACTTTGGGAGGCTGAGGTGGGTGGATCACTTGAGGTCAGGAGTTTGAGACCACCCTGGCCAACATGGTGAAACCCCATCTCCACTAAAGACAAAAAAATTAACCGGGCGTGGTGGCGCACAGCTGTAATCAGCTACTGGGGAGGCTGAGGTGGGACAATCGTTTGAATGCAGGAGGCAGAGGTTGCAGTGAGCTGAGATTGCGTCACTGCATCCAGCCTGGGTGACAGAGTGAGACTGTCTCAAAAAAAAAAAAAAAAATTATTAACCAAGTTTGTATTTGGAATATACTGCTTTTCTTTTCTTTTCTTTTTCTTTTTCTTTTGAGCTGGAGTCTCTGTTGCCCAGGCTGGAGTGCAATGGCGCCATCTTGGCTCACTGCAACCTCTGCCTCCTGGGTTGAAGCAGTTCTCCTGACTCAGCCTCCTGAGTAGCTGATATTACAGGTGCCTGCCACCATGCCCGGCTAATTTTTGTATTTTTTTATAGAGACAATGTTTTACCATGTTGGCCAAGCTGGTCTCAAATTCCTGACCTCAGGTGATCCATCCGCCTCGGCCTCCCAAAGTGCTGGGATTATAGGCGTGAGCCACTGTGTCCGGCCTGTAGAGGAATCTTAAAACTGTCATAGTTGGCCTGGTGCAGTGGCTGATGCCTGTGATCATAGCACTTTGGAAAGCTGAGGCAGGAGGATTGCTTGAGGCCAGGAGTTTGAGACCAGCCTGGGCAACATAGACCTCATTTCTACAAAAAATTTGAAAATTAGCTGGTCATGGTGGCATGTGCTGGTAATCCCAGCTACTTAGGAGGCTGAGATGGGAAGCTCTCTTGATTCCAGGAGTTTGAGGCTCAGTGAGCTCCAGTCATACCACGGCACTCCAGCATGGGCAACAGAGTGAGACCCTGTCTCTGAAACAACAGCAACAACACAGTCATAGGTATTTAATAACGTTTAAATATTTTTTCCATCAAAATTCAGTTTCACAGAAAGCCAGTGAAATGCAAAGTGACATTTTAAAGAATGCACTTGGATAGATAATCATTTGCTTCTACCAACTGGTGAAAATCATCAGCAAAAGTTAGTAATCATGGTTTTTTTTGTTTGTTGTTGTTGTTGTTTTTGAGATGGAGTCCAGCCCAGGCTGGAGTGCAATGGTGCAATCTCAGCTCGCTGCAACCTCTGCCTCCTGGGTTCAAGTGATTCTCCTGCCTCAGCCTCCCGAGTAGCTGGGATTCTAGGCGTCCACCACCGCGCACAGCTAATTTCTGTATTTTTAGTGGAGATGGGGTTTCGCCATGTTGGCCAGGCTGGTCTCAAACTCCTGACCTCATGATCCGCCCACCTCGGCCTCCCAAAGTGTTGGGATTACAGGTGTGAGCCACCATGCCTGGTCTGTAATCCTGTCTCTAAACATTTTTAGCAGTATATGAAAGTGTCAGTAAGTAAATATTTATGAACAAAAAGTCTGTTTTGATTTGCAGGATTTTCGGAACAGGTGACAATTGGGATTGCTTTGCTCTTCAGTCTTTTTTTTTTTTTTTTGAGACAGAGTCTCACTCTGTTGCCCAGGCTGGAGTGCAGTGGCACCATCTCAGCTCACTGCAAGCTCTGCCTCCTGGGTTCACGCCATTCTCCTGCCTCAGCCTCCTGAGTAGCTGGGACTACAGGCGCCCGCCACCACGCCCGGCTAATTTTTTGTATTTTTAGTAGAGAGGGGGTTTCACAGTGTTAGCCAGGATAGTCTCTATCTCCTGACCTCGTGATCCACCTGCCTCGGCCTCCCAAAGTGCTGGGATTACAGGCGTGAGCCACTGCACCTGGCCTGCTCTTCAATCTTTTTTAATTGAGGGCTTTTCTCTAACTTAAAGAATCAGTATCTTTTTATTTCAGTAAATCTTATGTTATGTCAAAATTAATTTTTCTCAGCCATAGGAGAAGGAAAAAATAAATCCAACAGAGAGTTAACAGTTACATAGGCCAAAGGCAAATTAATAATAAATGCCATAGGTCTTTCTCATATTTTGCCATTTTTAAAATAAGATGGCCTTCCTTTAGTGTAGTAATTAAATTTATAGCAGTCCTGTGTTTAACAACACTTTTACCACTAGATGTCACTAGACTAAAACAATTGGTAAGCTTGTTGAAACTGCTGCAACCTGGTGCAGTCTTTTCAAAGGCCTTTGGTTAATAAGGCTTCCTCTGTAGCACCTGCATTTCTCATAAAACTAAGTCACAGCTTGCTTCAAGCACAAGCTGATTGGGAAATATACATGTTCTGTGACACGTTAGTAATCTAGAATTACTTATTTTAGTGTTTATCAGGACAGAAAAGGACAAATCTTACTACCGGAGGAAACTTTTTAGTGACCTTAATTTTTTGGAGAGAAAACGATTTTCAGTCTATCTCTGTACTCAGAGAAGCATTTATCGTCACACCTCAGGTTTCTCAAGAGTTGAGATTTTGTCCTTTTTTTTTTTTTTTTCTCGAGACGGAGTCTTGCTCTGTTGCCCAGGCTGGAGTGCAGTGGTGTGATCTTGGCTCACTGCAAGCCCCGCCCCGCCAGGCTCAAGCAATTCTTCTGCCTCGGCCTCCCGAGTAGTTGGGACTACAGGCGCGCACCACCATGCCTGGCTAATTTTGTGTATTTTTAGTAGAGATGGTTTTCACCATGTTGGCCAGGCTGGTCTCAAACTCCTGACCTCAGGTGGTCTGTCTGCCTCAGCCTCCCAAAGTCCTGAGATTACAGGCATGAGCTACCATGCCCAGCCAAGAGTTGGGATTTTGTCTTAGACATCGTGGATTTCTTAGGGCCCAGCACAAAGCTTGGCACTTGGTAGGTACTCAGTAAATGCAATTAAGCATTAGGGTAGTATACTAGATGTCATGGGGGAAAAGATAGCTCACAGGTCCTCTGCTCTCAAGAAGTCTCATTTGGGAGATAATACATGCCCACAGCACAGGGTATTGTATGTAAACCAAATGAGTAGTGCATTCACTAGCTTCTGTAGTATTTCAGGGGATCAGTAGCTCTTGAGAGCTAGCGGTAGTGATCAAAGGTGTCCTTAAGAGAAAGCATATTTAGAGATGCAAAAGTAGGACAGTTACAAGTGAAGAAAGCAATGAGCCAAGGTTTAAGGATAGGAAAATGCAGGCAGTAAAGATTTAGAAAGATAAAAACTCAAGGGCCCTGAATTTAAAGCATACATTTAGGTTTAATATTTTTTAGGGATATTGGAGGGGACATTGAAGGATATTGGTGTGGGAAAATAATATGTTGCATGATAGTTTGTAATTTACAAAACAATAGCACTTGAAGAAGAATGAATTAAAGATGATTGCTCTTTGATTTTAAAATACTTCTGTTTTAAAGTCTATTATAGGCCGGGCACGGTGGCTCACACCTGTAATTCCAGCATTTTGGGAGGCCTAGGCGGGCAGATCACCTCAGGTCAGGAATTTGAGACCAGCCTGGCCAGCAGGGTGAAACCCCGTCTCTACTAAAAATACAAAAAGTAGCTAGGCATGGTGGCGTGCGCCTGTAATCCCAGCTACTCAGGAGGCTGAGGCAGGACAATCGCTTGAACCTGGGAGGCAGAGGTTGCAGTGAGCCAAGATCGTGCCACTGAACTGCAGCCTGGGTGACAGAGTGAGACTCCGTCTCCAAAAAAATACATAAAGTCTACTACAAACACTTTTATTTAAAAGAGAGAACATAGGCATAGGGCTTAGTATATAGTACCTCTCACTTAATAAACCCTCAGTACATGATTCTTGTTGATAGTAATATTATTAAATGAGGAAAAAATATTAGAGACATGCTACAAAATAACTAACCGGTTTTCTTTATAAGAGTCAAAGTCTTGAAAGACAAGGAACAATTGAAGAATTATCACAGATTTAAGGAGACTAAGGAGACATGCAGTGTGGGTCCTGGATTGGGTCCTAGAATGAGAAAGGATGTTAGTGGGAAAAAAGGGCACATTTGAATAGTTGTGTAGTTTAGTTGATTATATTGTAGCAGTGTTAATTTCCTGGTTTTGATCATTGTATTGCAGTTACATACTATGTTAATATTAAGGGGAAGCTGCTGAGGGTGTAGTGGTGAGATCATGACTCACTGCAGCCTCGACCTCCCAGGCTCAAGTAATCTTCCTGCCTCAGCCTCCTGAGTAGCTGAGACCACAGGTGTGTGCCACCACTCCCAGCTAATATTTTTAATTTTTTTTGTAGAAATAGGGTTCCGTATGTTGCCCAGGCTGGTCTTGAATTTCTGGGCTCAAGGGATCCTCCCACCTTTGCCTCACAAAGTGCTTGGGATAATAGGCATGAGCCATTGCACCCATCTGGAATCCTATACTTTATGCAACTTTTCTATTTCTTTCTTTCTTCTTTCTTCTTTCTTTTCTCTTTTTTTTTTTTCTTTTTGGAGGCAAAAATCTTGCTTTGTTGCCCAGGCTTGGAGTGCAATGGAGCGATCTTGACTCACTGCAACCTCTGCCTCCCGGGTTCAAGTGATTCTCTTGCCTCAGCCTCCTGAGTAGCTGGGACTACAGGCACGTGCCACCATGCTTGGCTAATTTTTGTATCTTTAGTATGGTTTCACCATGTTAGCCGGGCTGGTCTTGAACTCCTGGCCTCAGGTGATCCGCCTGCCTCAGCCTCCCATAGTGCTGGGTTTACAGGCATGGGCCACCACACCTAAGCCTGCAACTTTTCTTTAACTTCTTTTGCTTTTTTTAAACTTCTTATTCAAAAATAGTAAGTTTAAAAATACAATTTTGTTTTAGAAAAGATTTCAATTTTGTATTTGAACTAAGTTATCTACTGAGAGGTCGGATGTCAACAGAAAGAATTTAGAATCTCCTACCCGACAGAGCTTTTAAGATCCACTAAAGCCCATTAAGCAATCCACTAGAATAGCTTAAGGCAAGAGTGGGTTCCCTTGAAGACCCAGAAGTAGAACCTCTGAGGTGCTTCCTTGATTAGGCTTTGTCTCAGTGGAATGTTGGAGCTAGTTTGATTGTCTATCCAGACCATTAAAACTTTTTATGTCAGCACTAGGGCTGTTTTTGCCTTTGTGTGTTCACTGGAGTAGCACTTTTAATTCCCTTTAAGAACTTGTCCTTTGCATTCACAGCTTGGCAAACTGGTGCAAGAGGCCTGACTTCTACCCTGTCTTAGCTTTGAACATACCTTCCTCACTCTAGCTTTTGATTTAAAGTGAGAGATGTGCAATTCTTCCTTTCACTTGAACACATAAAGACCATTGTAGGGGAATTCATTGGCCTGATTTCAATATTATTGTATTTCAGGGAGTAGGTCCAAGGAGAGGGTGATAGCCGGGGGAATGATTGGTCCGTGAAGCAGTCAGAGCACATGCAACACTTCTCAGTTTAAGTTTCCTGTTTTCTATGGGTGTGGTTTGTGGTGCCCAAAACAATTACAATAGTGACATCAAAGATCACTGATCACAGATCACCATGACAGATATCATAATAATGGAAGTTTGAAATATTGCAAGAATTACCAAAATGTGACAGACATGAAGTAAGCACCCTGCCACAAATCTTCAATTTGTAAAAAAAAACACAGTATCTGTGAAGCACAATTTAAAAAAAATTTGAAGTGGAATAGAATGAGGTGTGCCTATATATGGAAGATGGCTTGATCTAATCAGAGATAAAAAGAGATGAATGAGGACCATATCAAAATTATTTCCAGTTTGCAGTTAATTCTGCTCCCAGTCTCCAGTCCTAGGCAACCACAGGCCAGCTTTTCTGGACACTTCATCTAAATGGAATCATACAATACATACTCTTTTGAGTCTGACTTCCAGTTTTTGCCTGTTATGAATAATGCTGCTATGAACCTTTGTGACCATGTGTTCATGTGAATGTGTTTTTATTTCTTTTGGGTGGATTCTTAGGAACGGAATTGGTAGGTTGTATGGTAACTTTGTGTTTACTTTTACGAAACTGCCAAACTTTTTTCAAAATTACCATTTTACATTCCTTCCAGCAATGTATGAGAATTCAGTATTCTCTTTATTTCTGATTATAGCCATCAGAGTGGTTGTGTAGTGGTATCTCATTATGGTTTACATTTACATTTCTCTAATGATGTTGAGATTATTTTTGTGTGCTTGAAATACCTGTTCAAATCTCTTATCCATTTTTAAATTGGGTTTTTAACTTATATTGTATTATAACAAGTTCTTTATTCTGGATACAATCTCTTAATCAGATATATGATTTGCAGTATTTTCTCCCAGACTGTGACTTTCTTTTCATTTTTTGGGGGATTTTTTTTTTTTTTTTTTGAGACCGAGTCTCACTCTGTCGCCCAGGCTGGAGTGCACTGGCGCGATCTCAGCTCACTGCAAACTCCACCTCCTGGGTTCAAGCAGTTCTCCTGCCTTAGCCTCCCAGGTAGCTGGGATTACGGGTGCCTGGCTCATTTTTGTGTTTTTAGTAGAGACAGGCTTTCACCATGTTGGCCAGGCTGGTCTGGAACTTCTGACCTGGCTGATATTTTTTGAAGTACAACTTTTTTAATCTTGATGAAGTTCAGTGTATCAATATTTTTAATAAAGATTTCTCCTAGAAGTTTTATAGTTTTAGTGATTGCATTTAGGCCTGTGATCCTTTTTGGATTACTTTGTGTGTGTTGTGTAAAGGTCTAAGTTCATTTTGCTTTGTTTGTTTGCTTGTGGTATCCAGTTGACCCTGTACCATATGTTGAAAAGATTGTGTTTTCCCTTATTGAATTATCTCAGCACCTTTAAAAAATGACCATAAATGTAAGGGTTTATTTCTGGACTCTTAGGTCTGTTCCATTGATCTGTCCCATTTTTAATTTCGTGGATTGTACTTTGGTGTTGTATCTAAAAAGTCATCACCAAATCCATGCTTACCTAGATTTTCTCTTGTATTACTGCTTAGGACTTTCATAGTTTTGCATTTTACATTTAGGTCTGCGATCCATTTTGACTTAATTTTTGTGAAAGGTATAAACCATATGTGCTTTTAAAGACTATATAGTCTGCAGTCATTGGGTAGAGAGTTTTATATATGTCAGTTATGTTGGTTGATAGTGTTTTTTGAGTTTTGTATATTCTTACTGATTTTGTCTTTAGTTTTATCAATTGAGAGTGAGGTACTGAATTATTAACCTGTTTTGTTGAATTGTGTATTTTTCCTTTTGATTCTGTCAGTTTTTCCTTCATTTGTTTTGAGGATATGTTGCTGGTGTGGATACATTTAGAATTATTATATCTTCATGATGTAACAACTTTCATCATTATGAAACACCGTTCTCTAATATTACTCTCTGTCTTTATTTCTATTTTATCTAATATTAATAGAGCCATTTGTGTTAGTCCACTTTGAGTTGCTATAAAGGAATACCCGAGGCTGGGTAATTTATAAAGAAGAGAGGTTTATTTGGCTCACAGTTCTGCAAGCTGTATAAGAAGTGTGGCACCAGCATCTGCTTCTGGTAAGGACCTCAGAAAACTTTCAATCATGGAGGAAGGTGAAGGAGGAGCAGGCATGTCACATGGTAAGAGAGGGAGACAGAGGTGGGGGAGGTGCCACACTCCTTTAAACAACCAGTTCTCCCATAAACTAATAGAGGGAGACTTGCTCGGTACTACAGGGAGGCACCAAGCCATTCTTGAGGGATCTGCTCTTATGACTCATACATCTCCCACTAGACCCCACCTCCAACATTAGGGGCCACATTTTAACATGAGATTTGGAGGGGACAAGTATCCAAATGATATCACTATTCTGTCTTTCTTATGGTTCTATGATGGTATATATCTTTTTTTTTTTTTTTTTTGAGACAAAGTCTTGCTCGACAGGCTGCTGAAGTGCAGTGGCGCGATCTCAGTTTCCTGCAACCTCTGCCTCCTGGGTTCAAGTGATTTTCCTGCCTCAGCCTCCCAAGTAGCTGGGATTACAGGCGCGTGCCAGCATGCCTGTCTAATTTTTGTATTTTTAGTAGAGATAGGGTTTTGCCATGTTGGCCGGGCTGGTTTCGAACTCCTGACCTCAGATGATCCACCTGCCTCGGCCTCCCAGAGTGTTGGGATTACAGGTGTGAGCCACCGTGCCCAGTGGGTATGTATCTTTTTTTATCTGTTTGCTTTCAACTCTTTTGTGTCTTTGAATCTAAGGTGTGTCTTTTGTAAATAGCATATAGTTGGATCTTGATGTTTCATCCAGTCTGACATTCTCTACCTTTTGATTGAGGTATAAAAACCATTCACTTTTAATATAGTTATTGATCTGGTTAGATTTGCCTTTTTATTATTTCTTTTCTATACATTCTTGTCTATTTTGTTTCTCTGTTCCTCCTTGACTGCCTCCTTTTATATTAAATACATATTTTTAGTTTACTGTTTTAACTGTTCCATTGATTTTTTTTAACTATGTATTTTTTGGAGTTGTTTTCTTAGCAGTTGCTGTAGGGATTACAGTGTACATGTTAATTATCAGAGTCTACTTCAGATTAATACTAACTTAATTCTGGTAAAATATATATGCTTTGCTCCATTATAGCCTCATTCTTTCACCCTTTTTTGTGCTATTATTCTCATGTATAATATCTGTATATATTTGTAAACCCAAAACACAGTGTCATAGTTACTTCCTTAAGGATGTTTGTCTTTTAAAGAAGTTAAGAGAAGGTGTGAATAAAAATATATTTGTAGAATCTTCTGTGTTAACTCACATATTTACAATTTTTGGTGTTCCTCAGTTCTTCTTGGACTTCAGGTCCCCAACCGTTGTCACTTCCTTTTACCCTGAAAAGACTTTTGTTAGTATTTAATGTTACAAATTCACTAGCAGATTTTCTCAGTTTTTGTTTATCTAGGAATGTCTTTGTCTTTTTTTTTTTTGAGGGATAAATTTGATTGAAATGGAATTTTTGGTTGACAATTTTTTTCCCCCAGCACTTTATATATGCCATTCTACTCTCTTCTAGCCTCCATTGTTTCAGACGAGTTGCTTTTCTCTTGCTCATTTCAGGATTTTTTTTTCCTTTAGCTTTCCATAGTTTGTGATAAGTCCAAGTTTTGATCTCTTTGTATTTATCCTACTTGGGGCCTTTGAGCTTCTTGAATGTGTGGATTAATATTTTTCATCAGATTTGGTAAGTTTGTCTCTTCTTTCCTTCTGGGATTTCCATTATGCATGTGTTGGCATGTTTGTTGTTGTTGCACAGATCTCTAAGGCACTGTTTTATTTTCTTTAATCTTTTCTCTTTGTTCTTTAGATAATTTCTATTTTCAGGTTCACTGATTCTTTTTCCTGCCATCCCCAAATTGCTATTGAGTTGCCCCAGTGAATTTTTCATTTCCATTATTATACTTTTCAACTCCAAGATTTCTGTTTGGTTTCTTATTTTTAAAAATTTTATGTATGTATGTATTTGTTTGTTTGTTTTGTAGAGACAAAGTCTCATTATGTTGCCCGGCTGGTCTCAAACTCCTGGGCTCAAGCAATGTGCTGACCTTGGCCTCCCAAAGTGCTGGGATTACAGGTGTGAGCCACCGTGCCTGGCCTGCTTTTTAAAATATATATATAATTTCTGTCTCCTTATAGGGAATCTGAATTTGTAGATTCATTGTTATATTTTTCTTTCTTTTATTATGATTTTCTGTAGTTCTGTGAGCTTATAATTGCTTTGAAATTTTTGTCTGCTGTATCTAGTATCTTCAATACTCAGAGGCAATTTCTATTGACTGCATTTTTTTCTTGAGTACGAGTCACACTCCTGTTTCTTTGTAGGTCTTATAATTTTTTTGTTAAGAACTGGGCATTTTAGATAATATAGCAGCTGTGGATTCTGATCCTCCCAAATTGCTGTTGTTACTTTTTTGTCTGTTCATTGCTCTTTGTTTAGTAACATGTTTGTCAAACCTGTGAAATCTTTTTCCTGTGGTTTGTGGCCATTAATGTCTCTACTTTTCCACCCCACACCCTCCTTTTTAAAAGACGACAATCACTTTATTATCTCTCAGATTTCTGTGGGTCAGGGATTCTGGAAGGGCTCAGCTGGGCAGTTCTGACTTTGTTATGCAGCTGCAGTCAGTTGGTGGCTGGAGCTGAAATAACAGGGGCTGGAGCAGCTGGGGGCCGTCTGGGCAGCTCTCTTTATTTGTGTAGTCTCAGGTCCTCTCCATGTGTCTGCTTGCTTTTTAAACTTGCTTATATCTTTACATCTGCTTTCCTAGGGGTTGTCCATATGTCTGCATGGGTTAATAGTCAGTTATTGATCAGAGGTTGTACTTAACCACCTTGATCAGGAAGGCTTCTGTCATCTGTAAATGGCTCTGCGTGGCAGGGTAGCACATTCAAAGTTCAGGCCATTTTCAAATCTTATCTTTTGTTCACTGCTGAACCCTTTCACCTCTCCCCTTGGAATACACACACCCTCAGTGTCAGCTAGGAGCACGTGACTGGTTGCACCCTTTCAGGTCTCTGCTGCAAATGCATACAGCCTTAGCTAGGAGTAAGCTTGCCCTGACCACGACCACAACCTCGTGTTAGTATAGCTTTTGGCACTTTCCACTTGCCCATCTCTGAGATAGTCAATTCTACTGATGACACCGCTGGATGTGGATGCTACCTATTGTTCCAAATAAGTCAGCAGCCGCTTCCTGCTAAAGCAGGAAAGCTTCCTGTTCTCATTACCTGTCCCATTCTGGTACAACATCTGCTTCAACTGAGGCAGGAAGGTTGGGAGAAGCCTCACATCTCAATGACACAGATTCTCACTATTTTTACCCAAGTTCTTTTTTTTTTTTTGAGATGGAGTCACACTCTGTCACTCAGGCTAGAGTGCGGTGGCACAATCTCGGCTCACTGCAACCTCCAACTCCCAGGTTTAAGCGATTCTTCTGCCTCAGCCTCTGAAGTAGCTGGGACTGCAGGAGCACACCACCATGCCTGGCTAATTTTTGTATTTTTAGTAGAGACGGGGTTTCACCATATTGGCTAGGCTGTTCTCAAACTCCTGACCTCGTGATCCGCCTGCCTCGGCCTCCCCAAGTGTTGGGATTACAGGCGTGAGCCGCCACACTTGGCCAAGTTCATTCATTTTTAAGGCATAAATGCTTCTCAAATTTTTATATGCCATTGGTTGATTTTCCAAACCTCAAAATGGTTTGAATTATGTTTGAATGGTATGAATTATGTTCAGCTTTATAGTTACCTTTTGCAGAGAGGATATGTTGATCTCCTCATTTGGATTTATCAAGAAGTCCCACTTGTCTGTCCATGTGGTTTTTTTTTTTTTGGAGATGGAGTCTCACTCTGTCGCCCAGGTTGGAGTGCAGTGGCGCAGTCTTGGCTCACTGCAACCTCTGCCTCCTGAGTTCAAGCGATTCTCGTACCTCAGTCTCTTGAGTAGCTGCAATTACAGGTGTGTGCCACCATGCCTGGCTAATTTTTGTATTTTTAGTAGAGACAGCATTTCGCCACGTTGGCTAGGCTGGTCATGGACTCCTTGCCTCAAGTGATCCACCTGCCTCGGCCTCCCAAAGTGCTGGGATTACAGGTGTGAGCCACTGTGCCTGGCCCCCCATTTGCTTTTAATCTAGCTTTTAAAGTAGCCAGCATATAGTTGTCTTGCTGTTTTATATATGTTGAAAATCTGTCTTTTTAATGATATCTTTAACACTCTTAGATTTAGTGTAATTTCAGTGTGGTGGGGTTAAAGTCCACTGTTGCTATTTTTTTTTTTTTTATTTGTTCTAGTTCGTTCTCTTTTTTTGAGACAAAGTCTTGCTTTTTCTCCCAGGCTCTAGTGCAGTGTTATGATCTTGGCTCACTGCAACCTCTACCTCCTGGGTTCAAGCAATTCTCCTACTCCTACCTCAGCCTCCTGAGTAGCTGGACTACAGGCACGTGCTAGTTTTTTGTATTTTTCATAGAGACAGGGCTCCACTATGTTGGCCAGGCTGGTCTCGAACTCCTGACCTCAAGTGATCCACCTGCCTCGGCCTCCCAAAGTGCTGGGATTACAGGTGCCAGCCACCGTGCCCGGCCTTTGCTCCTGTTCTTTATTCCTTCCTCCCTGCCCACCCATACCTTTTTCTGTCTGCTTTAGGATTGAGTCTTTTTATGTTCCAATATTTATCTGCACTGTTGGGTTATTATTTTTATGTATGAATATATGTATTTTTTTTCTAGAGTGCAGTGGCACAATCATAGCTCACTGTAACCTTGAACTCCTGGGCTCAAGTGATCCTCTAGCCTCAGCCTCCTGAATAGCTAAGACTACAGGCATGTACCACCATGCCCAGCTAATTAAAAAAAATACTTTTTTTAGAAATGTGGTCTTATTGTGTTGTTAAGACTGGTCTCAAACACCTGGCCTCAAGTCATCCTCTTGCCTCAGCCCCCTGAGTAGTTGGGATTGCAGGTTTGAGCTCTCATGCCTAGCAAGATTCATTATGTGGTTGTATCAATAGTTTGTTCCTTTTATTGTTTCCTTCTTATGGATATACCATAGACTGTCTATCCATTTGCCAGCTGAAGGAATCGGGGTTGTTTCCAGTATTTGGTGATTATAAGTAAAGCCAACATAAGTTTTGTGGCAGTTACAATATATGACAGAATTGCTTCCCAAAGGATTTAATAAACTAATTCATAGTAAAAACAATACTATCTGAGCATTTCCATTTCATAATATCCTCTTCAACACTGGGCATTACTTAAGGATTTGTTTTCTCCAAAATGGAAGTATCTTTTATTCTGATCATGAAAGTAACACGTGCTCATGATTTTATGTCACTCAGCCCTCTGATCCGAAACCTAAATATACTCCATTTTGTCTCTTTTGTTAGAGCATGACCCCCAGAATTGGCATAGTGTTCCAGGTGTGGATTGGATCCAGTGTCTTTTCTGCATGATATATTCCTTTTAATACAGCCCAAGTTTAAGTAGCTTTTTTGGCAGCCACATGCACTTGAGTCATATCGAATCATCTAAAACTCTAAAGTGTTTTTCACATGTGCTGACATTAAGCCACACCTCCCCCATCCTGTATTTCTGCAGATAGTTTTTGGACCTTCAGTGAAAGACTCACATTCATCCACAGTTCAGTGTCACATGTAGCCTCAGTTTCTAGCTTGTTGAAGCCTTTTTTGAATCCCCACGATTAACACACCATGAGGGGCCTCACTCAAGTCATTAAAGAATGTTTAACACGACAGAACCTAGGTCAGAGATCCAGGGAAAAGCTCATCACAGTCAACAGACACAGAACTCTTTCTGTTAAGAATACTTTTTTATTTTCCAGTTTCTAGTTGGTATTTTTGTGGGAAGTAAATTGCTATCTCATATGCGATTAGTGAGAACTAACATTTGTGATTATTATATTAATTGAGACTCTTTTTGGTATCTGATTATCAGTACCATGCTTATTATGTATATCATTAATGCAGTTTTTATTGTGGTATTTTATCACCACAAACTGTATTTATTACTAGTCTATACTTATTTAAAACATTGAAGTGTTTTTCCTGAGACTTTAAACCACATCCTAAGACCACACTTCCCAAACATATGGTAGCAGTGACCAGAGACATAAAAATCACACCATTGATGAGAGAGTAATGATTCTAAGACCTGCCCCAAACCTCAAATAGGATAGCAATGTCATGGCTGCTCCTAATTTAGATGGGACGAAATCAACAAAAAGGAACTGCTGGCCGAGGATAGTTAATATTCAAAAGCAAAAGAAATGTATCTGTAAATAAGGAAGATAAATCTCATTATAATATCCACTGCTTTTTTTTGGATGTGGTCTTCCAGCAGTAGTAGATAAGTATATTATTAATGAAACAATTGTGTTAGTGTTCCATAATTATACAAAAAGGGAAAATAGGACAAGGCATGAATAATTAATGAAAGGAAACCAGACTCTTAAGTGGGGTGGGGGGGACATATAAGAAAAGGTAACAGCCATCTGTGAGTCTGGTCTGAGGACCAGAGGATGGCTGACATTTTTGGGGCCAGATAGACTATCTTTCTGCTGTTCTTCTCCTTTCCTGGCAATATACTGGAAGAGATTGAAACAGAACATCAAGGCAACCCCACACATGAGATGGAAATTTAAAAAATGTTCCAGATATGAGCATAACTCCCTAAGCCATTCTTTTAGCAATGGTTGAAGCCAGTCCTCTGACTTGCAGTAAGTTCTCGCAAGAGGCTACAGTTCCGAGGCCTATTTATTTTGGCCTCATTTTTATCCCTACTTTTACTTTGGTGACATTCCTTGAGTCTCACTCATTCCAGCATAGGGACAGGACACAGGTTGTTGAGGCAAATACTATGGGTTCATATAGAAAGTACCAGATATTAACTATCTCTGGCCAGAGTTTTTCCCCTAGGTCCTTACAAGTAAGTACTTTTTTTTTTTTTTTTTTTGAGACGCATTTTCATTCTTGTCGCCCAGGCTGGAGGGCAATGGTGCGATCTCGGCTTACTGCAAACTTTGCCTCCCAGGTTCAAGGGATTCTCCTGCCTCAGCCTCCCAAGTAGCTGGGATTACAGGCGCCCACCACCACGCCTGGCTAATTTTTATATTTTTAGTAGAGACCAGGTTTCTCCATGTTGGCTAGGCTGGTCTCGAACTCTTGACCTTAGGTGATCCACCCGCCTTGGCCTCCCAAAGTGCTGGGATTACAGGTGTGAGCCACCACTCCCAGCCAAATAAATATATTTTTAATGCACATTTACAATTCTAATTAGTTTTATATACCTCTGCCAGTATCTTTTAAGCCCAACTGAAGTTATGTGATTCCTCTGCAGAATTGGTTGCTCCATCCTGCCTACAACCAATTCTGATGCAGGTATGAGCTCCTCAGCTTGAGGTGAAGATCTCAAGCAGCCTTTATCTTAAAAAATTTATTTCGTTTTATGTATTTATTTTTTGAGACAGAGTCTCGCTCTGTCGCCCAGGCTGGAGTGCGGTGGCATGATCTTGGCTCACTGCAAGCTCTGCCTTTCGGGTTCAAGTGATTCTCATGCCACAGTCACCCGAGTAGCAGGGATTACAGGCACATGCCGCCACACCCAGCTAATTTTTGTATTTTTAGTAGAGACAGGGTTTTGCCATGTTGGCCAGGCTTATCTTGAACTCTTGACCTCAAGTGATCTTCCTGTCTCGGCCTCCCAAAGGGCTGGGATTACAGCCATGAGGCACTGCGCCTGGCCTCAAGCAGTCTTTAAATCTTCATTTCCCACTGTGTGCTTTGTATTGAGCTCCAGGCCAAATCGGACTGTTTTCTTTGCTTTCCCACCTCTAAACTTTGCCCATGCCCTTCTATCTGATAAAAAGCCATCTTTTCCACATAGGCCTGCTAAAATCTTTTCATTCCTTTAATGATTCCTTTTTAGATTCCTTTAATCTATCATTCCTTCAAGATTTTGCTTGTTCATTTGTTCAGCAAATATTTGAGGGCTGCTATGTGTTAGGCACTGTTCTAGGAGGTGAGGGTATAGCCAAATACACAATCTCTGCTTTCAAAGAGCTTACATTCTAATAGTTCATCCCACTAGAAGGCAAGTTTGTCTTAGACCATCTCCTTCATTATCTTTTTTACCTTTCCTAAATTGATACAATCTTTACATAGATCATGATGAGGAAGGAGGTAATATATTTGAAGTGACCACTGTGGCCAAGCACAGAACATTGCAAAATGCTTTAATTTTAAAAGCATGTGTCCTAAATGTAGAAGGAAGGATAACTAGAAATACAGAAAGTTATGGTCAGAAAGCCGGGGGTGGTGGCATGTACTTGTAATTACAGCTACTTGGGAGGCTGAGGCAGGAGGATCACCTGAGGCCAGGAATTTGAGACCAGCCTGGTCAACATAGCAAGACCTTATCTCCTTTTTTTTTTTTGACCTTATCTCAATAAGGTGGATGCACCTGTAGCCTCAGCTACTTGGGAGGCTGAGGCATCAGGATTGCTTGAGCCCAAGAGTTCCAGGCTGCAGTGAGCTATGACTGCACCACTGCACAGCAGCCTGGGTGACAGAGCAAGACCCTGTCTCTTAAAAAAAAAAAAATTATGGTCAAAGCAAAAGCAGTAATAAGTAGGATGACCTTAGATGATCCACCTTCCTTGGCCTCCCAAAGTGCTAGGAGTACAGGCATAAGCCACCACGCCCGGCCTAAACTGCCATTTTTAATGAATTGTAAAGAACAGAAGAGGTACCAGAAGCTTAGAAATAGAAAAAAGTACACGTTAAAAGGGGAGGCGGGTAATTGAACGAGGGGCCATGATTTCAAAATTTCCATCCATTGGTTCCAACTCTGTGCCTTCAGCGCTTGTTCTCTTTTAAAGTATTGATAGACTACTATTGTGCATCCAGTCAGTCTTGTTTTGTCACACTAAAAATTTCAAGATAAGTCCATAACAGGAGCATAAGTAAGATACTGCAAGGTTCTGACCTTGGCCTCAACCTTACTCAAGATCATATCACTTAGCTTGGTTCCTGCCATACTTAGCAAAGGACCCTATACATGCTAGATACTTATTGAAGATTTGTGGACTGGACTTAAATAAAGAGGTAGAGGCATATCAATCACATTGGTAGGTGGTAAAGTGTTGGACAGAATATCTGACACAATGGATGACAGAATCAAGGGTCAAAATGACCTTTTTTTTTGAGACAGAGTCTAGCTCTGTCACCTAGGCTGGAGTGCAGTGGCATGATCTCGGCTCACTTCAACCTCCACCACCTGAGTTCAAACCATTCTCCTGCCTCAGTCTCCCAAGTCGCTGGGACTACAGGTGCACGCCACCATGCCCGGCTAATTTTTTTGTATTTTTAGTAGAGACAGGGTTTCACCATGTTGGCCAGGCTGGTCTCGAACTCCTGACCTCAAATGATGCGCCCGCCTTGGCCTCCGAAAGTGCTGGGATTGCAGACGTGAGCCACCACGCCTGGCACAAAATGATCTTAACAGACTGAAAAGATGGTCTGAAACCACAATGACATTTAAAAGCAATACAGCTGGGTGCAGTGGCTCATGCCTGTAATCTCAGCACTTTGGGAGGCCAAGGTGGGCAGATCGCTTGAGCTCAGGAGTTCAAGACCAGCCTGGCCGACATGGTGAAACCCCGTCACTAAAAAAAAAAAAAAAAAAAACGCTAAAAATTTAGGCAGGCATGGGGGTTTGCTCCTGTAGTCCCAGCTACTCAGGAGGTTGAGGCATGAGAATCACTTGAACCCAGGAGGCAGAGGTTGCAGTGAGCCAAGATTGCACCACAGCACTCCAGCCTGGGCAATGGAGTGAGACTTCATTTCAAAAAAAAAAAAAAAAAAAAATAGAGACAAAGCTAAAATGGTGCAGCTCTAAGTCCAACGATCATAATTGTTTAAGTTAAAGGGATTTCTGCACACAGCAATTATTTGTTGAGTCCCCAATATGTAACAAATACACACTACTCAAATAAATTAATCCTCCCAATAACCTTCTGAGGTAGAGGTATTAGTGTCCCTTTTAGAGATGAGGAAAATGTGATCCAAAGAGGTTAGGTGACTTGACCAAGATCCTAAGGCCAATATACGACGTTTTCGATCTCTGAATTATCTCCAAAGTCTGTGCTTTTTCCTATCATGCCACACTGCCCCTCTGCACTCTCATGAATTGCAGGAATTTATTCCAAGTTACAAAGAATCATTCCAGTTCTGCTTAAACATTTCTAGTAATTAAGATAGTTTAATACTATGCAAGGCAGCAAAAAGGTTACAGACATAGACTTTTGAGAACAGTCAGATCCAGATTAAGAACAGCTGCTCAGCCACTTCTTAGCTGCACAACACTGGACAAATCCTTATCTCTAAACAACAGTATCCTTATCTATAAATTGAGACTAAAAAGTACCCACATGACAAGGATGCTGTGAGAATTAAATGTGAGACGCTGTCTGAAAAGTGCTTAGCTCACTGTGTGACGTATTGCAATTGCCCAATAAAAATTACCATTCAAATTATTATAGAAAGTTCTTTTTATCAAACCAAACTCTACCTCCCAATAATTTCTGTCCACTGATCTCAGTTCTGATCACTGGGACTTTATAAAATTAGATCAAATCCTGTATCTATTTGGCACCCATGTAATATTAGAAGAGGGTTATATTCTGAGTCGTCTCTTCTGCAAACCAAAACTGTAATCTGCTTCAAATCTCCTTCATAAAAAAAGGTCGGCCAGGTGTGGTGGCTCATGCCTATAATGCAATGCCAGCACTTTAGGAGGCTGAGGTGGGCGGACTGCTTGAGCCCAAGAGTTCAAGACCAGCCTGGACAATATGGCAAAACTCCGTCTCTACAAAAAATACAAAAAAATTAGACCAGCACAGTGGTGCATGCCTGTAGTCCCAGCTACTTGGGAGGCTGGGGCGGGAGGATCCTTGAGCTCAGGAGGCAGAGGTTGCAGTGAGCCGAGATTGTGCTGCTGCACTCCAGCCTGGGTGACAGAGTGAGACCTTATCTCCAAAAAATAATAATAAGACAAGGTTTCTGGACAATGACTTCTATCACTCAACTCAGGATGTACCCTAGTTTAAAAATCTCTTCTTAAACATGACACCCAGAATACTCTCGCAGGTGTACAGTAACCATTGCCAGGTGCCTGGGACTACTGCTTCCACTTTCTGAACTTGAGATCAAAAAAGCCCCCACTGAATTGCTGTTGAGCCAGTTTTCCCACACCCTATCCTTATACAACTGGTTATTTTTCATCTAAATGCAGGACTTTACAGGTACTGCTTTTAAGTGTTTTTGTTTTTTGTTTTTTCAGATAGGGTCTCACTCTGTCACTCAGGCTGGAATGCAGTGGCATGATCTTGGCTCACTGCAACCTCTGCCTCCTGGGTTCAAGTGATTCTCGTGCCTCAACCTCCTGAGTAGCTGGGACTACAGGAGCACACCACCATGCCTGCCTAAATTTTGTATTTTTAGTAGAGGCGGGGTTTCACCATGTTGGCCAGGCTGTTCTTGAACTCCTGACTTCAGGTAGATCTGCCCGCCTTGGCCTTCCAAAGTGCTGGGATTATAGGTGTGAGCCATCGCGCCCGGCCTTTGTCTCTATTTTTGAACATTAGAATTACATTATCTCTCATATAATACATGCTAATATACCAATTAGAACAGAAGTTTTGATTGCTAGACTTGATTTTGTTTACAATTTGGTACAGATCAGGTGTGTATGTTTACTTTTTATGGTTTTTCTTTCATTCCCCTTGCTGATAGCAAGTAGCAGCTACTGTCAGCTTGGAAACCAAAATAAAATCAATAGCCCTCGGCCGGGTGCGGTGGCTCATGCCTGTAATTCCAGCACTTTGGGAGGCTGAGGTGGGTGGATCACTTGAGGTCAGGAGTTCTAGACTACACTGGCCAACATGGTGAAACCCTGTCTCTACTAAAAATACAAAAATGAGCCTGGTATGGTAGTGCACACCTGTAATCCCAGCTACTCGGGAGGCTGAGGCAGGAGAATCACTTGAACCCAGGAGGCAGAGGTTGCAGTGAGCTGAGATCATGCCACTGCACCCCAGCTTGGGTGACAGATTGAGACTCTATCTCAAAAAACAAACAAACAAAAGACAAACCAATAGGCCTCTGAGGCAGTCTGAAGGGCTTCCTGTTATTAAAATACACAGGAATTAATACATGGGATTTAACTATTTTGGTGACCTGTAGGCCATTTTTGGTTTTCCCTGTTTCTTGGCTGTTCAGGGAGTTGGAATTATTAAATAAGTAAGATATAACTGGATGTCACATAATTTTTGCCGCCCTTTAAAAAAAAAAAATTTAAAGAGACAGAGTACGTTGCCTGGGCTGAACTCAAACTCCTGGGCTCAAGTGTCTGCCTTGGCCTCCTGAGTAGCTGGGACTACAGATGTATTCCATCTTGCCAGGCTGATTTTTGCTCCTGAGGATTACAATCTAGTATAGAAAACAAACCTCATGGTTGACTTAAAGTGTAGGATTTTACAAGCATAGTGTTCATTTAGTAGTGTATAATGGTATCATACCTTCTGTGTGGAGTGCCTGTTTCCCATGTGCCAAGTGCTACACTGGTTGTACTTCATACAGGACCTTTGCAAGTCTTCAAAAACAATCCTATGAGGGAAATATTAACATCATCCACATATAGATAATGCTGAGCTACAGAGAGGTTAGACAACTTGCTCATCTTCCAAAAAGATTTAAACTCAGGTCTGTCATAGTCCAAAGGCCGGATGGTTTTTACCACAGGGGAAGAGGTGGACCATAGTCATAGGAAACAACTGTATATAGAGAGGAATGATTAATTGAGCTGAACCTAAAAGGACAGGTGGGGTTTTGGTGTGATGTGTTAGGTTGGGTTGGGAAGGTGGATGAAGGAGTTCTGGGCTGGCAAGAGAGTCTGAGCAAAGTGGGTCTGAATATCCTGCATTGAGGAGATGGGGTGGTGGCAGAGTGATCACTCTGTGACCAAAGAGAAGGCTGCAATTTGAGAGGGAGTAAGAGGATGAGACAATTATTATTATTATTATTATTTTGAGAAAGAGTCTCTCTCTGTCACCCAGGCTGGAGTGCAGTGGTGTGATCTCTGCCACTGCAGCCTCCGCTTCCCAGGTTCAAATGATTCTCTTGTCTCAGCCTCCCAAGTAGCTGGGAATACAGGTGCGTACCACCACACCCAGCTAATTTTTTTTTTTTTTTTTTTTTTTGTATTTTTAGTAGAGATGGGGTTTCACCATGTTGGCCAGGCTGATCTCGAACTCCCGACCTCAAGTGATCCACCTGCCTTGGCCTCCCAGCGTGCCGGGATTACAGGGGTGAGCTACCATGCCCGGCAAGGTGGGAAAATTAGGTTAGGGCCAGATTTGGAGGCTCCTAAAGGATAGGGAAAGGAATTTGAAGTTGATGCCATAAGAACGTGATTGTAGTTTTGTTTGTTGCAGTAGGGAGCAGGGTATTAACATGTTGACAGCTGCGCTTTTTGAATGAATTGGTATGACAGTGGCCAAAGATGGACAATGCAGTTAGGAGATTGTTGTAGTTTCCTAGTGATGAGCTGATGAAAGCCTGGGCTGGGGTGGGGATAGTGGAAGGAGGAGCAAACTTGAGAGGCATTTTCAAGGAAGAAATGACAGGATTTGGCAAATTGGGTGCCAGGAATAAAAAGACGGGGAAATAGCCATAGGGTTGCTTGATTGAGGGAGCAGAATAATGGCAGAATGGGGAAGGGAGATTAATTTTGTTTGTTTGTTTGTTTCTTTTGGAGATGGAGTCTGGCTCTGTTGCCCAGGCTGGAGTGCAGTGGCACCATCTCGGCTCACTCCGCCCCCTGGGTTCAAGCGATTCTCCTGCCTCAGCCTCCCGTGTAGCTGAGATTACAGGCCCACATTACCACGCCCAGCTAATTTTTGTATTTTTAGTAGAGATGGGTTTCATCATGTTGGCCAGGCTGGTTTCAAACTCCTGACCTCAAGTGATCTGCCCGCCTCGGCCTCCCGAAGTGCTAGGATTACAGGTGTGAGCAACCGTGCCCAGTGGGAGATTAATTTTGAATTTTGGCCTTGTGGCCTTGCAAAACCACAACTAGTAGGAGCCGTTTCACTGATGCATACTCAATGCTCCCTAGCCTAGCATCCGCACAATGCCTTTTCTGGCCATGGCGGAGAGCACTTCAAAAGGAGGCCCTGCGGAGGGTGGGGTGGGTAGAGGAGCATGGTAGGGAATGGGAGGGGCAGGTGTCTTCCAAAGTTTGCAGTTCTCCTAACTTGTTTTGCCCTAGGTCCGCTGAATGCAGTATTACAGTCATGGCAAATGTCACCGTACTGATGTGCTTAACATAGATGTAATGTTTTCTAGAGGGTACGCTAAAACTCTTGGAGGGAGTGGGGGGTGGGGGTTATAAATCTTTATGTTATTTTTCTGTTAATGTCAAGGAACAGTTCATCCTTCTGGGTCTGTATGTTTAAACTGAGAGTGAATATTAATAGGAATTTACGGTACTCATGTTGGAAATTGCTACCCTCATTTAGAAACCATTAACCTTTATGTTAATAAAATAATGTTTTTAAATGAGCATATGAAATCTGTGTTGAACAGCTGCGGTCTTTCCGGAACACTAACTTAAAAAATGCTCAGCATACTTTTTGAAAATCAAAAGCATGTGGGTGGGATGAAGTCACCTGAGCAATTTTCTATAATTACAACTTTCAAGGCCTTTTCCTTTGTCTTTTTCCAGCTAACCTAAAATACACATGCACGCATGTGCACCCTCACACAGACAGCAGCACAAACCTGTGATTTTCTTCTTTCTCTCTATGGACTTTTTGGCCTTGTTTTTGTTAAATAGTTGCAGTTCCCTAGGAGGATATGTGTTGTCTTGTTCCTTCTCTAGTTTATTTGAAACCTTATATCTTTGAGAACTTTGGAACTCCCCAGAACAGGCTAGATGTCCACCTAGACTCCCAAGCTTTGAATGCCCTGTCCTAAAGTATTTCTAGGTGCGTTGGATCTAAACTGATTCCCCTAGGGTGACAGTGGAAACCCCAAAATGCCGACATCCTAGAGAATGACCAGGAACATGCTCAAGTTGTTACACAGTTTTTTGTACGTGCTGAGGTTCCTCAGTGCCATCCTGGTCAGCCAGTACTGGAATGTGACAGAACTGGCATTTGTGCCCAGGAACAGCCTACGCTGGGAATTCGCTTCTGCATTCTGATAATTAAGTCTGCTGTGCTGCTAATATTGTTCCCTGAAGGAAGGAGAGCTAGGGAATAATATCATTCCCACTTGTACCTTTTAATTAACAGAGGAGTGGAATGGAAAGAGTTTTAAAGAAGACTTTGATGAGAGAAGATCGGTACCTGACATAGTCTGGTAATTCCATCATTGTCGAACACATTTTAAGAATACCACCGCCAGTTTTTTCAGTGAGCTAACTGAAAATAATTCTAAACTTTGGCTTATTTTATGTGTAGAATAAAATTATTGATTTTCCAAGAGCATTCATTAAGAAGTGCCTTGCTAAGAAGTGTTAAGCGTGAAGTAGTGTAATATGTCTGTCCTACTATTTTAGGGGTCACTCCTTCTTCATCTTCCTCTTCTCTTTCCTCTAAGTAACCAAAGCTCTTCACCTAGAATGGAATTTGGGGCTTACATTTTCCTTACTATCATATAGCTGTTTCTTGTTACCGAAAGCAGAGAGAGCTTTTTCAGGGAGGTTAAAATTATCGTTATCTTGTTATAGTGTTATTTTTTCCTTCTTAGTAAGTTAGGAGCAATGCTTTGTCTTCCTGAAGCTGTCTGAAAAGATGCTTGTATACATGTGTATAGCGCTTTGGGTCATAGAAATTAGGTGTTATGTCATCTGTTTCAGAAGATGCACTAATGCATCAAAAACAAGTGACAGGGAAAACAATGCAGTGAGTAATCTTGTTGCCTCAAAACTGAGCAAACGTTTTGGGAGAGCAAGTTCTTGCGGGACATCACTAAATAAGAATGAGTTGATGTCACACTTGGCAAGAAGCAACTCTTTAAAATTTTTTTTTTCCATACAAATAGTACAACATGACTGGGAGGAGGGATTGTGGGCAAAGGGTAAAGAATTATGGAGGGAAAATGAGCAGGAGAAGGAATGTGAGAATGAGCTGCTTGCTACAAAAATAATTAATATGTAATCAAAGCCATGTTTGTTTTGTCAGGAAAAATCTGAGTCAGAACATGAGCTGATGAAGGGGAGAGATGTTTACCATGTCCTCCCCCACACCCTCAGAGGGCCGTTGTGTGCAGATCCCTGCGGAGGGTTGTGTAACCATCTTGACTCATTTTCAGGGAAGAATGGCCCCTGTAGCTCTTTTGGCTCAATATAATGCTGCATCAAGGATGAGTGAAGAAGTCTCTGGAATACAGTGCTATCAAACTCAAAATATGGTCATTTTAATGAGAATTTCCAAACACTAGGAGGCAATACTGTGCAGACCTTGTGCCACCACCTGCCTCCCCCTTCCCAGATATCTGTGCGATATTGGGAATTCAGGCAGCCCAATCGATAGCTGATTTTACCTTTTCCTACAAGGCAGAAAATGTCAAGATTAGCCAACTATTTATTGAAATTAGTTGGAGTTATCTGGCTACATGAGTGTCTGTGGTCCAGTGTATCATAATAAGAGTGGGAGAGACGGTTGGGGTGCTACTGGCATCTTGGGTGGGCCAGCCTTTATTGTGTGTCACTGCCGTGTATTGGCAATTTTTGTCCCTGCCCACTGAATTGCCAGTGGTGCCCCAGTCTCTGCGATGGCCAGGAGAGGCCTTCCTTCTTCCAGATTACCTCTGTGTGTTTCAGGGGGGCTAAAACAGTATGTGTTTTACAGTATTACTAAGCAGCACAGTTTTCTTTGTTGTTCCTTAGCATAAAGATCTTGGAAAGTTTTAAGAAGTTGTGTGTTTATACTGTAGCATAGGTTTCATTCAACCTATCACTCCTATTCACTCCTCAGAGTGAATTTCAGGGAAAAACAACAGTATTGGGGGAAAAAGTTTGGAAAAATTGGATGGAGGGAAGGAAAAAAAAAGGTGAATTGCAAAAGGGTTTCTTACGTAGCCCACTATTGTTCCCCAAATCAACACTCACTCTCCAGCTCTTTGGGTGGTTGCTCTGCATTTTCAAGAGGCAGCCTGGGGTGGAGGTCAGGGTTGCAGGTAAGGTAGAGGGGAAATAAGAGAGGACAGGGAAGAGGCAGGCATGAATAAAAGATTTGGATTGGAATATAAAGATGGAATACAATGGAGATAATGAAAGACCATAACAAAGAAACAGGAGATTTTACATGGCATTGTTAAGCTTACAATGTTGGCATTTTGGGGACAATTCTGAGTACCACAGATCTAGAACTTCTAAAAGAAAAACCCTCTGAGATAATTACAGCAGTTAAAGACCTTCACATACATGTTGAATTAATAGTATTTAATGTCCCTTTGTAGGTTTCAATCTTTTAAGCCTGTCCTGCCAAAGACTGTGTCCTTCTAGGTGCTTAGCCAGTAATTTAGGTGTACTGTCACCAGTTGTTTCCGTCATGACTTCTAAGTCTCAGCAGCCATTTTCCCTTAGGTTTTATTAACTGAGTCAGTAACTCAAAGTGTCATTGTTTTCCACTCATCTGGACTTTCTGAAAATAACACAGTGCTTTATTGGAAAAGCTAAGCATAGACATTAGCCAAATGTTTGCTAAAAATTAACCAAATTAAATGTTATTAAATAAGATGTGCAAATAGAGGAAAATTTTGAGAAGTATGAACAAATCCCACTAATCTTTGTTGTCAGTCACTACTTAGAACCTTGGCTTCGCACCAAGGCTGAATTAAGTTGAAGAATGTTTTCCGTAATGCTTCCCCTACCTTTTAAGTTGGTTTGAAAACATTCAGTTGCATGTGTACCACTGGATTTTTAGCTTTTTCACTAGTTGTTACCCTGGCAGCCTTGATTCAGTGAAAATCTTGTTTTTATCACAGGCTATTTCTCTGAGCAGCCAATGTTTCACGCTCTCTCCCTGTCTAATTGTCTGGCCTTGGTAACTCTTAGCAAGAGTTGAAATTACCTCGGTCAACCACATGACAAAAGAGTGGGCATGGGTTTTCCTGAATGTCTCCTGAGGTGACCAAGGGTGGAGTGGTGGTAGCATAATAAACCCCATGGGAAGTGGAGCCATAGATTCCATCAGCTTTGCAGAGGGGCCTTAGACCCAGCAGGGTTTAAGAAACTGCTGTGGATAGGATGCCTTGTCCTCCATAGAGATTATCAGCTGCTACCTAGAATTTCTTTTTCATTTGCAGTATGTCAGCATACAGAAAAAAAAAAAAAAATAGCAAACACCTGTGTATTCATCAAATTTGTCATATTTTAATATTTTGCCATGTTTGCTTCAGATCTCTTTCCCTGCAGGAAGAAAAATACACGTTTCAAATAAACAACGCCCCCTCCCCATCCTTTATATCCTTCCCTGATATTCCCTCCTCCTCCCACTCCACAGGGAATTATTGATCTGATTTTGGCATTCATCATGCCCATGTGTTTTCTTCGTGGCTTGTCTTTTTCCTACATGTTTTTGTATATCTAAGCGGTGTAGAATATTCTTTCACTTGTTTTGACTTTATATAAGTTGTGTTCTATATGTATCCTTCAGCTACTTGTGTAACTTTCTTTTTTCTTTTCCTTATAATTTTGAGATTTATCCATGTTGATATATGTCTCACTTATTTTCACTGCTGCGTAGTATTCCATCAAATGAATATTTCACAGTGTATCCATTGACTTATTAGTGAATATTTGAGTTGTTTCCAGTTGTTTTACTATTAAACAGTTTTGCAGTGGACATCTTTGTACATGTCTCCTTTTGCACATGTATGAGAGTTTTCTCTAGGGTATGTAACTAGGAACAAATTGCTGTCTAGTAGGGCACATGTATTTTCAGCTTTACTAGATACAGTCAATTTACTCTTCAAAGTAGTTATGCTCTTTTATCGCCTTACTAGCTATATATTAGAGTTCCTGTTGTTCCACATCCTCAGTAAAACCGGATATTGTCCCAGCTGTTCCTTGCTTATTGATTAATTTAAAGACAACATCGTGCTTAGCAACCATCTCAAACATAGGGTCAGATGCAAACTTAATTTTCTTATACCATGCTTCTTCCTTTTAAAAGAATTGTTTTGATTTCTGAGTTACAAATCCAAGATAACTATAACATAGCTTTTTTGCCATATTTATTTTTTTAATAATTTTTTTTCTGATCACGAAATGAATATATGATTATTTTAAGGAACTTGGAAAACAAAATGACAAAAAAGAAAATTAAAAATTCTACCTAGACATAGCCATTGTTAATAACTTGCTATATTTTTCCTTCTAGTGTAGACCTATGTAAAGTATACATTTACTTTATAATTAAAATTTGTCATTTTATATCACAATTTTACTTAAAATTCTATTGTGGCATTTCCCATGTCATTGGATATTGTTTGAAAACATCATCTAAGGCCAGGAGCGGTGGTTCACGCCTGTAATCCCAGCACTTTGGGAGGCCAAGGCGGGCGGATCACGAGGTCAGAAGATCGAGACCATCCTGGTTAACATGGTGAAACCCTGTCTCTACTAAAAAAAAAAAATACAAAAAAATTAGCTGGGCTTGGTGGTGGGCGCCTGTAGTCCCAGCTACTCAGGAGGCTGAGGCAGGAGAATGGCGTGAACCCGGGAGGCGGAGCTTGCAGTGAGCCAAGATGGCGCCACTGCACTTCAGCCTGGGCTACAGAGCGAGACTCCGTCTCAAAAAAAAAAAAAAAAAAAGTGTAAACAGCTGGATAACATTTCTTTTTGTAAATATAAATATAGTTTAATCATTCTCCCATTGGAGGACATTTTGGGTATTAAAATGATACTGGAGTACAAAATCTTGGTGCATAAATTTCATCTGAGTTTGTTTCTTTGGGATAGATTTCTAGAAGCCAGTAACTATTCATGGAATTAGATTGGATAGCTGATAAAAGCAGGGCATCAAGGGAGAAAAAAGAGTTGAGAGAGCAAAACAACATGCTTAAGGATCATGAGATTCGTGAATTCAGCTTCTGTCATATTTGAATTGAGTGGCAAATTTGTCTCTTACCTGAATTTGGAGACCCTTCTCTAATTAGGGATGATTATTAGAGGGAAATTCTGCCCTACTGTGGACACCAGAGAGTTGGTTGTGTGTTGTAGTGTTCAAGAGTTTTATCCAATATTCTGCTTCCTGCAGAGTTCCTGAATTGAGGGTCTTTTGTGGAATATCTCATTGAAGTAGACTTTTAACCTTGACTTGCTCAACATCTGATCAGAAGCAGCTCGTTGTCATATAAGGAAATCTGCTCTGTTATGGAACATCTTTGAGTAGTTGAGTTCCCCTTTTTCCCATAAGTCCAAATTTGATTCCCTGTCACCTTCAATTGTTCTTTAACTTGTTTTTAAACAAAAGTCTCCCTAAAAATAATTCCAGAAGTATTTGAACTTTATTTCTCTATTAGCTTCTACTGTAATTAACATGAAAACAAACATGTTTTAAAGTCTTTGTTTCCTTCTAAGGTATAATTTAGCTTTATCACGTCTTCATAGTGAAAGTTGTATACGTGAACGTTGGTAGGATAGAAAAACTTTCCACATAGTTTTATACTTGGTGCCCAGAAAACTTCCAAAGTGTTTAGGTACTACTCATTATTATTTCTTAGAAATTGAATAGAAGCAGTGGCTTGAGTATACACAGTCCCACTTTTTCGTTAATAATAACCACATTTCCCTTTTTTTTTTTGCACAAAAGTGTTACATGTATTTTCTCGTTTAATCCTTGTACAACCTATTAGGGTAGGTATTTTCCTCATTTGGCAGATGAGGGTGCTGAGGCTCAGAGAGATGAAAGACCTTTCCTGTCACACAGCTATTAAGGGCAGAGCTAGGATTTAAACTCAGATCTAATTCTAAAACCTGTATATTTAACTAGTTTGCACATCTGTCTCCCTGACTTAATTGCATCATAAAATCAAAGATATTTCTCTTCAAAATATGTTCATGTTGGATTATTTGGCTGTTTCACTGTTAGAGGTCTGTTGCTTCTGCTGGCTTTTCTGTGGCAATCCCAGCTGCTCTTCCCCGTGGCTTGGGCACACCAAGGATTTCCTTTCTGTGATTGCCCCATATCTCCCTAGTCCGCTGTGGGGGGCACCTTCCTGCTTCTGAGGAAACTGAAGCAGGAGATGAGGAAAGGGTAACAATTAATTACATACTTTTTTTTCCCGAGTATTATCAACTAACATGTTCCATAAAGGAGCATGTTTTCACAGCTGTGTGCTTTAGAAACAGGGAGAAAGGTTTGAGTTTTTATGACTGAGGTATCTTCAACAAAGGCTGTGATGTACACGCTTGATGGACTTGGAACGTGGAAACCCATTCCCTCCCTCAGCCCTGGGATTGGAATCTTTGTGTTTATGGTCACATGAGTATTCAGATATGTTATCTCTGAATGTGATGCCCTGGTCAGAGAACCAAGGAGTGGACTTGCTAGATTATATGATTTAATTACCCTAGATCAATCAAGCTTTGACTTACTGATGGCAGGATATATTGTGTATTTTTTCCTAGTTGCTAGAGGAAAGGAACAAAGTTTAATCCTTGGCTTTGTTGACCTTTGGTATCACTTTTATCTTGTAGTTCCGTATAACTGCCTTTGTAGACTCTTCAAAAGGCTGAAGGCAAGTGATTTATAGATAAGGGCTCATTCAGTACTTGCACAAGAAGAGCCCATATCTTCAAATATGGGTGACGTAAATTTACTTCAGAAACAGAAATGAGCTCATTTATTTGGAGAGATGTGAACAGAATGTGCGTCTTTTGCTCCGGGTGAGAAATAAATTTAAATTCAGAACTTTGCTTGGGGGAAATGAAATGGAGGAACTAGGCACTTGAGCCTCTTGGAAATTAGAGATCTTTAGCCAAGGCCCAAGGGAGCACTGTCTTGGTCCATTTATAACAAAATACTGGAGACTGGGTAATTTATAAAGAACAGAAATTTATTTCTCACTGTTCTGGAGGCTGGGAAGTTCAAGATTAAGGTTTGTTGAGTGCTGCGTCTTCTAGAGTGGATGAACACTCTGCCCTCAACTGGCAGAAGGAGAATGGGCAAAAAACAGGAGTAACTCCCCTGCTGAGCCCTTTTGTAAGGGCAGCTAATCCCATTTACCCAGAGAGGAGCCCTCATGGCCTAACCACCTCTTAAAAGCCCCACCTCCTATTACTGTCATTGGCAACACCTGCATTTTGGAAGGGACCCATTCAAACCATAGCAAGCACCAATAGTATGTTTCAGAACTCATCCACATAGGAGCACTCCTCAGCATGTCCAACAGCAGTCTGTGGAGAACTACTTTTTTGTTTTGGTTTGGTTTTTTGTTTTCTTTTTTGTGACACAGTCTCTGTTGCCCAGGCTGGAATGCAGTGGCATCATCTCAGCCCACTGAAATCTCTGCCTCCTGGGTTCAAGTGATTCTCCTGCCTCAGCCTCCCAAGTAGCTGGGATTACAGGTGCCCGCCACCACACCTGGCTAATTTTTTTGTATTTTTATTACAGATGGGCTTTCACCATGTTGGCCAGGCTGGTCTCAAACTCCTGGCCTCAAGTGATCCACCCACCTCGGCCTCCTAAAGTGCTGGCATTACAGGCATGAGCCACCGCGCCCGGCCAGAGAACTACTTTGTGTAAGTCTACGAGGCACCATACACACTTTTTCCCTTAAGGACCTTACTGAGTAACTGGGAAGAGAGAGCAGGAATGTCAACAATAATACAGAAGAAGGGTTCTATGGTAAATGCCGAAAGTGAACCTTCAACGAAGTGAGTTCCAGAGAGACAACCCATAAAGGTAAAGATTTAGTCATAAATGAGCTGTGTTGCTACTGAAAACATCTTGATTCTAAAGTATAACCACATCTCAACCAAGCAAAAACTGTCTTAAGCCTGAATTAAGAGGAAAATGATATTTTAAATGAACTCCTCAAGTAAGTTGCCAAATCATTGACACTAGAATTTTAAGAATTGGTGACTCTAGAGCTTTCATGGTTTGGCTACTGTATTATCTCCCTCAAGGTGCAGTAATATTTCTGTCACCAAAAATCATTAATTGATAACATTATTCTTTCTGTTAGTTCTAGCACTTATTTCCATCACTGTGATTTTTTTATTATGATGATTATTTTTACTTTACTTACTTAGTATAGGGGATTACCTGCCTTTTAATGTCATCCTGACAATTAAGACAAAATACAGAACATGCTTAGCACAGTGCTTGGCTGAGAGAGTGCCATCATTAATATTAGGCATTATTTTTCTTATTCTTGAAATACAGTGTTTTATATAGTGCCTGGCATGTAGTTAAATTTTAGTAAATTATAATAATGTTGTTTATTGTTTTCCAAAGGATTTTTAACATGTATTATCAATTAATACTCTGAGCTACATTCAAGGTATATAGTGCTATTCCTCTTTTACTAATACAGAAACTGAAGTTAAGTACATTGGTCAGATTTTTCTGGCTGATTTAAGCAGATAAAGAAATTATTAAAAGGAATGTGGATAGCTCACAGAATCAGCAGAAGAGCTCTAGAATCGTGTTTTGGGCTACCTAGCCAAGTAAAATGGCCAAGATCATGCCACAGAACTGAGCCACTGCCAAGTACCTGCCGTGCCTTGCACGGCAAACAATGCTGGCTGGCATTGGTGACCGGACTTTGCCACAGGGATTGCTTCTACTGCTCCCTTGGAAACTGTTTTACAGAAACTGCTGTCACCAAGGAATGTACTTCATGGAAGGCCCTATTTTGCAACATTTGCCCCCTATTTACAGTCTGGAGTGGGTGGCAATTTGCTTTATTGCCAACTCATTGTGTCTTAACTCTCTGTGAAAGAAATACTTCGTTTATATTTTCTTTTAATTGGATATAAACTGAGTAGAAGTTGAGATTATTTTCCTTATTAGTAGACTTCGTGTGTGGAAAAGTTAGTTTTTTCTGAAATTGATCTTGTTCTTAGCAATTATCTGCTATAAGTATTGCCTCAACTTTTTAGGCTACTACTAAATGAGAACTTTCCATCTGATCAGGGCGTCTTCTCCAGTGTAAACAATCCTGTTTCCCATTACCCATTGGAGCTAAGGAACCCATGATGAGTTAACACGTGCAAGAAGGGTTACCCCTTTGAGCAAGAAAAGTCCTGGCATTAGTATTTCAGATTTTTTTCTTGCATCCTTTTCTGATATTTTATTTATTTTCATTTAAAGTGGACCTATGGTTTATCTTGCTGAAAATCTCAAAAAACCAAAAAACAAACAAACAAAAAAAAAACGTGTCAGGTCCCTAATGTGATTGCTGTTAACCATATAAAAATAACCTCCCCTCTTTTATAATCAGTCTTGGTGCGCCTTGCAAAGCCTACATTTCTAACCTGTGTATACTTCAAACTACTGTGAGCATGTGTTAAACACCTTTTTTTTTTTAAATAAAAAGAACACTTTCAGCTCCTTAAAGCAAGCTCTTTTGGGAAGGAAAGAATCCCTGAGTGCTGCAGCCATCCATCCTGCTTTGTCTGGAAAGCTAAGGTTTTTGGGTTATTGATGTTTCAACAAGTGGAGAGCACCTAGGTCTGGTGAGCACCAGCTGCTGAAGTGTGGGGGGCACCCAAGTGGCCTGTTCTTCCAGGATGGCATTCATTCTTCCAGGCAAGTGGGACAAAGTGGGCTTTCTGCCTTCACTCAGTGAGAGCTGTTGAAAGATTTTCTCATCTGAATTGTGAATGTTTGTAATGTTTATTTTCACAGTAAGAGTGAGGGCCTTCTCACTTTGAATATATTCCTTTTTGCAAATAATTTTGAAGTAGTCCTGATCCTGTGTTAAAAGAAACATGGTATGTCATTATAGAAGAATCCTTCATCCCCCTTCCCTTACAAACATAAAATTTTCAGAGTTTACATTTGGAAGAAAACCTGGTTCAATTCTCTCCATTTTCAGGGAAGGAAATGGAATTTATTCTTTCCTTTGTTTATCCTTTTATAGTTTTCATTTTGTTCCCTGTTGGTCACATTTTTTTTTTTGGCCTTCTTATTAGAGGGGTATTGTGGAATATTTTTGCTTAGCAAAAATTAAAATCAACATACCTGACTTTGTAATTGTAAAATATGTATAACATACAATTTATCATTTTAATCCTTTTTGAGTGTACAATTCAGTGGCATTAAGTATATTCACATTGTTGTGCAGTATCATGACCTTCCATCTCCGGAACTTCTCCGTTATCCCAAATTGAAGTCTATTAAATAGTAATTTCCCAATCTCTACCCTCAGCCCTGACAAACATTATTATTCTACTTATTTTCGCCATGAATTTTACTATTCTTTTTGTTTTTTTTTTTTTTTGAGACAGGGCCTCACGCTGTCACCCAGGCTAGAGTGCAGTGGCACGATCTTGGCTCACTGCGACCTCCCTCTACCTTACAGGCTCAAGTGATCCTCCCGCCTCAGCCTCCTGAGTAGCTGGGACCTCAGGTGCACACCACCACGCCTGGCTAATTTTTGTATATTTTGTAGAGACGGGGTTTCACCATGTTGCCCAGGCTGGTCTCAAACTCCTAGGCTCAAGGGATCCTTCCACCTCGGCCTCCCAAATGCTGGGGTTACAGGTGTGAGCCACCGCGCCTGGCCAAATATTACTATTCTGTATGTTTCTTGTAAATTGAATCATACAGTTTTTGTCCTTTTGTGTCTGGCATACTTCAGTTTACCACAATTTTTTCAGGTTCCATCTGTATTCTAGCATGTACCAGAATTTCATTCTCTTTTTTAAGGCTGAATTCTATTATGTGTATATACCACATTTTGTTTATCCTTTCATCCATTGATGGACATTTGGGTTGTTTCTACTTTGGCCATTGTGAATAATGCTGCTGTGAACATTGATACATAAATATCTGTATGAGTCCCTGCTTTCAGTTCTTTTGGGTGCATACCCAGAGGTGGAATTGCTGGGTCATGTGGTAATTCTATGTTTATTTTTTTTCCTCCCTTGTAATTACCCACAATGTGGTAAAATACACTTGACATGAAATTTACCACTGTAACTATTTTTAAGTATAAGTTCAGTGGTATTAAGTACATTGAGATTGTTGTGTGACCATCACCACTGTCCATTTCCTGAATGTTTTTCATCTTGCAAACCTGAAACTCTATATCCGTTAAACAGCAACTTCCTATCCTCTCTTCCTCCCAGCCCTGGTAACCACTGTTCTACTTTCTTTCTCTATGATTTTGACTTTTCTGTGTACTTCATATAAATGGAATCATTCAGTGTTTGCTTGTGACTGGCTTACTTCACTTAGTGTAATGTCCTCAAGATTCACCCATGTTGTTGCATAGGTCAGAATTTTCTTTTAAAGGCTGAATACCACATGTGTATATATATAGAAAAATATTATTCAGTCTTAAAAGGGAATTCCTTTTTAAGGAATGCCTCATTTTGCTTATCCATTCTTCTATTGATGGAAATTTGAATTGTTTCCATGTTTTGGCTATTGTAAATCATGTTCTTTGAAAATGAGTGTACAAATGTCTCTTTGAGACCCTGCTTTTGATTCTTTTGGGTATATACTCAGAAGTGGAATTGCTGGATCATATAGTAATTTTACATTTAATTTTTTGAGGAACCACCACACCCCTTTCGCCAGCGGCTATGCTATACCATGTTACGTCTCCACCAATAGTGAGTAAGGGTTCTACATCTTTGCCATCATTTTTTTTTGTTTGTTTTTGATACTAGCCATCTTAATGGGTGTGAGGGGGCATCTCATTTTAGTTTTGAATTGCCCTTCCCTAATGATTAGGGATGTCAGGAATTCTTTTTATCTATTTATTTATTTTTTATTTTATTATTATTATACTTTAAGTTTTAGGGTACATGTGCACAACGTGCAGGTTTGTTACATATGTATACATGTGCCATGTTGGTGTGCTGTACCCATTAACTCGTCATTTAGCATTAGGTATATCTCCAAATGCTATCCCTCCCTCCTCCCCCCACCCCACAACAGTCCCCGGTGTGTGATGTTTCCCTTCCTGTGTCCATGAACACATGGACACTTATTGTTCAATTCCCACCTGTGAGTGAGAACATATGGTGTTTGGTTTTTTGTCCTTGCAATAGTTTGCTGAGAATGATGGTTTCCAGCTTCATCCATGTCCCTACAAAGGACATGAACTCATCATTTTTTATGGCTGCATAGTATTCCATGGTATATATGTGCCACATTTTCTTAATCCAGTCTATCATTGTTGGACATTTGGGTTGGTTCCAAGTCTTTGCTATTGTGAATAGTGCTGCAATAAACATACGTGTTCATGTGTCTTTATAGCAGCATGATTTATAATCCTTTGGGTATATACCCAGTAATGGGATGGCTGGGTCAAATGGTATTTCTAGTTCTAGATCCCTGAGGAATCGCCACACTGACTTCCACAATGGTTGAACTAGTTTACAGTCCCACCAACAGTGTAAAAGTGTTCCTATTTCTCCACACCCTCTCCAGCACCTGTTGTTTCCTGACTTTTTAATGATTGCCATTCTAACTGGTGTGAGATGGTATCTCATTGTGGTTTTGATTTTCATTTCTCTGATGGCCAGTGATGATGAGCATTTTTTCATGTGTTTTTTGGCTGCATAAATGTCTTCTTTTGAGAAGTGTCTGTTCATATCCTTCACCCACTTTTTGATGGGGTTGTTTTTTTCTTGTAAATTTGTTTGAGTTCATTGTAGATTCTGGATATTAGCCCTTTGTCAGATGAGTAGGTTGCAAACATTTTCTCCCATTCTGTAGGTTGCCTGTTCACTCTGATGGTAGTTTCTTTTGCTGTGCAGAAGCTCTTGAGTTTAATTAGATCCCATTTGTCAATTTTGGCTTTTGTTGCCATTGCTTTTGGTGTTTTTGACATGAAGTCCTTGCCCATGCCTATGTCCTGAATGGTATTGCCTAGGTTTTCTTCTAGGGTTTTTATGGTTTTAGGTCTAACATTGAAGTCTTTAATCCATCTTGAATTAGTTTTTGTATAAGGTGTAAGGAAGGGATCCAGTTTCAGCTTTCTACATATGGCTAGCTAGTTTTCCCAGCACCATTTATTAAATAGGGAATCCTTTCCCCATTGCTTGTTTTTCTCAGGTTTGTCAAAGATCAGATAGTTGTAGATATGCGGCATTATTTCTGAGGGCTCTGTTCTGTTCCATTGGTCTATATCTCTGTTTTGGTACCAGTACCATGCTGTTTTGGTTACTGTAGCCTTGTAGTATAGTTTGAAGTCAGGTAGTATGATGCCTCCAGCTTTGTTCTTTTGGCTTAGGATTGACTTGGCAACACGGGCTCTTTTTTGGTTCCATATGAACTTTCAAGTAGTTTTTTCCAATTCTGTGAAGAAAGTCATTGGTAGCTTGATGGGGATGGCATTGAATCTATAAATTACCTTGGGCAGTATGGCCATTTTCATGATACTGATTCTTCCTACCCATGAGCATGGAATGTTCTTCCATTTGTTTGTGTGTTCTTTTATTTTATTGAGCAGTGGTTTGTACTTCTCCTTGAAGAGGTCCTTCACATCCCTTTAAGTTGGATCCCTAGGTATTTTATTCTCTTTGAAGGAATTGTGAATGGGAGTTCATTCATGATTTAGCTCTGTTTGTCTGTTATTGGTGTATAGGAATGCTTATGATTTTTGCACATGGATTTTGTACCCTGAGACTTTGCTGAAGTTGCTTATCAGCTTAAGGAGGTTTTGGGCTGAGACCATGGGGTTTTCTAGATATACAATCATGTCATCTGCAAACAGGGACAATTTGACTTCCTCTTTTCCTAACTGAATGCCCTTGATTTCCTTCTCCTGCCTGATTGCCCTGGCCGGAACTTCCAACACTATGTTGAATAGGAGTGGTGAGAGAGGGCATCCCTGTCTTGTGCCCGTTTTCAAAGGGAATGCTTCCAGTTTTTGTCCATTCCGTATCACATTGGTTCTTTCATGTGCTTATTGGCCATTTGTATCTCTTATTTGGAGAAATGTCGGTTCAAGTCCTTTGCCCATTTATGAATTGGGTTGTTTGAGGTTTTTTGTTGGGTTTTAGGAATTCTCTATATATTCTGGATATAATATACATGTATATAATAAATGTATATAATAAAATATACATGATTTGAAAGTATTTTCTGCATTTTGTGGGCTGCCTTTTTACTCTGTTGATAGTATCTTTTCATGCATAAAGTTTTAAAATTTTCATTGTCCAATCTATCTTTTTTTGTTGTTGCCAGTGCCTTTGGTGTCATACTTAAAACATTGTTGCCCAATTCAGTGTCATGAAACTTTTGCCTGCGTTTTCTCACTATAGGAAACTATAGTAAAAAACATTAAACGTTTTATTGTTTTAGATCTTACATTTAGGTCATGGATTCATTGTTAATTAACTTTTGTATATGGTAGTAGGTAAGGGTCCAACCTCATTCTTTTGCATGTGGATAGCCAGCTTTCCTAGCAGCATTTGTTGAAAAAACTGTCCTTTCCCAACTGAATGGTCTTGGTGCCCCCAACAATCATATGACTTTATATGTGAGGGTTTGTTCTGGGCCCTCTGCTCATTTCTGTGGTCCATTTGTCTGTCTTTATGTCAATGCTGCACTGTTTTGATTACTGTAATTTTAAGTTTTGAAATCAGGAAGAGTGAGTCCTCCAGCTTTGTTCTTCTTTTCAGGATTGTTTTGGCTATTCAGGATCTCTTGAGATTCCATATGAATTTTTGGATGGATCTTTCTATTTCTGAAAAAAAGTCACTGGGATTTTGATAGGGATTGCATTGAACCTGTAAATCACTTTTGGTAATATTGACATCTTAATATTAAATCTTCCAATCAATGACTATGGGGTGTCTTAACATTTGTATGTGTCCTCTTTAATTCCTTTCAGCTGTATTTTATGGTTTTTTTTATTGTACAAGTCTTTCATCTCCTTGGTTAAGTTTATTCCTAAGTGTTTTATTCTTTTTGATGCTATTGGAAATGGAATTGTTTTCTTAATTTCCTTTTTGGATTGTTCATTAGTGAATAGAAATGCAACTGATTTTTGCATGTTGACTTTGTATCCTGCCACTTTGGTGAATTTATTTATTTATTAGTTCTGATAGTATTTTTGTGGAACATTCAGGTTTTCTATATATGAGATCATATCATCCGTGAACAGACATAATTTAACTTCTTTCTTTCTAATTTCGATGCCTTTTATTTCTTCTCTTGTCTTATTGCTCTTGACAGAACTTCCATTATTATGTTGAATAGAAGTGGTGAAAACAGGCATCCTTGCTTTATTCCTGATCTTAGAGGGAAAGCTTTCAGGTCATCACCATTGAATATGAAGTTTGCTTGCATTTCTTTTATATGGCTTTTATTATGTTGAGGTAGTCTCCTTCCATTCCTTGTTTGTTGAGTGTTTTATTTGTTTGTTTTTATCAAGAAAGGGTGTTGAATTTTCTCAAATGCTTTCTCTGCATCAGTTGAAATGATTTTGTGGTTTTCTTTTTTTTTTTTTTTTTTTTTTTTTATTGATAATTCTTGGGTGTTTCTCACAGAGGGGGATTTGGCAGGGTCATGGGACAATAGTGGAGGGAAGGTCAGCAGATAAACAAGTGAACAAAGGTCTCTGGTTTTCCTAGGCAGAGGACCCTGCGGCCTTCCGCAGTGTTTGTGTCCCTGATTACTTGAGATTGGGGATTGGTGATGACTCTTTTTTTTTTTTTTTTTTTATTGATCATTCTTGGGTGTTTCTCGCAGAGGGGGATTTGGCAGGGTCATAGGACAATAGTGGAGGGAAGGTCTGGTTTTCCTAGGCAGAGGACCCTGCGGCCTTCCGCAGTGTTTGTGTCCCTGGGTACTTAAGATTAGGGAGTGGTGATGACTCTTAAGGAGCATGCTGCCTTCAAGCATCTGTTTAACAAAGCACATCTTGCACCGCCCTTAATCCATTTAACCCTGAGTGGACACAGCACATGTTTCAGAGAGCACAGGGTTGGGGATAAGGTCACAGATCAACAGGATCCCAAGGCAGAAGAATTTTTCTTAGTACAGAACAAAATGAAAAGTCTCCCATGTCTACCTCCATCCACACAGACCCGGCAACCATCTGATTTCTCAGTTTTTTCCCCACCCTTCCTGCCTTTCTATTCCACAAAACCGCCATTGTCATCATGGCCCATCCCCAATGAGCCGCTGGGCACACCTCCCAGACGGGTCGTGGCCGGGCAGAGGGGCTCCTCACTTCCCAGTAGGGGCGGCCGGGCAGAAGCGCCCCTCACCTCCCGGATGGGGCGGCTGGCCGGGCGGGGGGCTGACCCCCCCACCATCCTCCCGGACGGGGCGGCTGGCCAGGCAGAGGGGCTCCTCACTTCCCAGTAGGGGCGGCCGGGCAGAGGCGCCCCTCACCTCCCGGACGGGGCGGCTGGCCAGGCGGGGGGCTGGCCCCCCCACCTCCCTCCCGGACGGGGTGGCTGGTCAGGCGGGGGGCTGACCCCCCCACCTCCCTCCCGGACTGGGCGGCTGGCCGGGCGGGGGGCTGACCCCCCCACCTCCCTCCCGGACGGGGCGGCTGGCCGGGCAGAGGGGTCCTCACTTCCCAGTAGGGGCGGCCGGGCAGAGGCCCCCCTCACCTCCTGGACGGGGCGGCTGGCCAGGCGGGGGGCTGATCCCCCCACATCCCTCCCGGACGGGGCGGCTGGCCGGGCGGGGGGCTGACCCCCCCCACCTCCCTCCTGGACGGGGCGGCTGGCCGGGCGGGGGGCTGACCCCCCCACCTCCCTCCCGGATGGGGCGGCTGGCCAGGCGGGGGGCTGACCCCCCCACCTCCCTCCCGGACGGGGCGGCTGGCCGGGCAGAGGGGCTCCTCACTTCCCAGTAGGGGCGGCCAGGCAGAGGCGCCCCTCACCTCCCGGACGGGGCGGCTGGCCAGGCGGGGGGCTGGCCCCCCCACCTCCCTCCCGGACGGGGTGGCTGGTCAGGCGGGGGGCTGACCCCCCCACCTCCCTCCCGGACTGGGCGGCTGGCCGGGCGGGGGGCTGACCCCCCCACCTCCCTCCCGGACGGGGCGGCTGGCTGGGCAGAGGGGCTCCTCACTTCCCAGTAGGGGCGGCCGGGCAGAGGAGCCCCTCACCTCCCAGACTGGGCGGCTGGCCGGGCGGGGGGCTGACCCCCCCACCTCCCTCCTGGACGGGGCGACTGGCTGGGCAGAGGGGCTCCTCACTTCCCAGTAGGGGCGGCCGGGCAGAGGAGCCCCTCACCTCCCGGACGGGGCGGCTGGCCGGGCGGGGGGCTGACCCCCCCCACCTCCCTCCCGGATGGGGTGGCTGCCGGGCGGAGACGCTCCTCACTTCCCAGACGGGGTGGCTGCCGGACGGAGGGGCTCCTCACTTCTCAGACGGGGCGGTTGCCAGGCAGAGGGTTTCCTCACTTCTCAGACGGGGCGGCCGGGCAGAGACGCTCCTCACCTCCCAGACAGGGTTGTGGCCAGCAGAGGCGCTCCTCACATCCCAGACAGGGCGGCGGGGCAGAGGTGCTCCCCACATCTCAGACGATGGGCGGCCGGGCAGAGACGCTCCTCACTTCCTAGATGGGATGGGGGTGGGGAAGAGGCGCTCCTCGCTTCCTAGATGGGATGGCGGCCGGGCGGAGACGCTCCTCACTTTCCAGACTGGGCAGCCAGGCAGAGAGGCTCCTCATATCCCAGACGATGGGGGGCCAGGCAGAGACGCTCCTCACTTCCCAGACGGGGTGGCGGCTGGGCAGAGGCTGCAATCTCGGCACTTTGGGGGTCCAAGGCAGGCGGCTGGGAGGTGGAGGTTGTAGCGAGCCGAGATCACGCCACTGCACTCCAGCCTGGGCACCATTGAGCACTGAGTGAACGAGACTCCGTCTGCAATCCCGGCACCTCGGGAGGCCGAGGCTGGCGGATCACTCGCGGTTAGGAGCTGGAGACCAGCCCGGCCAACACAGCAAAACCCCGTCTCCACCAAAAAAAAAACGAAAACCAGTCAGGCGTGGCGGCGTGCGCCTGCAATCGCAGGCACTCGGCAGGCTGAGGCAGGAGAATCAGGCAGGGAGGTTGCAGTGAGCCGAGATGGCAGCAGTACTGTCCAGCTTTGGCTCGGCATCAGAGGGAGACCGTGGAAGGAGACCGTGGAGAGAGGGGGAGGGGGAGGGGGAGGGGCGATTTTGTGGTTTTCTTCCCTTTAGTCTTCTAATATAGGCTGTTACGTGGATTGATTTTCGTGTGTTGAATCATCCTTGTGTTCCAGGAATAAATCTCACTTGGTCATGGTGTATAATCCTTTTATATGCTCCTGAATTTGGTTTACTAGGATTTTGTTTGGGATTTTTGCATCAATGTTTGTAAGGTAAATTGGTCTACAGTTTTCTTTTCTTGTAGTGTTTTTGTCTTGCTTTGGAATCAGGGTAATGCTGCCCTCATAGATGAGTTAGGGAGTGTTTTCTCTGCTTCAATTTTTTGGGAAAGTCTAAAAAGGGTTTATGTTAGTTCTTTTAAATGGTTGGTGGAACTCACCTGTGAAACTATCAGTTCCAGGGCTTTTCTTTATCAGGAGATTTTTTTATTATGTATTCAATCTCCTTACTAATTATAGGTCTATTCAGAGTTTCTATGTGGCTTAGCCTTGGTAGGTTCTAGTTCTGTGTTTCTAGGAATTTGTCCATTTCACCTAGGTTATCTAATTTATTGCTGTACAATTACTCATAGTACCTTGTAAAGTCATTTTTATTCCCATAGAATCGGTATTAATGTACACACTTTCTCGTTTTAGTATTTGAGTTGTCTCTCTTTTTTCTTAGTTCCTCTACTCTAGCAAAAGGTTTGTCAATTTTGTTTATCTTTTTAAAGAATCAACTTTTGGTGCTGGTGATTTTCTCTATTTTTTTTTCTATTCTCTATTTTATTTATCTTTGGTCTAATCTTTCTTATTTCTATCCTTCTGCTAACTTTGGGTTTAGTTTGTTTTTCTAGTTCCTTAAGTTGTAAAGTTAGATTGCTGGTGTGAGATCTTTCTTTTTATTTTTTATTTTATTTTATTTTTTAGAGATGGGTATCACTCTGTTGCCAAGGCTAGAGTGCAGTGGTGCAATCATAGCTCATTGTAGCCTCGAACTCCTGGACTCAAGTGATTCTTCTACCTCAGCCTCCCAGTAACTGAGACTACAGACACACACCATTATGCCTGGCTAATTTTTAATTTTTATTTATTTACTTATTTTTTTAAAGAGACAGAGTCTCACTAGGTTGCCCAAGCTCTTCTCGAACTCCTGGGCTCAAGCGATCCTTCCACCTCCGCCTACTGAGTAGATGGGATTATAGATTTGAGTCACCGCACCCAACTCTTGTTTTTTAATGTAAACTTTTTTTTTTTTTTTTTTTTGAGATGGAGTCTTGCTTTGTTGCCCAGGCTGGAGTGCAGTGGCACAGTCTCAGCTCACTGCAGCCTCTGCCTCTCGGGTTCAAGCAATTCTCCTGCCTCAGCCTCCAGAGCAGCTGGGATTACAGGCAGGCGCCACCATGCCTGGCTACTTTTTGTATTTTTTTTTTTTTTAGTAGAGGTGGTGTTTCACCATGTTGGCCAGGCTGGTCTTGAACACTTGACCTCAAGTGATCCACCCGCCTTGGCCTCCCAAAGTGCTGGGATTACAGGTGTGAGTCATCCTGCCCAGCCTAATGTAAACATTGATAAATTTCCCCCTTAGCATTGCTTTCACTGCATTTCATAAGTTTTGGTATATTGTGTTTTTGTTTTAATTCACCTTTAGGTTTTTTTCAGTGTCCTTTGTGTTTTCTTCATTGATCTGTTGGTTGTTTTAGTATGTTCTTTACCGTCCACAAATTGTGGATTTTCCAGTTTTTCTTCTGTTGTAGATTTCTAACTTCATTCTATTGTGGTGGAAGAAGATTCTTTGTATAATATCTATCTTTTGAAATCTTTTGAGACTTAATCTGTGACCTAACATATGGCCTATCCTGAAAAATGTCCCATGTACACTTGAGAAGAATGTGTATTCTGTTGTTAGGTACATTATTCTGTCTGTCTGTGAAGTTGAGTCAGTTTGTTGTGTGTTCAAGTCCTCTACTTTATTACTTATCTTCTGTTTGGTGGTTCTAGTCATTATTGTGAGTGGGATATTGAGACTTCCAGCTATTATTGAAGTATTTTTCCCTTCAATTTTGTCAGTGTTTGCTTGACAAATTTTGATGGTCTCTCATTAGGTGTATAAATGTTTATAATTTTTAAATCTTTTTTTGAGACAGGGTCTAACTCTGTCACCCAGGCTGCAGTGCAGTAGCGAGATCTTGGCTCACTGCAACCTCTGCCTCCTCATTGATCCTCCATCTCAGCCTCCTGAGTAGGTAGGACTAGTACCATCATACCCAGTTAATTTTTATATTTTTAGTAGAGATGGGGTTTCACCATGTTGGCTGGGCTGGTCTCGAACTCCTGAGCTCAAGCAGTCCACCTGCCTTAGCCTCTCACAGTGCTGGGAGTACAGGCATGAGCCACCACACTTGATTTGAATATTTATAATTCTTTTTTTTTATCTTCTTGCTATATCAAACCATTTATTTATTTATTTATTTATTTATTTATTTATTTATTTATTTATTTATTTTTGAGACGGAGCCTCACTCTGTCGCCCAGGCTGGAGTGCAGTGACGCAATCTCAGCTCACTGCAAGGTCTGCCTCCCAGGTTCACACCATTTTCCTGCCTCAGCTTCCTGAGTAGCTGGGACTATAGGTGCCTGCCGCCATGCCTGGCTAATTTTTTTTTTGTTTTTTTTTTTGTTTTTTTAGTGGAGATGGGGTTTCACTGTGTTGCCAGGATGGTCTCAATCTCCTGACCTCGTGATCTGCCCACCTTGGCCTCCCAAAGTGCTGAGATTACAGGCGTGAGCCACCACACCCGGCCTGAACCTTTTATTAATATATGATGTCCTTTGTCTCTTGTAACCGCTTTCAGTTTAAGGTCTATTTTGGTCAGCTACAGTAACTCACTCCTATAATCCCAGCACTTTGAGAGGCTGAGACAGGAGGATCACTTGAGGCAGAAGTTTGAGACTAGCCTGGGCAACATAGTTAGACCCCCATCTCTACAAAAAAATTTAAAAATTAGCCAGGTGTGATAGCGCATGTCTGTAGTCCCAGCTACTTGGGAGTCTAAGGCAGGAGGATTGTTTGAGCCCAGGAATTCGAAGATACAGTGAGCTATCATCATGCCATTGCACTACAGCCTGGGTAACAGCGTGAGACTCTCTTTCAGTATAGCTCTTTTGGTTACTATTTGGATGAATATCTTTTTCATCCATTTTCAGCCTGTTTGTGTATTTAGATGTAAATTGAGTCTCTAGTAGACAAGCATATAGTTGGATCAGGTTTTTAATCCATTCTGTCAATCCCTGTCTTTTGATTGGAGAGTTTAATCCATATACATTTAAAGTACTTAACTGATACAGTGGCACTTACTTCTGTCATTTTGCTATTAGTTTTCTAGATGCCTTATAGCTTTTTTTTGTTTGTCATTTTCTGTATTGCTGTCGTCTTCTGTGTTGATTTTTTGCAGTGAAACATTTATATTCCTTTCTCATTCCCTTTTGTGTATGTTATATAGCTGTTTTCTTTTTTTAAAATTATTATACTTTAAGTTCTAGGGTACATGTGCACAAAGTGTAGGTTTGATAAATAGGTATATATGTGCCATGTTGGTTTGCTGCACCCACCAACTCGTCATTTACATTAGATATTTCTCCTAATGCTATCCCTCCGCCAGCTCCTCACTCCCTGACAGGCCCCGGTGTATGATGTTCCCCGCCCTGTGTCCAAGTGATCTCATTGTTCAGTTCCTACCTATGAGTGAGAACATGCAGTGTTTGGTTTTCTGTCCTTGTGATAGTTTGCTGAGAATGATGGTTTCCAGCTTCATCCATGTCCCTGCAAAGGACATGAACTCATCCTTTTTTATGGCTGCATAGTATTCCATGGTGTATATGTGCCACATTTTCTTAATCCAGTCTATCATTGATGGACATTTGGGTTGGTTCCAAGTCTTTGCTGTTGTGAATAGTGCCATAATAAACATATGTGTGCATGTGTCTTTATAGCAGCATGATTTATAATCCTTTGGGTATATACCCAGTAATGGGATGGCTGGGTCAAATGTTATTTCTAGTTCTAGATCCTTGAGGAATTGCCACATTGTCTTCCACAATGGTTGGACTAAATTACACTCCCACCAACGGTGTAAAAGTGTTCCTGTTTCTCCGCATCCTCTCCAGCACATGTTGTTTCATGACTTTTTAATGATTGCCATTCTAATTGGCATGAGATGGTATCTCATTGTGGTTTTGATTCGCATTTCTCTGATGACCAGTGATGATGAGCATTTTTTCATGTGTTTTTTGGCAGCTTAGATGTCTTCTTTTGAGGAGTGTCTGTTCATATCTTTTGCCCACTTGTTGATGGGGTTGTTTGTTTTTTTCTTGTAAATTTGTTTGAATTCTTTGTAGATTTTGGACATTAGCTCTTTGTCTGATGGATAGATTGCAAAAATTTTCTCCCATTCTGTAGGTTGCCTGTTCACTCTGATGGTAGTTTCTTTTGCTGTGCAGAAGCTCTTTAGTTTAATTAGATCCCATTTGTCAATTTTGGCTTTTGTTGCCATTGCTTTTGGTGTTTTAGACATGAAGTCCTTGCCCATGCCTATGTCCTGAATGGTATTGCCTAGGTTTTCTTCTAGGGTTTTTATGGTTTTAGGTCTAACATGTAAGTCTTTAATCCATTTTGAATTAATTTTTGTATAAGGTGTAAGGAAGGGATCCAGTTTCAGCTTTCTACATATGGCTAGCCAGTTTTCCCAGCACTATTTATTAAATAGGGAATCCTTTCCCCATTTCTTGTTTTTATCAGGTTTGTCAAAAATCAGATGGTTGTAGATGTGTGGTGTTATTTCTGAGGGCTCTGTTCTGTTCCATTGGTCTATATCTCTGTTTTGGTACCAGTACCATGCTGTTTTGGTTACTGTAGCCTTGTAGTATAGTTGAAGTCAGGTAGTATGATGCCTCCAGCTTTGTTCTTTTTGCTTAGGATTGTCTTGGCAATGCGGGCTCTTTTTTGGTTCCATATGAACTTTCAAGTAGTTTTTTCCAATTCTGTGAAGAAAGTCATTGGTAGCTTAATGGGGATGGCATTGAATCTATAAATTACTTTGGGCAGTATGGCCATTTTCATGATATTGATTCTTTGTATCCGTGAGCATGGAATATTCTTCCATTTGTTTGTGTCCTCTTTTATCTCGTTATTTCATCGAGCAGTGGTTTATAGCTCTCCTTGAAGAGGTACTTCACATCCCTTGTAAGTTGGATCCCTAGGTATTTTATTCTCTTTGAAGCAATTGTGAATGGGAGTTCACTCATAATTTGGCTGTTTGTCTGTTATTGGTGTATAGGAATGATTGTGATTTTTGCACACTGATTTTGTATCCTGAGACTTTGCTGAAGTTGCTTATCAGCTTAAGGAGATTTGGGGCTGAGATGATGGAGTTTTCTAAATATACAATCATGTCATCTGCAAACAGGGACAATTTGACTTCCTCATTTCCTAATTGAATATCCTTTATTTCTTTTTCTTGCCTGATTGCCCTGGCCAGAACTTCCAACACTGTGTTGAATAGGAGTGGTGAGAGGGAGCATTCTTGTCTTGTGCCGATTTTCAAAGGGAATGCTTCCAGTTTTTGCCCATTCGGTATGATACTGGCTGTGGGTTTGTCATTAATAGCTCTTATTATTTTGAGATACGTTCCATCAATACCCAGTTTATTGAGAGTTTTTAGCATGAAGCGCTGTTGAATTTTGTTGAAGGCCTTTTCTGCATCTATTGAGATAATCATGTGTTTTTTGTGGTCGGTTCTGTTTATGTGATGGATTACGTTTATTGATTTGTGTATGTTGAACCAGCCTTGCATCCCAGGGATGAAGCCGACTTGATCGTGGTAGGTAAGCTTTTTGATGTGCTCCTGGATTCGGTTTGCCAGTATTTTATTGAGGATTTTCGCATCGATGTTCATCAGGGATATTGGTCTAAAATTCTCTTCTTTTTGTTATGTCTCTGCCAGGCTTTGGTATCAGGATGCTGCTGGCCTCATAAAATGAGTTAGGGAGGATTCCCTCTTTTTCTATTGATTGGAATAGTTTCAGAAGGAATGGTACCAGCTCCTCTTTGTACCTCTGGTAGAATTTGGCTGTGAATCCTTCTGGTTCTGGACTTTTTTTGGTTGGTAGGCTATTAATTATTGCCTCAATTTCAGAGCCTATTATTGGTGTATTAAGAGATTCATCTTCTTCCTGGTTTAGTCTTGGGAGGGGGTATGTGTCCAGGAATTTATCCATTTCTTCTAGATTTTCTAGTTTATTTGTGTAGAAGTGTTTATAGTGTTCTCTGATGATAGTTTGTATTTCTGTGGGATCGGTGATGATATTCCCTTTATCATTTGTTATTGTGTCTATTTGATTCTTCTCTCTTTTCTTCTTTGTTAGTCTTGCTAGTGGTTTATCAATTTTGTTGATCTTTTCAAAAAACCAGCTCCTGGACTCATTGATTTTTTTTAAGGGTTTTTATGTCTCTGTCTCTTTCAGTTCTGCTCTGATCTTAGTTATTTCTTGCCTTCTGCTAGCTTTTGAATTTGTTTGTTCTTGCTTCTTTTAATTGTGATATTAGGGTGTCGATTTTAGATCTTTCCTGCTTTCTCTTGTGGGCATTTAGTGCTTATGCTGTTTTCTTTGCACTTATCATGAGGATTATATTTAAGATCCTAACGTGGTAACACAATAATTTGAATTTATACCAGCTTAGCTTTCTTTTCTTTTATTTTTTTTTTTAAGTGAAAACAAGTTTATTAAGAAAGTGAAGGAGGCCGGATGCGGTGGCTCACGCATGTAACTCCAGCACTTTGGAAGGCCCAGGCAGGCAGATCACCTGAGGTCAGGCGTTCAAGACCAGCCTGACCAACATGGTGAAACCCCATCTCTACTAAAAATTCAAAAATTAGCCAGGCGTGGTGGCACATGCCTGTAGTCTCAGCTACTTGGAAGAATCGTTTGAACCCAGGAGGCAGAGGTTGCAGTGAGCCGAGATCGTGGCACTGCACTCCAGCCTGGGTAACAGAGTGAGTCTTCATCTCAAAAGAAAAAAAAAAAGTAAAAGAATAAGGAATGACCTCCAGAGGCAGAGCAGTGACAGCTTAACTTTCATAACATAGAAAAACTCTGCTCCTTTCCAGCTTAGTTTCCATCCCTTTCAGTTGTTAATGTCACAAGATAATATCTTTATACAGGGTGTGTCCAAAATATAAACTAATACTTTTTTAATGCAGTAATCTCTCAAATTATGTAAAAAAACAAAATATGGAGTTATAAACTAAAGTTACAATAACATTAGCTTTTAGACTAATTTTTTTTAATGTATCAGTCTCTTAACGCAGAAAGCCAAAAGTGGAGCTACAAACCATGGTTACAAAAGAGTTACGAACCATGGTTACAAAAACCCCTGTAAATACATGGGCTTTTTTTTTTTTATTTTTTATTTATTTTTTTATTTTTTGAGATGGAGTCTCACTCTGTCACCTAGGCTGGAGTGCAGTGGCGTGATCTCGACTCACTGCAAGCTCCGCCTCCCGGCTTCACGCCATTCTCCTGCCTCAGCCTCCCAAGTAGCTGGGACTAAAGGCGCCCGCCACCACGCCTGGCTAATTTTTTTGTATTTTTAGTAGAGACGGGGTCCCACCGTGTTAGCCAGGATGGTCTCAATCTCCTGACCTCGTGATCCACCCTCCTTGGCATCCCAAAGTGCTGGGATTACAGGCATGAACAGTACATGGGCTTTTATAATTTGCCATATATTTACCTTTACTGAGATCTTTATTTCTTCACTCAACTCTCTAGTGTGCTTTCATTTCAACCTGCAGGACCCCCTTTAGCATTTCTTGCAGGGCAGGTCTAGTATTAAGAAACTCCCTCAGCTTTTTTTTTTTTTTTTTTTTTTTTTTTTCCTGACTGATACGCTTAATTTCTCCCTCATTTTTGAAGGATAGTTTTACTGGATATAAAATTCTTGGTTGACAGGTTTTTTGTTTTTTGTTTTTTTTTCTTTTAGCAGTTTACCACCTTATGGCCCCCTAGGTTTCTGATGAGAAATCTGTTGATAATCTTATTAAGGTTCCCTTTTATGTGATAAGGTGTTTTTCTTTTGCTGCTTTCAAATTTCTCGTTGTCTTTTTGTTTGTTTTTTGAGACAGAGTCTCAGTCTGTCACCCAGGCTAGAGTGCAGTAGTGCAATCTCAGCTCACTGCAACCTCTGCATCCCAGGCTCAGATGATCCTCCTGCCTTAGCCTCCCAAGTAGCTGGGACTACAGGCATCTGCCACCACGCCTGGCTAATTTTTATATTTTTTTGTAGAGATGGGGTTTTGCCATGTTGCCCAGGCTGGTGTCAAACTCCTGACCTCAAGTGATCTGCCCACCTTGGCCTCCCAAAGTGCTGGGATTACAGGCGTGAGCCAGTGTGCCTGGCCCTTTCTAAAGGTTGATTATAATGTGTCCTGGTGTGGGTCTCTGAATCCTGTTTTGAGTTTGTTGAGCTTCTTGGATGTTTGTATTCATCTCTTTCATCAAATTTGGGATGTTTTTGGCCATTGTTTCTTCAGATGTTTTCTCTCCCTTTCTCTTTCTGTTTTCCTTTTGGGACTCCCACAATGCATACGGTTATCCACTTGATGGTGTCTCATCAATCCCTTAGATCAGTTCACTTTTCCTTAATCTTTTTTCTTTCTGTTCCTCAGACTAGATAGTATTCATTGTACTCATTATTCACTCATTCTTTCTTCTGCCTGCTCAAATCTGCCTTTGAATCCCTGCATTGAATTTTTCGTATCAGTTATTTCAGTTCCAGAACTTATTTTTCATTTCTTTTTAGGTTTTCTGTCTCTTTATTGATATTTTCCATTTGTTTATACATTGTTTTCTTGGCTTTCTCCATGTCTCCTTTAGCTCTTTGAGCATCTTTAAGACAGTTGTTTTAAAGTCTTTGTCTAGTGGATTTGCCATTGTCTTTTTTCAGGGACAGTATCTGTTGGTTTATATTTTTCCTTTGAATGAGCCATACTTTTCTGTTTCTTTGTATGACTGGTGATTTTTTTTTTTTTGAAAATTGGACATTTAAATCCAGTAATATGGTAACTGTGGAAACAGATTCTCCCCCTTCTCTGGGTTTACTGTTTTTTGGGTTTATTTTTGGTATTTTGATTGTTACAGGATGTGTCTGTGCCAAGAATCAGCCAGAGGTATACATGTTAGGTCTCCTCAGATCTTTTCTGAGCCTGTGCTCTTCCCTGGGCATGCATAGCAACTTTCTAATTTCCCCTATATATGTGGTTGCTTTTGAATATCCTGGTCTTTAATGTCCGGGTCCCAGAGAGGGAAAAAGAAAAAAGTGAAGGAGGGTGAAAAAAATGCTGCCCCCTTTAATCCTCTGAAAGTCACTTCAGCGTGAGTGGGAAGACCTTGCAGCAGTGTGGTGGAGGTGCAACAACAGTGATTACCGTCTGTGTCTCTGTCTGCACCTTTGTGATCAGAAGCAGCCAACATTGATCAGAGCATAGATTCATATTTAGAGGACAGGGTCCTTTTCTCCCCTGCTGTCTCCCACAAACTGTGTGCAAGCCACTCCAGGAATAAGTGCGTAGCTGCCTGCAGTGGGGATGGGAGCTTTGAGATGGCTGGTGCTATTATGATGACAGCTGAAATAGACTGAAAGTAATTATAATTCATCATCCAGGCCTTCCTCTGGATGTTGCAAGCCTTCAATAGACTCTAGAGCTACAAAATAGTTACATCAGACAGAGTGCACCAGTGCAATTATTTAGTTGGGAAGATAAATTCCTGGTGCTTCCTACCACAGTCTTCCCCAAATTCCCTTTTTAGTTACTTTTTTTAGGAACCCCCATACTGTTTTCCCCAGCAGGTGCACCATTTTACATTGTCACCAGCAATGCACAAGGGTTCCAAGGATATGGAGAACATCCTTGCCAACACTTGTTATTTTCCATTGTTTGGATAATAGCCATCCTAATGATTAAGTGGTATCTCATTGTGTTTTGTATTTCCCTCATGATTAGTGATGTCGAGCATCCTTCATATGCTTATTGGCTGTTTGTATATCTCCTTTGGAGAAATGCCTATTTAAATCCTTTGCCCAATTGTGTGGTTTGTTGTTTTATCTTTTTAAATTTAGCTCCTTTTCATATTTGCCTTCCTTATAAATAACTCCTGCTTCTTCTGGTAATCTGCTTGAGGAATGAGATCATTTCTTTGCTATTTCCTACAGTGCTAGTACATAGTAGTGTGTGCCTGGTAAACACTTATAGTGGTAGGATAGGCCAGTCATACAGCCAGCTTTTGAAAGCCTGCTTAATTGACTACTACAGTTGGTGACTGGGGACTTTGAGACAGTGAGGAAATTAACACGAATTGTGTGCCTCCTCTTTGCTAGGTGCTGTGGTAGGCATAACTTTATATAGTTCCCATAATACTCCTTTAATATGTCACACTTACAGATGAAGGATTTGAATTAAGGGAAGTTAAATTTAGACTCCCTCAACATCACACAGGTTTTAAATGGCAATCCTTGGATTCCAATTCCGGGTCTACCTGACTCCAAACTTTTTCATTATACCATGTGGTCTCCCTTCCCTAGTCTGGTAAGTTCAAACAGAGAGCAAGCCTGCGAACCTGGAAATTGTTTAGGGCAGATGAGCAGTTGAACATTTACTTAATAGGAGACAGAGAATCGTGCTATATTGCCGAGGCTGGCTTTGAACTTCTAGGCTTAAGCAGTCCTCTCACCTCTGCATACCAAGTAGTTGGTAACTACAGCCTATTCCATTTTACTTAATTATTCAAGAGGAAAAGGTAGAGATTGTGAAATGCTAATTTTATAGCAGTGAACAGGATTCCTCGAAGACACTGAGGTGTGTCGTTTGTGGATACTGATGACCTTTGGAAATACTGTGTCTACTTTTGGGTGTGACATCCTCTGTTCTTGTTTCTTTGGTACCATAAATTAGGGCCACTGGCCATGGCCAAATGGGTGCCTAACACAGAAGGATGAAGTGCTTTTCATTGCTTACCACAAATTCCCTTGAACCCTTTACTTCTCTGAGACTTAAGAAATGCAAGAATAAAGGGAACAGAGTTTTATCAAAATCCTATTGTGTGCTAGGCAAACCCTAGAAGGGACATGATTATTATCTTGCTTTTACATATGAGAAAATTGAGGCTCAAAGATGTAAGATAAATTGTCCAGATTCACACAGCTAATAAATAAGGGAGCTGAATTCAGCTTTTTCCATGCTGCCTCCATTAAAAAGTTCCTCTGTCTTGCCCTCTGGTGGGTTTCGGAGGTCCTGGGAGAAATGTTTGTATCCTCACCAAACATTGTGGTGGGTGGCATCTTACATGGGGCTTGTTCTGCACTTGCAGTTTCTTCTGCCACATGGTTTAACCAGAGCAATGATGACTGCCGTTGCCCCCTCGAGGTTAGCACTCCTCTGAGGTCACAGGGTGGGGATAAATGTTCTGAAGGAATCAGCCTTAGAAAGCACACTTTTTCTAAGTATCCCGAAGGAATCAATCACTAACGCACATCACAAAATTCTCTCCAAGTTGGGAAGATGGTTTTAGACTTTCTCTTTCTTTTCTTTTTTTTTTTTTTTTTTTTTTTTTGAGGTGGGAGTCTCGCACTCTCGTCCAGGCTGGAGTTTGGTGGCACAATCTCGGCTCACTGCAAGCTCCACCTTCCAGGTTCACGCCTTTCTTCTGCCTCAGCCTCCCAAGTAGCTGGGACTACAGGCACCCGCCACCACGCCCAGCTAATTTTTTGTATTTTTACTAGAGATGGGGTTTCACCGTGTTAGCCAGGATGGTCTCGATATCCTGACCTTGTGATGGGCCCGCCTCGGCCTCCCAAAGTGCTGGGATTACAGGCGTGAGCCACCGCGCCCGGCCAGACTTTCCCTTTCTTTAAGAAGAGAAGGGAGTGCCTTTGAGAACTAGAGTTTAAGTAAAGGATACATATAGCTTAAGTGCTTTTATCTTTGAAATATACTATGACCAATAGACTCGAAAATTTCTTATTGTTTTTGGGGGTATCATAGTCAATTTGGGCTCCTATAACAGAATACCATAAACCGGGTGGCTTAAACAGCAAGCATTTATCTCTGATAGTTCTGGTGGCTGGGAAATCCAAGGTCAAGGTGCCGGCAGATTTGCCTCTGCCGAGGACCTGCTCCCTGGTTTGCAGATGGCTATCTTCTTGCTGTGGCCTCACATGGCTGGGAACAGAAAGAGTGAGGGGAGGCTCTCACATCTCTTCTTCTAGTGACACTAGTCCCATTCATGAAGCCTCTATACTCATGATCTACTCACCCACTAAGGTCCCCACCTCCTAATACCATTACACTGGGGATTAGGATTTCAACATAGGAAATTTGGGGAAACACAAACATTCAGTCCATACGGGGGAATTTTCTTTTTTCAGAATCTGTTGTTTAATTATACCTTCACAGTAACTTTTGTCAAAGTTATATTTAATTTCTACTTCCTGGATTCTGTAGCAGTAAATGGAGCTCGTTATGTGTCCCAATATTTGTAATACTGATTTCTAGTCCTAGAAGTATCTAAGCCTCTCAGAGTTAAGGAATTCGGTTTGGTAATAGGCTAAGCTAATAGCCATATGGCTCTGCACTGTGCTATAGAGAAACTGTGGGTTTCCCCCCACCTGACATCTCAGAATGAAAAAGATCACTCTGCAGAATATTTCCCACACTTCTAACCCTGATGATTTTTCCACTCAACATTTTACACAAAGAGGTAGGTACAGATGGTAGTTTGCTGGATCTCTGGAATATTCAGTCTTGGTCTTCACTCACTCCCTGGAGCCTACTCCTCATTTTTGTATAAGCAAAGTGGTTTAAACAGGGTCTTAGGAAATATCTCCAGTATTTACCATTTGCAAACCTAACCCTTAATATATGGAATCTGTTAGATCAGGTTTTTAACTCAGTAAACATCTTTGGGTGCATCCCCGTATTAAACTAAAGAAGAAGTAGAAAACTGAAGGCAATGGCCCTGTTGCTTAACTGTAAGGAACATGTAATTTAGAAACTTCTTCTCTTTAACATGGAAAACTAACCATAAGTATGTGGATCAACGTTCTTCTTTATGGAGTATTAGGAGTGAAGTGTCATGATGTTATGGTGTTTTTAACGGCTCAGCAAAAGAAAAAAAATTATATAGTGAGATGAAGTAGATATGACAAAATATTAGTTGTTGAATCTAGGTGGTGGGTATTTGGGTATACATTTTTCCCCTACTTTTCTACATTTAAAAATTTTCATAATAAAGGGTAAAGCAGAAAAATCCTAAGTGTAAAAAACATTTATAAAACTATACAAAAAATAATTTCAAGGTTCATTCTCTATTAATGGTATTGGAGTTGGTAGGAAATAATTAAAATAGGAGTATAAATCCAGAAGCCCGCAGAGGCCAGGCAGGTAATGTGGGTGAGTGGAGCTGCCGGGCATTGGACAGGAGGGAGATGGTGGGGACTGAGCAAACAGGCAAGTGCACAACTCATTGAAAGCATTCCAAAAATTTAAAAAATCTTAATGCTCATTCAGAATGAAACACTTCAGAGGACTGGAAGTTTGTGGTCTCCTAAAAATGACAAAATTTACCGTCTCTAAATTTGCCCAGCTTTCTGTCCTTCTCCCTCTTTTCAGAAGATCCAGGAGAGGCGTAGCTATCAATACGAGAGGGAGATGGTTTCCTGGCACAAGAGGGTGATGGGAAAACATTGTGTTCAATGCCTCTAGAATTTGCCTGGGTTGCCACAACTTTGTTGCTTCAGGAATGGAAAATGTGGCCCATCTTCTTATTTTCTCTGTCCTGTCTTGCTCCTGCTATGACCCGGGGCAGGATTTGCGGTGGGTTTATGGAGATTCCTATGAGTCAAGGAAGCACATTCTGAGGATAGAGTCATGCACCTGGGTTTTGTTTTTAGATGGTTAGAGGGAGGCTGCAATTGTGATTTATAAGAATGACTTAAAGTGTAATTCCTTTGATTTTGAAGTTGGCTAGGCAACTTAATTTGAACATCCTAGTGTGCCTATTAGACCTGGCAACCTTCTCAAAATCCCCCTCCTACTTCCCTCGTTTCCCTCACCCTCCACCTTTTTCTCAAGAGGTAGAAGTGAGAGTTTTGTTTTGTGAGCTAAGGTTGGGTTCTGGGCCCTCTGCTTCAGCCACCTGGCAGCTTGGGCTGGCCCTGTAGCCTTCCTCCACTTCATTCTGCGATTCAGGCTCCCAATAGTCTTCTGAAGCACCGGAGAGCTTCCTCATGCACCTTAGAAGAGCAGATTCAGACTGAGACAAGGACTCGCTCTTAGGCATATATGCAGCCTACAGAGATCCTGGGAAGCCTTTTTCCTCCTAATATCTTCCTAGACTTATGCTTTCCTTGGAATTCCAGCAATAGAACTGCATACTCGTACCCTAATCAAGAACCTTTTATGTACTAGGTGCTCTACTAGACATGAGATAAAAAGATAAGCAAAACGTGGTCCCTGTCTTCAACCAGCTCACCATTTGTTATACCACTTTAATCACCTTAGAGAAAATTTTTTTTTTTTTTTTTGAGACAGAGTCTTGCTCTGTCACCCAGGCTGGAGTGCAGTGGCAAGATCTCGGCTCACTGCAAGCTCTGCCTCCTGGGTTCACGCCATTCTCCTGCCTCAGCCTCCCGAGTAGCTGGGACTACAGGCGCCTGCCACCACGCCTGGCTAATTTTTTTATATTTTTAGTAGAGACGGGGTTTCACCATGTTAGCCAGGGTGGTCTCGATCTCCTGACCTCGTGATTCGCCTGCCTTGGCCTCCCAAAGTGCTGGGATTACAGGCGTGAGCCACTGTGCCTGGCCGATAAAATGTTTTAAGATGTGTTCGGCCATATGAACTTTGGTGAGAATTAAAGATGAGGTTTTTACTTATGGAGTAGGGGGCACTTGGGATGGGTGAAGAAGGGAGAACTGCCCTGAAGTTCTTACTCATAGATGAGGAAAAACCTCAGCTTTTTGTTAAAATGAGTTTATTTATTTAAAAAATATTTAAGGGGGAAATGCATTCATTTGGTTAAAAAAAGTTCTGTTAAAAGTATACTATGAAATTCCCCCTCTTTACCCCTTGCCTCCATCTAATTCTTATATATCATTTCAGAGTTTATTTATGTAAATATAAGTAAATCTGAACATATACTCTTGTTTACTTGCACCCCAACCCCCATTTTTATGCAATGATAGCACACTCTATGCATCTATATACCTTTTAAAAATTTTATCTTATGGAGGTTTTTTTCCATGTAAGTACATAGAGAGCGCCCTCATTCTTTTCTTTGTTCATGTAATACTATTTATAGATATACCCTGATTTAATTAACAGGCCCTCTATTCAGGGACATTGTGGTGTTTGCTGACCTTTGCTGTTACAGTCACTGCTGCAATGAATACTCTTGTATATACATCATTTAGCTTGTGTGCTACTGTGTGTGTAAATTCCTAGTGGTGAAGCTGTTGCATCAGAGGCTATGCATTTGTAATTTTGTTATCCATGCCAAATTGCCCTCCTCCATAGGGTGTTAACAACTTACACACTAAGCAGCAAAACCTCTTTCCTCACAGCTCCACCTACAAAGTATTTTTCATGCTTTTCGTTTTTACCAATTTGACAGGTGAAAAATGGGCTTGTGGTAAAGTTTCAATTTGTTTTTCTTATTATAAGTGAGGTTGTGCATCTTTTCTTATAGTTGAGGTATTGGTATTTCCTTTTCTGTGAAATATCTTTTCATAACTTTTGTTCATCTTTCTTTTGCTAATTCTTTTTTTTTTTTTTTTTTGAGACGGAGTCTTGCTCTGTCGGCAGGCTGGAGTGTGGTGGCATGATCGCGGCTCACTGCAAGCTCCGCCTCCGGGTTCAAGCGATTCTCCTGCCTCAGCCTCCTGAGTAGCTGGGAATACAGGTGCCTGCCACCATGCCCAACTAATTTTTGTATTTTTAGTAGAGACGGGGTTTCACCATGTTGGCCAGGATGGTCTTGATCTCTTGACCTCGTGATCTGCCCGCCTCGGCTTCCCAAAGTGCTGGGATTACAGGCGTGAGCCACTGCGCCTGGCCCTTTTGCTAGTTTTTAATTTGCCAATTTCTTTTCTTGTTTTTTTAGAGATGGAGTTGGATCTTGGCTCACTTCAGCCTTTGCCTCCCGGGTTCGAGAGATTCTTCTGCCTCAGCCTCTCAAGTAGCTGGGACTACAGGTGCATGCCACCACACCCACCTACTTTTTGTATTTTTAGTAGAGATGGGGTTTCACCGTGTTAGCCAGGCTGGTCTTGAACTCCTGACCTCAGGTGATCTGCCCGCCTCAGCCTCCCAAAGTGCTGGAATTATAGGCATGAGCCACTGTGCCCAGCCTTATTTGCAATTTCTAGGCACTCTTTATATATTAGGAAGTTTACCCTATGTGATATGAGTTATCACAATAGGAGGAAAAAGGCTTCCTGGGGTCTCTGCAGGTTTTTTATTTTCCTCAGATTTTGGGTATTCTTTTTGTATTTTAAATTTTAACTTGTGTTTGTTGTCATGAGGAGTCTTGGTTTTTGTATTGTTGAATTTATCAGTGTTTCCTTTATGGCTTTTGCATTATCCTGGTCCACTGTTAATGGCACAAAATCGTTCATTCCTTTTTCCATGGTGCCTCCTTCCTCTTTTCCTCTTTCAATTTCGGATTGACAGCAAAATGCTTTTGGTATCTTCTCCCAAGTTTGCGTTCCTGGAAATGTATTTCTTGTCAGTGATAGGGTAGCCCTTGATAGTTTTGTTAGGAGATTTTAGTGGTCTGTAGCATTCCCATTTTCTTGGTACAGGCACTCTGGGAAACTGACAGTTTCTTATAAAACTAAACATGCAATTACCATATGACCCAGCAATTGCATTCTTGGGCATTTATCCCAGAGAAATGAAAACTTATGTTTACACAAAAACCTGTACATGACTGCTCACAGCAGACTTGTTTGTAATAGCCCCAAACTGGAAACAGTCCAAATGTCCTCCAATGGGTGAATGGTTTAACAAACTCTGATACATATATACCATGGAATACTACTCAGAAATAAAAAAAGAATTAACCATTGATATATCAACAACATAGACACATCTCTAAAGTTTTATGTTGGGCAACTAAAAAGATTCAATCCTAAAAGCTTACATCATGTATTATTTCATTTATATAACACTTTTGAAAGGACAAAATTTTAGAAATGTTGAATGGATTAATGGTTGCCAGTGTTTTAAAGATGGAAAGGGGGATGAGAGAAAGAGTGGGGTAGGTATAGTTACAAAAGCAGCACAAGAACTCTTTGTGGTGATGGAACTTTTCAGCATCTGACCATGGTGATGAATACATGAACTTGTGTATAGGAAAAAAAACTAAATACAGACACAAATCAGTGCAAATAAAATGAGGAAATCTGGGCTGGGCACAGTGGCTCATGCCTGTAATCCCAGCACTTTGGAAGGCTGAGGCAGCTGGATCACCTTAGGTCAAGAGTTTGAGATCAGCCTGGCCAACATGGTGAAACCCTGTCTCTACTAAAAAATGCAAAAATTAGGCAGGAATGGTGGCACATGCCTGTAATCCCAGCTACTCAGGGGCCTTGTTCAATTGCTTGAACAAGGTTTCAGTGAGCTGAGGAGATCATTCCACTGTGCTCCAGCCTGGAAGACAGAGCGAGACTGTGTCTCAAAAAAAAAAAAAAAAAAAAAAAAAAGGAAATCTGCCCGGGTGCAGCGGCATACTCCTGTAGTCCCAGCTACTTGGGAAGCCAAGGTGGGAGGATCTCTTGAGCTTAGGAGTTTGAGGCCAGCCTCAGCAACAGAGGGAGATACCATCTCTAAACCAAAAAAGGGAGGGATGGGTAGGATCTGAATAAGGTCAGATTATATCTATGTCAATATCCTGGTTGTGATATTGTACCATAGTTTTACAAGATGTTTCCATTGAGGGAAATTGGGTAAAGGGGACACGGGATCCTATACATAGGATCTCAATAAAAATTTCAATTAAAAAATTCCCAATTTCTGCTAATACTGGATTCACCAAAACATACTGCCTGGAAGCAGGTTCAGGTCAAGTAACTGGTGCTCTCCTGTGTTAGGACTTGTAGTGCAGCAGCTGAGCAGTGGAATGTGGAGGAGCCTAGCAGTGCCTCGGGTTCCAGCCCTGTATGCTGCTCTGTCTCAGAAGATCTGAGAGCATCGACCAGCATTTCCCAGGATTCTCTGGGACAACCTAGCTGGGTAGCCCTTCATACAGCCTGTCTGGAGGGAGAGAATACTGGCTTCAGCTCTAATATATCAGAACAGTGTGGTGTGGATGTTGGTGGTTGGGGACAGTGAGGGGTGGACATTGGTGGTTGGGGTCGGTGAGGAAGGGTTCCCAAGATGAGCTTTGGCCAGGTGAGGTGGCTTACACTGAGGCGGGAGGATCGCTTGAGCCCAGAAGTTCGAGACCAACCTGGGCAGCAAAACCCTGTCTCTACTAAAAATACAAAAACTAGCTGGCTGTGGTAACAAGTGCCTGTGGCCTCAGCTACTCTGGAGGCTGAGGTAGGAAGATTGCTTGGGTCCAGGAGGTCGAGGTTGCAGTGAGCTAAGATCACGCCACTGCACTCCAGATGGGCAACAGAGCAAGACTCTGTCTCAAAAAAAAAAAAAAAAAAAAAAAGCTTTGCTGTGCCCTGCACGTGACCTACTGTCATATGTATTCTGTGTTCCTTGTGCTGTAGCATTGGCTCTGCTGTGAGACAGAATGGTCTGGCATGTGGTAGGGCGATCACTGGGATCCCCAAGACCCTGCTAGGGAATCTCTGAGGTCAAAACTATGTTTGTAATAATACTTAGACATTATTTGCAAAACATGCTCATTCTCTTACAGAAGTGTCCAGTGGAGTTTTCCAGAGGCTAAATGATGTGAAATAGCAACAGATTAAATGCAGAAGCAGCTATGATATTCCAGCTGTTTTCTATTAAGGCAGACATTAAAAAGACATTAATAAAAATAAACCAGTGGCATCATTTCACTTTTTTGGTTTGGAAGAATATTTTCCTTAAAATGTTATTTTTGTTAATGTATAAAGGGGTTATCATTATATTTAAATGATTTAATATTTAAGAATGTTCTCAGTTTTAATTTTTATAGGTGAATATCAAAAGATAAAACTCACATAAAAGCTCTTTGGGGTCCTTGGTAATTTTTGAGAGTGTAGAGGTTCTGATAATTGAGAACTGTTGATTTGGCAGAAAGCAATAGGCTTAATTTCTAGACTGGGCTTTGCTTTGTGAATGTGGGCATCATTTGGCCTCTTCAATTGATTTCTTCTCCTGCAAATGCTATTAATTGCCCTGCTACATACCTATAAAAATATAATCCCCTATGCAAATACAGGGGAGATTAATGGTTACCTGGCTAAGCTGGTGTTGAAAGAAAATGTAAAGAATGAGTTTCTGGCCTGTTAGCTGACAGTCTGTTTACTTGTTAAATGTCTCCATTTTAGCATCTCCTAGCAGTTTCTGTATACATTTGATTTCTTTTTCTCAGTTTTTCAGACAACCATTTTAATTATTTTTAAAAATTATATTCCCACATTTTCAATTAATAAGGGATTTATATTCCTAGTACCTTGAAGTGATGTGATAAGGTCAGGAGCTCTGTTCTTGGAGAAACCACTTACTAGCTATGTGACGTTTGGAAAGTTACTTAACTTCTCTGTGTCTTGGCTTCCTCCTGTGTAAATGGAGCTAATAATACCTCACTTTCCAGGGCAGCTGTGAATACGAAAAATCGTGCACAAGAAGCACTTAGCAAAAGTGCTTGGCACATAACAGATGCCCCATAAATAATAATTGCAACGATTGTCATTAACATATAACAAAAGATGCAAGATTAAATTGAAGTCTTACCCTGTCTTCAGTGAACTTGTTAAACTACTTTATTCACAAGTTTATTAGCAGTAATTTTAATTTCATTTCATTTTTTTCTCCTTTGAAGGGCTATTGAGTGGCCAGACTTCCCCAACAAATGCCAAATTGGAGAAACTGGACTCTCAGCAGGTGTTGCAGCTCTGCCTCCGATATCAAGATCACCTGCATCAGTGTGCAGAGGCCGTTGCTTTTGACCAGAATGCTTTGGTTAAACGAATCAAAGAGGTAATGTGCTGCGGGAAAATAACATTGCTGACTGGTTGTTGTGATTCTCTGCAACTCTGGATGCCATCTTAAGACTTGACATTTGTCACTATTGCTTTGAGGAGATTGCTTTTTCCCAGCAGTAAAATGTGATGATGAAAAAAGTGGTCCACAGAGCTGGGCTAATTTAGAGTTTGAATTCTGATCACCACTGATTTGCTTGGCCAAGTTGCTTAACTTCTCTGTCTCAGTTTCCTCATGTGAAAAATGGGGCTAATAGTAGTAACTTACCCCAAGGGTTGAGTGACAGATTGCTTAGTAAGTGTTAGCTATTATTAGTGCATGTAAAGTCCTGCCATACTAATTTGCTCTAGCCACCATTCTGTCTTTGAATTGACTTTAATTGTTTCCTGTGTATAATTTATATTTTGTTTCCCAGTAGATTAAAATTTCTTTCAAAGCAGGAGCTTTGATACGAAAAGCTCCAGTGATTCTTAATGGTTTTATGGAAACAATTACGCCTATTTAACCCGCAAAGTTTTTAAAGGAAAGAAGCAATGTAATTCATGTGAAAGTACTTAGTAAACTGAAGCACATGATGCAAATGTTGTGTAATTATCAATCTCAGTAAATAGGTACTTCCTTTAAGCACTTAAATGTATCATTGACCAGCTGCTGCACAGCACAGTTCTAGGGGCATAAAGGAATAAGTAAGTACATTTTCCAAAGTTTCCAGTCAAGAAAAACTTTATATTCCTGATACCTTGATGTACTGTAATATCAAGGAAATGTTAGGAGCTGTTTACTGGAGAAACCACTTCTGTGAATGGCACTCCCAGATTTGTTTAACAAAGTGGCCCTTTAACTCTGGTGAGAGAAGATGGACATGGAGAAACAAGTGATGGAGCAAGAATCACTGCAGATTAACAATTTGTATTTAGCAATGGAGGTAGTGTATCCTTGAGATTACAAAGCAGTCATTAGTTATATTGACAGATTTAAATTTGCCAACACCTCCAACATTTTAGTGCTTAGCTTTCATAAAATGTTGCATGCATATACTCTTCTCTCATGGGTTAAATACTATTATTTGGAAAACTATTAAACATGACCTTTGATATTGCTTTTCATTGATGTGGCTTTGCAAATATTATAAACTTATTTTACTATATTATGGTCTACCAAGCTTTACTTTCCAAACATGACTATTCATTGGCATCATGTGAGTTTTTTGTTTGTTTTAATACTGAGTTCTCCCCTCCTCCCAGTAAGTCTAGGTGTGGTCTGTGAATCATTATTTTAATAAGATGTTATGGTTTGGCTGTGTCCCTACCCAAATCTCCTCTTGAATTGTAGCTTCCATAATTCCCACATGTCATGGGAGGGACCCAGTGGGAGGTAATTGAGTCATGGGGGCAGGTCTTTCCCATGCTGTTCGCATGATAGTGAATAAGTCTCATGAGACCTGATAGTTTTGTAAAGGGGAGTTCCCCTACACAAGCTCTCTTGCCTGCCGCCATGTAAGATGTGACTTTGCTCCTCATTCACTTTTAGCTGTGATTGTGATGCCTCCCCAGCCATGTGGAACTGTGAGTCAACTAAACCTCTTTCCTTTATAAATTACCCAGTCTTGGATATGTCTTTATTAGCAATGTGAGAACAGACTAATACATAAGTTTACCAAATGATACAATGCCACCCTCTATTACCCAGGATTTGGGAACCAGTGGTCTTAAGCACTATTTCTAAAATAAGTTCTACAAAACTAGTCCCATATAAAGAGGTCAAACGATTTGCATATTCCCTCACCACCCCTTGGAAAGTCACAAAGCGTATTATCTCACTTAAAGTTCTTAGGAGTCTCACAATAAAGAAAGCCAGACTTTTGAAACTTAGTTGACCTCAGAACACTTATCTTAGGTAACATTTATTAATGTCCCATAAAGTAGTGATTTTAGAACATTCTTTGGGAAATGCTATTGTAGACATAAGACTTTACCTTTTTAATTTTTTTAGAAACAGAGTCTTATGCTGTCACCGAGGCTGGAGTTTAGTGATAACATTCATAGCTCGTTGCAACCTCTAACTGCTGGGCAGAAGCGATTCTCCAACCTCAGCTTCCTGAGTAGCTTAGGACTACAGGTGTATGCCATCACGCCTGGCTATGTTGCCTAGGATGTTTTCAAACTCCTCAGCTCAAGCGATCCTCCCGCCTCTGCCTCCCAAAGCACTGGGATTACAGGTGTGAGCCACTGCCCCTAGCCAGACTCTACCATTTTTTACAGTTGTGCTAGAAGTTAATTAACTATGACATTAACTCTCAGAGAGGAGATCTTAGAATTATAATAAATTGGCTTTTTGATGCTTATTCTTTTTAAAAAGTCCTTTAAGTTCAAGACCAGCCTGGCCAACATGGTGAAACTCCATCTCTACTAAAAATACAAAAATTAGCCAGGTGTGATGGTGCATGCCTGTAGTCCCAGCTCCTCGGGAGGCTGAGGCACAAGAATCGCTTGAACCTGGGAGGTGGAGGTTACAGTGAGCCCAGATCATGTCACTGCACTCCAACCAGGGCGACAGAGCCAGATTTCATCTCAAAAAAAAAAAAAAAAAAAACGAAAAACAACAACAAAAACCTCTAATCCATATCTGTTGTTTTGCAGTTTAGTAAAGTGTGGTACGGAGAGATTAACTGACTAGCTCTATATCAGAGAGCTGGGGAAAGTGTTTTGTAGCTGGAAGTACCAGACAGAGCTTCTCATTATAGCACATTTTCAAGACTTCAGAGCAGTGTTTGTCAGCCCTGGTTACATGTTAAAATTACTCGGAAGTTTTTTCCTCCAATATATATGATGGGAAATTTTACACATATACTGAAGAAGACAGGGTAAAAGAAGGCGGAGTAACACAGTGAACCTTAATGTACTCATTACCAGCCACTACAATCATCAGCTTGCAAATACTCCTGTTTTATCCATATCCCCACTCCCTGCCACCCTCAACTGTATATTTTATAGTAAATCCCCAGACATTATTTCATTCATAAATATTTAAGTATATATCTTTAAAAGTGAAGGATTCTTTTAAAAAATAACTTTTAAATTTGAATTAATTTTAGACTTGGAGGAAAGTCACAGAAATAATTTGAGAGTACCTATATACCCTGCCCCATGCAGCTTCCCCTAAAGTTAACACTTTACATAACCTTCGTACAATGATCAAAACCAGGAAATTAGCTTGGTACAATACTAGCAATTAAATGGAGGCCTTATTTTGAATTTTACCAGTAATTCCACGAATGAATGACTGAGTCGTTTTGAAAGATGTAGTTATAATGCTGTTATACCTAAAATATTTAACAATGATACCTTAATTCATTCAGCATAGCTGAGGTGCTGTTAAGAAAATTCTGATGTCTGGGTCTCACTCCGAACCGATTAGATCAAAATCTTTGAAGGGTGATAGGGTTAGGGCGGTGGGATGTTGGGTATTGGTATTTATGAAGGTGCTCTAGGTGATTCTAGTATGTAACCAGGGGAGAACCAGTGTTTTGGAGCATTCATTTAAAAATAAACTGACTTTGGCGGGCGACATGGCTCATGCCTGTAATCCCAGCACTTTCGGAGGCCAAGGCAGGTGGATTGTTTGAGCCCAGGAGTTCAAGACCAGCCTGGGCAACATGGTGAAACCCCATCTCTACAAAAAAGACCAAGAAAAAAAACAAACAGGCATGGTGGTGCGTGCCTGTAGTCCCAGCTACTTGGGAGGTGAGAAGATGGTTTGAGCTCAGGAGGCAGAGGTTGCGGTGAGCCGAGATCTCCACTCCAGTCTGGGCTACAGAGCAAGACCCTGTCTCAAAAAATAAAATAAACAGTTTAAAATTCTGTTTGAAGAACTTTGGGATTCACTTTGAATAGTCAGTAATTACCCAGGATTATTGCAAAACAGAGACCAGCACTCACAGTACTGAGCAATACCTCAGCAGCGTGCTCGGGCAGAGGAGGTGAGTGCAGTTTTGGGGCTTTCATTGGTGGCGTAATGTGTCCGTCTTATCTCTGTTGGTGAGTGTTAGCAAACTCCTGAATCATATCCGTCCGTCTATGTTCACCTCAGACCTAAGGGTTGAAATTAGTCACTTCCAAATGAGTAAAGCAGAGGATGTCATTTTGATCAAACACCAACTCTCTGATATTATTCCAGATGTTTCCTGGAAATTTGGTTGGAAAGATGAGGAAGTAACATAATGCTATGTGTTGACAAGTGAGGGAACTTAATAACCATGGAGAATATGTGTTAGTGGAAGTATATAACCGGGATCAACTAGAGGTCCCTAAGATTACAGTACCTGTGATCACTTAAGTCTGGATCAAAGGGAAACATGGCTATAACTATTTCTGATTCAGATAAAGGAAAATCAGAGAGTTAGCTCAGCTTTCCTTATGTTAAATTTGGATGATGCTCTTGAATGAAAAGCTTATGTTTATAGATTTGTGTATGTGAGGGAGAAGAACGGAGGTAATTTACTTTGCAATCAGGGAGTCTAGTGACATACCTTAACTACTAGTTTCTTTAATGGCGATAGGCTGACCCCTCAGCCAGCACTGTTGAGCAGCTATTGCAGACCCACCTAGTGGGGAGGTCCTTTGGGGGTTCCAGAGACATGTAACATGGTCCTTGCTCTTTGAGAGTTTAGCCTCGCTGAGGGAATGAAGATATACAGAACAGAAATATGAAAAAGGCACTGTTGAAGGGGAATGCTCATTTGTTATTTATAACTAAAGTTCTGTAAGAGTTAAAGATTGGGATATCCTGGAGCAGACGGGGTTTAAGCTAGGTCTTTGAAAAAAAAAAAAAAACCAGGATTTGGGAAATGAGAGGAAGAGGGGGGCATTGCTGCAGGGGAACAGCTTGACAGTCTTAGAAGAAAATTAACTTTGGGGCTTCAGGGACACTGAAGAAACTGGCCTGAGTTTCAGTGAGCTTGCTCAGAGAAATCTCTGCATTAAGAACCACAGAATGTTGGAATTGGAAGGACCTTAGAGACCCTCTGGTCCAGTGCTCTCATTATTCAGATGCAGAAATTAAAGGCTTTTACAGAAAGTAAGCACTTCGCCCAGGTCACACAGTGAGGTAGTGGCCAAAATTAAGTTAAAAGTGGATGAAGATCAAAGGGGATTTTTTGTTATGCAGGTGGTGCACTTGAACATGTTTACAGGATGAGGGGGAAGAGGCAGATGAGACAAGATCAAAGATGAAGGAGAAAGGGGGATTCTTAGAGCAAGATCCCTGAGGAGGCAAGAGTTGGAGCCTTGTGGGACATCTGTTCTGAGAGAACAGGGAGGACGCAGGCAAGTTTATGACAGGAGGGTCCCTGGCACAGATCGGTCACACCCAGCAGCTTGTATCCTCTGTGGAGAAGAGGGAGGTCATTTGTTGAGTGGTCATGGTGACTGGGTACAGTAATGAGTGCCATTAGGCATTGAGGGCTCAGCTGAGGCAGGGCAACTTGTATTTGCTCTTTGTATTTGCAGACAATTTGGCAGAATGGTTCTGAGCGTAAACTCCAGAGCCACACTGCCAAGGTTCAATCCTGGCTCCATCTCTGACTACCTGTGTGACCTCAGGCAAGTCCCTTAATTCTTCTGAGCCTCAGTTTCCTTTTCTGTTCAGTGAGAACAGAATGACATCCACCTCAGGTTTTCGTGAGGGTTCAATGAGTTATTCTTGGTACAGTTCTAGGGACCACGCCTGCCATGTAGTAGACACTGTAGTGTTAGCTCTTTGTTATTGCTTTAAATATAAATGATGACTAAGGAGAAAGGCCTATCCTAATTGCCATGAATTGGCCCATTTGAAATTACTTGATACCAGCAGCTGTCTAAATATTGCCCCATTTTAAGTTCTGCTCTTAACAACCCAAGTATAAGCACTAAATAGAGGCAAGGCAAAAAAAAAATTTTTTTTTTTTTAAGCCCACTGTGGTTTCCTTCAAACCCTGCAGGATTTCTTTCATGCCATGAATATGTAGTTTTTGGAATTTCTGTAGTGAATTTAACTGTTTATTCTGCTTTGTGGATAGCATACTCGTGCCTGGGGAACATGGGTCTTGAGAAATGTGAAGCTGGATGGTGGCAAACCATTAGTCCTTGGCTTCTAGGCTGTGGATACATGGCTGCCTCTGATTTGGGGGATTTCCTGTATATTGCCTCATTTCTAGTTAAGGATTCAAGTTGACAGACACTTAGTTTTAGGTTACATCTATCATTGAAATGTGGGGTAACTGAAAAGCCAACCAGAAAGGAGTGTGCTTCCTCCCCAGGTGTGGTTTCCCTGGGGGCGAGGGATGAGGCTGGTGGCAAATACGCAGCCCCAGGAAGATGCAGCACAGACTTTTGGAGCTTCTCTTGTCACTTCCCTGGGTCTTACTTCTGCCTCATTCTAGTTGCTGTCAGTGGGTAAATGTGTTCATAGATTAGAACAAGTTGCAGCACAGACTTTTGGAGCTTCTCTTGTCACTGCCCTGGGTCTTATTTCTGCCTCATTCTAGTTGCTGTCAGTGGGTAAATGTGTCATAGATTAGAACGCCTTTGTAACTAAGATAAAGCCACAAGCTTTATTTTGTTACAGTTCCTGTGTGCTTGCTTGAAGGCCTTGAGAGTACATTCATGATATGATTCTAGTAACTCCTGTTTTAATTCTTAGATGTGTTGATAAGCATAGTGTATTGACATAAACCAGTATGAAGCATGGAGGGGGTTCAGATGAACTGGTAAGAAAAACTTGCAATCCTTGGAAAGCCATATGATTACACAGGATTATGAAGAGGCCCTAAGGTTTCTCTAATTTAGCCCTTTCATTGTGCAAATAAAGAAACCAAGGATCTTCGAGTGTATATGGGATTTGCTGGGTATCTTTCCATTAGATAATGACTAAGATGGTATTAGAAGGTGAGTCATCTTTTCCACTGCACCATACTACTTATGTTCTGCCTCTTTGGAGTCCTTCATTTCATTTTTGGTTATTCCTTTTTTTACATGGTAGGTCCTCAACTGGTGTTTGAAGGAATGCACGAGAGTTGCCATTCATGGGCCTGCACACAGGGCTGGGCAGGGATTTCTTTCTGTCATCGGTACCGTAATGTTTAAGACCCAGCTGGAGTCATTTTCCAAGTATTTGACCTGACTTCCTGTACTGTGTGTCCTCCCAGGGAGAGAGACTGATCCAGATTAAATGAGTAGTTCCGAGTGTTGCACAGAGCATCACTGTCTGAACTGGCATTAGCATTCACTTTGAGCTCCTTTGGTTAAAAGCCTGGTTAGCGTGAGCTGTTGGCCAGGTGAAACTGTTGCTATCGCCCTGACACTGTGAACCGAATCTCCTTTAAATGACAACATTGTTAGAGTCCTGTGGCCGCTTTTAAATATATTTTGGCTTCAGTTGCTTCTTTCTTGACCTGAAATTATAAAATGAGTTGGGAGTACCTATTGCAAAGCTGCAAATTTTGACAAGAACATTGAGATGTCGGCTTCTTTTTGCTGAAATCCTGAGGCAAGACATTTCAAGAAAATTTTATGTTCCCATAGAATGTCACAAGTTACTCTGGCATCAATTCCAGGTTGAAACCTTACAGTGTAATTATAGTTTCCCCCCTTCTTGTCCTTTGGGCAACCTTTCTTTTCTGTAAGAAATACAACTGGTCCCCTGGGTGGCAGGAAATCCAGGTGGGGGAGTGGGCTGCTTCTGGTTCGGCGGACTGTAAGGTATGCTGCACAGGGCTTCCTTGGGCCTGGCCCCACACTTCCTTTGCACCAGCACTGTCCTGCCAAAAGCCAGAAATCCTGGAAGAGGGCCGAATCTAGTTTATTACTTGCCTGTTGGAAATGTAGGCTTGTGTTTTTTGGCAAGGCATGAGCAGAGCCCGGTTATTTGACTGCTCTGAGATTTAACTCCATTCCGCTTTTGGACAATGACATATGAGCATGTGTGAACAGCAGCCCCATTTCCCCCCAGTTTGCCTGCCCTAGACATGCCCTCAGACAGCTGGCTCTGCCAGCTTTCCCAGTGCCAGGTTCTAGAGCCCCTGTTCTTCTCCCTCCCCTGCTCATTTCCAGTCCACCAGAGCGGGCAGTGTCAGAGGTCCCATGCAGCCTCCTCTCTTGTGAGGAACCCCAGAGCACCTGTAGTCTCTAAGCCAACTAGCCAGTATTGAGGGCTCCTGGGTTATGGAAATGAAACCAGGGCTGGGAAAAGATATTCCCTGTCCTGTATCACTTCCAATGAAGAGAAACAAGAATTTTAGCAAATTGAACATTGCTGCAGTGCCTAGAACAATGCCTGGCATGTAGTAGATGTTGAATAAATACTTGTTTAATGAACAACTTTATATTCTTCAATTATCTCATCCTAGGGACTGATAAGTTTTCTCATTCTATCAGAGAAAATAAAGGTTATGAGGGTTGCATTAGGTAGAGTAAGCTAGGCTACAGCTGTAAGTAGACTCAAAGATGTGTAATGGATCAAATGCAACAGAAGTTTATTTGTTGCTCTTGTTCAAGGTGGGTGTTTCTGGTTAGCAGGTGACTCTCCTCCATTGAGTTCAGGGACTCAGTTTCCTTCTATCTTGTGGCTCTGCCGTCCCCAAAGACCACCTTGCTGATAGTGTCCAGTGGCAAAAGGGAAAAAAGAGTGGACTAGCACAGTTAGGAGGTTCTTACGGGCCAAACCTATGAGTGTTGCCTATGACTTCGGCTAGAACTCAATTACATGGCCACAGCTAACTCCAAAGAGGCTGGGAAATACAGTCTATTGTGTGCCCAGGGGTACACTAAATTTTGAACATCTGTGTCATCTTCGAACTTAGATTCCTAAAATGCATCTGCAGCCCAGCTTTGAGATTCAGAAGGCCTGATGCAAGGTTCCATGGTAAATTTTGCTTGGTTTAAGTCCTCCTGCCAATGAAAACCAAGTGACATTAGGAACAGATCTAACAATAAGTTAAAAAAAAATCAAGCTATAATAGTTTATATTCAATATGATTTCAACTGTGTTAAATATTCTGTTTGTTTATTTTAGAGCAGGGTTGTCCAATATTTTGGCTTCCCAGCCACATTGGAAGAATTGTCTTGGGCCACACATAAACATATTAATGCTGAGGATAGCTAATGAGCTTAAAAACAACAACAACAAAAAAAACTCATAATATTTTAAGAAAGCTTACAAATTTATATTAGGCCACACTCAAAGCTGTCCTGGACTGCATGCAGCCCACGGCCGAACAATCTTGTTTTAGAGACAGGGTCTCCCTGGTCTCCTTCTGTTGCCCAGGCTGGAGTGCAATACCACAATCATAGCTTCCGGTAGCCTCAAACTCCTGGGCTCAAGTGATCCTCCCACTTCAGCCTCTCAAGTAACCAGGACTACAGGTGTGCCACCTACCTGGCTAATTTTTAAATTTTTTTGTAGAGACAGTGTCTTGCCATATTGCCCAGGCTGGTCTTGAACTCCTGGCCTCAAGCAATCCTCCTACCCACCTCCCCAAAGTGCTGGGATTACAGGTGCGAGTCATCGTGCCTGCCTATGTTAAATATTCTTAATAAATGATTAGACAGAAGGTAACATGACAGTGACTTAATTGTGGTTGCCCTTTAGAGATGAGATTATCAGTGGTATTTTGTTTTAGCCTGCTTCTGTTTTTCTGTATTTTACAAGATTTCTATCTTGAACATGCATTGCTTTTTTTTTTTTTTTTTTTCAATTTGAAATACCTTTTTTTTTTTTTTTTTTTTTTTTTAAACTGATGGGTAGGCTCCATCTTCAGAGATTCTGAGCCAGTGGGTCTGGAGTAGGGCCTGGTACTTGCTCTTTTATTTTTTAATTTAATTTTTTTACAGAGAGTGTCTTGTTCTGTCACTTAGGCCAGAGTGCAGTGGCACAATCATAGCTCACTCCAGCCTCAAACTCCTAGGCTCAAGTGATCCTCCTGCCCCAGCCTCCCCAGTAGCTAGGATTACAGGTGCGTGACACTATGCCCAGCTGACTTTAATTTTTTTTTTTTTTTTTTGTAGAGACAGGGTCTCGCTAGGTTTCCCAGACTGACCTTGAACTCCTGGCCTCAAGCAGTCCTCCCACAATGGCCTCCCAAATGCCAGGATTACAGGCATGAGCCACCATACCTAGCTTCTGTTTTGTTTTGTTTTGTTTTGTTTTCTCACAGTATGTGAATCTCATAAGAGTTCCATCTCCCTGCCTGCAGCTTTTTGACTCACCAGGATAGGAATATGCCTCTGAGAACTTTTTACGCACATGCCTTTACATGTCTGCTTCATTTATGAACTAGTCAGCTCTGTGTCAGGCCCTGTTGTAGGTGTCGAGGAAATATCACTACAAAACAGACAAGAATCCCTCCTTCAGAGACCTTACATTCCATTGTGGACACAGACAATAAACACGGTAAAAAAATAAGATAGATGGCATGTAAGATGGTAAATACAAGAATAAAAAAAAAAAGTAAGGGGATATAAAATGTCAGTAGGGTAGAAATTTTACATGGGGTGACACAGAAGGCCTTCCCAGAAAGGAACTTTTAATATAAAGACCTGCTGGTCAGTACAGAGCTAGCCAGGAGACTCTTCTTTATAACTCTGTCTAGATCTGAAATTTATCAGGTTATTTGACCAATGGCAACCCCAAATCCCAAGATTCTGTTCTTTACTATCACCCTGCTCACTGTCGTGTTTATCTGAATGTTCTGAACTAGAGTCTTATTTGCTATCTCTGTTGTTAGTTGGTAGGAGACTTGCAGATCTATACTCCTTTTAAAAACATCTGAATTGTTTTAGATCTCAGGGACTCCCAAAGGATTTCATCAGGAGGTGTCCCTAAAGCTTGAAGCAGCATTTAATTTTCTTCTGCCCACGTTGACAGACTGACTATAGTATTATAAGACTTTAGTTGACGTCCTGGCGATCCTCCATAGTTTTCATTTACACATGAGTAGAGAGCATTTCACTTGTCTAAGGTCCTTTCACACCATTGCTGGAAACTGCCCATGACAGCCAACCTGCAGCCCAGAGCAAAAGGCATAATGAATGTGGAAGGACTCTGCAGGACCATACGGAGCTATGTAAAAGAAAGGATTATTTTGGGGGTGTAAGAGTCATTTATATCAAATGCAGCCAGACAAGGAGGGATTGCAAAATGTTATTCTGTAGAAGTATGAGCATTAGTGGCGTAATACAGCATCATTACAGTGATGGTTTCTTCCTGTATCCCAAAGTCCCCCAGCCTCCTCTCTTCCCCTTTCTACCTGGAAGTTTACGAATTCTCTCTTTGCCCTTGCTGAGACTTAGATTCTCTGGAGTCTGTCACTCACCTGCCTCTCCATCAGATATTGTAATAGTCATAGTTGTATTCTGCAAAATCCGTGAAATTCACATGGCTCTAGCCTGAAATGTCCAGCCTCCACTCCTGCTCCCTGACTTCTGCTGTGCCCCCTCCTGCTGGTGTCTGCTCCCCTTCTCTGCCTGAGGAATCCTGCTCTCCCATCAGCAACCGCCAACATCCTGGCACATGCAGAGGTCCCGGTTTCCCTTGATCACAAGGGACCTCCTTCCTTATGCCTCCCTGGTGCACAGGAAGTGTTTGCTGGAACCGTTTATGTGGTAAAGTTGAGTCGGTGCCTCAGCCATCTGCATGAGGAATGACATGGGCCTCTGGACTCTAGATCAGGCTCCAGCCTGATGTCCCGAGCAGCCATCTATCATCCTGCCCGGGAGCACAAGGCAGCCCCAGTGGCAGTATACCAAATCATTAGACCAATATCATCATTGTCCCATGTGCGGTATCTTGGTTCTTTCTTCAGGCACGGGGTGGAGGATTTTAGCTGTAAAATATTTACCCACGCACCACTGCTAAGCTCTGTTCTCTGAGTCAAAAAGGGGTTGTGTTCACACATGGTTTGGGTGCATACACGAGGGAATTACAGAGCACATAGTCCAGTTTTCTATTGTTTCATTACCTTAGCTGAGGTTTTAAGATGTTAAGTGTGTCACTTTGGTCACACAAACTTACTTTTACCTCTCTTTAATTCTGGACATCGGAAAAGGGAGTCCAGGTTAGTGGCGTGGCTTGGAGCCTTTCCTTCACTATCCACCTGCTGCATCTGTGGAGGCTTCTCCAGCCCCTCACCTGATGTGGTAGTGACAGCAGCAATAATGTTGCAGCTGTCGTTTTTACATGTTTACCATGTGCCAGGTCTAGAATAGGCATTTTGCATATATCAGCTATATTTCACGATCAGCTGAGATTCAGAGACCTGAATGTGTTCCCGGTTACACAGTTGTCGAAGTGGAGCTGGGATGCAGGCTCAGAGCTAACGTCCACCTTCGAAACTCTAAAGCCGCGCTTCCTTTCCACCTCTTTGTCCATTGTCTTCAATTCTTTTATTTTTATTTATTTATTTATTTTTTGAGATGGAGTTTTGCTCTTTGTGGCCCAGGCTGGAGTGCAGTGGTGCAATCTCGGCTCACTGCAACTCCTGCCTCCCGGGTTCAACGGATTCTCCTGTCTCAGCTTCCCAAGTAGCTGGGATTACAGGTGCCTGCCACCACACCCGGCTAATTTTTGTATTTTTAGTAGAGATGAGTTTTAACAATGTTGGCCAGCTGGTCTCGAACTCCTGACCTCAGTTGATCTGCCCGCCTTGGCCTCCCAAGGTACTGGGATTACAGGCGTGAGTCACCGTGCCTGACCTTGTCTTCAATTCTTTTTTTTTTTTTTCTTTTTTTTGACAGATTTTCGCTCTTTCGCCCATGCTGGAATGCAGTGGCGATCTCGGCTAACTGCAGCCTTTGCCTTCTGGTTTCAAGCGATTCTCCTGCCTCAGCCTCCCGAGTAGCTGGGATTATAGGCGCCTGCCATCATGCCTGGCTAATTTTTGTATTTTTAGTAGAGACAGAGTTTCACCATGTTGGCCAGGCTGGTCTCAAACTCCTGACCTAGTGATCCTCCCGCCTCAGACTCCCAAAGTGCTGGGATTACAGGCGTGAGCCACTGTGCCTGGCCGTGTCTTCAATTCTTTAAGGTCTTATTCTTTCATCCTGTCTCCTGCTCATGCCCAATGTTCAAGCATGTTCCCTTACCCTGTATTCCTTTATAATACTCGCTGCATAGTGTCACAGTATACTTAGCATCTCAAAAGCAGTCTTTATAGGATGCAACCACACTTTAAAATAGCCCTGAAGACCCCACATTTACGTTCTTGAAGTGGCAACTCCGCCTACCTTGCAGGTAACTTCTTTATACTTCCAACCGTGCTTTGGAGAATGGGGCTTTTTAACAGTGTCTCAGAGGACTGTGGTGGTACAGAAGGTAGACAGAGAGTGGACTCATGCCTAGGAGCTTCATCCTTCCCCACTGCCACTCTGGAGGGGTTGCAGAGAGGGAGCCTCGAATTAGTCAGAAAGGGCTGGGGTGCTTGGTTACAGACGGGGCCTTTTCCAGGAGGCAAAAGATCTCAGATGTCTACGTGCCCTACACCGCTGTCTTTCATGGGACCCGAGGAAAGCTCTCCCAAGGAACGGGAGGAGTGGGACTTCTGTCCCTCAGGCTTTTATTTTTACTTGTGATGTTTTTCTTTTCCTGGTTTGCTGCCATCAATGCCATTTGCAAGGCCTTTTGTGGGGAGGAGGTATAATCTGCCTGTTTAGTTTTGGAAGCTGCTTAAAGGTTTTAGGATTTCTGTCCCACTTTCCCACCTAGACGTGATGCCAAGGGTAAGAAGGCATCGGGGAAACTGGGCAAGTCGTAAAGTAATTATTGGAACAGTCATACAATTCAAATTCCTGCCGTTCTGATATCGCTTAATTCTTTTGAAGACCTGAATAAAATGTGTTCTTTTTCTGAGACATTTAGATACATTGTTTGAACAAAGGAAACAGGGTGACTTCAAAATGTCCAGTATGTGGAAATCGATGCCGTTCAGCCTGTGGTGTAATTAATGAAAACATTGGCGACAGTCGGCCTCATTGTTTGTCATTGTGCAACAGGAGGTGGTACACTAATAAGGAGCCGGGGAAGGTTTACGTAATTCAGAAGGAAGCAGACGTGTGCAGTTTTGACTGATGCCCTTCTCACTGCAGATCCAGGCTCACCGAGCAGGTTCCTATTCCTGATGGACGTGGAGATGTCTGATTGGATTTTGTCATTTGATTTTTGACACTGATTAATGATAGATTTTTATTTCCCTTATGGTCAGAAATAATTGTCTTGAAAAGCTTCACTTTAGATCATAGTTTTCACACACAGTTATAATTCATTGGGTAAAGCATAGTAGAACAAACTATGGAAAAGGAAATGTCATTGGTAGACTTTGGTCGCTTAGGACAGGTGTGGTGGCCCTTGGAATCAGGAGATCTGGAGTTCTGTCCTGGCCCCATCAGTCCCAGCTGTGTGAGCTTAGGGATAGTGCTTGCCCACTCTGGGAGCAGCCTTCATCTGTAAAAGGAGGGGGTTGCTCAGGACCCTTGCACCTCCTTCCTTTTACAGATGAAGATTGCTTTGTCTAAGCCCCCTTGGTGAGGTCAAGAATTGTGAAATGTTTGTACAAGTGAGATGTCAAGAGTACAAAATGTACAGACGAACTGCCAGTGAAAATGTCATTTAAGTTTATCTGCTAACAGTTTATTCCCTTTGGTCTCCTCTCAGTTTTTGTTTTGTAATTGTCCATGTTTTGTCTGGTAATTTATTATTTTTTTTATTAGAAAAGTAAACACCAAAGTGTTTTTCCATTCCGCTTGACAGCATAACAAATTGCCATTTAAATTCATCTCTTAAGGATTTCAAAAAGGCATTAAACACACTGCTCAACATGGTATGTATTTAATTGAAATGAGCTGACTTTTGAATTAATTAGCTCTTTAGAAAAAATAGGCAAAAATGGAGCCGAAAAGCATGGGTTTGAATTCTGGCTTCACTGCTAGTACGAGCTGTGTGACCCTGGGCACCTTTTCTCATCTCTGAATCTCTAATTTCTCATCTCTAATAGGAGAGGGACACTTTCCCTATGAGAGTGTGGTGAGGTATAAAGATAATGTATGTAAACTGCACAGTACAGTATCTGACAGTTAGTAGATACTTAATGGATAGCAGCTGTAACTGTTATACATTATTTTATTACAATAATTAAAATAACTAGAGAATTTGTGTATATTATATACTGGGTTCTATCTACCAAATCATTCTAATATGATGTGCATTGATTACCAAAAGAAATAGTCCTCCAGTATGGATGCCAGTTTTGTTTCTGTTAGAGTGTGTGGAGTGAGATTTACCAGAGAGGGATTTCTCTTTTCTGGTTGACAGATCAAAGGTACGCCTATGAGAATACATGGCAAGAATTTATTCTTTTTTTTTTTTTTAACAGTGATAAAATATACTTTACTTTGTTGAGTCAGAGGGTTGTAAAAAAAATTATTGCTAAAGTAGGTATCAGGCAAACAGAAAGGTGCTTTAGAAGTCCAGTTACCTTGGAGTTTATTTAAACTAAGAGAAAAACGTCATAATGTTTTCATGCGATACATATCTGGTTCTTTAACAATTGTGTGACAAACAGCAGAAGGAATTAAGGAATGCCGCACTTGTGATCCATACAAAACACCAACACTTTAGGTTGTACATAATTAAAGAAATATCTCAAACACTTTTTAAAACACTGTAGTAGCCAATACATAGAGGCATGCCGTAGGTAGGCACAGGAATGCAGTTTAGAAAAATAAATAAATCACATAGGAACTACTCAATTTCCTTAAAATCACTGAGCAAGAAAAGCAACATTGAACTGGCTGGGCGCAGTGGCTCACGCCTCTAATCCCAGCACTTTGGGAGGCCGAGGCGGGCGGATCACGAGGTCAAGAGATCAAGACCATTCTGGCCAACATGGTGAAACCCCGTCTAATTTTTGTACTAAAAATACTAAAAGTACTTTTTTTGTACTAAAAGTACAAAAATTAGCTGGGCGTGGTGGCGCTCGCCTGTAGTCCCAGCTACTCAGGAGGCTGAGGCAGGAGAATGGCGTGAACCCAGGAGGCGGAGCTTGCAGTGAGCCGAGATCGCACCACTGCACTCCAGCCTGGCGACAGAGCGAGACTCTTTCTCAAAAAAAAAAATTAAAAAAAAAAAAAAAAGGAAAGCAGCATTGAACTTTCATATTGATTTTACACAGCTTTTATACAGTACCTTGACTTAAATCCAAGAGCAAAACTTGACTGTCCTCCTCTATTTTTGGTAAACTTACGTGACTTTCCCCCCTGGATTTTACCTGGGAGTAGCCTTTTTAAATTTTTATTTAAAAGAGGGCAGGTTTGGCACTTTATAGTAATGTCACCAATGTTAATATTTCTTGGGATCTCAGGAAGATTCACATTTTTTACAGCTGATACAGGTTCAGCACAGGCTGAAGCTCCCCCTCAGCCAGCCTCAGATTTTTCCAGCTTATTTTGTGCACCAATTTGTGTAACAATCCCATTCATGTTTGTCTCCAATACCATTCCCCCATCATCATTTCTGCAAGAATATTGTGAACCGTGTCTACATGGAAAATCAAATCCAGTTCACAAACATTTTCAAAACATTTGTCTAATGTTTCCACAAATCCATAGGGCTGGTAGAACTTGGAGAGCCGCGGTTTCCCATGATTGTTAAGATTAGGATCGCCTTGATCGTGGCTGGGTCGGGCCCACCGGGTAGGCACTGGGGGCCAGGGTGCGGGCCGGCGCGCAAGCCTCGCCTCGTGATCTTGCCGGCGATCCTTCCCCACCCACTCCCTCCCGCACGCCGGCAAGAGTTTATTCTTACAGGCTGCCATTGCAAACTACTGTCTTCAGAAACAAGGTCACTTCAAAGTGTCCAGAATGTGGTAATTGGTGCCATTCAGCCTGTGGCGTAATTAAGGAAAACATTTGCCCATTGTTGTCCATTGTGCTAGAGAGAGGCGTCCAGGAAAGATTCATACTCCCAAACCCTCCATGGGAGTGGTGATCTGGAGAGGGTCGGACAGCCAGAAAGCACATAGTTGACCCTGAAAGGTTTTGTTGCAGCCTGTCATACCCTAACCTTTATAATCTGTCTGAATCTCTACTGCAGGTCAAGTAGCCATGGTCTGGTGGGGATAGAGGTGGCAGGTGGGCTAGAACGTGCCATATCTTGATTTGTGGCAATGGGCCTCCTACTCTTCGGAGTGGAGACAGCTAATACCATGAGTCAAAGACCAAATCGGGATAGCCGATGTATAAAAACACAAGCACCGGGTTTGCAAACTGGAAGAAAGGTCTTGAAGAAGGTGTCAGAAGCAAAAAATGGTAAGTATGTGAGGAGGTGGATATTTTAATTAGCATGACTATAGAAATCATTTCACTATGTATATGTATGTCAAAACATGTGTGCTGTAAATATATAGTTTTTATTTTTTAAAAAATGAATGCTGTCAGTATGAGTCCATTTAAAAATAAGCAGGCTTAAAGGTTCAAGGAAATTGCTGAGAACTGGCATCTCACGCTTCCTTTTGGGGTTAGTCGATGCATGGTATGGCTAATGTAAAGATCCAGGATCTTATGAACACAGCTTTTTACCTTGGACTGTTCCTCTTGCAGACTCAGCTACCACCTTCCTTTAGGATTAAAAATGTTTTACTTAGCCTCAACAATTTGTTTTAGAGCCACTTTCATAGTGCCTAGTCCTGGATTCCCAAATAGGTTTCTTCATCTTCGTAAACTCGAAAGTGGCCATCTGGGGTTCAGTGTCAGGAAGGGTTCTGAGTCCAAGTCAGATTTAAAGAATAACCATGATGCATTACTGGTATCTGTCGGGGGTCTGGGAGAAGGAATTGAATGTATTTGAATACACTTATTTTATTATTTTTTAAAACTGAGTTATCATTCACGTAGTTCACCCTTTTACAGTGTGCATTTCAGTGGTTTTAGTATTCTTGCAAGATTGTGCAGCTACACCACTATGTAATTCCAGAACATTTTCATCTGCCTAGAATGAAACTCTATGTACATCAGCAGTCACTCCCCATACCTCTATTCCCCTATCCCCTGGCAACTACCAGTCTCCTTTCTGTCTCTCTGGACTTGCCTGTTGGGGGTATTTCATATAAAGGGAATCATGTGATATGTGGCCCTTGTGTCTGGTTTCTTTTACTTAGCATAATGTTTTCAAGGTTTATCCATGTTGTAGCTTATATCAGTATCTCATATCTTTTTATGGATGAACAATATTTTATTCTATGAATAGACCACATTTTGTTTATCCATTTTTCAGTGGATGGATATTTGGGTTGTGTCTACTTTTTGCCTATTATGAATAATGCTGCTATAAACATTTGTGTACAAGGTTTTGGGTGAACATATAATTTACTTCTCTTGGGAATACATGTGAAGTGAAATTGCTGGCTGTATAGTAACTTTATGTTTAACTTTTTGAGAAACGGCCAAACTGCTCTTCAAAATGACTGTCCCATTTTACATGCTTACCAGCAATGCACAGGGGTTCCAGTTTCTTCACACCCTCACTAACATTTGTCATTGTCTGCCTTTTAATTTGAGCCATCCCAGTGGGTGTGAAGTTGTATTCTTTCTGCTTTTGATTGCACTTTTCTAATGTCCAGTGATGTTGAACATCTTTTCCTGTGTTTACTGGCCATTTGTATATCTTCTTTGGATAAATGGCTTCAGTTATAATTCCAAGGCCAGATTTTGCCCTAGGGACAGTACTGATTTATATAGTTAGGCTGACTGCTTCCTAATTGGGAGAATTGGTAGTTCTGAATTTCAGAAACATCTGAGAAGGGTGGATATTGAAGCTTTATATAAAATATGTAGCAGTTTTCTTTTAATGTGATTATGATTTGGGAACTTTTTAGTTTTACTACCATGAAAAACAGAACTTCCAAGCATACTTTGCCATTCATTGTTAGAATAATATAAACATACATGTTTATAGCAGTGTTCTGTTTTCAGATCATCCTACATATATTATCTCATTATAACCATTACAACACTGCCGTGAGGTAGGATGAATATTAGCCATTATTATCCCCACTTTTAAAAAGTAGAAGCTGAGAGTCAGCTTGTGATTTGCCCAAGTTCACCAACTAGTAGAATTTAAATTCAGGCCTTCTGACTTACTTTGTTAATGGTAATGAATTATTAGTGATGTCAGGGATTTGAAGGGTGAGCTTACATTGCTAAAAATCAGCAATATGCCCATCTTCAAATAACAGATTGTTACTGACTTCAGAATGTATTATTTGAATAGCTGTAAAACAGGATGAATTGTTACTTTTCCATTTAGCCTCTTTAGCTACAAAGTACTTACAATAAAAGAGCAGAATTACATATCACTGCCTGCTCATTACATTTTGAACCCAGAAGGAAATCCACCCAAAGAAAGAACAAAGCTGGGAATGGATTTAGAACCCTAAAAAGAGGCAGCCTTTGGTTAGCTGACCTTGAACCATCCATCATGCCTCCTCCTCCCAGCCTCCATATTCCTAAACTGACATCCTTGGGGAACAGGAATTTAAATGTAGAACGAGTGCAGAGAAAGTGAGATATCTATTGAGATCAAATAAAAATTGACCTTGAGACTAACATTAACTGACAGACACCACATTAAAAGCTAAACATTACCTTTAAAGGGTGGGAAAGATGAGTGACTTTTTAAATGCCGTCTTGAGCTGGGCACAGTGGCTTACGTCTGTAATCCCAGTACTTTGGAAGGACGAGGAGGGCAGATCACCTGAGGTTAGGAGTTCGAGACCACCTGGCCTACATGGTGAAACGCTGTCTCTACTAAAAATATAAAAATTAGCCAGGCGTGGTGGCACACACCTGTAATCCCAGCTACTTGGGAGGCTGAGGCAGGAGAATTGCTTCAACCCAGGAGGTGGAGGTTGCAATGAGCTGAGATTGTGGCACTGCACTGCAGCATGGGCAACAGAGTGAGACTCGGTCTTAAAAAAAAAAAAAAAAGCAGTCTTGATTAAGTCCATATGCAGTCTTTTTTGTTTTTAACATTTCTTTTAAACTTAAGTATTTTGGGGATAGAAAAATAAGTCTATTGATCATATGGATGTGAATTTTGTTAACTGTGAAACACAGCTTACCTACTCATTTTTCTTTTGACCATGAGGGTTATTAAATTTGCTTTTGATCATTTCATGCATATCTACATCTTAAGTTTTTAGAATTTAAAAGTTGTACACTATCTTTATGAAGTTCTTACTGTTATGTTGCACATCTTTTCTAACTTAAAATAAGCCCTTGTAGTATGTCACTAATTTGGAAAATTTACCTTTACTTTGAAAAGAACTACATCAAGCATAGTGAGGCCAGGTGTGGTAGATCATGCCTGTAATCCCAACACTTTGGGAGGCTGAGCGGGTGGATGGCTTGGGCCAGGAGTTTGGAGATCAGCCAGGGCATCATCTTGAGACCCCATCTCCACAAAAAATAAAAATTAGCCAGGCATGGTGGCATGTGCCTGTAGTCTCAGCTACTCAGGAAGCTGAGATGGGAGGATTGCTCGGACCCAGGAGTTCAAGGCTCCCGTGAGCTATGATCAGGCCACTGTACTCCAGCCTGGGCAACAGAGCGAGACCCTGTCTCCAAATAACAAACCACAGTGACATCTTTCATAGGATGACCCATCTGCCTCAAACCAGCATCAAAGCTTATTTTATGAGGAAAATTTATATAACAAAAGTTTTTGAAGCACCGTACTCTCTTGTTGGAGAGGATATCATTTATTAAAGCTTTTGGTTTTGCTTTCAAAATATTTTTTGAAAAATATACATGTACGCATGTACGCCTATGTATTTTTATTTTTACCATATTGGATAGCATCAAACAGTGGTAATAGTTATTCTCATGGCTAAACATATAGATTAAAAACACATGGAAGGACTTGTAGGTAAATAATGATTTCAGTTATTACGTAGTGCGAAATGATTCTATCAGGAAACTGTGGGATGAGTAATGTGACTCTGCTGTAAGATTTTCAGTAGCAGAAGTACAGAACAAAAATAAAACATGTCAGCAAAAAACACAATGGTAAGTTGTCATCTGAGTGATTGTGTAAGCCTTGAAGATAGTTAATGTAACCGAGATGAGGCGTCCACATAAGCTCCTGCCTTCACAATAGATATGTTGTGTCTATTTGGATATCACAAAATGTCATTCGGTTTTTTATTCTGCTTTCATGTACTACATTTCTTATCTTGCTTTTTCATTCTTCATGTAAAAGAGGTTTCTAGACAGAGTTTCTGTTTCAGTTCACATATATTTTATCACTTATGGAGCTCCTTTTTCCTGGGAACTGTTCTAGGAGTTTTATACATTTTATCTCATTTAATTCTCACGTCAACCCTATGACGTAGGCATTGTCAATTTCACCAATTTTAGGGGACAGAGCAGCTGAGGGTCAGCAAGGTTAAGTAACTGGCTTAAGGTCATGAAGGTAATCAGTCATCTGCAGAAGCAAGATTTTGACTCAGTTCTGTCTGATGCTACTGTCGTTATCCATAAGCGATGTATGTATATTTTAGTTAGAAAACTGGAATGTTTGGCCGGGCGCGGTGGCTCACGCCGGTAATCCCAGCACTTTGGGAGGCCGAGGCGGGCGGATCACGAGGTCAGGAGATCGAGACCATCCTGGCTAACACGGTGAAACCCCATCTCTACTAAAAATACAAAAAATTAGCTGGGCGAGGTGGTGGGCGCCTGTAGTCCCAGCTACGCGGGAGGCTGAGGCAGGAGAATGGCGTGAACCCCGGGGGGCAGAGCCTGCAGTGAGCCGAGATCGCGCCACTGCACTCCATAGAAGCTCTCTCCCCTCCCCACAAACTCTGAGTCACTCAGCTTGAGCTCAGGAATGATTTCAGATGTCTAAACAGGTCATTTGCAGGGTCTGGGTAGTCTGCCCACAGAGGAGGTAAAAGCTCTGGCTCAATCTTGAACCATTGCAAATTTAAGCCAGTGGATCTGAAGGCAATTGAGTTCTGTTCTGCCACTCCAGCTCAGGCAGGACAGCTGCTTCCCTGAAACAGGGCCCTCTGAGGTTAGATGTACAGCCTCAGTGGGCATCAGTGTCATGAATAGCCGCTCCTCATTTGGCAGCAGTAACTATCCAGAGACAAAGGATAGGATTCGGGATAACCGTGGTCATAAGCTAGAAGTCTCCAGAGTCCTTAGAGGAATTTGAAAACTGAACAGAATTTTTTTCTTTCCACACTGTGTCAGGGCTTTAGCAAAGGAGTTCTGTTGTGACAATTGTCTGGGTAACATCTGCCTACTGTTTTTTGTTTTGTTTTGTTTTGTTTTGTTTTCCTGATCTGTAGTCCATCTTGCTTAACAGTGCCCAAGGGCACAAGCTTCACACTGTTAATAGTTTTACTCTTAACACCTCCTTGGCTCCTTTGTCCCAAGAAGGTGAGATCCCACTTCCAGGTGATCTCCTGCAGGACTTTTCCCTGAGCCTCTAACCCATTTCTAGCCCATATTTCCCCCTCAAGAACAATAATTCAGTAATGTTTTCAGTTCTCCTGAAACAATCCCAAATTTTGGATTTTTTCTTAATGTTGAATTATAAGAGTTATTGATATATTCATTCTGGATGTAAGACTGTCATTTGATATATAGTGAAATTTTTTCTTTCTTTGTTTATTTTTGCCCATTATTTTCATAGGGAATAAAATATTATGAAATGTTCTCAGTCTGCTGCTTGCCTTTTCATTTTATTTCTTTTCTTTTCTTTCCTTTTTTTTTTTTTCTTTTTTGAGACAGTCTCGCTCCGTCACCCAGGCTGGAGGGCAGTGGTGCGATCTTGACTCACTGCAACTTCTGCCTTTTGGGTTCAAGAGATTCTCCTGGCTGGCCACGGTGGCTCACGCTTGTAATCCCAGCACTTTGGGAGGCCGAGGCAGGTGGATCATGTGGTCAGGAGCTTGAGACTATCCTGGCTAACACGGTGAAACCCCATCTCTACTAAAAGTACAAAAAATTAGCTGGGCATGGTAGCACACGCCTGTAATCCCAGCTACTCGGGAGGCTGAGGCAGGAGAATTGCTTGAACCTGGGAGGTGGAGGTTGCAGTGAGTCAAGATCGCGCCACTGCACTCTAGCCTGGGTGACAAAGCCAGACTCCGTCTCAAAAAAGAATTAAAAAAAAGAGAGAGATAGTCTCCTGCCTTAGCCTCCCAAGTAGCTGGGATTAGCAGGCATGTGCCACCAGGCCCGACTAATTTTGTATTTTTAGTAGAGACAGGGTTTCTCCATGTTGGTCAGGCTGGTCTCGAGCTCCTGACCTCAGGTGATCCACCTGCCTTGGCCTCCCAAACTTCTGGGATTACAGGCATGAGCCACCGCACCCGGCCTTAATGGTATCTTTTTAAGAGAAGTTTTTAGTTTTGATGAAAATCAATTTAACCATTTTTATTTTATGGTTAACACTTTTTGAAACTTAGAAATCTTTGCATACCCCAAGGTAGCAATTTTTTTTTTTTTTAAAGACAGGGTTTTGCTCTTGTTGCCCAGGCTGGAGTGCAATGGCATAATCTCGGCTCACTGCAACCTCTACCTTCCAGGTTCAAGTGATTCTCCTGCCTCAGCCTCCCAAGTAGCTGGGACTATAGGCATGCACCACCACCTCCAGCTAATGTTTTGTATTTAGTAGAGACGGGATTTCACCATGTTGGTCAGGCTCGTCTCGAACTGCTGACCTCAGATGATCCACCCGTCTCAGCCTCCCAAAGCTCTGGGATTACAGGCGTGAGCCACTGAGTCCAGCCAAGGTAGCAAAGATTTTTCTCCTATATTTTCTTCTAGAAGTTTTATAGTTTTAGCTTCCATATTTAGGTCTGTGATCCATTCCATATTAATTTCTTGTGTATGCACTGTGAGATGTAAGGCTCCAGGTTCATTCTTTCTCTTTGTGGATATCTAGATATTCTAGCACAAATTGTTGAAAAACTTTTTTCCCCCATTAAATTGCCTTGAGATCTTTGTAACAACAATAAAAAAATCAATTAACAATATATTTTTAGATCATTTTTACACTGTCTTTTGTTTTATGGATCTGTGTGTCTCTATGCCAGCACCACACTATCCTGATTACTGTAGTTTTATAGTAAGTCCTGAAATCAAGTACTGTAAGTCTTCAAACTTTGTTCTTTCAATTATTTTGGCCATTCTGTGTACTAAGAATCAGCTTACCAATTCCTGTAAAACAATGCCTTCTAGACTTTTTACTTGGATTGCAAATGAACCTCTTAATCAATTTGGCAAGCATCAGCACCTTGACCGTGTTGAATCTGACAATCCATGAACATGATATACTTCATTTCTTGAGATCCCTTTTAGTTTTTCAGAGCGATGTTTTGTAATATCAGTGTACAGATCTTATACATATTTTGCTGAATTTTTCCCTAAGTATTTCATGTTGCCGACGCAGTTGTAAATAGTATTCTTTTATTCCACTGTCCTGTCATTCATTGTTATGTAGAAATACAATTGATTTCTGTATGCTGACCATGTATCTTGCAGCCTTGCTAACTTCACTTTAGTAGTTTTTAGTAGATTTTTAAAGATTTTCTAAGTGTATTATCATGTCATCTGCAGATAAAGACCCTTTTGCTTATTCCTTTCTAATTTCTTTGCCTTTTACTTAATTTATTGCATTGGCTACTGCATATAGTACAATGTTGAATAGAGGTGGTAAGAGTGTAGACATGCTTGCCTTGTTCCTAATCTTAGGGAGAAAAGTGTCTTTCACCAATAACTGTATTGTCAGCTGGAAGTTTTTCATAGATGCACTTTATCAGGTTGAGGAAGTTTCCTTCTGTTCCTACTTTGCTGAAAATTTCCATAATAAATGCATGTTCAGTTTTTTGAGTGCTTTTTCTTATATCCATTGAGACAATCATAGATTTCTAACCTCTATTCTGTTGAAATGGCAAGTTACTTTGATTGATTTTTCAGATGTCGAAAAAGTGTGTCTCCTTGACATAAGCATTGCTTGGTCATAATGTATTATCCTTTTTGTATATTTCTGGATTTTATTTGTTAATATTTTGAGTTCATGTACTGAGTGGACCAGCCAAGTAGGCAGATGGGCCCGCACCATCCATATAAGGTATTTGGAACAACTTTGAGCACATTCTACAGATGCCTAATAACCTTAGTGAGGCCTGCAGTTCTATGCTCAAATAACCTCCCCTTCTTTTTCACTTGTCCTTTGAAATGGACTGCCCCAGAGATGGTATATGAATCTGTAGGGCAAAGTTTGAAGTATGAGCTTGAGTAAATGATGAGTTCCTTGAAGACAAAGGCTTTATTGCATTCTTTTTTTTTTTTTTTTTTCCCCCTGGGATAGGGCCTTGCTCTTTTTTTCCAGGCTGGAGTGTAGCGGTGTGATCACAGCTCACTGCAGCCTGGACCTCCTGAGAGCAAGCAATTTTCTCACCTCAGCCTCTGGAGCAGGTGGGACTACAGGTGTGTTCCATCACACCTGGCTAATTTTTATTTTATTTTTTGTAGAGATGAGGACTCAGTGTGTCGTCGTGGCTGCTCTTGAGTTCCTGGGCTCAAGTGGTCCTCCTACCTCAGCCTCCCAAAGTACTGAGATGACAAGCATGAACCACCGCACCTGGCCAGCATTCCTATCTGTCAGTATAAGATTATATTAACTAGTGTTACAGAAACCCCAAATGATGGTGGCTTATACAAAATGAAAGTTTATTCATCTCTCTCAGGCCTGGTCTCCTCTTACACATAAACATCCTCATGGACCCAGGCTGCTTCTAGCTCATGATCTGCCAACTCAAAGATGTAACCTTCATTATTCTCATGGTCTACATGGGGTGCACCTGCATTTCAGCAGCAGCAGAGTGGAGGAGGGGACAGTGAAGAAGAGAAGCAACAAAGAGTGCATGCCGGCTGCCTTTCCAGGAAGGTGCCTGGAAGCTGCCAGGAGAGACTTCTGCATGCACACACCACTGATTATAACTTGGTCATGTGTCACGGCAAGGCGAGGGTTTTGAGGCAAGAGTTGTGGAGAATAAAGAGTTGTTCACTTTCTATTTGAAAATCAGCTAGTTTATTCATTTAATTTTTCTTAAGTTCCTGAAACAAAGTTATTTGCAATTTATATGTTTCTGGGCCTGAGTTTCCTGGAATAGTAAAGTCATGTTAACAGAAACAGTGGAAAAGAAAATTCATGTTAATGTACACGGTAAGCTGTGTGGGTGTAAGTAGTTTTGGTTCTCAATATCTATCCTAGGACCTCGCATAGTGCATGGCACATGGCACGTGATGCTACTCAATAACTGTCTGTTGCCTGTGTGGTAATAGCTCACACTTACCCAGTGCTCACTGTGTGCTGGGCAGGATGATAATGTTCTCCTTGCAGAATCTCATTTAATCCTCAGGACAGTCTTTTAAGTGGCCACTCTTGTTATCCCCACTACCTTGCAGATGAGGAAACCGAGGCTTACGTATATTTTCATTCATTTATTCAACAAATATTTATTCAGGACCTGCTATGTGCTGGGTACTGGAGATATAGCAGGGTTTAAAGCACACCAAATCCTTGCTCTCATGGAATCAGCCTTCTGGGTAATTTTCTAAAATCACATAGATACTGGGTCGAGGGTAGCCCTTAAACCTAGGTGGTCTGACTCCTGAACTTGCAATCTTAACCGTTGTTTTATTGGTAGATGAATGGATTGATGAGTGTGGTGAACAAAAATTGTGACTATCCATTTCACAAACAGCTTCGTGGTTGCCCTTTAGCTCCAGCTTGGATGGTTAGATTGCCCTGTCTGAAGCTGGATTTATTTTATTTTATTTATTTTTGGAGATGGAGTCTCGCTCTGTCACCCAGGCTGGAGTGCAGTGGTGCGATCTTGGCTCACTGCAACCTCTGCCTCCTGGGTTCAAACGATTCTCCTGCCTCAGCCTCCCAAGTAGTTGGGACTATAGGCGCACACTGCCACGCCCGGCTAATTTTTTGTATTTTAATAGAGACGGAGTTTCGCCGTGTTGCCCAGGCTGGTCTCGAACTCCTGAGCTCAGGCAATCCGCCCTCCTCAGCCTCCCAAAGTTCTGGTATGAGCCACCACGCCTGGCCAAGCTGGGTCTTTTGAATGGCTATGGGTGCTCAGTGAGGCAACCCTAGGTGATATCATAACACCTCTGCTTATCCAGAAGACAATTAGTATATATGTTATCTTGTTAGAATCCATGTGCCAAAAATAGAAATAGGAAAGGCAAATAAGGATATATCCCTAGATTGTCAAAATGGTGATTCAGAATTGTGTGAGATACTGGTTTACTGCCTACAGTCACATCAAATGTGTTACAATGAGCATGTGTCTGGGGGTTCGTGGAGTAAAGGTAGGGATTATGGATCAAGGACAATGTTACCTCAAGAGCAAAGGTCAGAGACATCAAAAATAGGCATCAACAGTTTTACCATCCTTTTCCAGATAGTCCATTGTTGCTTGCACCAAGTTGAGACTTTCTTTGCAACAAAGAATGGGGGAAACATTTAAAAGGTAATAACTTTCCCTACATGTGATCTAGTCTTCTTTAATGCAGTGCCACGTGCCAACAAAAGTCTCATAAAGCACCAGTGATACAGGGTCTTGCTCAGGAAATATGTGTAAAAGAGGGGAGCTGCTGGACTTCGGAGAGCTGGGGTCCAGTGTAGGTTCTGTCACTGTGAGATCTTCAAAGTCACGCAAACTCAAGTTTCCTCTTGCGGTTTTTTTCTTCCATGGAGCATAATGGAAGTAAGACATGATGTCAGCACGCATGAACAACCTGTTTGAACTCAGTGTGCTCATCTCAGCATTAACAGAAAGTGCCTTTACAAAAGCTTTGGAGACATTAAACACGGGCCCCAGCTGGATGTGGAAACATGTAGGGAAGTACATGCCATTTGACAAGTACCTGTGAAGATGGCTGTGAACAGTCTTCATCAGGTGTGAATCGGGGATGGATTGACTGCCAAGGACTTTAGACTTGATAAGTTAGAGCCTTGGAGGCCATTTCAGATAGAAACTCTTCAAGCATCTATCTAGTCTGGTAGGGTTGCGGGGTGGAGGGCCAGGAATGCCCTGCCAAGTAAAATGTGATGCCCGAGAAGGTTCCCAATTCAGGATTCCACCTGGCTCCCACGAGCCCCGCTGTCTCTCAGGTGTGTGGAGTGTTTCTCAGTGCTCATTGCAAGGCCACCCTGAAAAGGCCCAGCGGGTGACTGTCAGGACCACAGGACTCTCCTGGCTCACTACTTCCAAAGTGCTGAGCGCCAGACAGGGCTGCAGAGAACCCCGGAAAGTGTGCATTGTTTCCACATTATTTGGAGTTTCTCACTCCCATGTTTTTTTTTTTTTTCTCTTCTCCTTCTCCCCGTGCCCAACTAGCTGCTCCTCCTGCCCTGCAGGCACTCAAGCAAGAGGCCCGCCAGAGGACAGCAACACTGATGTGCTTCGGTCGCCTCCCGCCCCTCCTGCCCTCCCCACAGATGATAGCAAAAGGGAAATTATTTTTTCTTGGGGCTGGCTTTGGTCCCCCGTGTTTTCATGAGTTTGTTTTTGTGTCTCTCGAAGCCATTTTCAGAGGCTCTCTGGTACCGGGTGTTGAGCCCTTGTCCTGATGCAAGGTCGGGAAGGGGCGTGCTCCAGGAATAAACCAGAAGGAAGGGCTGGAGGAGCCTGGGAACCTTGGGATAGGAGTGTGGGCCTCAGTAGTTGAGCTGTTTTCTCCTGGCCTGGGAAAGAAACAAGGGGTGAGGGGGTGGAAGTGGGGTCCATGCTGAGGAAGGGGTGCAAGTGCCCAACACGATGGCGGTCTCTCTCTCTATTTTTATCTGGGTGATGGGTACTAAAGAGCCTCTGTAAGGGGAAGAGAAGAAGTCACGCAAGGGCAGCCCAGAGCCCGCAGTTTCTTTAATGGGGGAGAAGGGCACATGAGATAGTCCTCACAGTTTGACAAATGTGGTGTGTTGTAAGGACGGGAGCCTTGGTTGCATTTTTGGCCCTGGCAGGGAGAGCCTCCCTTCCATTGCAGTGTTCCCCGAGTGTCCGCCAAACTGCAGCCGTCCAGGGAAGAGAAGGATTGAGTGAAGAACATGCATTTTGGGGTTTGGGATTTTTGTTATTGTTGTTAGAAACAGGGTCTCACTGTGTCGCCCAGGCTGGAGTGCAGTGGCATGATCATGGCTCACTGCAGCTTCGACCTTCTGGACTCAAGCCATCCTCCCACCTCAGCCTCCCAAGTAGCTGGGATTACACGCACACACCACCACGCCCATCTGCTCCTAGTTTTTTTCTAGATAAGCAACCTGAGACACAAAGGATAAGCATTAGCAGCTCATACACGTGACAGAGCCAGATTCAGCCTTGGCCTGACTGATTTCCACATCCAGAATTCCCCTCATATAGGGAGATAGAAATCTCAGGATCTCAACAAGGTACAAATAACGCACATTCCCAGAACATAGAGCCAGGGACAGTCCCCTCTCAGTTCTCTTCTAAAGGTGGTTCTGGCACAACAGTTGATAAAGCTGTGTCCCTGAAGGGCTTTTTAGCCCTGGGTGCTTCCTGTAAAACTTGTCAGCTTCCACTGGATCTGCGGGACTGTGTCCCTCACAGGCTGGACACCCGGCCCTGCGGAGAGGACTTGATTAAACAAGGTATAATGTACTTCTCTTTCCCATCCACAGATGGATCTGTCTGTAGAAACTCTGTTCAGCTTCATGCAGGAGCGCCAGAAAAGATACGCCAAGTATGCCGAGCAGATCCAGAAAGTGAACGAGATGTCCGCCATCCTCCGCCGCATACAGATGGGCATCGACCAGACTGTGCCCCTGCTGGACAGGCTCAACAGCATGCTGCCCGAGGGCGAGCGGCTGGAGCCCTTCAGCATGAAGCCCGACCGCGAGCTCAGGCTGTAGCTGCTGCCCGGCCTGCCTGGGGCTGGGAGCCCCAGACACCGACACCCTGAGGACGTGTGGAGCTAAGGTCATATCATCTGACCAGGTCTGGAGGCTGGCGGGAGGCTCCCTGAAAGTGGGTGCGAAGGAGTCCGGCTGGCATGAAAATCTGACTTTGCCCAGCTCTTTTCCTTGATGCAGTTTCCCGGTGTGGAAGGAACCTAACCAGTTCTCGGTGATAACTGAAGCTGGAACGTGTGAATTATTAGGAATTCTTTGAAGAACTCTGCATTGAGAATTATTTTTATTTAGTTTTTTTTTTTTTTTAATTGAGAGTATATAGTCCAGTCCAGGTACCGGAATAAAAATATGGAGACAAGGGGAAAATATTTTACGAAGCTCTGTGTTCTCAACGCCCTCATGAACTTTTCAGTAGGCTGTCTGGTTTATGTGTGGTCAACTTGAAAAACTAATTGAATCTAGGTCTCTGTATTGTTCCTGTTTCTACCCTGACTGTTTCCGTCACACCAAGCCCTTATCTGGGGCGCGTCTTCCTGCCCAGGTGGAACACTGGCATTTTGTTGACTGTCAGGTTAGGTGTCCCTTAGTCGTCATCAGAAGCTGAAGCCTTCCTTTCCACACCCTCATCAGATTCATCTCCACTGATAACCGGTTTCCTTGATGCAGACATAGTTTAGCTTTCTTTGACTGCAGAGATGTCTCATTCCACAGACATTTCTTGAACCCATTTGATGTGTCCAATATTGTGCCAGGGATACAAATATGGCCGTATAGCCTCAGGCCTTCATTTCTGAAAAGAAAAAAGCTCAAAAAGCTGCTGAATTTCTCTGGGAGTTTAGGAAAGGAAGTTATTTGAGTAACAACAAAAGTGCTTAGTGTCGTACTTTACACATCATAGGTGTTCTAATGGAAGCAAGGACTGGAGAAGCAAAGAGTGGAATGTGAGGAGCAGACCTAGGCAGACACCTTGAGACTAAAAGTCAGAGCTGAAGGGAGTCGCTGGGGCCAGGACGGCATGCAGGCCTGTACCCTGTTCCCTAAGTTCCTGCAAGCGTCGGGAGGTGTGTTTTCAGATACCAGAAAGAGCCTTCAGTAGATTCACAAGATTAAAATTGATGCGCTTAATTTAATGTATCTTGGCTAAACTTGATCTGATTCTAATCTTGGTTTGAGACAGGGTCTTGTGCTGTTGCTCAGGCTGGAGTGCAGTGGCGCAATCATAGCACACTGACTCCTCAAACTCCCGGGCTCCGGGGATCCTCACGCCTCAGACTCCTGAGTAGCTGGGATTACAGGTGTGTGCCACCAAATCCAGCTAATTAAAAAAAATTAATTAATTTTACATTTTCAAATTCAAAAGAATAATACAATGAATATTCATATTTCTTTCACCTAGATTGACAAAAAGTGGTATATTTAAGACATCACCATCATTGTCTTTCTTCTGGAGTATACAGAACCTGGTTCTGAACACAGGGATATGTTTGTAGCTTCGAGGAATGAAGGGCTGTTTACAGAGCTACAAAAATAGCTTAGGTGCCATTATCCTCACTGCACTTAATACAGGTGACACATGAAAGCACAGAGTGGGTGGCAGTTCAAGCCTGCGAGGGCCGAGCCTTTCCACTGCTGCAGCTGTTAGTGGCTGGCACAGGGCAGGATGGCAGACCTAGTGCAGCACAAACAAACCACGCAGTCAGCCAGCTCTCCAGCCAACTGTGTCTACTTCTAAAGTAGAAGTTAGACAAAACATGGGGTTCACTTAGACTGGGGTCCTGAGTAGGTGATAGGCTACTTATTACTGGGTGGAAGCGGAGAAGTATGGCAGAAGAACAATAGGCAAATTCAATACTCCCGGAAAGAATTCTAGTTAGTTTAATATTTTGATGGCATGTTGTGGTTTCTGCAGTGTCGTGAACTTGGCTAAACTGAACTGTGTTCCCAGAATTCCCTTCCTTGTTTGTTTCTCTGGTGAGGGTTGGCCACGAGAGAGATTTGCATGAGGTTTGGAAGTGGAAGTAGAGCAACAGCCATGTGTATTCACTGGAAGTGGATGTAGGTCAGGCCCTGTTCCATCACGTGCACGTTACCATGGATCTCCTGCACTTGTGGTGTGGGCAGCCGCTGGGCCCACGGCTCCTCCCACTCCCGCAGAACTCTGCCTTTGGCTTTTCCAGACCCTGGGCCGGGTATGAGAACCAGCTTCTTGGTCTGCAGCCACAAGGATGAAGGTTTGGGGATGAGAGACCAGCACGGGCTCTGATGAGAGACAGGTGCAGGTCCCAGCTTGTGGCTTGCAGGTCTCAGTCGTACTTGCTCTCCCTCACCATCCTTTCCAACCGCCTGGCCTGTGGTCTGGTGAAGAAGAAACAGCCGAACCGAGACTTTCACCAGCCCCTCTAATTGCTCAAACCGCTTTCACAATCCTCTCTTTCTACATCATTCCTAGTGGTTCTTTTCTGATGGAACCTCTGACTGGTAACATGGCATTACCAGTCCTTTCCCTCTCATGTTTTGCTATTTCCTGATGGAACCTGGGAGTCTGAGTGATTTGTATTTCAAGAAGCAGTTATGCTGGATCTCTTTGTTGGTTAATACCCCATGACCTATCTGGCCGTTATGGGATATTTCAGGGATAGGAGTTGTGAAAGAGCCCTTGGCTGGACGTTTCTAGCCTTAATCTTTGGCAAGCCATTTCATTTCCCTGAGCCTCAGTTTCCGCCTTCCTACAGCGTGAGCAGGTCTGGGTGGGCTCTCAAGCCCCTTTCAGCTCTAAGATTCCAAGTCTGTGATTCCGATACATCTTGACTACAATGAGCGTGTTTACCTTTTGTCTCTGAGCAGTGGCCCTGGGTCTTGGTAGTGACTAAATTCCGAGCTCCCAAGGTGCAGCTGCTTTTCTTCCTTTTAATTATAAATTAGCTGTTCATTGGCTGCTTCTTTCTAGAGCCTGTTTTGCTTATCTTGCAATCTGTTCATTTCTGTTGATGAACACAGTCAAATAGGCCTCTATGTGCAGTCTCCTGGTTTCCCTGGTCAAAGTGGAAGGTTGGTAGAAACTGGCCTTCATGTCTTTGTTTCCCTCAAAGTTTTATTCTTAGTAACGCTATATATGGTTTTATAGACCACACATATATAGTTTCCTGTGTCTTAGATGATAACATCCTTAAAATATGAAATATATTTTGAACCTAGATACCTACCCAGTATTCTCTGCACAGAGTAAACATTTCATTAAATGAGTTTCAAGGACTCCATACCCTGATATAGGAGTACATTCAAGAAATGAGTTTAGGCCGGGCGCGGTGGCTCACACCTGTAATCCCAGCACTTTGGGAGGCCGAGACGAGTGGATCACCTGAGGTCAGGAGTTCCAGACCAGCCTGACCAACATGGTGAAACCCCATCTCTACTAAAAAAAATACAGAAATTACCCGGGCATGGTGGCTGGTGCCTGTAATCCCCGCTACTTGGGAGGCCAAGGTGGGAGAATCGCTTGAACCTGGGAGGCGGAGGTTGCAGTGAGCCAAGTTCGTGCCATTGCACTCTGGCCTGGGTAACAAGAGTGAAACTCCGTTTAGAAATGAGTTTAGTCTGGGAGAATCTGCTTTTTGAGTAAAAAAGTTTGATTTTATGTATGTGTGCGTCTGTATATATGTTTCTGTATCCTGAGTATTTCTTTGCGGCTTCTTCAGTTATGAAAGAGGTTGGTACTGTTACCCTTACGTTATAGGTATTACAAACTCGGTTTTACAAGGTTACATAAACTAATGGCCCTGGGGCGAATGACGTATGCCACTTTTGTGTTGATTTGTAGAACTTACTTAGCTTTGGCATTTCCCCTAGTAATTCCCAAGGCAAAACCAGGAATTGTCAGAGACGTGACCAGACATGTATTAAAATTCTAGTGCAATTGGGAAACTTGGTCTTCCTGATTTGTTTATACTTCAGCCAAACCCAGATATATAGTGCTCAGCAGAAATTATTCAAAATGTTGATACTCAAGATTGAAGGATGGATTAGGGAGAAATGAAAACTTTTCTTCTTGTGGACTTTTTAGGTATGAAATTTAATCACGAGAGTAGTTTTGCTTTTCTTTCCCTGACCTTTCGCTTCATTCCTTTGTTAAGAACTATATAGTGCCTCTGAGGAGGTGGCATTATTGTTCACTAACTTACCATAAATCAGGGGTCTCCAAACCCCAGGCCACAGACTGGTACCCATCTGTGGCGTGTGAGGAAGTGTGCTGCACAGCAGGAGGTGAGCGGCGGATGAGCAGGTGAAGCTTCACGTGTTGTTGTTGTTGTTTATTGAGATGGAGTCTCGCTCTGTTGCCCAGGCTGGAGTGCAGTGGCACGATCTCGGCTCACTGCAACCTCCGCCTCCCGGGTTCAAGCAGTTATACTGTCTCAGCCTCCCGAGTAGCTGGGACTACAGGTGCCCGCCACCACACCCGGCTAATTTTTTATTTTTAGTAGAGATGGGGTTTCACCATGTTGGCCAGGCAGGTCTCAAACTCCTGACCTCGTGATCTGCCCGACTTGGCCTCCCAAAGTACTGGGATTACAGGCGTGAGCCACTGCACCTGGCCAGCTTCGTGTGTATTTATAGCTGCTCCCCATCACTCACATCACTGCCTGAGCTCCACCTCCTGTCAGAACAGACCCAGCATTAGACTCCCCTAAGAGCGTGAACCCTATTGTGAACTGCGCACGTGAAGGATCTAGGTTTTGCGCTCCTTATGAGAATCTAATGCCTGATGATCTGAGATGGAACGGTTTCATCCAGAAACCATCCCCCTGCTTCCCTGTCTGTAGAAAAATTGTCTTCTATGAAATGGGTCCCTGGTGCCAGAAAGGTTGGGGACTGCTGTCATAAATAACATTGAATTTCATGTGGGTTTTTTTTTTTTGACACACCAGGCATGTCTCTTCCATTCAAATGCTATGGCTACAGAGGGAAAGGGTAGCCAGATAATTATCCACATGCTTCAAACCAAAAAGATAAAAAAGTTGGCAACTAGATCTAGTTGCCTGCCAGGATGACCAGCGTTATGCTGGTGTGTGCGTGTCCATGCCTCCGGGATTTTTCCAGGGTTATCAATGTCAGTGTAAGATCTGATGGAATTTACCGTTGACTCAATTTTCTTCACCAATCAAGGCTCATTCCTTGAGGCATGAGTTATGCGAAAAGCTTTTCTGCACCAAGTACTTTCATTCTGGTCTTTGGAATTGTCATAATTCTGACAGAGAACACAGACCATTACTGAATGCTCTTCAGGTTACCCTATTTGCCTGTCACATTGCTTCTACCGGCCACATCCTGCATTTCCTGTGGGACAGCATTTTCAAACGGATTCTAGTGTTTGAGCTGGAACCAAAAGAATGAAACTGTTTTTACATAAGTGCATATTGCTGTCTCTGCAAATAAAGTACAACAATATGACTGACTTGTAAATATCTTCCAGGACAATGCTGTGATTTTCCAGTTGATTCTGCAACTTTAAAGATATAACCAAGTATAATTAGGCCGTTCAAGGATGAATGGGTCCCACAGAAGCTAGAAATAGTTTACTTCCTGCTTCCATTTCTAGATGCAGAAGACTAATATTCACAGAAAAATTACGTAGACAAATTTTGTTTACTAGATCTAAAACATTCCTGCTTCTCAGAAAAACAAAACCAAAGGAGTATTTAAGATAAAGTAACAGTGAACGTGTTGAGACTAAAAAGTTTCCATCAACTAGTCCCATATGCACCCTCTACCCTTCACATAATCTCTTTGGACACTCGGCTCCAATTTTGTCTTATTTTTCTTCACATCTCAATCTACACCTTCCTAATATGTCCGGAATTGGTGGATTCTTGGTTTCACTGACTTCAAGAATGAAGTCGCGGACCCTCACAGTGAGTGTTACAGTTCTTAAAGGCAGCGTGTCCGGAGTTTGTTCCTTCTGATGTTCGGATGTGTTTGGAGTTTCTTCCTTCTGGTGGGTTCGTGGTGTCGCTGGCTCAGGAGTGAAGCTGCAGACCTTCGCGGTGAGTGTTACAGCTCTTAAGGCAGCGCGTCCAGAGTTGTTCATTCCTCCCAGTGGGCTCGTGGTCTCGCTGGCTTCAGGAGTAAAGCTGCAGACCTTTGCGGTGAGTGTTACAGCTCATAAAAGCAGTGTGGACCCAAAGAGTGAGCAGTAGCAAGATTTATTGCAAAGAGCGAAAGAACAAAGCTTCCACAGTGTGGAAGGGGACCCGAGCGGGTTGCCACCGCTGGCTCGGGCAGCCTGCTTTTATTCTCTTATCTGGCCCCACCCACATCCTGCTGATTGGTAGAGCCGAGTGGTCTGTTTTGACAGGGCACTGATTTGTGTGTTTACAATCCCTGAGCTAGACACAAATGTTCTCCAAGGCCCCACCAGAGTAGCTAGATACAGAGGGTTGATTGGTGCATTCACGAACCTTGAGCTAGACACAGGGTGCTGATTGGTGTGTTTACAAACCTTGAGCTAGATACAGAGTGCCGATTGGTGTATTTACAATCCCTGAGCTAGACATAAAGGTTCTCCAAGTCCCCACCAGACTCAGGAGCCCAGCTGGCTTCACCCAGTGGATCCTGCACCAGAGCTGCAGGTGGAGCTACCTGCCAGTCCCACGCCCTGTGCCCACACTCCTCAGCCCTTGGCTGGTTGATGGGACTGGGCGCTGTGGAGCAGGGGGCGGCGCTCGGGGAGGCTCAGGCCGCACAGGAGCCCACGGAGTTCGGGGAGGCTCAGGCATGGCGGGCTGCAGGTCCTGAGCCCTGCCCTGTGGGAAGGCAGCTAAGGCCCTGTGAGAAATTGAGCACAGCAGCTGCTGGCCCGGGTGCTAAAAGCCCCTCACTGCTCGGGCGGTGGGGCCAGCTGGCTGCTCCGAGCGCAGGGTCCGCTGAGCCCACGCCCACCTGGAACTCGCACTGGCCTGCAAGCACCGTGCGCAGCCCCGGTTCCCGCCCATGCCTCTCCCTCCACACCTCTCCCTCCACACCTCCCGGCAAGCTGAGGGAGCCGGCTCCGCCTTGGCCAGCCGAGAAAGGGGCTCCCACAGTGCAGCGGCGGGCTGAAGGGCTCCTCAAGTGCCGCCAAAGTGGAAGCCCAGGCAGAGGAGGTGCTGAGAGTGAGTGAGGGGTGTGAGGGCTGCCAGTGCGCTGTCACCTCTCACTAATTTCCCCTTAGTTTATTTTTTGTTTAAAATGGAGTTTCGCTCTTGTTGCCCAGGCTGGAGTGCAATGGCGAAATCTTGGCTCACTGTAACCTCCACCTCCTAGGTTCAAGCAATTCTCGTGCCTCAGCCTCCCAAGTAGCTGGGATGACAGGCACCCACACCTGGCTAATTTTTGTATTTTTAGTAGAGAAGGGATTTCACCAGGTAGGCCCGGTTGGTCTCAAACTCCTGACCTCAGGTAATCCACCTGCCTTGGCCTCCCAAAGTGCTGGGATTACAAGCGTGAGCCACCGCCCCCAGCCTCCCCTCTTAGTTTAATTCCTGGTCTAATTGTAGTTGTCACATCCAAACCAGTCCTCCAACAATAGCCTGCTGAGGCTGGTCATGAAGGGGCTCCGAGCACTGTCAGCAACTGGCCTGAACTTCAGGCTCTCCCAAGATCTGCATCTTCTCATTGGAAGCCTCTCACTGAAACAACTGTTCCTCCTGTTACCCTCTATCTCTGGAGGCTGATTTATTCTAATTCCCTTTATTCCTCTATCTCACTTCCACCTCTTTTTCTGCAGGGTCCTGGCCAAGATAGCTCTTCTAGTCTAGCTCACCCGGCCCAATCTTTCTTATAAATTTTCTTAAATGTAACTTCAACTCAACCAACTTCAAGGTCACCTGTGATTCTTTCTGTAGTCAATATTCCATCTGTTTGCACTGAAGCTTTATTCCTTCAATGCCTAATTTTTATGAAACTGATGAGACTAAGTTTCTAGTCTCATAAGTCATCAAATCTAGTGTCATGAGCAGAGAGGTTGTTGAGATGTATGTGGCAAGGACAAAGGACAGCTCTTCAACAATTGCCCTTCCTGTTTTTCCTGTAGGAATCGTAACATCATTTACATGTTATATCGAAATGGGCCATGTGTGTGTAGCTGGCCTTTTTTTTCCTACCATGTACTTGTGTGTTCTGGAATCAGTCAGCTAGAAAATATTTACCAAGTGTCTTAGGCTTTTTCACTGTAGTGTGCATTTAACGTACACAGTAAAGAATGAAGGCTGGCACTAAACTGTTAGCTAATCATCCGGTGTTCCATGTGAATGACAGAACACGGAATAAACCTGATGACACCACCACTTTATTTTGAGCTAAATCCTCATTTAAGTGAGAACAGGACAGGTTTCACCACTGCCTCCTTTGGCAACTTGAGTGGTGGTGTTCCCACCGAGTTTATGGCTGCAAAGATAGGTCTTTTCTCGTATTTATGTATAAACAGGTACCAGTTTTGATTTTATTTAATCATTTCATACATTAACATACATGACACATCAAAATGAGAAATGCACAGTTTAACCGTTCAACAGCTGGCCTTACTTCAAAAGAACACTATATTCATATTAAACATTTACAGTCTTTCCATCTAACTTTACACATGTCCTAAATCATTTTCCAGCACTTCTCACATAGAAGTCTAGTTTTGCTCTTTAAAATCACCATCTGTATCACCCCTAGTAGACGCGAGGGTTTCCCCAATTACATGCTGAAGAGAGCCAGCCACCACCCCACCTAAAGACATCCAAGCAGCTCCAGAGCCTGCCTCCGAGGCCACCCCTTCGCCACGGCAGTCTCGATTCCAAGAACTGATTATCTGACACTAGTGAACCAGCACTAAAGGCTGTAGGATGTGACTACATCACAGTTCCAGAAGGAAGGGGGACCATGGCCAAGAGAAGCCCTAAATGACAGAAGCTCATTAAAACCAAGTCCCCCAAACCTCCTGAAACATCGTTAGCAAGGAGCTACTGCTTTCCTTTCTTAAACATGTTTTGGGCATGACCACACTCTGGAAGTGGTGAACTGTTACACATTTGGTGTGTGTGTACATAACATCAAAAACTACTGTGTGAAACTTGAGAATGTCTGATTAAAGATTTCAATGTATATCTAAAAACTAACTCAAATCGTTGACCAGCACTTTCCCAGTATCATAACAATGCGGCTGACCCTCTTCTGCCTTCACTTTACACCCCATCATAGCACATTATTTGTGCACAACTAGTGAGGTCTGTGCGGCTCATCATCCCCATAACCAAGTCGGTCTGTGTTGAGTCATATCATTCTGTGCTGGTTTTAGAAGTCACCATAGGAAACATGAAGTCACATCCTGGTCAAAAAACTGTCCATTTCTCAAAAACAGAGAAAAACCTGAGATACGAGGCAGCAACTAGCGACACTTACAGGAAGGGAAAGAACAATGACAACACCCGCCCAGCCCCACCCCCAAAAAGCTGCTGTTGTGAATTAAGGCTTCAAAAGAGGACCCACATTGTAGCTGATAAAACTCAAGCCAGGAGGATGTTTGAAAGCCAATCTGCACTATCACTTGTTCCAGTGACCTCCTATGTTCAGCTGCCAGGACCGATTCCATACAGTGATTGTAGGTTGAGGACTGAGGACGCCCCTTTGCTCTCGCTCCATTTTGATTTGCTTTTTCCACTGAAGACACGCCGGCCAGCGTTTCCAAAAACAGCTTGGCCATGGCTTTGCACTCTATTCACAACTGATCAAAACTCAATGGTCTTCTCAGCTTTCTCAACCGTTTTATTCTGAATATTCCTTCCTCACTAAAGCCTCTCTCAGCCCTACTAGTAAATGTGAAAGTCTGAGGCAATCATAGAAACATCAGCCCCATCGCATGCCGAGGGGATAAAAGCCACTAAGGAAACAGGTTTCCTGCTTCTCCTCAGCAATTTGTACCTTTCTTAATCTTCCCATAATTTACCTCCCTAGGAAGTTTCCTATAAAATTCTGCCATATTATTACATTTTACCAACTGTATCCATGCAGTGAAGCAGAAAGGGCAAAAACATCTGCTTTGGCTGAGAATTTGAAGGTGCTGCTGCTCTGCTACCAACCCAAATAAATTCACATTTGGCTTGAAACCAAGTTCATCTTTATTTAAAGGATTGACAATCCCATTTTAAACAATTCTTTGATTTACAAAGAGGGAGGTAGACTCGTTAGCCTCCCAACCTTAGCTTAAATCGTGATGTTGCCAGGTTCCTGGTGGTTCAGCTGAATCCTAGACAGTTTCCCTTCTCTTCATAAAGCTGAGAAGAAAAAAAAATTATCTCCATCTAGGCCCACGGGAATTTTGTGCATAGACAGTTTGAATTGGTCTGAAAAGTGTGACTAGCTACCTACCTATTCACAATGCCTAGAAAATGGGCTACCAGATATGGTAGTGGTCAAAGCCCCGACTTTCCTGTCTGAGGTACTGGGTTTGCTCTAAGGTAGACCTTGGCAAGGCCCCTAATGGTCCGTCCAGCAGAGTGATGCTCGTGTCCCTCGGCTGTCAGGTGAGCGTGGGTTTGTGAATCAGCTTTGGATAGGATCATTTCTCTTGGATTTACCACTAGGCTCTGTCCCTAACAGGGTCTACCTACCTGACCCCCAAGCTGGCTCAGTCTCAGCGCTAAGGTGTACTATGGAAGGGTCCGGACAAAGACTAATATTTGAGATCTCTTAGTAGCACAACGTGAAAATGGTAGGGGATTTTGTCCTCCAACACCAAAGACACTTGCTTTTTTAAGAACAAGAGGATGTGTAATTCACTGAATAAAATGGTTTTCCTCCGTCTAGGGGGGATTCTAGCATCTGCCCTTCCATTTTTGTTGAGAGAAGTATTAGCTGATCTCTCAAATGCAGATGTTAAGAGAGTAACAACTGGGTTGATCCACCTGTTGCTTTTACACCATAGCTCCATTTTCCAAAAATATATATGTATGTACATATATATATTTCAGATTTACAGGGAATTTTTTTGTGAACAAGAAAAAAAAATTGTCTATAGAAGTCACAAGTGTCTTTCTTCTCAGGAGACCTCAATGATTTCCATGCTGCCCGAAAAGCTAGACTGACTGCCCACTTTCCCCAGCTCTTCCCGTGACCTGTTCTCTGACATGATGCTCTCTCCAAATTCCATTTGGCAGCTTCTGCGTTTAAACTGCTTTTCAAAGGGGCTCTCTTCATGCCAGCTCCGCCGCGAGTCAGCTCTGTCACTTGGCTTCTGCCGCCTGCGCACAGAATAGACTTGGTCTCCGCAAGTGGGCAGCTGGCTGCAGCTGTAGGCAGAGTAACTGGCACTGCCTCCGTAGATGGCTGAGGCAGAGTAGAAGTGTGAGGACTCTGTGGCAAAATACCAGCTGCTGGTCAGGGAAGGGGTAGAGGTCTGGGGGGCCAAGATATCCGAGTGCCAGCCCTTAAGGCCCAGGCCAGCAGACTTCGTGAGGTGCTGCTGGCTGGTGGAAAGGCCGAAAAGGAAGCTGGTGTGGTAATTGTCCTCCACGCTCCCACTTCGATGCAGTGGAGATAAAAGGGACCTCTGGGCGGTGCCACTGCTGCTGGTTCTGACCGAATGCAATCGCTTGCTCTGGCTGTCTGAAGGCCTGGCGGTCTGCAGCTTCTTGGGGATGCTGGCTTCCTCCTTATCAGGACTGGTTTCGGGAGTCTGCTCCGATAGTTCCTGAACAGGGGAGAACTGGCATAGCTTGTTGGTCCCATCCAGAGTAGTGGAAGGTTTGTAGTATTCCAAAGCATCTTCTGATGAGGAGAAGCCATGTAAGGATGCTGCCATGCTGGCTGAATATGAAACTGATTTGATATCCAGAGAGAAGGAACGCTTGAGCTTATTGCTGTCTTCCAGCCTGTCTGCGGACAGGTGCAGCCCACTGAGCGCCTGTACCAGCGGGCTGTCCTCTAACAGCGACGGCTGCACGCTGGGCACGCTGGGCACGCTGGCGGGATGCACGGGCCTTTGTCCTGCTGCCTCTGAGGTAGCAGAGTCGGCACAGGGTGGACTGAGGGGCGTCTCGCTTTTCTGTCCACCCTCTGAGACAGCAGGGACAGGTTCATTTGGCTTCTCCAGGTGCAGCAGCTTGAGTTTGCTCTTTGGCCCTGATGCTCCAGTCTGGTTCTTAATCTTCTTCTCATAGTCCAGGAGTTGGCCCAGAAAATTGAAGTTTGGAGATATAGTAGGTCTTTTTTCTTTCACAAATCTGCAGAGAGAGGAAAAAACAAAAACCCGAATTTTACAACTACACTTTATCTTAAGAATATTAAGTGAATAAATGAGATAGGGAATTATCAGGCAGACCTCAAAAACTTTGGAAGATGATTGGTTTACAAGTTCGGGGAGATGCTTCAAGGTGGAGAATACAAAGGCCCTAGGCACTGGGGAAGCTTTGCACACATCCTGGAGTATGCCAGAAGAGGCAGCTGGGCCCCAAAGGCTCTAGTTTTTGTCTCCTTATTTTCAAAGGCCCAGGGCTCCCAATGCAGCTGATAAGAGATGGTATGGGGTTTTGTTGGTGGTGGTCTTTTTTTTTTTTAAGAGACAGAGACTTGTTCTGTCGCCCAGGCTGGAATACAGTGGCATGATCATAGCTCACTGCAGCCTCGAATTCCTGGGCACGTGCAGTCCTCCCACCTCAGCCTCCTGAGTAGCTGGGATTACAGGACTACACGCTTGGCTAATTTTAATTTTTAAAGTTTCTTTTGTAGAGAAAGGGTCTCACTGTGTTGCCCAGGCTGGTCTTGAACTTCTGGGCTCAAGTGATTCTCCCACCTTGGCCTCCCAAAGTGCTGGGACTACAGGTGTGAGCCACCATGCCTGGCCAAGAGATGATTATTTATTCACCACCAAGGACACCCCTGACACACACACACCAGTGCTACCATCAAAAGTACAGTATAACAGCCACTCTCCTTCTTCAATTTCCAATGTCATCCCCTCTTAAAGTCACCAGTCACTTCTCAAGACAGTTCACATTTTAAATTTAATGACAAAAAGAAGATGGTATCAGATGATCAAAGTATCAAAGCAACACTTCTTTTTATAGTCAACATGACAGACTAACCAAGACAAAGTGGTCTCTGTGTGCTAAGCACTGTGCTTATGCACTGAATCATCATTTCATCCTCAGAACTACCCTTTATCAGGTGGGTGTCATTATCCCCATCATATAGCTCCACAGAATCCTTAAGTGACTTGCCCAAAATCACACAGCTACTAAATGATGGTGCTGGATTCAAAACCAGGCTGGTCAAATATCTGGGTCCATTTTTGTAACCACTATGTTAAAAAAAAGATTCATCAAAGGATCAAAACTAATACTAGATGGCTTTCATGTTTCATGGAGGAAATAAAGACTCAGAGATGACAGACCAATTCTTCAGCGGCCCCTGCACCTCATGGATACTTTTCAGGTGATGGAGGAGTAGAACTACACTGAAAATTTGCATTTGAATAAGGAACAAGGAAAAAAAAAACTTGGAAATCAAGTAACCTAAAGCAAATTCACAAAAATAGAAATAACTGGCTCAAGAATAACAAGTATAAATGTAGGGTGCTCATAATGAGACTTCATAACGTGATAGAAGGGTGCCTTTTCTTCTGATTTCTACATGGAGCAGGAGGACCTCAGGGAGGTCTGAACGGCGGCATGAGAGCTCGTGCAGATGACCAGAGGACCCACGTCCTCCAGGCTGCTGACTTAACATGGGAAGCTGTTTGGGCAGCTCATTTCTGTTTTCCAAACTTTGCAATTTGAGAAAAAAAAAATCCAACTGTTAAATCAGGCCTGCTCCATGAGTCTCTATATTTTTGATTCCTTATCAGATAAAAATGAACCATCTCTACCCAACGATACATGCAGGGGAGTCAGACAAATCAGAGACTGGAGGCAACCCAGTCAAAATCACACACACACAATCTGGCCGACTCTAGAATGTAGGAAATTTTACTGAAGAATGGAGTCTGACAGTTAATCTGGTTCATATTTGCATTTATGAGGCTTTTTCTTCCCAGCAATCCAAAGTTTGAAGCAGAACAGAGATTCTGCAGTGAGCATTCTATTAGAGCTTCCCCCCATCATATGCAAATTAAAACAAAGGATACTTTTGCATTTAGGGAAAGCAATAAACTCATGTAACAGGATAGAGATCTCTGCCTGGATCTGTTGTTCCTTAAACATAAAAAGTGGCTGAGGATGAGTCTGACACATGTGAAGGCAGAATTAATGCTAAATAGTAAAACAGCATTCTTTTCCAATCTTCACAAGACCATTAAAAAATCCACAGTAACCTGTAAAAAATGTGACTAAAATAATCATGATCTGCTTTAATTTGGTTACCCATCCTCATCATTCTTTATGTTTCAGGTCAAATGAAAAGCCAATCACAGAAGACATTTTCCTGCCCTCACCTGTAAGCTTCATCTAAAGACATGTCCATCCTCTTCATGATGTAGGCGATAGCGATGGTGGCGGAGCGGGAGATCCCAGCTAAACAGTGCACTAGAACACATCCATTGGAGGCTTTTGCTTTCTCTGTATAAGTCAAATGCAAGAAAGGTCACTACTAACTATTTTGTTCAGCAGTGAAATCTTGTTTCCATTTACTTACTCAGTGTCTTCCACCTGAAAACCTCTACGCAAATCTCATCTGTGTATATCATATTTATCCTCGCAATATTCTTTTGAGGAGGCAGGGGAAGATAATTCCCTCACCACTGACATGCAGGACAACTGGGGTCCAAAACTGTTTGTTAATAAGCAATTCGTTAATAAGCAAGCTACTACTAACTCAGGTTTCCTGACTTATGTTAGTATTTTCCCCTAAGATATGGGTAATATTTAATATATTCCTGTTATCTGACACTTCAAATTTTTCCCTGATTACCTAAGAAATATAATTACATTTTTTAAAATCATTATTACTATTTTGAGATAGAGTCTTGCTCTGTCGCCCAGGCTGGAGTGCACGATGTCGGCTCATTGCAATCTCCGCCTCCCGGATTCAAGTGATTCTCCTGCCTTAGCCTCCAGAGTAGCTGGGATTACAGGTGTGCAGCACCACGCCTGGCTAATTTTTCTATTTTTAGTGGAGTTGCGGTTTCACCATGTTGGGCAGGCTGGTCTCTAACTCCTGGCCTCAAGTGATCCGTCCACCTCAGCCTCCCAAAGTGCTGGGATTACAGGAGTGAGCCACTGCCCCTGGCCTCCCTATTTTAAGCAACTTTTCTGTATGTCATAAAATGGCTCAACTTTATTTACTGAGTTTTAGAAGAAAACCTTGTATAGGCTATGAATCAGGTTTAGCAGGTCACTTTAATGAGATCCAAGAGAACTTTTATCCCTTCCTTGATACCAGGAGTTATTGTCTTATGGCATTATCTCAATTCCCCACAACATGATGGAAGGACTCACGGACACTTTGTTAGAACCAAAGAACCAAGGAAATCCAAGCAGTGCTGCCATCTCTCACTGCTGAGGGGCTTAACAATATGTACATGTGGCAGGGGACGAGGTTATTCCACACAGCCTGGAAGCTACTAACATTCTGGCCAGTTCCATGACTGCCTCAATTCTAAATAATTACATGTGTGCTCAGTCATGAAGCTGAATTCTCCCCTTTTCATTCTTGGTAGATACTACCAAAAGTCTACTGAACCTTGTGTTAAAATTCTTGCGATTAACAGATGCGCAAAGAATCTTACTTTGGCAGCTGAATAATACAAAGCTATTCAATCTCACTGCCTATGCTATAAATATAAGTTTCTAGTGTAATGATTATTATATATAACATAATTATTCATCATATATAAAGCAACATACAGGTTTTGGGTAGCATATGAATAATTAAGCAGCAAGCAGCTTCCCTTCTAGATCAGGAAACCAAACACAATAAAACACTAACAAATGAATACCAAGCAACACTCAAACAAAGAATTGCATGCTATACAAGTAAGAACATATAAACTCGTGTACACAGTCTCATGCCTTCCTGTGCCTCCAGCATCCCCTTCCTTCTCAGCTATCATTTACCCCACGTTACTCTCAGTGTTTCCTTCCCTTTCTGCCCTACTGCTAAGAAGCTCAAAGCTAAGGTTTCTACTCAATTTCAATAAGAAGTAGCAATTCAGACTTTTTGTCAGTTACTGTACATTTCCTAGCCCCTATTACTTGATTATTGCTCCTTTATACCATTATAATGTGTATGTGTGAGAATATGTGTATCTTTTGGTTCTAACCTATTATTGAAAACTGCTTCAAATCCTTACTGGAAGGAGTCTGGGTTTTTGTTTTTTAATGTTGACAATACTCTCTCATTAATTTTAATAATTATCTATCTCAAAACCTAGATTATAAGGACCTAGAAGGATCTTGCTTGCTTCTAACAATCCCCCAAAAGACTTAACGCTAGGCACATGGTAGGCATCCAGCTGATACTGGCTGATACATATTTTCAAAAGAGATTTTAATAAAAAAAGAAGAAGGCTGGAAGGAAATAAAACAATGACAGTAACATGCGTTACGATGTTGAGGTTATAGGTTTCCTTTTCTCTGTTTTTCAAATTTTCTGCAATGTGCTTACAACTGTTTTTATAACCACAACTCTTTTGATGACGTCTTTTAAAAATGAAAAAAACAAGTGACTATACTGGAGTTGAGGTTCACCAGCATGCATCTTGGGAGACATGAGCCCTAAACTGTGTCTTCAAGCAAAGGAATTAATTTAACACACACAACTGGCAGAGAGGAGAAGGGAAATGTGTGCGAGAAAGCCCTGCAGTGGGACTGAGCAAAGTGCTCATTCGAAAACAGCCTGCCTTGGAGAAGAAACCAGAGAGAAGGTTTGAGAAGGTTTCAAAGGTGGGAAGCAGGTGTTTGAGGGTGGTGGGAATGTTAGGCTAAGGGCTACATTTGTTTTTTCAGACAGGGTCTCACTCTGTTCATCCAGGCTGGAGTGCCATAGTGCAAACATAGCTCACTGTAACTGTGAGCTCCTAGGCTCAAGCGATCCTCCTGCCTCAGCCTCCCAGCTAGGACTACAGGTGCACACCACCATGCCTGGCTAATTTTTGAAAATTTTTTGTAGAGACAGGATCTTGCTATGTTGACTAGGCTGGTGTCAAACTCCTGGCCTCAAGCAATCCTCCCGCCTCCGCTTCCCAAAGTGCTGTGATTGATTACACACGCTGCACCTGGCCAAGGCTACCTTTTTAACGCAGAAAACTAAGAAGCCTCTTCAGGTTTCTGAATAAAGAACGAGAAGGCAATGATGATGAAAACTGGAAACAAGCAGGTGGCCATTACCGCAATTAAGGCTAAAATCTAGGTTAAGAAAGGGGAGAGAGAACTGCAAATGAAAAGGGCAAAGATGCAGTGAGGATGAGAAGTTACAAAAGCTAAAAAGAAGGAAGTAATACTAAGAGGTGTTACAGAGTCCAGCTCAAAGGACAGAAAAAAGGAGGAACTTCAGATAACAATTTTTAAAATACTTATTAACAGCCAATTATGAGTCAGGTACTTTACAAGGTGTTCAATGGACATTATCTATTTTACTTATTTTTATTTTATCTTTTTGGTTTACTTTTTTTCTTTTTTTTTCATTTTACATTATCTATTTTAATCCTCACAATATCCCTGTAAGGTAGGTATATTACCTTCAGTTTCCAGATCAAGAAACTGAAGTGCACAGAAGTTTGAAGTAACTTACTCAAACCACTTCACTAATAACCAGGGTAGGCAGGACTCAAATACAGACAGTTTGCCTCCAAAATACATGGTCCTAATCACCTCCCTATGTTGTGTCCATGCAGTCACGAGTTTGGCATGAGGAGAGCTGGAGGAAGAGCCCAGGAGACAGTGAAGAGGAAGCAAGAGGCTGTATATGTAGCCAGCTGGGTTTGGGGGCACCTCATGAGTATCCCATAGCACAAACGGGCAAACTCTGTTACTGGCACATTAACTAAAAGACAAAACTCCACATAAACCTGAGTCCTTCCAACCAACCCGGAGACTTACCCAAATCTAATCTAAATAACAACAACAAAAAAGAAAAAATCACTATGAGCCTGTAAGTCATTAAGGGGGTACATCTTCAAATGACATGCTATCACTAACCATGGCTTAAAACCCCACAGATCCCTAAAACTTAAAGTATAATAATAAATAAAAATAAAAAAATTTAAAAATTAAAAAAAAATTTTACATTTATCTTTAAGAATTTGTGTTTGAGAATAATTAGCTCTTGCCATTCTACTACTCTGTATGTATGTGGGTTATCATTCTTGTGTCTTTCTTCTGCTTGAGTAAATAAAAAGCAAGAACAACAACAAAAAACCCCACAGAGGAGAAGACTTAGCAATTGTAGTGAATATGGGCTGAATTCAAAAAGTGGCCTGGAGATTTTGCCTTGAATTACTTGGGTGGGATAAGGATGATGGCTCTAATAGAACCAAGCAAATGAAATACTGATAAGTATTTGCAGATATTACAAATAAATTATAATATGTATTTTGTGTGTATGTGTTTAACCAAGTTGCAAAGTAGTTAAAGTTCTTTTGTATGAATGAAAGTGGCAGGATGACCCCAATATCTTCCATGAAAGGAAAAAATAAGTTGGGAGCAAAGTTATTCATATTCTCTATTCTCTTCTCTTTTCTACTAAACTTTGTCTCCTAAAGCCCACACATTGTCATGACTTAAGAAAATCATGTTCTCTTCTAGGTAGATTTTGATATCTGATTTTTAGCTGAAATTAGAGCCAATGTCTCTGGAAGTGACGTGCAATGGGAACATTAACCGTAATTTATTTTTTTTATTTTTATTTTTTTTGAGACAAAGTCTCACTCTGTTGCCAAGGCTGGAGTGCAATGGCGTGGTCTCGGCTCACTGCAACCTCCACATCCCAGGTTCAAGAGATTCTCCTGCCTCAGCCTCCCAAGTAGCTGGGATTACAGGTGCCCGCCACCATGCCCGACTAATTTTTATATTTTTAGTAGAGACGTGTTGGCCAGGCTATCGCAAACTCCAGCAACCTCAGGTGATCCCCCCATCTCGGCCTCCCAAAGTGCTGGGATTACAGGCGTAAGCCACCATGCCCAGCCAATTGTTATTTTTTAAAGAGACAAAAACAATGATTTGCTGAATGTTTTTTAGAAGTACAATGGGAGGGTGTGTGTTAACTTGTGGGGGTTTGTTTGTGATTTTTTTTTTTTTTTTTGAGATAGAGTTTCACTCTGTTACCCAGGCTGGAGTGCAGTGGCGCGATCTTGGCTCACTGCAACCTCCGCCTCCTGGATTCAAGCAATTCTCCTGCCTCAGCTTCCCAAGTAGCTGGGACTACAGGCATGTGCCACTACGCCCAGCTAATTTTTGTATTTTTAGTAGAGGTGGGGTTTCACTATATGTTGGCCAGGCTGGTCTCGAACTCCTGACCTCAGGTGATCTGCCAGCCTCGGCCTCCCAAAGTGCTGGGATTACAGGCGTGAGCTACCTGGCCATTTGTTTGTGATTACTTTAATATGAACTAAGTCATTTATCTTCAGATGTTTCACAGAATGAATCCTAATTGAAGATGAAACCCTCAGCAACCTGGAAATCTTGAAAAAAAGGCAAGTGTTTTGGAATTACTTAAAGTTCCAAAAGCATTAAATAGAATATTCCCCTCACAGGTGAAAATTATAATATGGGGCTTAATATACATAATTCCACTTTTTGTTTTTGAGACAGGGTCTGGCTCTACTGCCCAGGCTGGAGTTCAGTGGCACAATCTCAGCTCACTGCAACCTCCGCCTCCTGGCTCAAGCAATCCTCCCACCTCAGCCTCCCGAGTAGGCGGGACCACAGGTGCACTGGTAGAGACAAGGTTTTGCTATGTTGCCCAAGCTGGTCTCGAACTCCTGGGTTCAAGTGATTGCTTGCCTCGGCTTGTTAAAGTGCTGGGATTAAGGCATAAGCCCCTGTGCCTGGCCAATTCCACTTTTTTTTTTTTTTTTTTTTTTTTGGAGACAGAGTCTCACTCTGCTGCCTAGGCTGGAGTGCAATGGTGCAATCTTGGCTCACTGCAAGCTCTGCCTCCCGGGTTCATGCCATTCTCCTGCCTCAGCCTCCCGAGCAGCTGGGACTACAGGTTCCTGTCACCTCGCCCAGCTAATTTTTTGTATTTTTAGTAGAGATGGGTTTTCACTGTGTTAGCCAGGATGGTCTCAATCTCCTGACCTCATGATCCACCCGCCTAGGCCTCCCAAAGTGCTGGGATTACAGGCGTGACCCACCGCGCCTGGCCAATTCCACTTTTTTGAAAGAACTAGTTCTTTTATTTTTAATTATGGTAATGGTAACCAATTCAGAGTAATTATGGATTAGGGTGCTCCAACTTATGTAACTGGGGGAAAAAAAATTCCTTACATGGAACATCAAGAGTCACTGTGGTATGTTGCTCAGGAGCTAGCAGTGTTTCTCCTCTGCTCAGCCACTGTCCACTAAAGCCACATTCCAAATACACATCACCAAGTTACCACCCAGCAGATCTGATCCTGTGGCACCAAAATGCCTCAGCAGTAAGTACCCAGGGGCCAGAGAAGCTCCAGAATTGAACAAGCCCAGGAAGCACAACAAAGTATGGCACAGATGAGATCCCGTCAAGACCATTGCCAGGAAAATAACCAAATGAGAGTGTGTGTGTGTGTGTGTGTGTGTGTGTGTGTGTGTGAAAATTCTGTTAGATCAAACACTACCTGAAATTATTGGCATGTGGACCCCGGCTCAGAAACACTGACATAAAGACTTAAATGTAATGGGATTTGTTTTCAAAAGATTTGACTTTTCTCTGTAAAAAACACAGCAACAAGGCAACAGGGAATATTACCAAAGTTTCCCAAAGGCTTGTATAGGATTTGAAAAAGTTGGGGGAAGAATTTAACCCTAAAAGCTTAACTGATTTTCAAACACCTGCAAATACATAATTACAGATCCTGTGAAGCTTAACCTTGGTGGTGTTAAATGTTAGCTAGAATGTCACAAGGCCAGTCCTTAGGGACAGTGTGACACACACGTCACCTTGACCACCAGATGAGTAAGCTGCACCACGTGCTGTTTTCAGACTTTTGAAATCTCTGAAATAGGCTCCTTTTCTCTAAAGAAAAAATGGGGGGCTGAGGGGGTTCACCTACACATGAGACGATCACCCACAGGACCTGCAATATTATTTGAGCTACTTACCAATGAAATCTACTGATTTGTCCAACCACGGCAAAATTTTCTCACAAAAGCTGTCATTCACAGGCACACGCAGGAAATGAGACTCGGGGATAAAGTCAGGCTTTGGACAGGTATTGCTGGCATTTAACACATAACCAATCCCATTCTGCTGCATCAGCTCCTATGGAGAGAAAGAGTAGCAGTTAAAGTGACTAATAATATAGTAAACATGATCATTCTGAAAGAGTGAAGTTTAATGTGATGATAAAAATGCCCAGTTTCCTTGAAATATAATTCATTCAGATCAGTGAAGTCCAAAAACCTAGCAAAATGACATCTAGAGACAAGTTTAAAGAAAAAAAAAAATTTAAGGACAACAAACGCTATTTAAAATAGTATGCTTGAAGCCCACACATCATTCATATAGTCAAGTCTCTATTATCTTCATTACTAGAGAGAGAAGTGGAACAAAGAATACAAAAGAAAACAACAGTTTATATGATTTTAGAATATATGGACACACAACATTTTCTTCCCACACGGAACACGCTGGTTCTCTAAGATACAATTCTAGTCATTCTTCTCACTCTAAATACTCTCTTTGAAGGCTGCACTTACTTCTGTAGTCTTAATTACCAGTTCTACATGCTGATGGCGTGTGTGTGTGTGTCCTCTTAAATTTCCAACCCGTATCTCCAACTACCTACTGACTATCAGGATGTTCCACAGGCCCTTCACATTCAAAATGTCAGAAACTAAACATATTCTCTTTTTCCCTTTTCTGCCCCCAACTCCTGCCTCCTCTCTGTAATCCCCAAATTGGTTTAGGGTAATAACATCGACCCAGCCAACTAAGCTCGAGAATAAAATGGGGCTCCTTTCTCTTCCCCATGACCCTCATCCAAATGGCTGCCAAATCCTTTTGGAATAACCTCTTCCATTGATCCTCTCTCCTCTCTATACCCATTCACTGCTCAGTAGCCAAGATAACCAAAAAAGCCACCAGGAGCTCTTGAAGTTTGCAGTGGTTTTCTCTCCAAACCATGTTCTGAACAACTAGAGGAATCTTTGTTATGATTAACCCCAAGCTGGGTGCTTTATCCACATTCTTTTCATTTCCTTGAGTCTCATTTCCTGCTCCTGTCCCATATAGCACCCCCAACGTCAAATGTATACCCACCCTCTGTTCACACGATTCCTGTGCTTAGAAGGCCCTGTCCTTCTTCCAGAAGACACTCTTCCCACTTTTCCTACTTTAACCTCATCTGTGAACTCTTTCCCACTCATGCATAATTAACCATTCAGTTCTCTGTCCTTCCAAAGTACTTTGTTCACACCATTAATTAAGCACCTACCATAGTGTGTTACCATTAACAGATAATTCTCATCTCCCCTGTTATGTAATGAAGTAATGAGTAAGATCTTGGACCGCGTCTTGTTTTTGCACCTTCAGCCCAGCTATAGAATTGCACTCAAAACAATCTGTTCAACTGACATCCATCCACCATTTAGCAGGCAAGCCCACACAAACCCGCTTCATTTAGTCATCCCCCTGCTGCCTCTCAGGAGACGTTCCAAGCCTGGAATAATTATCTTAGTCTAAGCAATCTTGGTCATTTCTTCCTTCTCTTGGAATACTACCTTTTCTACAAATCTTTTCCAACTACCTGAAAGAAAATGGGCAATTTTCTTCCTATATTACCCTTCTGAAACATGCCAGTTCCCTAATCTCTTCATTTACTACATTTGGCACAATAAATATACTTTATTTTACATAAAAGGTGAACAGCAGCCGGGCGCAGTGACTCATGCCTGTAATCCCAGCACTTTGGGATGGCCGAGGCAGGAGGATCACCTGAGGTCGGGAGTTTGAAACCAGCCTGACCAACATGGAGAAACCCCAACTCTACTAAAACTACAAAATTATCCAGGTGTGGTGGCACATGTCTGTAATCCCAGCTACTCGGGAAAGTTGAGGCAGAAGAATCGCTTGAACTCAGGAGGCAGAGGTTGTGGTGAGCTGAGATCGCGCCATTGCACTCCAGCCTGGGCAACAAGAGCAAAACTCCATCTCAAACAAACACACAAACAAAAAAGTGGACAGCATAAATCCAGATTGTGTATGCAACCATCTCTTATCTCTGAGATGACAATGTCAATAAACAGCTTTTGGAACTAGGTGGATTTCTTAGATTGGCCAACACCCTTCAGCTATGCCAGAGCCCAAGTCTTCTGATGGTCTCATGCTTCTGTTAGGTTAACAATCAGGCTACGTAGATCTTAATGGTATTTACTACAACCTTTAAACTTTTGTACATGTAGCAAAGGTTACATTTGTTTTTCTATGTGTGAACCCAAGGTGAGTTTATCTAGTACTATCTGATCAACAACAGGGTGCAGAAACTGATTCAGGATCACTCATGTAAGAACAGAAGTGGGTCACTGGAGTTAAATCAGCCTTTGAGGACTTTCTCACCAATAGTCCTTTCCACCAACGGTACTACATTTTTCTCCTTTCCACCAATGGTACTACAGATATGTTAAATTAAAAGTAAAGGAATTAGTAATATCCCTATCCACTCAATTCAATAATGAAGAAATTACAGAAGTTTCTGAGAAATGAGGTGACTCTAATAGTGTTACACACTGTACACAATCAAAAGACAACAGGAAATTCTAAGAGAAAACATGTTGCAAGTCAATAAGGACTGTCAAAATTGATTTTCCATAGAAAAAATACGATGTACACTTCTGACAAGTAAACTTAATAGCCTACATTTTAAAGAAATGACAACCTATATTAAGTCAAAAAATATTTATTGAGCACCTTTGTTAGAGACCTTTTAATTAGACAATGACACACGGTACTGATTAAGAAAATCATATCTAACATTTAATGAATGCCTACAATGTGCCAGGTACTGTATTAAGCATTTAAATGGACTGTCTCATTTAATTCTCACAACCACCCTTTGATGTGGGTTCAATTATTGACCTCCTGGGGTCAAGTGATCCACCTGCCTCAGACTCCTGAGTAGCTGGAACTACAGGCATGTGCCACTGCTCCCCTCAAATTTTTAAACATTTTTTTTGTAGAGACAGGGTCTCGCTGTATTGTCCAGGCTGCTCTCAAACTTATGGCCTCAAGCGATCCTCCTACCTTGGCCTCCCAAAGTGCTTGGATTATAGGCATGAGCTACTGTATGCAGCTAGTAAAATATTTTAAACGCAAAATGGACTGAGAAAAAATTAAATAATTTCAATGGCTTTATTTATAAAATTTTTAGCTTAAAAGGTCTATTGATTAAATCTACTATCCAGATGCTACCTGAAAATTTTTTTGGAATAGTAAGATGGGACTTGATAAATAAAACAAGTACAATTTGTAAAAACAAACAAACCAAAAACAAAAAAAAACCCTTAAATACTTAATATAATTTGGCTACTAAATTAAATATCATAAATAAGTGCCTTCTTATCTGGATTGGTAGTCAGTGGAAAAAGTCAGTTAAGGGGGAAATCATTAAAAATGATATATACATACTCGAAACATCATTTTAACTTAAAACAAATAAACATGCATGAATACACTGATTTCTGATGCAGGACCACAGCTTCTTGTTTTCTAGGTTAGCTGACTGGAGTTCGTAAGCAAATCACACCTAAGTGCATCTACCACTTCTACTTTTCATTTTTTAAAGAAGAGCAGGAACTTGTAAAACACTATCAGTGCCAAAGCCTTCTAGATTAAAACTGTCCCCCAAATACTTTACAGCTCCCTTATTCCCACCTAATTTGACAAACATATATATGGCAATCTGTCTTTCCTGAATCTTTCCAAAACACCTGACTTAGGTCACAGAAAAGCATCCCTCTTCCTTCACATTTCATTGGTGTATGTCCTATTTTAATTAACATACATAATTATAATAACAAGTCCAGTGGCCTAAAGTTCGAGAACAAACACAACTGATTCTTGGTAAGTATACTATTCAAATGGTGGAGGCAGACGTGCTACAGCAAAGAGCCCACTCATGCAGCAGGCATTCACCTTCCAAAGATGTGGGGAAAAGATGTCGTGAAATCTCTGGAGTCAGTTAAGAAAGTTTCTAAAGTTTCATGTAACTGTTGTTAGTTTGCTCTCTTGATTTTTTTAATTTTTTTTTTTTTTTACAAACTTCAATACAAATGGCTGGGAGGGGATCTTAATTTTTGTTGGTGTTTTTAAGACACAGGGTCCCACCATGTTGTCCAGGCTAACCTCAAACTCCTGGATTCGAGTGATCCTCCCGTCTCAGCCTCCCGAGTAGCTGGGATTACAGGCGTGTGCCACCATACCTGACTCATCTTATTGTTTGTAATGGTGAAACTGAGATGGAACTATAATTATGAAGAATGAGTCTGATTCTTTTGTGGAATAAGGATTGCTTTTATTTATAGATACGTATCAATGACTTCTTACTAAATTATAAAAAGATATTTATATAATTCATTCAGTTTAGTTTCAGCATGCTGTATAAAACATACACAACTGAATATTTACTCTGCCCTATAATTAAACATCATAATCTTTAAGCTTCTAGAGAGCAGTCACCATATGCTGTTAAATATTTAGCTCAACTTTGTGCTAAGTCTGCAAATACACACTTTCTACTGATTAGATAATCCTTCTTCACTGGCCTTCAAAGATCCTTCCAACACCTTGGCCTCACAGTTCTTTGAACTCCTCATCTTGGCCTCTCACTCTCATGAGATCTAGCCTGGTCTCTGTCATTACCAATTACCACAAACCCTCCATAATCTTGATTTCATGCACCCTTCCACTTTCCAGCTCACTCAAGATCTCTTATACTACACTACACCCAGAATCTGTAAACCCCTGCAGGAGGACCTACAGTCTGATGATCTACTAATTTTCTCTGTCCTTCATCCCCATGATGTCTGTCTGCCTTCCTTGCCCAATGTAAATTCTATAATCAGTTATTACAATCACTCCTTTCCTTTTACCCCAACTTCCTCTGCCCTCATCAATTGTTCGTACTCACTTGGCAAGATTACAACCCTAGTTAAGTCTAATTCTCCACCTAGTCAGCACTGCCCATGCCACTGAACATGGCCAGAGAAAAACACTCCACAATGCTACCTGATCTAACTTTCAATTCATACTCCTCAGCAATCTCTGTATTTCCCCAGTCCATTCACTTTTTCTCTTTCCCATATGCCATTCTGTTTCCCTTTTTCTTCAAACTCCCTATATGTCCCCACTCATCTTCACTCACAGCTGAAGAATGACCTTGCTTCCTACTACAATGGAAAAACTGAAACAGTCAGAGGCAAATTTTGATAGACTTCCATCACCACATTTACCCATCTCTCAGCAAATGCGCCCAGATATAATGCCTTCCCACCTGCTGTTTTGGGCGAACTGTCCATACTCGTAAGGCCAATCCCTCCGCTTGCTAAATAAATCCATCCCCTCTTGCTCAAGAACATAGCTTTGTGATTCTCCTTTCTCCTACATCAATTTTCCACTGTACAGGATCATTCTTCCTACCTGCAATCAAACAAACCATTATTTCTCCCACCTTAAAAATATCTCCTCTCAGCTTCGCGTCTCCCTCCAGCCATTACCCCATATCTTTGAAATTCCTTGAAAGAACCCCTTCTACTTGATATCTCCAGCTCCACTCCTCCTGTTATCTCCTGAACCCACTCCATTCAGGCTTTCACCCCCAACACTCTACCAAAACTGCTCAATGATCACCAGCGATAGTCATGTTGCTAAATCCAATGACCAATTCTCAGTCTTCATCTTTCTTGACCTAAAGTACTACTTGGCACACTCGACTGCTCCTTCCTCCTGGAAAACACGTTGTTTATTTGCCTCCCTGATTACTTGATTTCCTTCCTTCCTCAATATTTACTTCTCAATATTCTTTGTTGGGTCATTCTCAACTCCCCAGACTTTCAGGGTGGGAGTGCTCACGGCTCAATCCTTTTCTCATCTATATTTTGCCTCTTAGTAATTATCTGATCATCTCTTATGACATCAAGTACTGTCTGTATGTTAATGACTCCCACCTTTATACCTCCTCCTTCAGGGATCCCCCTGCCCCATTCATACATCCATCTGTCTACTCAACATCTCCACTTGGAAGTATAACAGGCATTTCGAACTCAGCGTGTCCAGAACTGACTCCTGCCCTTCCTACAGACTCCATCTCAGTTAATGGCAACTGCATCTCCGAGTCTCCTTGACACCTCTCTTTTTCACACACCCCTACCATCCAATCCTATTGGCTATACCTTCAATATAGAGCCCAAATCTCACCATTACTGCCACCTTGACTTCAACACATTACCATGGAGCCTCCTAACCGGCCTTCCTGCTTCCATCCAGTAGGAAATTCAGGCTATTTTCAACACAGAAGCTAAAGTGATCCTAACAATGTAAGTCAGATTATGTTGCTCCTCTGCTTGGAACCTTCCAATGACTCCCTCTGAACTCTTTTTCTCAGAGTAAAAGCTCCCGTCTTTCCAAGTCCTATGCAGAAATCTTGTATTGTCTGGATCTGCTCCTGTTACCTCTCTGACGACACTCTCCCATGCTCACTCTGCTCCAGCCACACTGGCCTCGCTCTTCCTTTAGCATACCACATGTGCTTTGCCTTGGTGGCTTCTTCTGCCTGTACTGCTCTTCCTCCAGATATTCAAATGGCTTACTCTTTGACCTCCTTTGAGTGTTTGTTCAAATGCCTCTATCTCAATTAGGCCACTTTGATCACCCATTTAATTACAACCCACACCTCACAGGTAATCCCCAGCCCTCTTACCCTGTTTTCTTCATAGCACTCATACTGTACTATACTATGTAATTTACCTATTTATTATGCTTCCTATCAAGTTTCTTTCTCCTAGGATGTAAGCTAATGAAAGCAGAGATTATTGTCTCATTTCCTGGTGTACCCCCAGCACCTAGAACACTGTTTGGCACATGGTAGAGGCTCAATAAACATTTGTTGGGCGAATACATGAACGAACCCTTATCCCTGAAGCTGACTAAAATCAGTATCTAGTAACTGGTTTATTAGCATCTTCTAATGAGAAACCTTCATATATGTTCCTTGCACATTTTCATTTTACAAGTCACTGTAAAATATCATTAACTTACATTCATTTCATAATTTAAAAAAGACTGTTTTTCCTGGGTTGAAAATTTTAGATTCTCAAATTCATTAACAGAAGGTTTTCTGAGTAAATTAACAGAAGGTGTGTTTACTTAATGTTTAAGGACATGTACATTTCATACAAGTTGCATGGGTTACAAATTAGGATATAACTATTTATTTTGAAAAATAATCACCAAGGGCTTACTATGCATCAAGGTATTCTGGGGCATAAAAAAGCAAGTGTTCTCACTGAGGGATGAATAGTCTACTAGCAACTGTAAGACAGTTGCACGAATAATGATGATACAAAGAGGTATCCGATGAATATAATGTAGCAGGATAAACAAAATGGCAGTGGAAAACAGGAGTAAAACCAAAGGGAAGGATTCTGAGAAGACTATTTATAATGGGAACTAAAATTGTCAGCTGAAGCTCAGATGGCGGTAGAGGCATTCCAGATGGAGTATAGAAAATGAATGAAGACCAAGGACAGGACAGAAATATCTGGGGTGCACTCACTAGGTGAGTGTGTCCAGACATTGAAAGAGGATGAGCAGAGGAAGAGAACAGGAGAGGTAAGAACTAAAAAGGTGGTATTAGGTCCTGGAAGGTCTTAAATATCAAGCTAAAGAGTTTTACTGCCAAGCTACAGAACTTTATCAAATGCCATACTGAGAAGACTGATCGATTTATTAAAGCAAACTCCTAAAGGATCTCTTCTTGGAAACAATTCATTAGTGGTTAGTGTGGAATCTCAGTGTGGCACGGAATAAAGTAAAGTACATGGGTAACGGCCCCAGAAAAACCAGAGCACAGCCCAGCGCATTACCACTCATCGCCTGGGTGATCTTGGGAAGGTTACCTAACCTCCGGTAGCTTTAATTTCCTCACCTGTAAAATAAGGCTAATGATGTGTATTTTGTAAAGCCAGTATGAGGATAATAAAGTGCCTGACACATAATATAGGGTCCCCTGAAATGTTAGTTCTCTTATTTTATCTTGTTGTAAAAATTGCTTGTAAATTGTATGGTATATGAATTATATCTCAGTAAAGCCATTACAAAAAAAAAAAAAAAAAAAAGCCCATGATGTATATTTTTCACTAATCCAAACTGTCTTTTCTCCTAATTGGTGTTAAGTAGGGAAATTACATTGAATACAGCAGGCGAGGTTCATCTGCAAAGTGAAGACATACTCCCCCTAAGGATTTAAATAGTGATTCTAGTTTCAACACACAGTTGAGTAAACTTTCAAAAATGATTATCTGTAAACCAAGACAAATTTCATTTTATTATTATGATTTCCATTCACAACTTTTCTCCCTTGAAAACTTTCTCTCTCCTAACCCTGAAATAAGCTTTCTCCTGCAGTCAGACTAATTTCTAAATATGAGTTCTATGATCCTTTGATGCAGACTGTGAAGTAGTACAGAGAGAACAGATTAATATATGGCCTTAATGAAACTGCTCTGTTTGGTCAAATTCTCTCTGTTCAGTGAGGCTGAGGACAGAGATCTCATTAAATAACCACAGGCATTTCAATTCTAGATAAAAGAATTGTAATTTTTCTTTCTGAAGTCAATTCCATGACTAATTTTGCATTTGCCCATCCATTTGCCTTCAAAACTGGCCTCAAGTCCTACTTAACTCCATCAAGCCTTCCTCAAACGACAAAACACACTGTATCTACTACTCACCCTAGTAGGCTGCATAGTCTACCCTAAGATGACAATGACAAGTGTCCCTATAAACCAGGAACTGTGCTTGGCATATGCCATTTCATTTGAATGTTACATGAACACCAGGAGGCCGGAGTTATTGTGGCGTGTAGGTAAAGAGACTGAGATGCAGTAACAGCTGAAGTGATATGGCTGGTAAGGTGGAGAACTGGGATGCAAAACTGTCCACCCCTAAAGCTGGCTCTCAACCATCATGCCGTGCTGCTTCCACACTGGGAGGGACACTGTAGTCACCTTGTCATGTCAATTGTTGTTTAATGAATAGGTCTTGTCTAACCAACTTGAACACTGTATGGTGTTCTACATAGAGTGACATCATAGACATTGAAGAAATATTTTATTGATAATTTTGACACGCTTTTGTGTTCCTAGATCATATATTTCCACTGGAAACTCTGAAAGCATTCTTAGCCTATATTGTGTTTAGGCTATTTGTTGCCTAACTCTTCTAAGAAAACAACAGAGAATGTAGCAGTCAGTCTTCCTACTGTGTACCAGGCAGAACAATAAGAAAGCCTAGGAAAACCAATTTTGCATGTTAAGAGGCTGAAATAAGAAGCTATACAAAAAATGTTGACAGCAGATTATTTAAATGGAGAAGGAGCAGGCAGCAGAGCTCCTTTAGAAAAGAAGCTGCAGTGGTTCACCTCAGATACAGTTCTGCTTAATAACTACTCCCAATAGGTAAGTCAGTCATATGCTGCATATATTTAAATGTGAACAAAAGTCTGCATTTGAAATTGTAACTGATAAGAGAGAAAAGCAATCAAGAACTTTTGTCTTTCACAGAGTAACCAGAGATTCTTTCTCAAATCCCACTCATTTCAAATATGAACTAGGCATCAGCAGATGACTTTTATTTAGTACAATAAGCTGCTCCCATTTCAGCTCTAGTACAAAGACTAGAGGATGAAAGAACACACTCTGAGAAACAAAGTACAGTTGTGAGGGAAAAGGAAAATAAAAGTATGTTTTTGGTACCGATGACCTCTTATGGTCTTCTACAAAAGAACCATGTCTTTAAAACATCAGTAAAAATTAATACATGCTGAGACCTAGACTGTCCAATAAGGTAGCAGCCACAAGCCACACATGGCTACTGAGCACCTAAAATGTGACTACTCCAAATTGAGATGTGCTGTAAGTATAAAATACACACCAGATTTTAAAGACTCAGTACAAAAAGAGACTGTAAAATATCTCAGTAATTTTGTATACTGATTGCATGTTGAAATACTATTTTAGATATACTAGGTTAAATATGTTATTTTTAAACATTAAAATTAGTTTTGCCCATTTCTTTACTTTTAAAGGCCACTGGAAAAATTTAAATTATGTATGTGACTTGCATTATATTTCTGTTGGACGGTACTGGTATAGATGATGTTGCAGAAAAAACAGGGAAAGAAATTCTCCATTGTGACTCAATAGACTTAAGATTTCAGTCCTTCGTAACAGCCTGCTATAGAGAATTCCTTTTTCCAGAAGATGGGCATTTTTGGTGTAATATAAGCATGGGACTTAAAATTACAGCAGCCTCGGTTTACATTTGATCTGTGCCACTGACTAGCTCTGAAGTCCATGACATAATCTCGGGTAAGTGACTTAGCTCAGGGCAAATGTATCTCCTAATCCTATTATGAGGGTTAAATGCAATAATATAAAAAGCCCAGCATTTTAAATGGGAAACATTATGATTCTCCCAAGAAAATTTCTGTGACATGCTTCTAACATATTTTGGTGGCACTTCATTTAAAAAAAAAAAAAAGACTAATAGGCCAGGCACGGTGGCTCACGCCTGTAATCCCAGCACTTTGGGAGGCTGAGGCGGGCGGATCACGAGGTCAGGAGATCGAGACCATCCTGGCAAACATGGTGAAACCCCGTCTATATTAAAAATACAAAAATTAGTCAGGCATGGTGGTGCGTGCCTGTAGTCTCAGCTACTCGGGAGGCTGAGGCAGGAGAATTGCTTGAACACGGGAGGGGGAGGTTGCAGTGAGCCGAGATCATGCCACTGCACTCCAGCCTGGTGACAGGGCAAGACTCCATCTCAAAGAAACAAAACAAAACAAAACAAAACAAAACACTAATAATATTAGTGGTCTCATGGTTACTGTTTGTAAAGACTTCAACTTCTGAATTTTAATAAAAAGAACTGTACTGTTAGGGAAGATTATAAAATTTTCATTTTTGGAGATCTTTAGGAAAAAAAGAAGCATATTATTTCTCTTGGAAAGTATAAATCACGAAGTTCAGCAGGATGATAGGTTAGTTAATACTATTTGTAAAAAAGAGGCAAATCTAGTTCTAAAACTCAACTGGATAATGTTGGGGAATTCATGTAACATTTTTGGAATACTGATTTCCTCACTTATCAAATGCTGGTGGCTGACTAAATGATCTCTGAAATCTCCTTCAACGCTAAGGTTTTTGTCAACAACGAACCTAGAGGTCAAACATGCATTTCTTTATTTTATTTTTTATTATTTATTTATTTATTTATTTATTTATTTTTTGAGATAGGGCTTTGCTCTGTCACCCAGGCTAGAGTACACTGGCACAATCTGGGCTCAGTGCAGCCTCTGCCTCCCAAGCTCAAGCAATCCTCCCACCTCAGCCTCCCAAGTAGCTGGAACTACAGGCTAGGGCCACAAAGCCCGGCTAATTTTTGTAATTTTTGTAGAGACGGGGTTTTGCCACGTTGTCCTGGCTGTTCTCAAACTCCTGAGCTCAAATGATCTGCCCACCTGACCCTTCCAAGGTGCTAGGATTCCAAAGTGTGTGAGCCACAAATATAAATTTATATTCACTGCTTTCAAAGCTATCCAGCTTAATAGTTTATTCTTATTTCTCACCATCCTTGCAGAATAAAAATAAAAGTCTATACATCTATTTTAGGGGTGCTTCCTGACAAGCCTTCTATAATAACTCCTTGCCCAAGGTGTTGTCCTATAAACTTCCACAAACCCATTCTCCCCACTGCAAATATTTCCTCTCGATACATCTACCTATGTATCCTGCTTAGTGCTGTATATGTTTAGAAGCCAGAGTTAAAAAAAGAAAACTACTATTTTTCCCATCCTCAACTCCAAATTCTGGTTTAACTGCTGTCACCTTTTTTAACCAACATATTTATTAAATCTGAAAAAGGTATACAGCAAAATGAATGTGTCATTTAACTGAGTGTCAAAAGTAACAAAAACTATCTGTAACACAATTACTTGTGGAATGACCTGCTGATGGCTGGTTAAGGTTTACCAGGATTAAACAGGATTCTTAACTAGGAATTTTATTTTATTTTCTGATCTGAAGATTAAATAAACCAGCTCCAGCTTTGCCCTAGGAATGCATGGGACTTTAAGAAATTAATTTTGCTTTCTGTAACATAGCCTGCTTATCTCTAAAAAGAATTAATAATAACTGCACACTCAAAGGCATTGTGACCCCACCAGAAAGGCTCGGTACAAGCATAAGCTATTAAATCTCAAATCGGCAGATCTCACAGTAAAAGCAGACATATTAACAACACAGTGTTGAGGCAAAATTTTGAAAAGGCAGGAGTTTTAAACATACACACACTCACAAAAGAATGCCTTATTGCTACCCAATGACCCGATGATCGGGTATTTTTCTTCCTCCTAGAAAGCCTTGCCTTCCAGGTGCTAAAGAAAGCCAGTCTGGAAGCTTATTTTTACAATCAGCCCAATTCTTCTAGTTACTCAAGGAGAACGTGTTAAGGGGTTCTTCCCTTTGCATAGGAAAATAGCACTTGTAAATCACCAATAGTTGAATTAAGATCTCTGACTGCTTTTTCAATTTGTGGTGATGTAAATTAAGAGATTTTAGAGAAAAATCACTTTTCCACGCAGTAAGAGCACTATTTTGCAGCATTACTAATTAAGAGCATACAAGCTGTGGAGTCAGATTATAGTTCTATTGCTGTTCTGCTTGTACCATCATATACAAAGGCCTCACTCAATCCAATGTGTTCCTCCATTAGGGCACGCTTTGTCCAGTAGGGCCCGTGTCTTTTTCATCAATAATCCATGCTCTTCCCTCTTCCTTCTCAACCAAACTCCTCCAAAGAGCTTTAACCCAGGGAGGCTGGCAGTGCATAGTTTCAGCCTTTGTCCTCACCATCTTTTTAACACCTTTCCCCACCCCCAGCCAGCAGTCATCATGAGGACCTTCCTCAATCCAAGCCCAACCTGCATCCCTTTCTAGTATGTTGCAATAAATAAATATATTTCTAAATGTGTGATAATCCAGGAACTAACAGCCTGAGAGTGCCCAATTATAATAGATCAATTAATACCCTAAGAATATAAGGCTAAACTTCTGAAAAATCCTGTCCTATTTCAGTTCTCTTGGACCTATTAAGAACAAGTAGACATGACAATAATTTAGGTTTCCTGCAGTAAAAAGTAACATCAAACAAATTAACACTCCAAGAGATGACGCAACTGTTACCTGGGGAGCACACTGAGAATGGCATAGCAGCTCCTGAGATTGGGGTGTGTTTCAAATGACATAATGGGTAACTGCTGTTTCTCCAGCTAACAATATAAACCCAGCAATGAAGGATATTTTCAAAGCACCCACCTTGTTGAGGACATCTCGCTGGCAGCCAAGATAAAGATTGGGAAGAATTCGGGTTGGCCCAATGTTGGCAACAGGTAAGCAAGGCTGAGAAATGCAGGTAGGGACTAGAGTGGATTTTCCTTCACAGAGGCCAGGGAAACAACGAGAGAACTCAGCAAACCCACCTAAGAATAAACATTATAAAATTATAAAAAATTATGCCACGCACAAAATAAAAACCAGCTTTCTGTGAACTGCTCAAACAGTTTAAACCCACGAATCCAAGTGGATATCACTGCACACCTATTCCTGGCTACAGCTGCTGATGCTAAGACTGAAGCATAATCCAGCACTAGGCCTGGCCTATAACGCTACCATGGGGATAGGCAAGTCCTGAAGGCACTTATAATGAATGACTCCTCTCTCTCAGATATTCTCTTCATCTTCACATACCCTACAACATTTGCTCCCCACTCCCCATGCAAATGTTTTTTTTTGTAAAACATAAAGAGGATTTAAAGTTAGTAGCAAGTAACCAAGCCAATAATTCACAGAAGCAGAATGGGGATGTAAGAAATGAAAACTGAGGCTGAATGCAACTTCTTCAAAATAAAATTGATCGAGTCAAAAATTCTTTCTACAACTAACTTTAAATCTTCTTACCATACAAATTTTTTACTGCAAAGGTATCACAAACATACTCCCACCTACGAATATTCTATCAAGTTCTGGGGATTCCCTGGGCAGTTAGTCAAGGTCTCCATAATTACCACTGATGTCTGGAGAGCTCCCGTTCATCTCAGCAAGCACTATAAAGAAGTGCTGACAGACTAATTGCTTAGGGTGCAGGAAGGCTTTGTGGCAAGATTACTGAACTCAGAATTAGAAGAATTCAGTTTTTTCTAGTCCTGTCCTTACAATGATCTGCTCTATGACCTTCACTAAGTCACAGTCTTGCCACCACTCAATGGAGTGAAATCTATGTAGCCAAAGGAGGTGCTTTCACTCCCTCCGGGAAAAGAAAAAATGAGTAAGGTTATTTGCTTTCCAATCTAAATATTCCTTGCTGTCCAAACCCAAACACCAAACAGATTCTGATAAATTTTCAGATATACGCCTTGCTATTCAAACCCTCGCTATTCACTAAGTCCGAATCAAGGAGATTTGGATGACGGGATCCTCGTATATTTTTAACATTAAATTTAAAAACAAGGCAGGGCTCGGTGGCTCACGCCTGTAATCCCCGCACTTTGGGAGGCCGAGGCAGGCGGATTGCCTGAGGTCAGGGGTTCGAGACCAGCCTGGCTAACATGGTGAAACCGTCTCTACTAAAAATACAAAAATTAGCCAGGCATGGTGGTGGGTGCCTGTAATCCCAGCTACTCAGGAGGCTGAGGCAGGAGAATCGCTTGAACCTAGAAGGCGGAGGTTGCAGTGAGCCGAGATTGCGCCACTGCACTCCAGCCTGGGCAACAGAGCAACACTCCGTCTCAAAAACAAAAATAAAAATAAAAAAACAACAAATAACATGTTAAGTCTTATTAGAAGATAGTACCTTTTTAACTGAGCCTTGAACAAGATCCTGAAATCTGACTCAAGTATTTATCTTCATCTCTTTGAGTTATATTGTATTAGACTTTCTCCCACTTCAAGAAACACACAAAATATGCCCTTGAAAACTGCTAGAAGTGCAGGAAGTTGAGAGGGAATCATCTTTCATTATGCCCTGTATTATGTTTAATTCAAGCATAATTCAGCCAGACGCCTGTCTCTACTGTCTAGGCTCAGTGCAGGGTCCTCAATGCAACAAGTTAGAATGGTAGGCAGTTGACAACTATGCCACCTGCAGAATGTAAAAAGAGTGGCCTGGCCTCCAACCTGACCAAGTGTCTTTCTATATATTTTTTAACACAGAAGCAGTTAAAGCTCTTCCACTTACTGAAGTTCTTAAGGTAATCTGATAGGCAGAATACATGGATCCATTATAGAAATCACAAATTCCTTTGTGTCACAGGCCCTCAGGATACCTGCACCTTACAGTTTCATGGTTTCATTTTTTTTTTTTTTTTTTGAGACGAAGTTTTGCTCTTGTTGCCCAGGCTAGAGTGCGATGGCATGATCTCAGCTCACTGCAATCTCCGCCTCCCGAGTTCAAGAGATTCTCCTGCCTCAGCTTCCTGAGTAGCTGGGACTACAGGTATGCACCACCACCCTCGGCTAATTTTGTATTTTTAGTAGAGACGGGGTTTCTCCATGTTGGTCAGGCTGATCTGGAACTCCTGACCTCAGGTGATCCACCTGCCTTGGCCTCCAGTTTCATTTCTTACCGTTTCCAATGATGACCTCCAGCCACATAAAACTCATTGTTATTTCACATTTCCATGCCGTTCTCTTGTCCAAGAATACCACCCTCACACCGCCCCATGCATGCACACGTAGAAGCCACGGTACATACAGCATACACATGTGGGCAAGCCCCATGATCATACAGCAGAGGAAGTAAGAACACAAGCCCTTGTACCTGAGTTCCTGTCCTGGCTTTACCACTTTCTAGTTGTCTGATTTGTCAAGTTACTTAAGCCCCTCCTACTCTAATTTCCTCATCTATAAAATGAGGATAATGATCACACCTATCTCACAGAGTTGTTGAGATAATTAGTTAGTATATCAAAAGTATTTTGTGCCTGGCGTATAGTAAAGCACTCAGGAGGTATCACTGGTTATTGCTTTTTTTTTTTTTTTTTTTGAGACAGAGTCTCACTCTGTCGCCCAGGCTAGAGTGCAGTGGCGCGATCTTGGCTCACTGCAACCTCCGCTTCCCGGGTTCAAGCGATTCTCCTGCCTCAGCCTCCCGAGTAGCTGGGACTACAGGCGCATGCCACCACATTTGGCTAATTTTTTATTTTTAGTAGAGACAGGGTTTCATCAAGTTGGCCAGGCTGGTCATGAACTCCTGACCTCAGGTGATCTGCCCACCTCGGCCTCCCCGTTTTTTTGTTACGGTGATCAAACATTCAGTATCTAGCGCCATCTGTGGGGCCTTCCTCCACCTTTGAGCTGCGGCTGTTTAGCTACACCTCCTTAGTATTCATCTGAGACAAAAAGTGGAAAAAGGAATGCCTGTAAGGTTAACTTCCCAAAGTGTGCCCCAGAGCACTGGCGTCCTGCAAGAAGCTGACAGACAGGATAGCGGTCTAAAAAGTGAGAGAAATATTGTATATCCTAGCTCCCTGGCAGAGTCAGAGCACATGTTAACTTACTAAAGGTTCTAAAAAGTATTTTCAAAGAAACTGGTTTCATTTATTGAAGTCTAGTAAGTTTCCCCAAACTTATCTGACCATGGAATTCCCCCTAAAATATATTAATAGCTAGTAGAATTCACACTTACAAAATGCTACGCTAGGGTCAAAGCAACTACTGAAATGGAGTCAATCAGAACTCCTGTACTTACAAGTACAACCCACAGACAATCTCAAAAAAAGGGGGTCAGCCAATATTGGTATATAAGTGCCCACTGTTTAGAATTTATGCTTTTGTTTCTATTCGTGTTTTGTTCCTTTTCAGTCTCTCTAATTGAATAACACAGTCATTATTTAAGTGAGTTTTTTCCCCAAGGTAGTTCTTGTAACAATAAATGTTAAAGATTCTCATCATTCTTTGCTTTTCTTACACCTACCCAACCTAACAACTGTCAGGCACTATTTTAATTACAATTAAATTGTATGATGTTAAATTTTAATGTGGTGTCTATTAACATGTAGTTTTGGTGTTTCTCTTTTTTTTCTTAAAGACAGGGTCTCACTCTGTTGCCTAGGCTGGAGTGGCATGATCTCAGCTCACTGCAACCTCTGCCTCCCAGGCTCAAGTGATCCTCCCACCTCAGCTTCCCGAGTAGCCAGGGCTACAGGGGAACACCACCACGCCCAGCTAATTTTTGTATTTTTGTAGAGACAGGGTCCTTCCTATGTTGCCCAGGCTGGTCTCAAACTCCTAGGCACAAGTGATCTACCCACCTTGGCCTCCCACAGTGCTGGGTTTACAGGCATGAGCCACTGCGCCCTGCCAGTTCTGGTGTTTCTCTAAAGAACTGTCTTCATATATTTTTCAATTCTGGCTCTAAAACAGTTCCTGGAATGGTTGTCATTTAAATTCAACAAAACAGCTTGGGCAACATGGATAAACCCAATCTCTGTTAAAAAAAAAAAAAAAAAAAAAGAAAGAAAGAAAAAATTAGCCAGGCATGGTGGAGTATTCCTGTAGTTCCAGCTACTTGAGAGGCTGAGGTGGGAGGACTGTTTGAGCCCAGGAGGTTGATGATGCAGTGAGCTGTGATCGCACCACTGCACTCCAGCCTGGGTGACAAAGTGAGACCCTGTCTCAAAAAAATACATACATACATCCAACAAAACAATATTCCAATAAATGTTCTCAAAGAGAAAACAGAGAATCCAAGGAAACACCACTTGAATTTCATTTGAACCTTATAAATGATTATTTTTATAAATAATGTATGTAATCCTAGAATGTACTGAACACTTACTGCGTGACAAACATTGCTCTAAGCACTCTATAGGTATTTACACACTCTTACAGCTGCCCTATGAGATAGGTGTTACTACTAATCCCATTTATAGATAAGGCTCAGAATCACATAATATAGGCTCAGAATCACGTAATATAATAACCGGAAGAGCCAGGTTATAAGTCTACTTTTCTAAATCCTATGGAATTACTTTCAACTCTCCCTTGGATGCAGGGACAGCCTTGCTGATGATATTCATGGGGTCCTGGCCTCCCCAGCTGTGACCAGGCTAAAAAGGCCATGGTCCTCTCCCAAACTGATGGAAGAGCCTTGTTTCCCCAAAGCTATATCGCTCAAAGGCTTCAATGAGGGAGAAGGAAGAAGATCCGACAAGAACAGAGAAAGGAGAATCTCTTTAAAGGCAATTTCACATGACACCAATAACAAAGTTTACAGATGAACTGGTTGAAATGTAAATATGGTCACTGGTTTGTTCATGACCACCATTTACAAGTTGGTAGTAGACCTTGGCTGTCAGGTCACCCCCCACAGAACAACTTTCAGAGGAGATGCAATTCTGCAATAATCATAAACTGAGCCATCAGCCAGGCTGTTCGAGGTCCAGTTCTATCGTTAATTGGTACAGTGATCCTAGATCACTTTGATTTCAGTGGACCTCAAAAGTAAGTGTGGCTCTAGAAAGTTCTAAGACAGAGAACAGAAAGGAGAGAAAGAAACCATTGTTCAGCTTCAAAACAAAAGAGCCAAACAAAACAACACTACACTGTAAAACACATTATAAAACAAAAAGAAGCCTCTTTTTCACAAATCTTTCTCAACTGATATCTAGAACAAACTCAAACAAATATTTAAAAATATTTAACAGATTTAGCTGCAATCAGAACATTCATTTAGTGCTCAGTTTGGCTTGAAATGTCCCAGACTGGCTCCCAGTCACTTCCAGAAAACCCTACCTCAGCCAGAGCACATTTTCACTGATCTTTATCTATGACAATGTTCCACTCTGCTGACATCCTCCTTCATTGACAGTTTTTTCCATTCACTGACCTTTCATTCACTGCTGCACTCTAGTGACTCCAGTTTCGTTTCATTAATTAACAACAGATGAGACACTGCCTGATTTCCCTTGGACCTCTAAAAACTAACTGTGGCCTCACCAGCAACTCAGTTTTGAAACATGCTTAAAATGTCCCTCTTCCTTTCGTAAGTTCTCTTACAAACAAGATCCACTTCAGAAGAAAAGTTCATTTATGCAAACGTTCTGCTCCAAATGGCTAACGGAGACAAAGAATCAAGCGTCCTCTTATCTGCCCTTATCATAACTTTGTTGTCCCAGGGACTCCAAGCTAGATTCCATTACAAGACATAACATCAGTCCGTTATCCGCTATTTACTGTGAAAAGCAGTACCGAAAAACTGATAAGCTTCTTGAAAAAATTTGCGCCTATTTTTTAAAGTTGTCTGAAGACTTGGCTCACTGTCCAATCTTGCCAAGTTTCTCCTATTCCTAATTTTATGCTGTTTATCATCTGGGAATGCAGAAAACAAAGTCATAGTAACCCACATGTGTTTCCCTAACATGGACCTGAACCTAAGAATGACTGTGCCCCCTACTCTGGAAGTATCTGTGCTAAGAGGAAGGAAGACAAATACACAGCTATTTCCAGCCTGCTGAGAAACAGGGATGGGCAGTCCCTGCAGGCAGAGAAGCGTCTTGGCCTCTACAGCTGTGGATGCACAGGCAGCCAGACCGCAATGCTAAAACCCATGTTTCTGTTAGTCTTCCATAAATCCAACCAAAAGAATGCATGTTTACAAATAAAAACATAGATACTACTTCCGACACAGAAAACATCTGGTACAGCTTCTAAGGCATTCCTCATTTAGATAACACCTTCTCCTAATTCAGCCATGAAAACGTCTTCCCTTAAGATCACCTCCTTCACAATTCCAATTATAAATATGATTTTCTGTAAAAGCAAACGTGAACCACCATTCCATTTTGGGGGGGAAAAATCTGCCAAGTAAAATAAAATACATATAACAACTCTACTAAACAATTCCAATTAGTCACTCTTTTCTCTTCCCTCTCACCCATGCAATCAGTTATATATCACAGTATTTTCTTTAAATGAAAGTATATTTACATAATAAACAAAAGTAGCACTTTACTGTGGCTTACTGATATTCTTAAAATGTTTTTAAGGCCAAAGTTCTAAAAATAGATCCCTCTCCTTTTAGCAGTTCCATGACTTTAAAGATGGTTTCCTGCAGGGAGAGACAGAGGGCCTTTCCACTCATGCCTTCATTTAAATAGGGAGCAAGTCACTAGGGATTTATCAACTGGCAGAGCCGCCTTCAAGGAAGGCAGAATCAAAGAGAACTGCCCTCCCACCCTATATTGTGAATGGATTCCATGGTTATACAAAGAAATAATATTGATATAAAGCTCTACTTTATGGAAGACATTTTCCTAAAAAGTCATATGCAAATTTAACTTTTGTATTTTAAATCATCTGCATATAGTTCATATGGTTTCACAGTTTTTGAACTATGCGGTTAAATTCTTGTTGTTGTTGTTTTTTGGAGATGGAGTTTCACTCTTGTTGCCCAGGCTGGAGTGCAATGGTGCGATCTCCGCTCACCGCAACCTCCACCTCCCGGGTTCAAGCAATTCTCCTGCCTCAGCCTCCCGAGTAGCTGGGATCACAGGCATGCGCCATCATGCCCGGCTAATTTTGTATTGTTAGTAAACACGGGGTTTCTCCATGTTGGTCAGGCTGGTCTCGAACTCCCAACCTCAGGTGATCAGCCCGCCTTGGCCTCCCAAAGCGCTGGGATTACAGGCGTGAGCCACCGTGCCCAGCCATTAAATTCTTTTGTAGTTCTCAAGTAGTTTAATTCTTTTGTAAAACAAAACTCCCTTTTTGTAACATAAACACAATCCTTTCATTTGCTTATTTTAGAATATATGTGAAAAACTAGAGTACACCTTCACCTGTAGAGGACAGTTCTCTCTTCTCTCCATACTGGAAAGAAAATCTGTTGCTTTACCATCACACAAAGGAGACAACTCTAACATTAAAAATGGAAAATACTGAAAATGTTTATTTTGCAGTAAAGTACTTTAATTGCTCTTAAGAGTAATTCTGTTATGCCTCAGTCTGACATGTCTGATTTAGGCAACTTTATTCTCTAGACACTCAAAAACAGACTAAAGTATGGTCACAATTCTTTCGGGATCAGCAGACAGTAAACATGGAGAGTTGAAACTAGTTGAAGAAAAGAAAAGAAAAAAAAAAGCAACATAATTTCATACCCCTAAAGAAAGCAAACAAAATATGTAACTAATGTTTCAATGTAGATACTTTGGTCTGGATAAGCCAAGCCACACAGGTTTGGTAAATTACTCCTAGGAAGGTAGAGAGCATAGCATTTTTTCCACAGCATTAGCAGCATTCCACCTTTTCCCATATAGCCAACTCTCCAATTGAGCCATACTAAAGAGAAAAATCCCAAATGATCTAAAGCATTAATTTAAAGCTCTTATTCCATCCACCCCCATCTACTGGAGCACAGACCAAGAGGAGAGTGGATAGATACGCATTTCTCTTTCAGGAAGGCTGACAAGTAGCCTACATCTCACAAAACTTATCCCATAAATGACACCTCCAAAAGAGCTTGCCCTATATTAAACAACCCTATCACGTGACACAGTTGGGAAATGGGAAATTCTATCTAATTTTGGTATTAGGACATATGCAACAGTTATGACATACACAACAGTTATGACATACACAACAAATGAATGAAAAATTTTCAAAGCACCAGCAGACAAATCACTAAACACTAAAATTATGCAACTTATAATTTCTTATGACTCAGAATGTCCAGATCTTATAACTCAGGATAATATTTAAATCAACTCCATCAGCAACATCCAGATGTGTTATTCAAGAAGGAAGAGTTCTCAGAAGATGTAGACTGGTAACTATTCTGCTGATCTTTTAAATTGGCAATACATAACTATGCCCAGAAAAACTCCTCTTAAACGTCCTGAAACAAAGATTGTTCTAAAGACTGCAACCAGAATAACCCATCAAAAGGAATACAGCCAGAATCTACCACTTGGCTGAACAGAATTAACAAGCTCTGTAGGTAGGAGAGCCAGAGTCACAGAGTCTCCCTACTATTTTCCTAACACATCTGTGCTTTCCCGCCTTTAGGCTTTTGAAAAGTCAACCTTTCCAATCCATTTTGTATTTCCTTCTAAACCACAGGCAAGCACAAGTTACACCTCTTCTATAGCAGTATGGTCCCAAAATTTTTTTACCAGGATCAACAAAATACATTTTACACTCAAACCCTCTGAACACCTACACATACTCACCACTAAGACAAAAGTTTCATGATACTATCTTCCCTAATTCTGTTGCGTTTAAAGAAAAAAAAAAAACAAACTTCCTTGAGCAGCGTATCTAGACATGGTCCAGCTTAGAGGCTCTATAAAATTTATACCAATCATTTGGCAGTACCTACCACTGACCTAGTAACTGTGAAATAACTGTGTATGTGTTGTGACCCGTCTTACTTCTCCAGCTATTGTGAGCTGCTTATGGATAAGAATTATCCATAATTCTTTGTAATTACCTCAGCATTTAGCATAGTGCCTGGCACATAATTAGAATTCAATAAATGTTTATTGAATCCTTCCTTGTTACAATGAATAGCTGTTGATGGACATAAGTCTTGTATATTTTTGGTGTTCCGAAGGATTTCCTGATTCCATTCAAAGCCAAAAGCTAGTTGGTGTGGGTGGGGGCACAAAATCTGCTTCCTATTCCTAGACCACAATGCCCCAGAAGACTCTCAGGGTGAGTGAGGAGGCACAGGGCAAGAAAAAAACATTTTTTCTTCTACTACAGGAAAAAAGATAAAATTGGCGAGTGTCACTTTGGTTATCCAAAAGCGACACTGAATCCTTACTATGATTCTGCTGTATCCACAGGACTTTACATAAAAGGGAAAGAAAATTTTTTCTGATGCCCCTAAATGGCGCAGGACTCCACACCGGTGTGGAGAGTCCCGTAATATATCTCCATGGCTCAGGGAATCAGGGCACATCCCATAGGAAACCAATGAGACACCAACTATGATTATACCCCAGATGAGGATGGTGTGGCTGCTGGACATGTCTATAATCATCATCAAAATGGATAATGAAATGAGATTATCCATAGGGGAAACTTGATGAGTCAAGAGGAAAAAGGAATACAAGTCTAGTGTCTGGAGAATTATTCAAGAATAAAATCTGACTAACTTGTAAACTGTCCATGAATCACACTATACAGCTCACTTCTCAGGCTATCCATGTGAAGCGCAAAGCTTTCTAAGCCATCTAGCCACAGGCTCTCCCCTAAGACCACTTCTGTATATTCCACTCTGTGTACAGTCCTCCTCTTTGGCCAACTACACATTTTGACAAGAGACGTCATAGAGCAGTGAGGGAGAAAGGGATAACTGCGTTTCACATATAAGTTCAAAAAACACTTAATAGCACCTACTATGAGTTTGACATAGCGCTAGGTAATGGAACAGTGGTGACCAAGACAGAGAGCCTTCTCTGGAGTTGACAGTTTTATGGGATAAACTTTAACCAAATAATTAGATGAATAATTAACTAATTATGGTAAGTGGCCAAAGGCATATGGAAACCAACTTTGCCTGGTAGCTAGGGAAGGCTTGACAACCACATTGAATCTAGCAGGAAAACAACTAGGTAAATAGCAGAGAGAAGAGCCCAGGGCAGAGGACAGAGCCTCTGTGAAGGCCCAGGGTGCATGATGTCTTAGGTTTAGAGCAACAGGGAGGAGGCCTAAGGAGCTGAGGCAAAACAACAACTGAGGACTTAAAGTGGCACTGGATGAAGTTAGCAAGGTAGGCAGAAGCCAGCCACTGCAGGGCCTTGTGAATCAGTTAAAAATTTTGTAACTTATCTTAAGAGCACTGCATATTATTGATGCATATTAAACTGGGAAGTGATGTAATCTGAATTAGTTAAAAACACAAAATAAAAATGTAACTTTGGCTGCAGTGTGAGCAATGGATTGGAAGGTGGCAAGACAGAGCATGTGAACAGATCAGTTAAGAGGCTCCTGGAGCAACCTGGGGGAGGAATAACATTCAACTGACTTCATGGTAGCAGAAGACCAGAAAACCAGACAGACCGAAGAGGTTGGAAGAAAGATCTGGTGACTAAGAGATGACAGGTATTGCAGCCATATCTCCAATAGCTCACAATACCCATCACCTTAAAGTACAAATTCTTCCTTCTGATTTAAAGAGCTTACATAATTTGATCTCATGTCCTCTCAATTCCCATTTCTCTCCTTCACAAAAAATCCACTCTGGTCTGCTCACTGCCCCTCCAAATCTATGTTCATTCCTGACATTTTTAATCATGTTCTTTCCCCCTCAGAATGCGCAGAACCCTCCCTACCCAAATCTTACTCCTCATCTTTCAAGGTTTGATTAAAATTCCACTGCCCTAATCAAGTCTTCCCTGACTTCTGCAGACTACTCTGAATCATCCCTTATCACTGTATCATACATTTTAGCAAATGATCATATACTTCTCTTTCTTTCATCCACTTTAGGTGCATTTCCCCAAATTAACCACTACATTCTCAAAGGCAGGGGCAAGCCTTTTGCTTTTCCAATATCTTCACCCCCGAGAGCCCAGTCCAAGGCACAGCCATGGAGGCACCCATCAAATATTGAGAGGCTGAGTGAGTGAAAGGGCTGAAGAATATGCTGGACCTGGTGTTTCTCTAGACTACACAGCTGCCCCACCTGGGGCAAGGGAAGATTGATGTCACTGTTGTCATCTGGGATGCTTTTGTTTGGTTTGTGCACAATATCAGGATGGGGAACCAAAGGACTATCTTTAAGCTTTAGTTGGCTCTCTAGTCTGTTTGTTTCAAAAGACAATCTCAAGCATGTGTCTTAGCCACTGGTAGCTGGGAAGAGACATGACTGACTCTCCACACTGGCAGATAGCAATCGGAGAAAAGATGATCCAATTTAGACGAATTCATGCCAACTGAGACTCAGAAACAGAGCCAGAAATACACAGCAGCCAGTGAGCAAACAGCACCTTTTTCCCCAGCTTTATTGAAGTATGATTAACAAACAAAAATTTTATCTGTTTAAGGTGTACAGCATGATGATGTGATATACATATACACTTGGAATGACTACCTTACCTCACATAGCCATGCTCTTTTTGTTGTGGTGAGAACACTTAAGATCTACTCTTTCAGCAAATTTGAAGTATATGGTACGTTTATTGTCAACCGTAGTCACCATGCTGTACAATAGGTCTCTAGAACTTACTCATCATATCACTGAAAGTCTGTACTCTTTAAGCAGCATCTCCCCATTACCCCAGCCCTCCAGCCCCTGGTAACCACCGTTCTACTGTTTTCATGAGTTTGACTCTTTTAGATCCACATGTGATACCATGCAGTATTTGTCTTTCTGTGTCTGGCTTATTTCAATTAGCATAATGTCCTCCAGGTTCACCCATATTGTTGCAAAATGGTAGGATTTCCTTCTTTTTTAAGGCTGAATATTCCATTGTGTGTGTATGTGTGCATACAGCATCTATTTTTAGTCTGTTTTCAGTGACTCTCAGTCACTGTAGTTTTTTAGACCCAAGAGCAGCCAGTTCCTTAATAATTGGCATACTTTTACTGAAATCCATTAATTTCAATCTCATTTACCAAGTTCTACAGGATTCGAAATGGAATTACTGAAGATTTCCCTTCTCCAGACAAAGGAGAAGAAACACCAAACTAGATAACAGAATTTATGGTAATAGCACAAAGAGCAAAATCCATAACCAGGAAGATCAGGTTCTATCATACCTCCATGAGGAAGGACAGTAATCAATTCTATTAAACCAAAAGTATACATTTATTACACAGAACTGTCATCAGAATCTAGATCCTTATTAAATTGAAAATGTGTAGAGTCTAATACATTTTTGTTCACTCGTAGGTCTAACTACAATAGTTAAGTTCAACTCAAAACGAAGAAATGAGTATTTGGCCTTTAACCATAGCAAACATTAATCGAAGACCTTTGCTGTGTTCTTAATAAATGGTATCTTCTATCCTTATTCACAGCTATACACCAGCATAAAACAGAGTAGACTTTTACTTGATGATCTCTTCTGGCTAACATAGTTTAATGCTTTAAAACAATTTATATACAGTGTATTTTTATAGATTGCTATATTCTATAAAGTATGAAGAATATGACTGAAATTCTCAAAAAGACTGAGAAAGAGCTATTACAAAAAGAGCCTTTCAGAATAAGCCTGATCTGAAATGGGCACCCTTGATTCCCAATCTAGCCTCCTGACAAAATTCCAGAAGACTCTGGAATTACTTGTGGATGTGGGCCTTGGGCAGCAAGAGCTTGGGAGAGTCACTCAGCAGCTCTGTTATTTTCCTCATTTGTAAATGAAAGGGCTGAAGTCTGTGGTTCATTTATGGTTTTCTCCCGCAATCGCTGTAGGGTTATTCTGTGCTGCATCACAGGACAGAAGGGAGTGCTGTGGAATTAATAAGCCTGGCAGAGCCCTTTTGCTTTTACTCAGGCTGTACTGGGGAAAGAGAAGGACATAGTAGAACAGCATTTTTCACATGCAGGTTGATCTTTATTTCTACTAAATTAACCCATTTACTCTCTTTTCCATATGTCAGCATAAAATAAAAGCCCAAATTCAATAGTTTTCCTTTTTTTCACATATATTTACTTCTAATCTGGCGCTCTTAGAAATAGACAAGTAGAATAAACTGATACATAGTGAATAAGTAAAAGCCAAGAAACAAGTTTATTTTTCAGAGAACTAGTTTTCTGCAGGTTGTTGAAAACACCAAAAAAGTTGCTCAATAAATCAATGTTGGCAACTGATTTTTTGGGTTTTCAAACTCATACTGATAAGTTTCTTATTTTTTTTTGAAGGATAGTCTTTTAGACTATTGATACAGAAATTTCACATCCATTGTCTAATACAATCCTCATAATAAGGCAAGCGTTATTATCTCTTTTTAGGAGCTGAAAAAATACAAGATAATTCAGGTTAAATGACTTATCCAAAGTTGCCATAAGGAGCAGAGACACACACAGAAAACACAGGCTACAGCTTTGACCCCTAGTCCATTGTTCTTTCCAGCTTAAAGGGATTTCCTCAATGCAGATGTTAGATCACCTAGGGAATGGGTGTGGGCATGGCACTGAGTTGATCAGAAGACCCTGAAACCTTCTGCAGATGCAGATACAGAGCCTGTGCTCAGGTAATACCTTTACCACTAGGACCTAGTTTTTCTTCCTCCTGCTCTTTTCTGATCCTTTTTCTTTAGTCAATATCTAAAGTTTAGCAGTAACACGAAAGATATTACCAACCCTTGAAAATGGTTCCTTTTTTGGATTCTCCAATCCCCATCTCTCCCCTTCCCCTCAATCTTAAATCTTACATCTGCAGGAGAAAAAACAAGAACAGGCCCGGCACATGGCATAGAGCATGGCACTACCTCTCTCTAGCTCTACCTTGTGTAATTTCTTTTTTCTTCTTTTGGAGACAGGGTCTTGCTCTGTCGCCCAGGCTGGAGTTCAGTGGCACAATCACGGCTCGCTGCAACCTCAAAACTCCTGGGATCAAGTGAGCCTTCCAAGTAGCTGGGACTATAGGTATGATACCACCGCACCCGGCTAATTTTTTAAATTTCTAGTACAGACGAGGTCTCTCTCTGTTGGCCAGGCAGGTCTCAAACTCCTGAGCTCAAGTGATCCTCCTGCCTCAGCCTCCTGAAGTGTTGGGAATACAGGCATAAGCCACCATGCCTGGCACCTTGTACAATTTCTATACCCAGATTACCTATTGCTCCCAGGAAGTTGGTCTTCTCTACGTTTATGACTTCTCATTACAAGTTCAAAATATAGTTTATCAGACACAAAGGACTTTATTAAAAAGAAAAAATATATAGTTTATTCTGCCAATATTTTCCTATAATTCTAATTATTTAATATACTTAATTATATAAGCTTTCCTGAAATATTCTCAATAGAATTAGATTCTTTTCAAATTATGAGAAACCCAGTTAATTTTTTTAGCCAAATAGGAATTACAGCATTTTTCCCTTCCAAAAGCCCATCCTAGATTATAAAATCATTATTATGATACATTTATGTTACACCCATTTTTTTACTCTATTAATATGCTTTTTTTTTTTTTTGAGATGGAGTTTCATTCTTGTTGCCCAGGCTGAAGTGCAATGGTGCGATCTTGGCTCACCGCAACCTCTACCTCCTGGATTCAAGCAATTCTCCTGCCTCAGCTTCCTGAGCAGCTAGGATTACAGGCATGCGCCACCACACCTGGTTAATTTTGTATTTTTTAGTAGAGACGGGGTTTCTCCACATTGGTCAGGCTGGTTACGAACTCCCAACCTCAGGTGATCCGCCCGCCTCGGCCTCCCAAAGTGCTGGGATTACAGGTGTGAGCCACCGCACCTGGCCAATATGAATTCTTAAGTCTAAATTTCAAGGGGGGTTGTGGGGAAGATATGCAGGTCTTTAAATTGTACTTATTCAATAACCTGACTTCAAAATTGAAAAAAAAAGGAAACAATGGTTTGCCATTACCTACCCATTAATGGTAATAGAGAACTTTTTTTTTCTTTTTGAGACAGAGTCTCACTCTGTTGCCTACACCAGGGTGCAGTGATGCGATCTTGGCTCACTGCAACCTCTGCCTCCCGGGTTCAAGCAATTCTCCTGCCTCAGCCTCCTGAGTAGCTGAGACTACAGGCAGATGCCACCATGCCCGGCTAATTTTTATATTTTTAGTAGAGATGGGGTTTTGCCATGTTGGCCAGGCTGGTCTCGAACTCCTGACCTCAGGTGATCCACCCACCTCGGCCTCCCAAAGTTCTGGGATTACAGGTGTAAGTCACCATGGCCGGGCAGTAATGGAGAACTTTCTAAAGCATCCAAATTTGTTTTTTTTTTAAGATGAGATTGCTACTGATAATTTTGTGTTTTGTTTTTTTAGAGACAGGCTCTCTGTCACCCAGACTGTAGTGCAGTGTTGCAATCACAGCTCACTGTAACCTCGAACTCCTGGGCTCAAGCAATCCTCCCCCATCAGCTTCCCGAGTAGCTGGAAATAGAGGGGTGCACCACCACACCCAGCTGCTACTGATATTAAACCCTTTAATCCACTGGGAGTGAAACAATGCTATGGCTTAGTTTGACTTGGTTAGTAGGTTATTTACTAATGACTAGAGCAATCAATTTACATTTACATTTTTAAAAATACAATAATTATTCTGACTGTTCTCAATTAACATGAATTCAAGGACTTGCGTATTCCTATGAGTGGAGCTAGATTTCTAGGGTTGTTAGCTCTTTATCAAATATCAGTATTTAAGGACCACAGAAAATTAGCACTGTTTCACTACAGCAGCATTTTCATCAGATTTTAATACCATCTTCACATCTGCTTATATGGATGAAGAAAGTTTCATATTAGATATTTTCCCATCGCAGCTATATATTTGCTTTATCAGAATAAATACACCTTCCAAATCACCTATTTTGAAACAATCTGAAGTTTTCTCTACTTTCAGACTTCATCACTGCTTAATATGCTTATATTCTAGACTGATAAATCATAGGAAATATAAACAATATAAAACCTTCAGGTAAGCTAATATCAAAATATTTACTGAAAACTTAAGAAGGGCTAGGCCTTGCGGGAACACAAAGGTAAACAAGACCTGGTCCATATTAAAAAACTAAGCCCACTGCATTCCTGTAGAGGTTCCCCAAATCCCACTTCCTTCTCCTTCAGTAATCCTTCATTTTTCATGACCATGTAAGTAGGTCCTCCAGGTAAGTGTCAGTCTCCTCTTGTTTGAAGGAAAAGAGCTCGTTAAGATACTGCTATCAATTTCTTGGGAGTCCTCTTGTTCTCCTTATTCACAGTCATTCTTCCGTGGGTAAGGTAGCCCTGAGAGTGTGAGTAGATGTGGGGCCACAATTCCTCACTGCCATAGCTAATGACCATAAAAACCATCTCACATATCTGATGCTTTCTTTTCTCAAGGTGGCTGAAAGTTCTAAACCGATGGAAAAATTATTCCAAGAAACCACTTTGTCTTTCTATTACCATGTCCAAACGAGACTGACAACAATCTCCAACTGTTGAAAGTCACAGGGGCAGTTTGTAGTGAAAATTGTCTCCAGTGACCTTGTAACTTACAGTAGCCCCTGTGAGAAACTAGGGTGCTTTTCAGTTATTTCTCCCCAACCAAAATATTTAAGAAACTTTTGTCAATATGTCCTTCTGTCCCACATCCCTGGCTTGTCCTCTGAGCAGCTGGACCTTTGCAATAAAACAGTTTCCCAAGAATTGATGGCCAAACCTTCTCCAATACTGTTATCCACTTACCCCAATTATCTACCTACCCTGACGAAAAAATTCACTAACCAAGAGAATCCCCAATTGCTTTTGGATGATTGGGAAGGCTTCTAATCATCTAGAACCCTCTCTTAGGTGTCACAAGAAATCCAGCTGCTCAGAAATTCCCAAACAAGCAATTCAGACTCTGAAGTCACCTCCTAAGCTAATAGAAACACAGGATTCTGGAGGTATGGATGAAGATATGGTGCTACTAATACATTTAATGTGGCTCCTGGTGCTGCCTCCATGGACTTGCCGTTAGGCCTAAGAAACACTTCCTGTTTGAAACAGGGATGTCAGGGTGTTCTGACTCAGTGTGTCACACCACGTGTCCCTAGAGTTGACATAGCTAATCAGGCAGTCCTGTTTCTTCCTTATTGCCCAGTGAATGCCCCTCCCAAGGCTACACAGGATAGATTAAGAACCTTCCCAGGTAACAAAGGAATGCTCTTTGGTAAAGGAGTAAAGGGTACAAGTAGCTAAAGCACCTGTGCTAGAAACTCAATGTGAGCTCACTCCTCTGGGGGGCTGTCTACTTGACCGAGATGTTGAGTAAGGTCTCCCCATAGGGTAAAAGTAACTCAAACAAGAACATGGTGGGATAACCACTCTGTCACGAAGCACATCTTGGCATATTGCTTCTTTAAGAAAGACTCTGGCTGGGTGTGGTGGCTCATGCCTGTAATCCCAGCACTTTGGGAGGCCGAGGCAGGCAGATCACCTGAGGTCAAAGTTCGAGACCAGACTGGCCAACATGGTGAAACCCGGTCTCTACTAAAATACAAAAATTAGCCAGGCGTGGTGGCAGGTGCTCAGAATCCCAGCTACTTGGGAGGCTGAGGCAGGAGAATCGCTTGAACCTGGGAAGCAGAGGTTGCAGCAAGCCAAGGTCACACCACCGCACTCTAGCCTGGGCGACAGGGCAAAATTCTGTCTCAAAAAAAAAAAAAGAAAAGAAAAACCCTGATCCCATTAACAGGATTCCAAGGTAAAGTCCCTCACACAGTGGCCACCTGAAACATGAAATGAGTTCCTAAACTCACCCAATTAGTTTAGTGAAATGCTAATAATAGCTGTTACATTTAACACACTCATACTCCCAGTAAAAGAATGTGTCTATCAACAGAGACAGAATCTAATATTATAATTCTCAGTTACAGACTTCTGAAAACTACATTCTAAGACAAGCTGGCTTCACTTAAGAACACTAATTGAAAGATCAGACGGAATCACAGCATAAATGAAAGGTGTACAGATAGACAATCTGAAAAAGATGAACTATCCTTGTTCTTAGAGAACTGAGGAAAAGCTTGTGAGAGAGAACTGGAGACATGGAAATCTTATCTAAACCTGCCCAGAGTTTAAAATTATTAACACACCAACAACTAATTAATCTTAATGTTTTGTTTTTCTTAGACCAAATGTTTAAAAGCACTCTTGCCTATCACTGAAGCTGAATCCGCCCAACACAGCAGCTTTATGTTAAGGTTACTGTGTGTTGTCAAACTATATTCCCAGCTCTATGAGCCCACAGGGCAAGGGAAAGGATTTTCATTTGCAAAACGAGAAGCAAAGGATGAATAGCCTTCTTTGGAATTTGATGGGATTAACTCCTACAATGCCGTCCTCCAGGAGAGATATAGAATATTTGGTCCTTCCCACACACTTTATAAGATCATCTGGTTGCTTAGCATTTCTACGTTGAGACTTTTTTTTAATTATAAAACAAATAAAAATATACAAGTAACTTTTAAAACAATTCCCCTAATTACCAGAAGAAACATTCTGCACACATTCTCCCCCTATTTCATTGTTTATAATGCCCAGAAAGGTGACCATAAGGCTTATCTCTGGAGTCCGCTCCAACTATAAATGTTAAGTAAGAGTTTGACACTGTAATATTGGTCTGGTTCTTGCCACAGGGGTGGGAACTAGCAGGAGCTGAGATGTTCATCATTTGGTGTTCTTACATCACAGGTGAATGGAAAAAGGCAGACAGAAGCAGCTGGCTTTGAGCTATCCATATGGGTGTGCAAATCTATGTGGCACTACCAGTTAATAGCAAGCAAAGAGGCACTTGAGCCAAGTCAAAAATACACTGACCTATGTGGAAGAATGATATAGTATTCAAGTTAAATAGAACGGTGACATCAATCAAAAGCTATAAATAAATCATTTTACACAGCAAAGTTGGGATGATCTATTGTACTGAGTTCACAGTGAAATATGCTTACTCATACAGCTCAGCAAGATTCTGAGTCCTTTTAATTCCATCACGAGCCTTACCTGCAAGCAGGTGAACAGAGTTGAAGCTCTTCTCCAGTTTACCCAGAAGTACAGTGAGAAAACAGTCTGAAGAGAGAGAGGCAACATCTTGGGAGCTTTGATCGTAAACTACAACCTTCTGACTGCAATCAATGTCAACCTGAAATGCAAACATGAGGCTTGTTAGGAAGAAGGTGAGAAAAGTAATCTCAAACTACTGCTTAAGATCTCACATTTACCAGTGCTGGGGCGAATAATTGCTTCCTGTTTTCAATTAATAATTTGAATAAAAATGAGATGTAGTCAATTTACGAGACAGACACATACAAAACTCTTAAAAACCAAAATGATGCTATTTCTGTGTAGGTGATCTCACGATTCCCTGGTTTTAAATCCTTTATACTATAAAATGGTAAAGTTCATAATAAACCAAACAATATGCAAAATAAACATAACCCTGGACCTAAACAAACTTTTTTTAAAATGACTTTTACACCTTAACAAAGAAATCAGTTGTTTATTTAAATTAAAACATGAGCTCATTTGTATTTGTGAAGAAAAAAACCAACTTCCTCACCACACAGACAACATTTTAGTATCCCAGGAATAACTTCCCTTGAAGATATCATTAAGTCTTGACCAATGTTACCACATGTGTTATGACACATAAAAAGCACCCCTAATAATTAGTTCCTACTTTCTTTCCAAAGAACTTGAAAAGAATGACTTTCCTTTCAGTAAATTTGCAGATAATATAGAATAGTGTTTAATAAAATCATTTTAGCAAGCCACAAGAAAATATAGCACTTGTCCAAACTAAAGCAAGTTAATCCTTCATAGTTTAGAAATATTATTAAATGTGGCAATATGGACAATAAATTATTTTGAGGTACCACAAGGCACCAAAATTTAAAAAGCAACCAAAACTTCCTCAAATTACTTTCTCTACTTAAAGAGGAGGCTTCAATTAAAATTATTCCTCATTCAGTGTGTCCATTTATTTTGAAAAGGCAAAAAGGAAAGCGTTTACCTTATGTTTCGCTGAATGCTGGATGAGCTCTGTAATTAACACTTTGTCCTGTTGCAACCTTCGCTTCATAAGCTTGGAGCAGTTGATATTAATGGCTTCCAAAATGTGGGATGTATTGTATTCCACAAATGGCCGGCTATCAATTAGCAGCACTTTTTCCGTTCCACTTTCCAGCAGAGCCACCAACCTCTCAGTAACAATTTGAGTTCCAATCATCTCATGGGCCATGACAACAATAAGTCCTCTTTTCCCACCTCCTTCTTTAATTTGCCACGATGATGTAATGGTGGTGTGCTCAAAGGCTCAGCCACTCCATTGTACTAAAAGTGTATGAGGTCAGGCTGGTGGTGACTGGCAAAAGGAGAGTTAAACCCATTTTCAGCAAGAGCCCTCCAAGTGAATGTCTCTTTCTCTTTCCCGTTGATGTGCTCTTGCAAAGGACTCCGTCCACAAAGCAGCCCCTCACATTTGATTCATAAAGAGATGACTGGAATAACCATTCCACAACAAAAGATGCTTTGGAGCAGCCAGCGCATTACATCATTCTTTACCTTTGCTCCCGCGCTCCAACAGCTTTACACTGGACTGAAAGCCTACGCGGAGAGAGAAAGACAGAAAACAAAACGTGAGGTCAAAAAAAGAAGAAAGAGTGTCAGATTAGAGAGAGTGTATGATTCATAATATTTACTCCATTAATCTAATTCCATACTTGATGCACTGCTTCATTTGAACAAACAAATAAAAAGGACAAATTGGTATGGCTTCAGAAAAATGTGCTAGTGATAATTCCATTTTACCTCAAAATGTAAAAACTCAAAGAAAACAAAACAAGACATATCATGAATTATAATCACCTAGGGCTCAGAACTAAATGACCTGTAGTATTGAATTAAAAGGGCTACAAAAAGCTGCTTGAAGTATTATTATTCCAAATAGTTTTCCTATATTTTATTTGCTTATTTATTGAAATCCCACAAAGAATGGCAGCTGAGGACAAAGTTAGCAATCCTGTGTTACCAGGACAAAAAAAAAAATATTTTCTGAAATGGCTTGAGAATTCCTGCGATGAATGGGTAGGTGTATATGTGTGTATGTGTGTGCACATGTGAGCTCACGCGAGTACCAGGGCGCAAACAGCAGCCTTTTAAAATTGCCCTCACGGAGGAGAGAAGATGCAGGAAAACTGGAGTTTCTATAAATTTCAGCTATCTTTTAAGGAAGAGGAAGGACAAAAACAACTGATATGTTTGTCACAGCAGCTGCTGAGCTAGGCCTGTGAAGTGCTGAAGCTCACAGCCATGGCCCTGTCATGTCTCCTTCCGGAGGCCATCTCCCTACCACCAAGTTGCTTAAGGCCCTGTAAGCTTATCCTTCACTTTTTCCTGCTTCATTCTTCAGAGAATCACTAACTCCTAGTCTTAAAAAAATCTCACCCCTTAACCTGGAACTCTAAGTTGGCAACCCAGACATAGAGAGCCCTTAAAGCTGAACCCAGTGCTTCCCTTTCTTGCCAAACTCCTTTAATCAATCACTTTCTAATTAACACTAGTTGAAGTTTTGCGCTTATTGCTTGGACTTCACCTTGACCTTCAATACTCTCGGATTCCTATCTCCCCTGGTCCATCTCTGCTTATATGAAATCCTCTACTACATAAAACTACATGTCTACTTCTGGCACTGAACTTCTAGAGGGTAAATTTTTTTTTTTTTTGAGACAGGGTCTTGCTCTGTCACCCAGGCTGCAGTGCAGTAGCACAATCTCAGCTCACTGCAACCCCTGCCTCTCAGGCTCAAGTGATTCTCCTGCCTCAGCCTCCCAAGTTGCTGGGACTACAGGCGCGCACCACCACACCCAGCTAATTTTTGTACTTTTTGTAGAGACAGGGTTTCGCCATGTTGCCCAGGCTGGTCTCAAACTCCTGGGCTCAAGCAATCCACCTGTCTCAGCCTCCCAAAGTGCTGGGACTACAGGTATGAGCCACCGCACCCAGCCTAGAGGGTAAATATTTGATTGCAAAAGTTTATTATATTTCTTACTTCTACAGTACTTTGGACATAACATACTCAATATATTATTATAGTAGGTAAATTCTTCCTTGTTCCAAAAACAGTTTAAGATTCTAAATAAATATTTGATTAGCTGATTTCAGGTCAGGATGTCAGAGCCTTTAAAAACCTTTAGATCATGTTTCCTAATTTTGTACTTACAAATTAGAAGCTAAAGCATGGAGACAGAAGGTGGAGCATGATATAAAGAGATGTAGCTTTGCCATTTACTTATGCAACCTTGGACAAATCACATAACCTCTCTAAACCACAGTTTCTTCACCTACAAAATGGAGACATTATAGTGGCCTCATCTCTTCAAATTTGGTCTGAGAACAAAATTATCTAATTTATTGAAAGCTGGTAAATAAAAAAGCAACTATGCATCATAGACAGGAGGAAAAATACCCTACAGATGCCAATGGCAAACAAAGCTGGCTTGCATCTGGCATCTGAAAGACATCACTCACAGATAAAAACAGATGTAATTCCATCCTCCTATAGTACAGCTGCAACCAAACTGTGCCCTTTCTCACAGAGGCTGACACACAGGGAGTTAGAAGGCACCTGAGATACTGTCTCAACCACACCATATTTTACAAACCAGCTCCATTTAATACATTATATTTCCATTTCTTATTTTCCAAGAAACAACTTTCATTAATGTATTATTTTTAGCATAGCTTTATGGTAATGAAGTACAAAAGTCATCTCTATTTTCAACTGAAGGAACTATAAGAGAGAATTTGTCCTAGTCAATCCACTAATAAACTTCTGCAAAGCGCCTACCAAAGCCATACCACTCAATCAGGTTCTGCCTGCTCAGTGACAGAGTTCACGGCAATGTAAGGTCCTGTATTCAGATTGTCTGATTCCCAAACCAGGGCTTCTACTACTGGGTTGCCCTGTTTTCCCTAAGTACTTGTTCCCATAATGGAACTGGACTGGGAAAGAATGATGCCAATTGTCCATGAGGGTACCCAGGTGGCACAGAAAGTGGAAATCCGAGAACAAGAGCAAGTTGATTCCAACAATGGCACTGGGTCTCTGAGTCTGATTGGCTCCTCTCAAAGAGATAAAATCCGGATGGGACAAAGCAGTTATCTGGGTTAGCAGATCAAGGGACAAAAGGAGGGAGAAGTCAGCAAACATGCAAAAGTTGAATTAGAAAGTTCTCATCTTTGCTTCCCCTCAGCCAATTCTCATAAACCCAAAGACAGGTTACAACAAACAGTTCTACAGAGCAGAGAATGTCATTCTTGCCCAGAGAATCAGAGCTTAGTTACAGATATAAAAAGACCCTTTCCCTGACCAAGAAAGGCTCTGGTCAAAGTGACTCTAAGCTGAGGATGTAAGTGAAGCATAGGGGTAAAAGTGAAGTGAGGGTGAAGTTCCATTCTTTCAGTGCTGTACTGAGGCCAGCTGGAGTCCTCCTGGTAGGACTTCATGCCCAAGGTCTAATTCTCTGTAGTGCTAAATGGGTGAGGTGAGAGGCAGAGCCCTGCCAAGGGATCATGGAGGGTAAAGTAACAATGGCCTTAATCTCTTTCATTTACAGTTAGAGAATTTTGGTTAAATCTCCATCACTGGCTATGAGTCTAATTTTAAAAATTTCTCTGTAGTTACTGTTTTGTTTTCAAAATCCTTTGCATTAGGTAAGATTTGAAAGATGACAAGAGAATATTTTGCTTGCAACATCACCAAGCTAATCTTACCCAGAATTTCTATAAGTCAAGGGGAATAAAAATTTTTACAATGAACCACAAAGGCTCAAGTCCATAGAACAAAATCCAGAGCAGACCAGCTTTGCTATTTATCTATTTATTTAGCCAGCTGCTAAAGTTGAAATACTTTCTTTAGATTTTTAAATAGGTAATATATTCATATGGTTCAAAAAAAGTCTAAAAATGTATACATAGTATGAACGTGTACAGTTTATTGTGTCACTTATACATCAATAAAGGTGTTTAAAATTGCCACGATATTGAAACTTCAGCAAATACATTTAAATAAAAAAAAACTAAATATATTCATAATCCTTCTTCTACCATTATCCTCCATCTGCCTGGGTCCCAACCCTGCCCTCTAACTGGTAACAACTTTTAGTAGTCTCATCTAATTTATTCCAAAGATTTTTTTAAATTAATATAGAATGAAGCACAAATATACACACTTTTCCTTCTCTTTGTTCAAATGGTTACAAAGTATAGACACTGTCTTGCATCTTGCTTTTTCTTTCACTTACAGTACTTGAATCTCATTTTTTTCAACATTTAATTAGAAAATGAATCAATCTATATTTCCATGGGCCTTGCATATATGCATGTCTGGAAATCTAAATAAAACATGTAGAAATTCTTTTTTTTTTTTGAGACAGAGTTTCACTCTTATTGCCCAGGCTGGAGTGCAATGGCGCATCTCGGCTCACCGCAACCTCCACCTCCCAGGTTCAAGCGATTCTCCTGCCTCAGCCTCTCCAGTAGCTGGGATTACAGGCATGCGCCACCACACCCGGCTAATTTTGTATTTCTAGTAGAGATGGGGTTTCTCCATGTCAGGCTGGTCTCGAACTCCCGACCTCAGGTAATCCACCTGCCTTGGCCTCCCAAAGTGCTGGGATTACAGGTGTGAGCCACTGCATCCGGCGAAATTCTTAAACTTAAAAGATAACTCCAGCTGGGCATAGTAGCTCATGACTGTAATCCAAGCACTTTGGAAGGCCAAGGCAGGAGGATCACTTGAGTCCAAGAGTTCAAGACCAGCCTGAGCAACACAGTGAGACCCTATCTCTACAAAAAATTAAAAATATATGTATACACACACACACACACACACACACACACACAATTTTCCCCCCTAGAATTACATACTAGAGTACCTAAGAAGCTGACAAGTAACTCATAATAGTGTGCTCAAAAGGTTAGCAAATTAAATGCTGGGGGTCACCACAGCTGGCCTGTTTTATGACATACTAGTTAGAGAGTACCCTCTATAACTACTCTGGCTTAAAAGAAAGTTAAAATGTGATGGTGAACATTCATGAAGTTATGGAAATTATCTTTTAAAGGATAACCTAAAGTCAGCAAGGCAGTATTTATCAAACTGAAGACTGGTAACCTTAATCAGGGCTACTACACAAAAAACTGCAAAGTATCCCAAGTTCAAAATAAAGGTTTTAAAAGACTATCTAGGAATAAAGATAAACTGAGTCAACATCTTAGTATAACAAAATGACTACAGATCATGGAAGAAAATCAGCAAATCTCCTAAAGAAATACCATTTCTGGTATATTTTTACCTTTCAGCAAATGATTTATGTTTTATATTTTATAATATTTAACACAAGTTGTATAACAACTTTCCCCCTTTAATATACAATTTTGTCTGTTTTTATATGTAATTTATTTTTATTTAGATTCCATTTGGTTACTTATGGAAATGTATTTATGACTATAACAGAAATCACTGGAGTTTTATTTCTTGAAATTCACTCTATATCCAACTCTGCACAAATACGGTGTATCAATGAAGTATGCTACTGAATAAGTTATGTTTAAGAACTGTAAGTCTATTTTTATGTTAAAGTGAACAGGTAGGGCCTGTTTCAACTAAGAGAACAACATAAAGTCTGTATAAAACCAGTATTTGCCATTAATTACTTAAAAGGAAAATGTTTTGTTTCGATTTTTATTACTTGTACACTTCAAAATTTGTGCCTAGCCAGAGAATCCTTTTTTTAAGATTATTTTTACGTGATTATATTAAGGATCTTCTTCTGCTTCCCAGATGATTTTTCTCTTCAACTTCCCAAACATGATCCTGGGTTCTAGGTCAGTCATACTGACACTGACTATATCCCACTCAGAAAAAAAGTGATAATCGCTCACACACACAATTTTTTTCTTTCTACCCATGGGTTATTTTCTGCTGGCAGCAATAGTTTCATCTGCTACTGCTACTGCTGCCCTAAAACACCCACTCCCAAGGCCTGCATCAAGGCCCACAGCAGGGGATGGGGCTCCAGGAGGAAGCGGGGGGTCCCACTCAGAGAGGCACAACTCCATTTTAAACATTTTCTTTTACAAAGAGAAATTATCAGGGAAAGGAAAAGGATCCCATAGCTATGGGGTGCTTAACAGGCCTGTTGAGTGAGGAGAGGGATTTAGTTTTATTTGGTTGGGCTAGAGCTCAAGTTCAAATTCTCAGTTTATGGAAAGGATATAATCAGGTGAGAAGTTTACTTTTATTAAACTACAAGCCTGACTTAAATTTTTTCCCTCCAACAAAACTGAAGAAACAGGCAACAAGATATACCGAAATGCCTTTCAATAGAGCCCTAAACACAGGCTTTCAATAACAGGAAAAAAACCAATCAAAAGGGAAAAAAGGAGACTATCATATCTGCAAGCAAACAAGAACTCCTTAGACTTTGACTGCCTCAATGCTACACAGATTAAAGCAACTTTATCTCATAAGCTGTGGGTTAAGATAAACTTGATAGAAATTCTGAGCTCTGGTATTTGGCAAATATATTCAATTAAAAAAATAAAAACAAACACAAAAAACCACCCTCACCAAAATCAAGAAAGCTAAGAACTTGGTGCGGCAAACCACCATGGCATGTGTATACCTATGAAACAAACCTGCATGTTCTGCACATGTACCCCAGAACTTAAAAGTATAATATATACTTTATAATATGTACTTTTATTTATAAAAGTATAAAACAAAGTAAAACTACAAACTTAATGTGCTTTTTAGCTGCCTATTAATGTCTGATCATATTTCCTTACCCAAAAATTGAGGACACATATTCTGACAAGTGATGGCAATAATGAGACTGCTTGAAGCAAAACTATTTAGATGATACTAGACCTGGAGACAGCAGTTATCCGCACCGTAGAACCCAGTTGCCTCGCACTGACATACCACACTGTTGAAAGCCGCCCCTCCAATCAGAGGTTCAGGTTGTTTACATACATCTCAAGGACCCACAGATAAAGGCTGGAATAGCAGTCAGCCTTCAAAGACTACCTATAATGCCTGCGCTTTTAGGCACAGGCCAGCCCAGGCAGAGGCCAAATCTGTGAGAAGCCTTCACCAAAGTTTCTGTTCAGGGCAAGGAGCACTCCCCTCCTGGTATTGGCTCAATCAGAGCTCTTGTCTTTTTCTTAGTACTGCTTCCTGTTTATGATCACCTGTTTCACCCGCTTCCCCTTCCCTGACCCACCTGAGCTCTCCTCCTCCTTCCCCCTCCCAACCTTCCTCTTTCCCTCTGCCACCCATGTATGTATCCTAGACACACTCCTCCTGGCCCACAGGCTCCTTCACCTACCCCTCTACACTTAATGCTTCCTCCAGACACGCTGCCTGAAAACTCAGGACCCTACCTACTGGGAGAGGGGCCGGTGTATGGAGGTGGTCTTGGGAGGGTAGAAATGGAAGGATCCCTGGATGAAGTTACTGGGCAAGAGGAAATACGGCCAGGGATTGGCTTAATCTGAGAATTGAGGAGAAAATGTTTTAGAAGGGTATTTTCAGTAAAGGTAGGCTGGAGGCAGGAGAAGAAAGATTTAGAACAAGCCAAACAGAGGTCAGATGGGGATTAATTCGTGCATCCTGGTTTTCTTGAACATCTGCCAAATCACTATAATTCATCAGGCCTACTGTAACTAATTCAGTCAACTAACAAGTACTTATTTGGCACCTAATATGTGCCAGGCACTGTGAAAATGTAGCAATAAATGAAAAAAGTATTCATTATAATTTATAAGTTATTAATGTACTGCCTGGTTATAAATTAACAAGGCAAAAATTACTGCCTTTCTGGAGCTTCTAATTTAGTGATGGGGGACACGATCAACAACAAAAACAAAACATTTCCTATGATAGACGCCGATAAGAACTAGGGAGAAAAAATAGAGCAAGAGCAAAGGGTGTGCGGGGGTGGCTGTTAAATTGTAAACAGAGTAGTCACAGAAGGCCTTACCTTGAGAACATGAGAGAGGAGAGTGGTAAGAGACTGAGCTATGTGGATACCTGGAAGATTGTAGCTTTCTGGGGCCAATGAATATACTAGCCAAGATAATGCTGAATTGGGCAAATACCAATAAAAGATGTGGCAGGTGTTCATGCTTTGTTCAGAACTATGGTTATATCTATTGGAAATGATGCATTTCCAGGAAACTGAACTTTTGTTTTTGTTGTTTTTTGAGACAGGGTCTTGCTCTGTCACCCAAGGCTGGAATGCAGTGCTATGATCTCAGTTTACTGCAACCTTCAACTCCTGGGCTCAAGTGATCCTCCCACTTCAGTCTCCCAAGTAACTGGGACCACAGGCATGTGCCACCACACCTGGCTAATTTTTATTTCTTGTAGAGACGGGGTCTCACTGTGTTGCTTAGTCTGGTCTCAAACTCCTGGGCTCAAACAATTCTCATACATTGGCCTCCAAAAGTGCTGGGATTACAGGCGTGAGCCACTGTGCCCGGCCAAACTTTTTAAATTAATGGATAAAACTGTATGTATTTATCATGTACAACACGATATTCTGAAGTAGATATACACTGTGGAATGGTTAATTCTACTAACAAGTGCATTACCACACATAGCCATCATTGTTGTGATGAGAACACTTAACATCCACTCCTTGAATTTTTCAGGAATACTATATATCCTCGTTAACTGTGGTCACCATGCTGTACAATAGATCCTTGAACGTATTTCTCCTAAATAATTATTTACTTTCACCAACATCTCCCCAGGCTTCCCCTCCCCATTAAACATCCCAGCCTTTGGTAACCATTCTACTCTCTACTTCCATGAGATCAACTTTTTCAGCTCCCATATATGAGTGAAATTACACAGTATTTGTCTTCCTGTGTCTTGTTTATTTCACTTAACACAATGTCCTCCAGGTTCATCCATGTTGTAGAAAATGACAGGATTTCCTTATTTTTTAAGGCTGAATAGAATTTCATTGTGTACATATATACCACGTTTTCTTTATTCATTCATATTTTGATAGACGCTTAGGTTGATTCCTTATCTTGGCTATTGTAAATAGCACTGCAATAAACATGGGTATGCAAACATCTCATTTTCTTTACTCAGTAATGGGATTGCTGGATTATATGGTGGTTCTATTTTTAATTTTTTTTGAGGAACCTCCATAGTGTTTTCCATAATGGCTATAAATAGTTCATATTTCCACTAACAGTGTATAAGGGTTTTCCTTTCTCCACATCCTTACCAACACTGATCTTCTGTCTTTTGAAAACAGCCATACTACCAGGAGTGGGATACTATCTTACTGTGGTTTTAATTTGCATTTCTCTGATGATGAGTGATGCTGAGCATTTTTTCATAGACCTGTTGGCCATTTGCATGTTTTCTTTGAAAAATGTCAGGTCTTTCACCCATTTTTCAACCAAGTTACTTGCTTTCTTGCCATTGAGTTGTTGGAGTTCCTGATGTTTTTGAGGTATTAACTATTTATCAGATGTATAGTTTACAAATATTTTCTCCCATTCTGTAGGTTGTCTCTTCACTCTGTTGACTGTTTCCCTTGCAGTGCAGAAGCTTTTTAGCTTGACATAATCCCATTTGTCTATTTTTGCTTTTGTTGTCCATGCTTTTGAGGCAGGCAATTGAACTTTTAGCTTCAGTGTGAAAAAACATATATATAAGAAAATTTAGTACAATTTCTTCCTTAAAACTACAAAGAGAGAAACTGTGGTTCCTATACAGTGCATTTCTTGGCAAAGAAATGAAAAGAAATCCTGTAACAAGAAAGATTACTATTAATGTTAATATTATACATTTTTTCCAACCCCACAAGTGTGTTGTATCTACTAAGAGAATCTTAGTTTTACAACATGGAATGTAGTAAAATATCAAAGACACATTAAGCAAGATATATGTGTGAAAAAAGTCTATACAAGGAGGTAGTTTAAAGGATCTTTACATTAAAAATTTTTTAAATGCTTTCAAGGTTCTCTCCTTGTCAGAAGGATCAAATACTTAACACAAGGCCTTTACAAGTTAGATTACTATATTGAAGGGGTTGATAACACTAAAATAAGTTTATAATCTTTATCTATTAATATATGCACCCCCTCCTTTAGTCCACACCAGCCCCAGAACAACAAAATTCCAATACATGAAAGATATAGTATACTTTGTTGACAAAGAACTAATTGACTAAAGGTATTAAGACCAGAGTAAACATCTGAACAATTTGGAACACAGTCTAAGGGGAGAGGGGTTATAATTTAATTTTTCCAAACAGGACTGGAAGGCTCTAGGAGCAAGCAATGGAATGCAACACCGACACCAAACTTCTCACCCACCTGCACTCAAGCTCAAGCTCACAATAGTAATATTCCATAATTTAATCTATTTTAAATCTCTTAGTACTAAAATAAATAAAATTAGAATGCTGAACTACATTCTCCTGAAGATAATTTCAAAATGGCTCACAGAATAAATTCAAAGTGACTTATGGCTGGGCATGGTGACTCATGCCTGTAATCCCAGCACTTTTTCCCAGAATTTTTCCAATGCCAAAAGTGTGTTGTATCTACTAAGAGAATCTTAGTTTTACAATATGGAACGTAGTAAAATATCAAATACATGTTAAGCAAGACATATGCATGAAAAAAGTCTACACAACAAGGAGGTAGTTTCAAGAATCTCCTTTAAACTACTTTTGGGAGGCCGAGGTGGGTGGATCACTTGAGGTCAGGAGTTCAAGACCAGTCTGGCCAACAGGGCGAAACCCCGTCTCTACTAAAAATACAAAAATTCACCAGATGTGGTGGCATGGGCCTGTAATCCCGGCTACTCGGGAGGCTGAGGCAGGAGAATCGCTTGAACTTGGGAGGTGGACACTGCAGTGAGCCGAGATCACACCACTGCACTCCAACCTGGATGACAGCGTGAGACTCATCTTAAAACAAGGCCGGGCGCGGTGGCTCACGCCTGTAATCCCAGCACTTTGGGAGGCCGAGGCGGGTGGATCATGAGGTCAGGAGATCGAGACCATCCTGGCTAACAAGGTGAAACCCCGTCTCTACTAAAAATACAGAAAATTAGCCGGGCGCGGTGGCGGGCGCCTGTGGTCCCAGCTACTCGGGAGGCTGAGGCAGGAGAATGGCGTGAACCCGGGAAGCGGAGCTTGCAGTGAGCCGAGATTGCGCCACTGCAGTCCGCAGTCCGGCCTGGGCGACAGAGCGAGACTCCGTCTCAAAAAAAAAACAAAACAAAGTGACTTACAAGAAAGTGCTTTATCTTTCAGTTAAAATACACATGAAAAAATACTGGAAAAGGCCTACATGTATAAGAAAGGGACAGACTGGCTTAAGTAACTTATAAATTATGATAAATCCTGCAACATGGTATGCAACATTTAAAAACGATGGTGTAAAAATATACTTATTGACAGCCAAGGATGGTCATGATATATTGAGAATAAAGTCAAGTCTCAGAACAGCTAGGTAAAATAGAACCTCAAACACCCACAGGCATACAAACACATACGATGGATATGTATAAAACATAGTAATAGTTTTACTTAGGTAATTAAACGTAATTGTCATACTCTTTTCCATAACCTTGGAAATTATGAAAAATATTAATATAAGGTCATGACATACATTCAGACCCAGGAACTATTACCAGGTCCTACTGTACTCCTTCTTCTCAGGACCATTATAAAAGTTTGGGTGGGCAAAGGTTAAGAAGATGAGAACTGGGCACAGTGGCTCATGCCTGTTATCCTAGCACTTTGGGAGGCCAAGGCGGGCAGATCACCTGAGGTCAAGAATTCGAGAACTACTTGGCCAACATGGTGAAACCCCATCTCTACTAAAAATACAAAACTTAGCTGGGCGTGGTGGTGCATGCCTGTAATCCCAGCTATTCGGGAGGCTGAGGCAGCAGAATCGCTTGAACCTGGGAGGCGGAGGTTGCAGTGAGCCGGGATCGCTCCATTGCACTCCAGCCTGGGGGACGAGAGCGAAACTCTGTCTCAAAAAAAAAAAAAAACAAAGAAGATGAACAAATGTAATGTATGGAAATTAATGTTTACCCTCAAGGTAAAAGCTGAAATGGATTTATAAAGAATTATTTTAAACAGCAATAATGTTTGAGGGGTGGGGGAAGTGAGAAAAATGAAATTTTAAATCACATGTTTATGACTATGAAGCTAGACTTTAAAAATAGGTCAGTTAGGGTATGACTCTTATAATACAAAAGTTTATTTGGTATACAAAGGATTTATAGCTAATGTATTTTTTAATTATATTCACTAATACTTGTAAAAGATCATTCAATTTATAAAGTTTCCAAAATAAACCTGTTTAAAGTGTCACAAATGCAACGCAAGATGACTTTCATTGCTCTCACTTGGAAAAGTGCAAATTCCTCTAACAAAGTATATGCAATGGCTTCGTCACTATTCTCAGCTCCTAAGCAGACATGCACAACAAGGTTTGAACACATTCCAGGCGTGGCCTTCAAGCCCGGACCACACCTGCTTCCAAGGCCCTGCGGCTAAAAATAACTCTGGGGCCTCAAAAATGGGACACCAGCCAGGCCCAGGGGTAGCTGCAGGCCCCTTGCTCAGCTTCAACAGCAAAAGCAGGAGCTACAAAAACTCTAAAATCACAGAACACTCCACCACAGGCTTCCTTCTCTCAGTCTCTTTGTGCCAGTCACCTACAACCTAGGCCTGCTCAGTTTCTTTGCTCCATGAGGGCAAAACTAACCCTAGGAATTTAGAGACAAGTGAGGTTATTGTTTTTAAAAGATACTGTGGACTAGGACTCAGGAGACCTTGTTCCTAATTTCAACTCATCTACTAAAATGCTAAAATGGCGTATACAGTGTCACTTGACATTCCCCAAGCCTGTGTTTTTCCTACTTGTATAATGAGGAATTCAGTGATCACTAATATCTAAAGATTATTTCACTTAGAACAAAAAGATATTGCTGTAAGTGTGCCTCAGTTCTCAGCAAAGTCTCCTAACAGGGACAGGGCTGACTTATCATTAAGCAGTCATATTATGGTGTGAGAGTTTATACCCTACAACACACAAACTAAAACGGGTAACTCTGGGGTAACTGTTCCAGGTAATTCCTTTGTGACAGGGGATTTTCAAGGCTTGCTCTGAGCAACTATTTCCACTTCTCTTCCAATCCCACAGTATGCAGGAGACCCCTTTGGGGATTTTGTTACTCTACCAGGTAAGGAAAAAAGAAAGGGCGGCCAGGTAGCAGAGAAAGATGCAGCAACAGCATCGCTGTTCATTCACTGCAGGATCCTAGTCTGTGCTAATTTAAGTCATTGCATCTGTCCGCACACTTCCCCCTGCTGGGGCCCTGGAAGTTAATGATATCAGGAAGCTGTATCAGGAGCAAAGTACCACAAAGTGACAGGCCAAGACCTAGGCTGAAGAATCACAGCACCACAGGAAAGCAAGGACACTAAAGGCTAGCGGAGTAGCCCCAGACGGGAGTCGGAACATTCTCTGTCCTCATCCCTTGGTTATTTTTTCCACTTTGTCCTTTCCACTGTCTTTTTCTATAATTCGGCTCCATCACATCATCTAACTGTAGTTTCTGGACCCTTCTTTTGTCCTTAGAGGCTTTGCTGTTTCTTCATCCTCATATTCATCTTAATTTCTCTCTTCATGAGTATAACCAAGCCTCTTCCTGTCTGATGTTAAGCTCTTATCATACATTCATTTTCTATTTTTTGAGGAGGAACTGCCAAGTCCCTTGATGTACTGCTATTATAACAAGTAATATTTTCCAGACTGGTTTGAGACAGTCACCCGTGAATTCAGGTATTTTATCATCTATCAGCCTTTAAAATCTTTGATTTGTTACTCTAAAAAAAAGTTTTATTTTGGAGGAGAAAGGTAAAATTTTTCCAGTTTGGTGTTTCACACATGGTTGGTTATACTAAGTAAAGATCATCAATTCAATATTTTACATTTATATTAGCCCTTAAATACCTCATGTTCCAGATACTAAGTCAGACTTCCACCTAAGCCTCACAGGAAGACACAAATTCTCAGGATTTTCACACTAGATTATTTAGAAAACAAACAAGATCTGAATTATTTTATAATCTAGTGCTCAGATTCTAAAAGCAGAAATAACCTCTGCACATGCAGAAAAAGCTGGCTTCATCAAGAGTCTGCCTGGCACATTAGGACGGACACCTGTGCCAGTGCTCAGCCGCTCAGCCCTGCCCATCCTCCTCCACCAGCCTCGGTGAGCTGTTAGTTCTCCTTACCTCAGCTCCCAGTAACGCTGTTGTCTGATTCTTTAGAAGGGTTTCCCAAACAATCTTAATAGCAAAACAAATAGTAATGGGCTATATCCCATAGAAGAAGATAAATATCAATGAGTCTAAGGGGAAAAAAATTTTTTTTTACAAAACATCTGCTTCTACAAATCAAAGTTTGAGAGAATGGTGTTTCTATTTGCTATTCTTTTTTATTTTTTCTTTTTTAAGAGGTTATTCTGTCATTTTTACACAGTACTATACTTGGCCCTCTATAATTCTGGGTGTAATGTCAGTTGGGTTCAGGCACATTACCTGCAGCAGCAACAAACACCTTCCTATCAAAGTCTCAATTTCCCACTCTAAAATACCAATATGTCAGTGTTGAAGTTAAATTAGGTTTCTAACCCAATGCAGGGAAAAAGAGAATTGATGGCAAGTCCTTGATATTAATTAGTTGAGTAAATGTTGAAAATGACATTTTGAACAAATATGAAAAGATAACATGCCGGTCAGATGTCCAGCAAGCCAAAGAGAAAGGCTTCCTGAAAAATGTAAATTTCAAAGAGAGTTTTGAAAGAAAATAGGGACATGAACCAGCAGAGAGAAGAGAGGAAGATGATTCCAGATGCAGAAAACGCATGAGCAAAGACAGAGGGATAACAAACTGTATGCAGGCTTTCCTGGCTACAGATTATGTCAACAAGTAACAAAATAAGTTGGTAGAGTAAAAGGGGCTAGATGGTAAAGAATCCTGAAGTCTAAAGCCATCTAGGCCACTGTACGCTTTATGAAAATAACATAAGAACACTACTAAGAGAATTTCACTCTGGTAACTCTATTCAGAATGGACTGAGGTGAGAATAGATTTAAGGAGACTGACTGACTAGTCTCCTTACAGTACCATACAGTTTTAGTTGCCTATGGATGCGCTCAGTCTAGAATGGTAACTATAAAACCTGAGAGCCAAGAGACTGTTAATAGTCTAAATCCAAGGCAATGTGCCTGGCACAAGATATACCCTTATTATATGTCATGGGCACTGAAAGTACCCATGAAAATGGCTATCTAGACTACATGATTGAATTATTGCACCAGAATAATATCTGAAAATATCTCAATGTCTTATTCTGTCCCAGCTTCACATAAGCTAATGTAAAGCAAAATGAGCACTATGTACAGGCTCAAGTTTTACTAATTAGGTCATTGTTTATAAACCAGAATAATTAGACATAATAAAAGGCTGAAATAGGCCGGGCACAGTGGCTCATGCATGTAATCCCAGCACTTTGGGAGGCCGAGGCTGATGGATCACCTGAAGTTAGGAGTTCAAGACCAGCCTGGCCAACATGGTGAGACCCTGTCTCTACTAAAAATACAAAAATTAGCCGGACATGGTGGCACATGCCTGTAATCTTAGCTACTCAGGAAGCTGAGGCAAGAGAATTACTTAAACCTGGGAGGCAGAGGTCGCAGTGAGCCAAGATCGCTGCCATTGCAATCCAGCCTGGGCAACAAGAACGAAACTCCATCTCAAAAAAAAAACGCCGATGCGGTGGCTCACACCTGTAATCCCAACACTTTGGGAGGCCGAGGTGGGCGGATCGCCTGAGGTCGGGAGTTCGAGACCAGCCTGACAAACATGGAGAAACCCCCATCTCTACTAAAAACACAAAAATTAGCCAGGCATGGTGGCGCATTCCTGTAAGCCCAGCTACTCGGGAGGCTGAGGCAGGAGAATTGCTTGAACCCAGGAAGTGGAGGTTGCGGTGGGCCAAGATCACGCCACTGCACTCTATCTAGCCTGGGCAACAAGAGCAAAACTCCATCTCAAAAAAACAGGCTGAAATAAAAGGCTGAAAAATAGGTAGACTCTGAAGGTTGACATTTCTTCAAGGATGACTTTCTTCAATATATTTTTCTGTAATTTCTAAGTTTCCTATTTTATAGATAACTTTCATAACAGAAAACTATATATATTTTTAATAAGACGTAACTCATGTCATGTCATGAAAAAAAGATGTGGAAGTCAAAGTGAAACCTAAATGAATTTTAATACACTATCATGACATTCATCCAACAGTGACTATAGTGTGAGCAAATTTTTAAAAAGTTTTTAAATGTAATTACATAGCCCTATGACAGCAATGCTACAAGGTAAAAGACATTCATATGTATTCTACACAAAGCAATATAACTATATATGATTCAGTACCAGGCAATGTTCCTTTGCCAAATGTAACCTTCAGTATCAAAGAACACATATTCAAAATTAAAATTATAAGCAAAATCATTACAAATACAGTAAGCTTGCTATTGATGAAACTTAATATAAACCAGACCATAGAACTGTCTATTAAGAAACTCAATGGCTAAATGCCAAAATATCTAATTTCACCATCTCATCTAAAACATAGTCCACGGCATAGACCCTAAAAATATGCTCACAAAGCTCCACAGTCTAATTCTCTACTGGACAGATTATGAAATACATTCAAAAGAAACCTATCACCATTTGCTATCAACATATTTAAGTGTCACATAAGCATCACTAAGTATCAGAGACTGAAAGCCCCTCTAAGTAGAACACGATAATAAATGTTCAGTTTTTTCTCTTGCAAATAGTGTTCATTCTTCTAATTCTGGGGTGTGGATCTTAGCTAATCTATAAAACTCCAGGAAAAAAATTAAATGAGTTAGTAGAATATATATATATATGTTCATTTATCGAGCACCAACTAGATTCAATTTCCTATAGCACAATTTCCCACTTTTGCCTGATCACAAGAATCACTTAGAAACTTGATAAAAATGCCCAACCAGGCCCACCTCTGGAGATTGATTCGTGGGTCTAGAGTGGAACCTGTGAATTTGCATATTTAACAAATGTCCCAGGAGGTTCAGAGAATCAGGCAGGTTTGAAAACATGCATCCCCGTGCGCCACCACGCCTGGCTAAAGACATCTATCCTAAAGACATCTTTGGTCTTTCTCTCAATGTTCACATTTAATCAGTTGTCAAGACCTACTGATTTTCAGTCTCTCTTACCTGGAGGACATAGAGGCATAAAAGCTGGATTTGAGTTGAAAATAATGGTAAGAGGAGAAATGGGAAGTCAGTCATGTCACGTCATTAAAGAAAGTCAGAGACTACTGAAATTTCATAGCCAAAGAAGGACTTCCACTTAGTCTAGTGCATGTCTTCTGGCAAGTTAATAATGTCCCTTTTACAAAATGTTACATATTTATTCAAAGTCACACTATTCATCAGTGGTAAAAGACAGAAAATAGCTTCTAGGGAGTGTGCTTTCCACAACCCTAGAGAGCTTACCAAACATTCTGCAAATTTTAATAGGCTCCTGAAAAACACAGAACGCAAAATATTTCAAAAGATGAGAAATAATGCACCCTTTTAAACACTTAATGGGTGTGGCTGTGGAGAGTTGCCCTCACCAAAATGCCAGCCTGCCATGAAGTTACAGATGAAATGCCAGGCATGAAATAGAGAACCAAATGGTGAGGCAACAGCCTCGGCAGGACTCTAGTGAAGGGGGAGGAACCCTCGAAGCAAATGCTTGTCAACTTCCTGGGTCACCATGAAAATACAGTAAGACAGTTAAAGTATGTAATAAAATATAAAGCATGTAATAAATGCTCAGGTAATCCTCCCACCTATTGTAAATTCTAACATTTGCTAAAAAGGGAACAACTCAGTACATGATTAAATGGAGGAGCATTTTGGCTAACAGAGTAGCTCTGAACCTTAGTTACACATTAAAATCATCTGGGAGCTCTTAAATATCCAGATGTACCTCAGAATGATAAATCAGAATCTCTGAGGAATGGGCCCAGGCATCAGTATTTTTCACACGAACAAGCAGAGGTGGATCCTTTACCTTCTCCTAAAAAACTGTCACAAGGGACAGGTCACTTGGAAGGCAGTTTAAGAGAGAGCAGAGGAGAAATCTGGTGACACATGTAACACTGTGATTAATCTATTGCTTACGATGTTTTATATGTTGAAAGTCTGGAATTCTGAATATTTTATTATGTAAGAGATCCAGTTCTCCAATGTCACAGCCTCTATAATTTGAATAATAATAAAGGAGCACAACAATTCACTTATGATACCCAACAGAAGACTGCAAGGATATGCTGGGGCACAGAGCCCAATTAGGGTTTAATAAGACAGGGTTTATGGGTGAAGCAATCTAGTTTCCAATCTTTCTTCTTAAAAATCTACAAATGTTTAGGTGTAGATGTGTCAAGGAAAGATTGTTAAAGCTTGGGAGAGATAGAGTTCAGTGTTCACCGGCTTATGAATGCACGTTAAATAAATATCTCCACCCAGGAATTTCCCATTACTAACGGCTAATCACCATCACAAGGGCATACAGCCCTTTAGAATTCCTCTCTAATCCAATCCTGTAAAACTTCACTTAGGATGATGATGGAAACCAAGATTCGGGCCTCCAGCCAATCTATATTACATTAAATAAAGGACGTCACCACCCTTCTCAAGGTTGGGCCAGCAGTTATTTAAAAAAAAAAAAAAAAAGGCTGGGCACAGTGGTTCACACCTGCAATCCCAGCACTTTGGGAGGCCGAGGCAGGTGGACCATTTGAGGTCAGGAGTTCAAGACCAGCCTGACCAACATGGTGAAACCCCGTCTCTACTAAAAAATACGAAAAAATTAGCCGGGCGTGGTAGCATAGTCCCAGCTACTCGGGAGGCTGGGGAGGCTGAAGCAGGAGAATCACTTGAACTTGGGATGTGGAGGTTGCAGTGAGCCAAGATCGCACCACTGCACCCTGGCCTGGGCGACAGACTGAGACTCTGTCTCATAAAAAGAAAAAAGAAAATGAGACCAGGAGTTTGAGACTAGCCTAGGCAACATACTGAGACCCCGACTCTACTTTAAAAAAAAAAAAAACTAAAAAAAAACATCAGCCAGGTGTGCTGACAGGGGCCCGTAGTCCCAGCTACTAGTGAGGCTAAGCCTGGGAGATGGAGGTTGCTGCAAGGCTACTGGGGAGCTTGAGCCCGGGAGATAGAGGTTGCAGTGAGCTATGATTGCCACTGCACTCCAGCCTGGGCCACAGAGTGAGACCCTGTCTTAAAATATATAAAAATATAAATTAAAAAAATTTTTAAAGATGGTATTTAACCAGAGTCAGGAGTTTTCGTAACATATTAACATCCAATACAAGGAACACTAGGTTAGAAAATGCTCATTCAGCTATTTCCCTTGTACAGTGGGTCTAACTTGTGCTTCCTTCACTTACACAACAGTTTTTGAACATCTATACTGTGCAAGGCTTTTTGCTCAAGGAATCTTTGGAGGATACAATTTTAAAGCAATTTCATAAGATATCTATAAGGCTCCGTGAGATCACATAGCAAGAGTGGGAGAGAAAAATTTCAAGTGGTGACATCTAGAAGTCAACAGGAGGAGGTGAGGAGGTGGTCAATCCCACCTATGTATTTATTCTGGACGCTCTCCTACCCCAACTCCTTAGGGTGCTACACAATCTCTTTGTATTCACAAATAACCCCTGGTCAAGAGGTTTGGAGGGAGCGGCGACACCACCAGCCAGCAAACTTCTACTAATTCTGGAGGCAACTTCCTGTCAGCTGGTCCCTAAAGGCTGGTTGCTTCCTGCCAGGAGGCCACTTAGCACAGATTCATCTTTCTTCAGGAGGCAGACAGTTGCTTTTTTTTCTTTTCTTTTCTTTTCTTTTTTTTTTTTTTTTTTTTTTTTGAGCCAGGAGTCTCACTCTGATTGCCCAGGCTGGAGTGCAGTGGTGCTGATCATGGCTCACTGCAGCCTCAACCTCCCAGGCTCAGGTGATCCCCCCAGCTCAGCCTCCCGAGTAACTGGGACTACATGTGCACACCATCACGCCTGGCTAATTTCTCTATTTTTAGTAGAGCTGGAGTTTCACCATGTTGCCCAGACTGGTCTCAAACTCCTGGACTCAAGCAATTGACTCACCTCAGTCTCCCAAAGTCCTGGGATTATGGGCGTGAGCCACCGCACCTGGCCACTTGCTGATTCTCACTGTGGCACTGATTTTAGAGGGAAAGGCAGAGGGGAAGACAATTCATCTTCCCTTCAACCCCAGGTACACACAGTCCCCTGCCCCACACAAATACAAACATGAAGAATAAAAGAGGTACAGGCCTTGACAAGGTTACACTGACATTATTTCCACCCAACAGTATCTCCCACAAAGCGTTAAGGAGGGAAAATAAGAAACTCTTATTAAAATTAGTCTATCTTATTGGAAGGCCCAGTAAGGTAGGTAAATGGCATAAATTCTCAGGAGTTGGTCAATCTATGATAGTTGTAGTTGGAATGAGCTGTCTGTCTAGACCCATGGTCTTCAAGCTTTTCAGCTGACAGCCCACTTCAGAGTGACAAACTACCAGGTCTATGTCTTCCTAACAACTATTTCTCTGTCTACATGTGTTCCACCACAAACCCTAGAGAGAAATAACTGTGAAAAAAATTCTGTAAAGTGAGATATAACATCCAGATTAAAATGTAAATACAAGAGCACTGAAAATGTATGCACATGTAACAAACCTGCACATATACCCCAAATCTAAAATAATTTAAGAAAGGAAATGGACCCACAAAAACTTGTATAAAAATGTTCACAGCAGATTTATAAACAGCCAAAAAAATTAATCAACTGATGAATAGATAAACAAAATGCAGTATATCCCTACTATGGAATATTATTTAGCCATGAAAAGGAATTAATACTGATACCAGCTACAATATGGGAGAACCCCAAAAACGTTATGCTAAGGGAAAGAAACTAGATACCAAAGACCACATATTATATGAATCCATTTATATGAAATACCCAGAAAGGCTGGGTGCCGTGGCTCACACCTGTAATCCCAGCACTTTCAGAGGCCGAGGTGGGCGGATCACCTCAGGTTGGGAGTTAGGTACTAGCCTGACCATGGAGAAATCCCGTCTCTACTACAAATACAAAATTACCCGGGCGTGGTGGCACATGCCTGTAATCCCAGCTACTCAGGAGGCTGAGGCAGGAGAATCCCTTGAACCTGGGAGGTGGAGGTTGTGGTGAGCCGAGATCACGCCATTGCACTCCAGCCTGGGCAACAAGAGCGAAACTTCATCTCAAAAAAAGAAAAGAGAAAAAAAAAAAAAAAAAAAAAGAAATACCCAGAAAGGGCAAATGCATAGGGACAGGAAGTAAATCAGCAGTTGCCAGGGGCTGGGAGGAGTGGGAAATGGTGTATGACCTAATGTGCAGAGTTTGTTTTGGGGGTGATGAAAATGTCCTAGAATTAGATAGTAGTGATTACTACACAACTGTGAATATACCAAAAACCACTGCATTGCACACCTTCAAAGACGAATTTTACGACTGAAATTATATCTCAACTTTTTTTAAATGGTAAATTTGGTGGTATATTAATTGTATCTCAATAAACTGTCATTTTTAAAAAGGGCAGGCAGGCCAAGGCATGACTCCAGATGTAAAGAAACTAAAGACACAAGTAAATGTAGAACACGATCCTCAATTGGACCCTGTATGCAAGACCAAATATTTGTGTCCCCACTAAATTCTTAAATTAAAACCCTAAGTCCATTGTGATAGTATCTGAAACTGGGGCCTTTAGAGGGTAATTAGGTCATGAGGTGGAGCCCTCATGAATGGGATTCATGCTATATAAAAAGGACCCCCAGAGAGCTCTCTTTCTTGGGTATACGATGAGAAATTGGTACTCTGCAACCCAGAAGAGGGCCCTCACCAGAACCAGATCATGCTGGCACTCTGATCTCAGACTTTTAGCCTTCAGAACTATAAGAAGTCAATTTGTTATTTATAAGCTACCCAGTCTAAGGTTGTTATAGCAACCCAAGCAAACTAAGACTGTACTAGACAGTACAATGCTATGAAGAATGTCGTTGTGTCAACTTACAGGACTGAAATACACGTGTGGGCTAGTTAGAAGTATTAAATCAATGTCAGGTTTACTGGGGTTGACAACTGTACTGTGGGTAGGAAACTGTCCTTGTTCTTCGGAGACCTGCTGATGTGCTTGAGGATAGTGGGCCATGTGTACAACTTATGGTTCAGAAAAATGTATCATATATAAATATGAAGAGAGAGCAAGTAATAAAGCAAAGGGGGCAAACTGGTAATAGTAGATGCTGTTCTTTTATTTTTTTCTGTAAATTTAAAATTATTTTCAAACAAAAAGATAAAAAAGTAAATAGAATACACATAATCTGAGATCTAGAAATTCTACTTCCAATAATTTGTCTTATATAAATACCTGCCCAAGTATATTATGTGAAATACTTTTCCCTGTAACATGTTTATAACTGTAAAAAGAAACAACTTCAAAGTTAATGAGTGATAAATTGGCTAAATATATTATTATATCAATGTAGTATACCATATGGACATGTAAAAAGAAAGATGTCTATCTGATATAGAATGACTTCCAGAAATATATTCTTTTGTGAAGAGAAAAAAAGAATTGGTTTATCCCTAGAAACAAAACCAATAAAAAACTCAAGAAGCCTAGGAATGTTTGGATTTGGTTAAGAAAGAAGCTAAGCCTGTTCTATTTATTTATGAGGCCAGTTATTTGTATTTGTAATACAAATAATTTTCTCCCTTACAGCATTGATAATACAAGCTTTACTAATGAAAAAGGAAACTAATACAATCTTGTATGCCACTTACTCCTGTGGTTAACTCAAAGCATTTAAAAATAAATTTCGTAAAAACTCAAGTATAACATATATGCCAATAAGCATACACAAATCATGAATGTACAGCTCAAAGAATTTTTATAAGGTTAACACACTCATGTAATCACCATCCTGATCAAGAAATAGAAACCCACCTGTACTCCAGAAGTTGGCTTCATATGTCTTCCTACTACTAATCTCTCTCCCCAAAGGTAACCACGAACCTGACTTCTTATACCATGGCTGAGTTTTGCCTGTTTTTGAGCTCTTTTGTGTCTGAACTGTTTTGTACAAAATTATGTTCATATCTATGTTGTTGTAAGTAGCAAGAGTTTTTTCATGTTCACTTCTACCTAGTATCTCATTGAATATACAACAATGTATTTATCTATTCTTCCACTGATGGACATGTGGGTTGTTTCCAGCTTGGAGTTATTATGAATTGTGCTGCTATGAACATTCTTGTACATGTCTTTTGGTGAGCATAAGTACACATTTCTGTTGGGTATACACCTAGGAGTGGGTTTGCTAGGTTAAACGCATAAGTATGTAACACTTTAGTATAATAGATACAACCAGTTTTCCACAGTTATTCCAATTTACAATTCCAGAATCCATACATGAGGGTTCTAGTTGCTCTACACCCATGCTGATACTGGTATTTTCAAGTTTTTGTTTGTTTCTCAATTTTAGCTACTCTGATCAGTGTGTAGTGGTAATTCACTGTGGTTTCATTCAGCATTTTTTGATGACGAATATGGCTGAACACTGCTAGAAGCTTTAGTTTTTTTTAACCTTTCGCATTGAGATCTACAATTAGCCTATAATTTATTTTTGTAAGTGATGGCAAGCAAGGACCAAAATTAGTTTTCTTTTTCTTTTCATACAGATAGGCAATTGACGTAGGATCATTTATCGAAAGATCTTTCTTTCCACATTGCTGTAAAGTGCCATTTTAATCATAAATTAGTATCTACATATATGGGTCTGATTCAGGGCTCTATTCTGTTCCATTATCCATTCATTTATTCCACACTGTATATTCAATAGTGTGAATCCTACAACTTTGTTCTTCCTTAATATTACCTTGACTATTCTTGCCATTTGCACTGCCATATGAATTTTAGAATCAACTTATATAAACTTCTGTAAAAGTTTCAGGTATCTTTCTTAGATTTATTACCAGCATTTGATATTTTTTGATGCTATTATAAACAGCATCTAAACATTTCATTTTCTGATTACTGTTATATAGAAATATAGGTTTTGTATAATAACCTCACATCCAGTAATCTTACTAAATTTATGTTTACTTTGAGATGGATTCTCGCTCTGTCACCCAGGCTGGAGTGCAGTGGCATGATCTCAGCTCACTGAAAACCTCTGCCTCCCAGGTTCAAGCGATTCTCAGCTTGATGCCTCAGCCTCCTGAGTAGCTGGGGCTACAGGTGTGCACCACCAAGCCCAGCTAATTTGTGTACTTTTTTTTTTTTTTTTTTCCGTAAAGACAAGGTTTCACCATGTTTACCAGGCTAGTCTCAAACTCCTGACCTCAGGTGATCCGCCCGCCTCAGCCTCCCAAAGTGCTGGGATTACAGGCATGAGCCAACACGCCTGGCCACTACATTTATTTTTAAAGCATTATTTTTTAACTTACATAAAGTAAAATTAATGCTTTTTGGTGTACAGTTCTATGAGTTTTGACCAAATGTACACTGTAATGTAACCATCACCACAATCAAGATGCAGAACGTTTCCATCGCTCCAAAAAATTCAAAAACAAATCCTGGTCAAATCTTAAGTTACCCTAATAACAGATAAGAGAGTACATGGATAAATAAAGTCTAACGATATCCTATAAACTACAATCTAGCCAAAACTATATGACAGCTTCAGTCTCATTTCCTGGCAAATCTTTCCCCACCAAATTCAAAGCCGGTAAGAGAAATGGTAACCAAATCACAGTTCTAGAGCCATAATGTACCAATCTAATATTTAATATGTGGATTCTGAATATCTGAATGGAAAAGAACTTGTTATAAATGATATTGATGTAATAACAGTAACATCATGTACTTTTAGAAACCCAAATGAAATTACACTATAAAAATAAGTTATATTTCCCATGCAAAATAAATGGATAATGAAAACATCTGAGAGTTATTTATACAATATTATAAATTTATGAAATGCTATCATTTGGGGGGGAAATTCTGCACCCTCTGGATAATGATTATGTTAATGAATTCTGGTCTACTAATGATCACCCATGGTTTAGTTTTATCTTTTTTACTTTACCTGTGTTTCGTGGTTGTGTTTTTTCACAATTAAATGTCCAGCCTATGCTCAGAGGGATGGATGGTGATAAGTAGCCCCAAAGGGCCTAGATAATATTTTGCAATGAAACTGTCAGTGCTACCAAATATATTTCAATCCTTGAGTTACTGTATAACCAAAGTTAAGAATGAATGAACAAGGGTGGCTCTGACCATTATGGCAACTTTCCACAATGTAGTTCTTTGAAGCTGCCTCAGTCCTTCCATTACCTCCGCTATTTACACACCCAGGTGTTTTTAGTATTTTGTAAGAAGGGACTGGTAATGGTCAATCAAGACCTGGCAATAGGCCAGAAAGCAATATAGATGTCACAGATGGTCAAGCACAAAGACAACACTAGATAGACATGCTGTGTTCTAGTGTAAGCACTACCAACATCTCATGCATTCTGAGTCACCCTACATATTGCTTACCCATTCCTATTTGGTTTACTGGATTTTGCTTGTTTACTTTATTCCTCCTATAGTATTGTCAGCATGAGAACATTTTAAGTCATGGCACCATATGGCAATAATATATAACTCCATAACTAAAATAAGCTCCCTAAAGACTGGCTATCTGTCAGATACTATCTATAAGACACAAAAAATTAAAAACATCAAGTGCTTGAAACCTAAAAATAATTTTATCTTAGCAGTACCCTTAAGCCTCAACCACAATCACATTATTTCTTACCTTTAATTAACATCATGATATCATTGTCCATATGAGAGCCATGGACAACAAATAAATCAGTTTAGAAATACTTCTTTATACCTGGCATGAAAATATAGCTGTTCTTAACAGAAATAAAAATTCACTGAATTTGGACTGGTGTTTTGTTTGCTCTATGTATTTAAAACAATAACAGGCCAGTGCAGTGGCTCATGCCTGTAATCCCAGCACCTTAGGAGGCCGAGGCAGGTGGATCACCTGAGGTCAGGAGTTTGAGACCAGCCTGGCCAACATGGCAAAACCCCGTCTCTACCAAAAATACAAAAATTAGCCGGGCGTGGTGGTGCCCACCTGTAATCCCAGCTACTTGGGAGGCTGAGGCAGGAGAATCGCTTGAACCCGGGTGGAGGTTGCAGTGAGCCGAGATAGCGCCACTGCACTCTAGCCTGGGCGACAGAGCGAGACTTGGTCTCAAAACAAACAAAACAAACAAACAAAAAAAAGCAAAAAAAAAAAAAAGAAAATACATTGTCCAATGAACTTTTCACCTTCTACTTCCTTATGACTGTGAGTAGGCTTAAAAAAAAAAAAAAAAAAAAAAAAAAGCAAAACATACTACTGTGTATCTCCAGGGTAAGTACAAGCTCTACTACTCCAGGCCATATCCACCATAGGACTTGTGTACAGCAGCATTAAAAAAACAAATATTTAAGCCCAGGATTCTGAGGTGATACCATGCTATAAGCAGGAAAATAAGTAAGATCAAAAGTTAGAAAATCAAAGATCCAACAAAGCTTTGGTGGAGTGCTACCTTCTAGCTATTGGCTGGCAACAAAGATTTCTCAGTGTAGAAGTTAGATAATACTGAGATTCCAAGGAAATCTTAGACACAAGAGGTTAGCTGGTAAAAGGCAATGCTTGCAAAATTTACAATTTTAGAGCTGGAAAAACCTTAGATATCACCTAGTCCATCCCTCTGGTTTACATATAATGAGGAGAGGGAAGAAGAAGAGAATCAACCCGAGCCCTCCAAATCCTCTTTGGAGTATGAAACCCTGACTAAGCAGTACCAGTAATAGCAGAAGAAGCAGAGATGACAGTTACTGTACTCCACTCACTCCATTTTTGTATCCCTGAACTATATCACATCTAATCTGTGAGTTCTAAGTAGCTGATTCACATTAAAGAAAAAGGCATCCTACAACTCAACAACAAAAAACTCAAATAATCCAATTTTTAAATGGGCAAAGGACTGGAATAAACATTTCTCCCAAGATGATATATAAATGGCCAACTATTTGAAAAGATGCTGAACATCACCAATCACCAGAGAAATGTGAATCAAAACCACAATGAGGTATCACGTCACACCCATTAGGACAGCTAAAAACAACAAGTGTTGGCTGGGCACAGTGGCTCATGCCTGTAATCCCAGCACTTTGGGAGGCCGAGGCAGGCGGCCTGAGGTCAGGAGTTTGAGACAAGCCTGGCCAACACGGTGAAACCCCATCTCTACTAAATATACAAAAATTAGCTGGGCCTGGTGGCACGTGCCTGTAATCCCAGCTACTCGGGAAGCTGAGGAAAGAGAATCACTTGAACCCAGGAGGCAGAGGTTGCAGTGAGCCGAGATCGCACCACTGCACTCCAACCTGGTGACAGAGTGAGACTCTGTCTCAAAAAAAAAAAAAAAAAGAAAAAGAAAAAGAAAAAGAAAAAAAAGAAATATTTTGCAATAGATCTCTTCCTTTTTCTTGCTGTGTTCCTCCCAACCTTTAATAATCTAAAGGTGTCAAGAACTGCTCCAGGATACTATCTTCCTTCTCCCAAACCATCCTACAGAAGCGGCCAGCTAACATACTGCTCTTAGAGTAAGCAGGGCAGGTCTGCAATCGTGGAGAAAAGGGGAAATCATCAGGAGGGGATTTCAAGTGGGTTGTCCTCCACTTCTAATCATGATCATGACTTTATCCCTCAGCCTATGAAAAGCAGAGACTAGGGTGACAGACCCCAAGCTGAAAAACCCCTAGGGCAAAAAAATGAGAACACTGTACTGAGTGTACTTTAATTACAGACAATACACACATATGTATATCTTTCTCTATTAAAATAAAAATACAATTAGTCTTTCATTTTCAATGAAATATGAGTAACTGCCCAAAACCCAAAACCTAATTTTAGCTTTAGCCTCTTTACCATCGACATCATTATTAGGGATACAACCCAGTCATCAAGATGACTGAAAAAGTGGCACTGCTGCTTTCCCCTGTGTAACTGAATACACAATTCCTACTAACAGAAATGGAATACTGGTAAGTTGCTAAAAGGCAGACTATCTAGTATAGTTATTTTAACCGTGTTTTGATGGAAATCCTTCAATTATATGTGCATCTCCATGACTCCTGTTGCACCCACCCCCGCACTTCCCTAGTCCCATTCTTCCAGGCCCAGCACATGGGGGAGCCCAGCTGATCCTGGAGTCTTCCTCCGTGCCCTCCATGCTTAGCTCCACTCTCTGTCCACAGCCTCATTTTGCCTATAGCTATTTCCATAATCACTAATGCCTACTCCATTCACTCTTACCATTCTTCTTTCATTTATCTTCTGCCATCCCTTAGCTCTCCCAAAAGAAAAAAATAACAGTCTCCCCACCTGGATGAAACAAATGACTGCCAAGAGCAGTCCGTTCTCCTCTCACATATGTTACCATCTCTCCCATTCTGTCATTCAAGAAAAAAAATAACTCAGTACCCTGGATTTTGAATACAATAAGTAAGTATGAACAGATATGTGTGTATATATGTGGCCACAGTGCTTTTTTATTAAAAAAAAAAAATAGGGAGAGCAAATTTTCACTTTTTTATGTTATAAAGTGCTCTCACTGACTCTTCCCTTCTGTCTACCCTTTATCCAACACGCTCTGATGTTATATGACCTTCCACCCATAATAGTATCTGGCCACATGGCTCATCCTACACACTAACATAGTCCCTTCTCCCTGACAAATTCATCAACTAAGATGGACATGTTACTTTATTGATTTAGATGCGTGTATCAGACCAGGCGCAGTGGCACTCTGGGAGGCTGAGGCAGGTGGATCACCTGAGGTTAGGAGTTGAAGACCAGCCTGGCCAACATGGTGAAACCCTGTCTCTACTAAAAATATAAAAATTAGCTAGGCATGATGGAGGGTGCCTGTAATCCCAGCTGCTTGGGAGGCTGAGGTGGGAGAATCGCTTGAACCCGGGAGGCGGAGGCTGCAGTGAGCCAAGACGGCGCCATTGCCCTCCAGCCTGGGTGACAGAGTGAGACTCCGTCTCAAAAAAAAAAAAAAAAATGTGTATCAGACTGCTCTAAAAAGATGTCAGCACATGGTACTAGTTTACACCAGCAGTTTTCAAAGTGTGATCCAGAGATGAGGAAGGAACCCCTTCAAGGGATCTATAAAACTATTTTTGATAATATGAAGATGTTATCTGTCTTTTTCACTTTCATTCCCTCATGAGTGTACAACAGTGGGTCGAGGATGCACGGTATGTGGTGATGATGTATCTATCACTCTGACAGCTAAGAAAACATATACTTGTATATTCTTTACTGCCTATCATTTTTTAAAAACCCAGTTTCACCCATCATTCTCAGCAAAGTAACACAGGAACAGAAAACCAAATAGCACATGTTCTCACTCATAAGTGAGAGTTGAACAATGAGAACACATGGACACTGGGAGGGGAACATCACACGCTGGGGTCTGTTGGGAGGGAAACATCACACGCTGGGGTCTGTTGGGGATTGGGAGGATAGAGGAGGGATAGCATTAGGAGAAATACCTAATGTAGATGACGGGCTGATGGGTGCAGCAAACCACCATGGCATGTGTATACCTGTGTAACAAACCTGCACGTGCTGCACATGTACCCCAAAACTTAAAGTATAATTAAAAAAAAAAGCCAGTCTCACTTAACAACATCCTTGATAAAATAATAAAAGGTATTAATTTTTAAAACGTCAACTCTTGAGAACTTGGCCTTTTTCATATTCTGTATGATGAAATAGGAAGCACACATAAAGCATTTCTGCTGCATACCTAAGTATAATGATTATCTTGGGGAAAAGCATTTATACAATTTTTTTTTTTCATAGGACACCATTTTTGCTTTTTTGACTAGCAGACAATTTACACTTATTCAGACTTTGGTATCTGGCAGACATTTTCTCTAAAATGAATAAAGTGAACCTGTCACTTTAAGAAAAACCGGCAATATTGGGCTGCTGGCCGTGGCTCACACCTGTAACCCCAGCACCTCGGGAAGCCTAGGCAGGCAGATCACTTGAGGCCAGGAGTTCAAGACCAGCCTAACCAACATGGCGAAACCCCCATCTCTACTAAAAATACAAAAAAAATCAGCCAGGCGTGGTGGTGCGTGTAATCTGAGCTAGGCAGAGGTTGCAGTGAGCCAAGATCACACCACTGTACTCTAGCCTGGGCGACAGAGGGAGACTGTATTAAAAAAAAAAAAAAAAAAATGGGCACTATCTGTTGCCAATGATATAAATTAAGCTTTCAAGAGAAAACTGGTATTTTGGAAAACTTGAATTCGCCACCAAGATCTTGACCACTTCCCAATTCTTAAAGATTTTTTGGATGAGACTGATGGTGATATTAATGACTGTGATTTGCTTAATATTGTATAATCAAATGTGCCAACATTTCAAAGATGTGCAGAACTTAGTAAACCTTTTTTTTTTTTTTTTTCCGAGATGGAATATCGCTCTGTTACCCATGCTGGAGTGCAGTGGCACGATCTCAGCTCACTGAAACCTCCACCTCCCAGGTTCAAGCAATTCTCCTGTCTCAGCCTCCCGAGTAGCTAGGACTACAGGCGTGCACTGCCATGCCTGGCTAATTTTTGTTATTTTTAGTAGAGACGGGGTTTCACCATGTTGGCCAGGCTGGTCTTGATCTCCTGACCTCGTGATCCACCTGCCTCGGCCTCCCAAAGTGCTGGGATTACAGGCGTAAGCCACTGTGCCCAGTCAGCTTAGTAAACCATTATTTTTTGAATGATCAATGTATGCAGTTACAAAATCACACACAGGTCAAAGATCCATTCAAAGTGCAAGATGGACCAGTGGATTTTAATGTTACAGAGTACACAAAATTCACTGACATGGCTTCAGATTCAGCAGTGCAACTAATATTTAAGAATCTGGCTGGGAGCGGTGGCTGCGCCTGTAATCCCAGAAATTTGGGAGGCCGAGGCAAGCGGATCACTTGGGGTCGGGAGTTTGAGACCAGCCTGGTCAATATGCTGAAACCCCATCTCTACTAAAAATATAAAAATTAGCTGGGCATGGTGGTGCGTGCCTGTAATCCCAGTTACTTGAGAGGCTGAGGCAGGAGAATCACTTGAACCCGGGAGGCAGAGGTTGCAGTGAGCTGAGATCACACCACTGCACTCCAGCCTGGGCGACAGAGCGAGACTATCTCAAAAAAATAAATAAATAAATAAAAAGCATTTACCAATTGTTGAATTTTGGTGTAACAAAAATATTCACAATTATATGAAAAGACTATGAAAATACCCCACCCTTCTTCAACTATGTATCCGTGTGCAGCCAGGTTTTCTTCACGTATTTCAACCAAAACAACATATCACAACAGATTGAATACAGGAGCAATTATGCAAACCCAGCTATCTTCTATAAAGAAATATACTAAAGAGAATGGCAAAACGTAAAACAATGCCATGTTTCTCACCAGATTTTTTTGTGTGTGTTGGAATACCTTTTTCATAAAAGCATATTATTTATATCAACCCTCTTTGTTTTTTCTTCTTTTTTTTGAGACACAGTCTCGCTCTGTCGCCCAGGCTGGAGTGCAATGGCAGGATCTCGGCTCACTGCAACCTCTGCCTCCCGGGTTCAAGCGATTCTCGTGCCTCAGCCTCCCAAGTAGCTGGGATTACAGGCGCCCACCACCACACCTGGCTAATTTTTGTATTTTTAGTAGAGACGGGGTTTTACCATGTTGGTCAAGCTGGTCTCGAACTCCTGACTTCATGAGATCCACTGACCTCAGCCTCCCAAAGTGTTGGGATTACAGGCATGAGCCACCATGCCTGGCCTAATGTTTGTTATTTTTTAAATAAATAAATATTTTAAACATTTTTCAGTTTTAATTTCTAATGTTAAGTATGGACAGACATAGTCTATATAAACAAAAGATTTTTGGGGTCCTCAGAAATTTTTAAGAGTATAAATGTGTCCTGAGACCAAAATGTTTGAAAACCATTAGTTTATAGTACCACAAAAAAATAGCACTTTTAAGTATATGTATACAAGAGAATGGACACCTGAATATGAATCAGAAGATCTTGGCTCCAATTCTAGCACCACTTCTTACTTGCTTTAGGATTTCAATAAATTACTTCATCTCTCTAAGGCCTTAGTTTCCTCATCTGTAAAATGGGTAACTCATGTCTTCCAAGGATAAAAGAGACAAAATATGTAAAAGCAATTTATAAACTACAAGGTACACTATTATTACAAGATCTCAAAGTTAAGCATTTTAAACACTTCTTATGATGTTTTGTTTCTTTGTTTTTGAAACAGGGTCTCACTCTGTTGCCCAGGCTGGAGTGCACTGGCACTAACATGGCTTACTGCAGCCTTGACCTGCCAGGCTCAGGTGATCCTCCTACCTGAGCCCCACGAGTGGCTGGGACTACAGGTGTGCACCATCACACCCAGCCAATTTTTTGTATTTTTTGTGGCGACAAGGTTTCACCATGTTGCCCAGGCTGGTCTACTCCTGACCTCAAGTGATCCGCCCACCTCCCCAAGTGCTGGGATTACAGGCATGAGCCACCATGCCTGGCCTCTTACGATGTGTCTATGAAATTTTCCTTATTCTTAAAATTTTATTACTAAAAACAGAACTTATAGAAAATGTCAAGTGCAGGCCAGGAGCAGTGGATTACACCTATAATCCTAGCACTTTGAGAGGCCAAGACAAGCAGATCACTTGAAGTCAGGAGTTTGAGACCAGCCTGGCCACCCTGGTGAAACCACATCTCTACTAAAAATACAAAAATTAGCTGGTGTGGTGGTGCACGCCTGTAATCCCAGCTACTTGGGAGGCTGAGGCAGGAGAATTGCTTGAACCCAGGAGGCAGAGATTGCAGTGAGCTGAGACTGCGCCACTGCACTCCAACCTGGGTGACAGAGTGAAACTGGGTCTCAAAAAAAAAAAAAAAAAAAAAAAGCCAAGTGCAGACTTTTGATTAGCTAATTAGCTCAAATGTCCAAGCATATAATTTTACTTTATTTTATTTTGCAGAGACAGAGTCTCACCATGCTACCTAAGCTGGTCTCAAACTCCTGACCTCAAGCGATCCTCCCACCTCAGCCTCCCAAAGTACTGGATCATAAGAATGAACCCTCATACCCAACCCAACAACACAATTTTATTGCATTTAATTTCTTACCCTACAGTTATAATTGGTTATATATTTTAAATCATTATTAGGGACATTTCCAAATATACACAAATGTAAAAAAAATAACAAACTCCAACTTACCCATTACTCAGCTTCAACAATTTTCAAAAATTTATCAATACTCTTTTATTCATTTCCCACTTCTGTGTGTTTGTGCCCATCCTGAAGTTTTTTAAAATGAACATTTCGCATCATTTTATTCTGCCTGTAAGTACATCCATATGTATTTTTAACACATGAAAATATTTTAACATAACCACAATATGACTATTATAGCTGAAAACATTATGGTTGTAACTATTAAATATCACCTAATATATATTCCATTTTCAAGTTTCCCAACTGTCTCAATTAAAAAAAAAAAGTCTTTGTTAGTTTTTGGTTGGTGGGTATTATCAAAATATCATTCTTACCAATTCTTTCTCAAGTCAACCCAAGATGTTTAACTAAAGCTACGAAGGAAGAGGAAATAATACTATGCTTCATATACCATGTACAGTTTACAAAACAAGTCAAGAACTATCTTCTCGAGGAATTTTCTTTTCCACCAACCAAACAATAACAACAAAAACCAAGCAACAACAACAAATAAACCCACTACAAAATAAGCCAGCATGGCAATACATATACCTTAGTATTCTGAGAAGTGATCCAAAGAGCACACAGCTCAGCTGCTCGGGAAGAGAAGGAGCTGTTACACTGTGAGCCGAAAAAGGTGACTGGAAACAACCACCCATCATTTTGGAAAAGAAGAAGTCAGGTCAGCCACAGGGTCAAAGCTGGAGGTGAGGTCAGAGACCCCGTTCTAGAGTGAGCACATGGCTCAAATAAGAGTCCATGCCCAAGACTATAAGTCAACCCCTTGCAAACTGCAACTCAAAGCTCAAAACACAGTGCTCTAAGCTAGAGATATAATGGAACGGCTATAAAAAGCAACAGGTGTAAGAACTGACTGAAATTATTTGACAAACATTTGTCAAAAGCCTACTCTACTATCCTGGGATATAAACTGTGTATTTAAAAACTAGTACAACGCACACTGTAAGTAGCATATACTTCTCTACACATCTTTCCCCATTTATTTTAAGAGAAATAATGGATATATTAAATATTAATTATCTTGCCATACCATTACATCTTTTTTCTATAAACGCAATTTGCCCCACCCCAACATACATAGACATTAAAACAAACCTGAATTCTTCTGTCTTTCCCAAATATTTTTGAGGAGTACAAGTCAGATTAACTTTTATTACACATACCACAGACCCACAGCATTTATAGCTGTAATTCTTTTCTAAATTAAGGCCAAGCATGGTGGCTCACACCTGTAATCCCAATGCTTTGGGACGCCGAGGTGGGAGGATTGATTGAGCCCAGGAGTTCAAGACTAGCTGGGCAACATAGCAAGACCCTGTCTCTACACAAAATAAAAAATTAGCTAGGTATAGTTGCACATGCCTATAGTCCTAGCTATTTGGGAGGCTGAGGTGGGAGAATCCCTTGAACCGAGGAAGTCAAGGATGTAGTGAGCTGTGATGACACCACTGCACTCCAGCTTGGGCGACAGAGTAAGACCATGTCTCAAAAAAATAAAAATTAAATAAATTAAGCATTTAGTTTAGGAGGAAATCAAGAGAGCACTAAAGAATTTCCTACCTTGTATTAAAATTGTTTCCCATAGGTTTATCTCAAGTATTTTGTAGATGAAAATTGGTTAGGTGCATACAGAATAATTCTTGAGGGATTTGGTTCTATAGACACACTTAATATCAACACTTTTTAAAATCCTTTACCTCAATTTCACCTATAAAAAAGTTTTGCTGGTCACAGTGGCTTGTGCCTGTAATCCTAGCACTTTGGGAGACTAAGGCAGGAAGACTGCTTGAAGCCAGGAGTTTAAGACCAGCCTGGGCAACAAAGTGAGACCCCCATCTCTATAAAAATAATAAAAATAAATAATAATAATTAGCCGGGTGTGGTGGCATGCACCACCTGTGGTCTCAGCTACTTGGGAGGCTGAGGCAGGAGGACTGCTTGAGCCCAGGAGTTTGAGACTACAGTGAGCTATGATTGCTCTATTGCACTTCAGCCTGTGTGACAGAGACAGACCCCATCTTTAATTAAAAAAAAAAAAATTAAAAACTGCAAAAAGAGTGAAGGGCACATATTTCTTAAAGAATGCTTCAGAAGAACAAAATGTGCCCCAAAACATGAAATAGCTCCTGATAATATCAGTTTTTAGTTGACCACTATGAAGGACATCTTCTAAACAATAACAAAACAAACCTGGCAGTCCAATAACTACAGGAAAGATCAAGACTTCCCCATTTTGGAACATCTTTGCTTCAGGTTTTTACTTTTTGTAGTAATACAGGAACAATATGCCATAGGGACAAGAGTTGAACAGGTGTCATCCCTTACCCTATTTTACCTATTGGTAATTAAGCCTAACAGTTTATTGTCTGTACATCTTTTCTTTTGTATGTTCCCATACAAAACAATCTTTGGAATTTAGCTTCACTTTATGACACTATGGTGATTATTGTTCCTAACAGAGAGTCTAACCTAAGAATATAGCCCAATACGTGAAAAAGCTAACTGAACAGTAAACAATGACATTAATCTCATTGTAAAAAAACATGAGATTCTTAGCAAATGGCAGCAAAAGAACTGTGGATACATTAACAAGGCATTAAAAAAAAAATTTAAAGTTTCTGGCCGGGTGTGGTGGCTCACACCTGTAATCCCAGCACTTTGGGAGGCCAAGGCGGGTGGAACACGAGGTCAGGAGATCGAGACCATCCTGGCCAACGTGGTGAAACCCCGTCTCTACTAAAATACAAAAAAAAATTAGCTGGGTGCGGTGGCACACGCCTGTAGTCCCAGCTACTCGGGAGGCTGAGGAAGGGGAATCGCTTGAACCCGGGAGGCGGAGGCTGCAGAAAGCCGAGATGGCGCCACTGCACTCCAGCCTGGCGACAGAGCAAGACTCCGTCTCAAAAAAAAAAAAAAAAAAATCTAAGTTTCCATGCTTTGACCTAAAAAAAAGTCACATAGGTTTCTTTTTCTTTAATTCCCATTTCTTTTTTTAAAAACTGGTTAATGTGTAGATTTTTATTCAAATTCATTTGGACTGCACATGAATATTAAAAAGTTATAACATGAAGACTGTTCATTAGACTATCATAGGCAAAGCAAGTGATTCACAGAATAAGTGCAATTTATCGACCCTGATCATTACCTTTACTACCGACCACTATTTAACATCACTTTTTTAATGTACTGTTTACTTGTTTACTGTCTTTGTTTATTGTCCTGTCTTCTCCCACTAGAATATAAGTTACGTAAGGGCAAAAACTTTCTCTTATTTTCCACTGTATGGCCAGGGTCTAGCACTTGGTAGAGGATCAGCATAAATTTGCTGAATGAGATGGGTGAATACCTTCCGCCTTTCGCCTCCCCCACTTCCCTCTCTCCATACACATGTTAACCAATCTTTAAGGCCAGGGTCAAATTCTATTATCTCTATGAAGATTACCTCCCTGAGCCCTCTTTCTCTTTTGTACCTGAATTTGGCACTTGCCAGCTGTCTGGTAATTATCTTTGCATATGTATGTATCTCCCTTAAAATTCTTATAATCCTGTTCTCCATAACATGGGCCAGTGTCCCCAACTTTTGGAATCCATCTCAGCACATGTAAACAGCATACTGCTAACAAATGTTTTGCTTGATTCCTATCAGTAGTTAATCCAGAAATTCAGTTAATAATTTCAGTTTATAATGTATCCCTCCCTTTCAAATAACTCAAAATAGGCCATGATATTACAGCGAATCCCTCTTTTTATTTCTGACAATTTTAAATTTTACATTCTCATATAAGTAATGCTCATAATTTACCCTATCAATCACTATCCCTCAAGATTATATGTTTTTTTTTTTTTGATACACTGTCTTGCTCTGTTGCCCAAGCTGGAGCGCAGCAGTGCCATCATAGCTCACTGCAGCCTTGACCTCCCAGGCTCAAGAGATCCTCCCACTTCAGCCTCCAAAGTAGCCGGCACCACAGCTGCGTACTACTACCATACCTAGCTAATTTTTTGATTTTCTGTGGAAACAAGGTCTTTGTTGCCAGGGCTGTTCTCAACACCTGAGCTCAAGTGATCCTCCTGCCTTAGCCTCTTAAAGTGCTGGGATTATAGGAATGAGCCACCACGCCTGGCCTACATTTTTTAATGTAATAAAAAAATCTTGTGACTTTGTGGCAATACCTATAATGATGTTTCTAACCCCAGTCAAGAAGGGCGTGAAGTTTCATTCCTCTCTCTTGTTGCTGAGGTATCAGAGGGCATTTTTCCACTTATTCCTCTTTCCTTTCATGGCAAGATGTATTCTGTTCCCTTCCTTACTGATCATACTCCTGGCAAGCTTTTATTATTTCTTTGTACCTGTCCAAGGTAATCTGTCTTACATCCTTCTTTTGAGCCACTGTTTCCTCCAGTTATTTATTTGATTAAAATTCTAACTCCCTGTCTCAATCCATTTGTGTAGAAGAACCAGCTCTTCTTAAAGCCTGAGCCTGCTTCTTTAAATTCGGCCAACCTTTATGAACCTCTCTTCACACAGCCAACCCTTGATCATCAAGGATAATGAAATGCATACAAATAACAGATTGTCTACAACACAAGAAAATCAGAAAAAAAAAATTGACATCTGGCTTTGGAATTTATCATATGTAGCTTTGGGCAAGACTTATTTTCCTAATTATGTTTTTGTTTAAGCCAACATTCGGATTTTCTTTTATGATGGTGAATATCTCCGTTTTAAATGATCAGTAAATTTCTTTTAAAGCCAATCAAGCACCAACTATGGTTTTTCCTGTGAAATCTTTTTAACTAGTTTCTTTCATCTGTTGAAATCTGTCATAAAATCTGTTTTATTTCCTCTAAGTTATCTCCTTATTTTCTTGGGATTCTGATCCAAATCAGTTCACCCTATATTAATTTACTTCTTCAAATTAAAGTACCTTTTGCTTGAGAACTTAATGCATTTTAAAAACACTGAATGTCCAGTGAAATTTTTAGTTCAGGTAACACGAAGTAGAAAATTATTTTTGTCTAGGAAAACTTGGGAGTTCTAGGATAAATTATTACACTGGTAATTCTAGCAAATTATATTTAGTAGGATTTTTAGGATTAGCTGAAAATTGAAAAAATTTAATACTGGACAGCTATATAAGTCTGCTTCATCAATATATTAATCCCATATGCTAAACACTGTATGAAATTAAATTCCCAGTCCAGGGATTTACAGAAAATAGCATCAAAACACACTAACACATAAATCCTGCCTCTTATTCTGATCCCTACCTAAACTCTGCAACCTTCTCACACCTACTCTTCCCCCCTCCCATCTCAGCCTCACTTCCACTCTCAACTGTCCCACAAATAATTTTTAAACGTGTAGGAAAAAGGAAAAGAACCGGGGTAACAGTGTCTCCTCTTTTACTGCCTTCTCAGTTACTGCCATTAAGCTTTTGGCCCAAAGACTCCAATCCCCAATTTTACATGTCTATTTTTATTTTATAGGTACACACTTACAATCACCAAACTGAACGAAAGGATAGGGCATTCTAAATTGAAAAAGGAGCAAAACTGGATAATTCTGCAGTTCTGTTCCTAGCCCCCTCCATAATCATGCACTATGATCATTTGGCACTATAATCAAGCCAAATGAGATATTGTACTTTGAGTTGCTGATATAGCAGAGGTTAATACTAAAAAAGAAAAAAAAAATTAATTACCACAGTTTACATTTTTTATCTGAATGTACATTTATAGTACTTGAACCGAGTTATTTTCAAAACACTATTCACACTAACAAAATTCAAAATAAATTCATTTCTAATTTTTCCCCCATGTAGAATTTTGATAAGTGCAAAAATTATTTTACCTAAAATCCAACTCTTGGGCTGGTGTTATTTAGCCTATATTTTTACATAAGACTGTAAATGTTAGCCAAATTAAAAAAAATTTTAATGCAACTTTCCACATTGTCTTCAAACTCAGTAAATTCCACAATTTTAAAAAACAAAAACCTTTCACCGTGCCTACTCACATTTTTACTAAAATCCCTACACAGAGCCATACATTCTGCTTTTCATTTTACTTCTCCAAGCTGCTGCCTTCACCAAATAGACTCCACGAGCCTCCCAAGTGGTATCCACCAATATATGTGATACTCAAGGAAAAGTAGGTATTAAAGAGTAATTAATTCAATTGGTACGAAATCTTTTCTTTTAAAATTTTACCTTAACTTTAAAAAGCCCTTTTCTTGATGGAGGTGAAACAGCATAAATCCTTTGAGGAAACGGTTATCCTTTACGTGGACTCTCCATCAGCCCCATAAGGTGAGTGGCATAAAGAGGCATTTTTCTGACAGTCTCAGTTCCCCAAACACTAGTCCTAAACTTTTGCATGGATGGTAAATTTCACACACACACACACACACAGAGGCGGAAAAGAAAGAAGAGAAAGAAACATACCTGGTTTATTTTCTAAACAGGTTTGATAGGTTTGGTTCACTTGAAAGAGCAGAGTATTTACTTATAATCTTTTAAAACAGAAGTGGGAGCCAGAGCGCTGGGTAAATAAAAACTTCAGAGAGTTTTAAAACCCTGCATCTTAACTCACTTCCCTTTGGTTCAAGGGGATGGCACAGCAAACCCCACGGCAAATGAGATTATGCAACAGGTTTTTTTCCTCCCCAGCTTATTCATCACAGGCTGGTTAGAGGTGTGCTTTCTCCAATCTGAGACACCCACGACTTCAAAACGCCAAGAATCCTTGCAGTTGATGTTTCCTAAACTTCTTTAGGATTTTGCAGTATCCATTCATTTTCAGATCTACTTGCCTTTTCTCTGGTTCATTATTGGTATTCTTTAGGAAATAAACCCAGCATCTGAAAATATTTCCCTCTGTGGTGTTTCATTACATGAAACTACACGTGATACACAGACCCTGGGCTTTTTTATTTCTCACGTTTTGCAGCTAGTGTAAATAAAGAAGTCACTAGGCGTCGGGCCCCCCAACGCCAAGACCCGAGCCCCTGTCCGAAAATTGAGGGCTTTTTCGGTTGGTTGGTTGAAGAAAGCAGCACCGTCACCACCCAGGTGGCCTCGCTGCTTACACCAAAGGCGAACTGGGGATAATGGGAACAGTCAGGCCAGGGCCCCACTTGGCAGGCGTGTTGTGTAACAGTCGCGCCTGGAAGTGAGCAGCTTCGCCCGCAAAGGTGCCGCGTCCCGCGGCGGCCGCTCCTCTCGGCGGGGCCCGGTCCAAGCGCCGCGCAGCGGCCGGGAGCGCACCCACTGCGACCCCGCGCCCGGCCGCACGCCCCCTTCCCGCTCCGGCCAGCCTCCGGCCAGGCCTACACCCCCGCTTCAAACGCTCCTGCGGCCCCCGGCCGCGGTCGCCCCCACGCCGCCTCCCGAAAGGGTGGCCGGTACGCCCGGGAAGGCAGAGACGGCGGGGCTGGAGCGCGGCGCCCGGCACCGGGAGTCGGGGCGCGCTGCGGAGCGTCCATGCGGCCGGGCGGGAGGGCGCCCCGGGCCCCGCACCCTCCCGCCCGCACACCCCGCGCGGCCCGCCAAGGCCACTTACTTTTGGGGCCGCCGACCTCCCAATTCCCTCAGAGGGAAACGAAAGTTGTCACGGCGTCTCCCCTCGGGCCCCCCTCGCCTCCCGGACTTGCGAGGCGCCGCCGCGGAGCCGAGAGGGCGGCTGCGCTCCCGCTCGCGTCCCGTCCCGTCGCTCTCCTCCTCCTCTTCTTTTCAGTATATTATCTTCTCCTTCTCTGAGGGGTGGGTTGGGGCGGGAGGCTTAGGAAGAGAGGAGACGCTCGCAACTTTTCTTCACTCTTTCTCTTCCACCCTCCCCCCCATCAGCCTTCAAAAAAAATGTCGAAAGAGATGAAGAACTTAGGGAGGTAAAGGTGGGGGGCCGCGTTGTGAAAGTGGGGGTTGGGGGGGAGAGAGAGGTGGTAATAATCGTTTAAAAACTGATTAAAGCCCCCCAAACACTGATACATAGAAAGAGGGGGAAAGGCGGGGGGGTGGGGTGGGGGGTTGGGGGAAAGAGAAAGAGTCGCTGGTCAGGAAACTTCAAGCGCGGATGAGGTCATTGGTTTAAAAATAAAGAGATGGCGTCACTTGAAACCAATCCCAGTGAATGAACTCAGCGGAGCCCCGGGGAAAGGAGGAGACAGGCGAGGGCAGGGCGGTGGGCGCCGGGCGGGGCCGCGCGCTCGCCCATCCCGCGGCCGCCCGAGCCCGGAGCGCGGCTCCGCGCCTCGTTCCGGCCGCTCGGGGAGGGGTCAGGTCATGTTCCCTTCCAGAGTCCGGCGACTCTGAGGCAGGTTCCGCGGGCGCCGCTGGGAGGAGCCGGAGCTGCCGGAGGAGGCGGCCCCGCGGCCTCCTCCCCCACCTCTCCCTCCTCCTCCTCCTCCTCCCGCGCCCGCGCGCCCGCCCCCTACCCCCGGGCTCGCGGCCCCGACCCCCGGGCCGGGGTGTCCGCCTCCAGTGCTGCGCCCCAACAGGTATCGGAGGGTTTTCTCCCTCACCCAGACGCAGAACCTTTCCCTCCTCCTTGAGCTGTTTCCAGCTGCCTCACCAACGTCAAAAAACGCAAACACTGATTTGAGAGAATTACACTCGCTCTGTAAAAAGTCTGGCGAATGCAAAAGGCAAGGCTCTGCCATCTCTCAGGAGAGAAGTTACAGGTACTTCAAGAAAAATCACACTACTGTTGTCAGGCATTCAGCTATCTATATGTTTATGGTTGAAAGCCCCCACATAAATGTTCCTACATTACTTTACTTTGCTTATATTTACAAATACAAGGATAAGCAGCCTACATTTTCTTTAAAAATGTTTTCTACAGGAGGCAGCGCAGAAACATCTTTAAATAAGACCAGGGGTTAACCGCCTCTTGAGAGGTACAAAACCCTTGTTGATTTAACTCCACATACCTCGTGCATTTTATTATTTGAATTCATTAAAATGTCTGTTTTGAGATGACATTATGCACTTTGGAAAACGAGAGACCTGAGGTGGTGACAAACCAGGACTTGGAATCACTGAATAGGACAATCGGAGCTTTATTCCAATGTTCTTTGAGCATTTGAGCATGAAGCTGCTTCTACTGAGAAGTACTCACGTGGATATCACATAACAAAGATGTGATTAATGACGGAAAAGCACCCTGCGAGTGGACTGCTCCATGAGCCAGAATTTATGTGTAGGAATAATCTAACTCTTCAAATATTCCATTTACAATGTGCCGGATTGGGACACTAGACCCTAAAGGCACTGTTTGCTGTGGGATATCCATGTGCACCCTGCCTAAAGCACGTTTTTCCACTAGCAAAAGAACTGATAAGCAGGTTTGGGTGGGTTCGAAAGATAATACACCCCTGTTACTACTTTTCTGCCTTTAAGTCCTGCAACTAAAGGCATTCCTTATGATTGGTAATCATTGAAGGTTAGTGTTGCGGGGTATGGCCCTGGGAACTTCTGGCCCATCTTTTATAGGAGGGAAAAAAAAAGCCCATTTGAAGATGGGAGGCACCCTAGCACCTCTGGCAGTAGTAGGTAAAGCCTGAAGGCCACAGATGGAGAAGCAACTTTGAGCCTGTGCCTCTGGCCTCTTGAAGACTTTGCTAGGGGAAGCAAATCTCTCCCACTGCTCCCTGTCCTCTGGTGGCCAGGAGGTGTTACTGCAGCTTCCTTGGGATTATTTGTGCTCTACCAGGAAACCCCTAAAAATCTAACTGTAGACCTTTGTTGGAGGTGTTGGGATTTTTAGGAAGGAAGAAGAAGATAGTCCTTTTACTAGTGGTACAGAGCATGGATCTTGCCTGGAGGAAAGATTCATGAGAATTAATGGTATCCCCTTTGCATGCCAAAGTTCCAGTAACCTTGCTTTAACTGACATGGCTTGAAACGTTTCTCCCCTTTCCTCAGTTACACAATTAAGTTTGTGTAATGTATGATGTGGTGCCATCATAGCTATCATAGAAGTCTCTCAGGGTATTTCATCTATTTCTGGAAACAAGACGTATATTAAAGCTCATTAAAAACGAAATCAATGATTGAGTGATGTACAATATTGGTTAAAAGAGTCAGGGGGCCGGGCGTGGTGGCTTAAGCCTATAATCCCAGCACTTTGGGAGGCCCGAGGCGGGTGGATCATGAGGTCAAGAGATCGAGACCATCCTGGCCAACATGGTGAAACCCCGTCTCTACTAAAAATACAAAAATTAGCCAGGCGTGGTGGTGGGCGCCTGTAGTCCCAGCTACTCAGGAGGCTGAGGCAGAAGAATCACTTGAACCCGGGAGGTGGAGGTTGCAATGAGCCGAGATCGCACCACTGCACTCCAGACTCCAGCCTGGCAACAGAGTGAGACTCCATCTCAAAAAAAAAAAAAAAAACAAACAAACAAAAAAAAACATCAGGGGAGAAAAGGAGCAATGTAGGCTGGGATTATCAGGGAAGGCACCTTATAAAGAGTTTTGACCTTATCCTTGAAGGACAGTTCAGATTTAGTTTGCAGTGAAGAAGCCAGTGGAGGGAAGATTCCAGAGGGCAAATGGCAATGAGCCAAGACATGGAGGTGGAATGAATAATGAGTAAGGTGTATTCAAGTGACAGAAGAGTAAACCCAGTAGCAGTAGAAATCGGTATTTAGCAATTAGGTATGAGGTTAAATTTAAGAGATACAGAGGCACATTGTGGAGGTACTTGAATGTTAGAATAAATAGATTGTTACCTGCCCAGCAGGTGAAGGGGAAACCACTAAACAAGTTTACTTCACCGAAGAGTACATTTCTTTCTTTTACTAAGAAAGGTTTTCTACATACTAACAATAAATATGTGGAAACAGCCCTCTCCCTCTCCCGCTCCCGCTCCCGCTCCCTCTCTTTCCACGATCTCCCTCTGATGCCGAGCCGAAGCTGGACTATACTGCTGCCATCTCGGCTCACTGCAACCTCCCTGCCTGATTCTCCTGCCTTAGCCTGCTGAGTGCCTGCGATTGCAGGCACGCACCGCCACGCCTGACTGGTTTTCGTATTTTTTTGGTGGAGACGGGGTTTCGCTGTGTTGGCCGGGCTGGTCTCCAGCTCCTAACCGTGAGTGATCCGCCAGCCTCGGCCTCCTGAGGTGCCGGGATTGCAGACTGAGTCTGGTTCACTCAGTGCTCAATGGTGCCCAGGCTGGAGTGCAGTGGCGTGATCTCGGCTCGCTACAACCTCCACCTCCCAGCCGCCTGCCTTGGCCTCCCAAAGTGCTGAGAGTGCAGCCTCTGCCCGGCCGCCACCCCATCTGGGAAGTGAGGAGCGTCTCTGCCTGGCTGCCCATCGTCTGGGACGTGAGGAGCCCCTCTGCCTGGCTGCCCCATCTGGAAGTGAGGAGCGTCTCTGCCCGGCCGCCATCCCATCTAGGAAGTGAGGAGCGCCTCTTCCCGGCTGCCATCCCATCTAGGAAGTGAGGAGCGTCTCTGCCCGGCCGCCCATCGTCTGAGATGTGGGGAGCGCCTCTGCCCCGCCGCCCCGTCTGGGAGGTGAGGAGCGTCTCTGCCCAGCCACCCCGTCTGAGAAGGGAGGAGACCCTCCGCCCGGCAGCCGCCCCGTCTGCGAAGTGAGGAGCCCCTCCGCCCGGCAGCCACCCCGTCTGGGAAGTGAGGAGCGTCTCCGCCCGGCAGCCACCCAGTCCGGGAAGGAGGTGGGGCTCAGCCCCCGCCAGGCCAGCCGCCCTGTCTGGGAGGGAGGTGGGGGGGTCAGCCCCACGCCTGGCCAGCCGCCCCGTCCGGGAGGTGAGGGGCGCCTCTGCCCGGCCGCCCCTACTGGGAAGTGAGGAGCCCCTCTGCCTGGCCACCACCCCGTCTGGGAGGTGTACCCAACAGCTCATTGAGAACGGGCCATGATGACAATGGCGGTTTTGTGGAATGGAAAGGGGGGGAAGGTGGGGAAAAGATTGAGAAATCAGATGGTTGCCGTGTCTGTGTAGAAAGAAGTAGACATGGGAGACTTTTCATTTTGTTCTGTACTAAGAAAAATTCTTCTGCCTTGGGATCCTGTTGATCTGTGACCTTACCCCCAACCCTGTGCTCTCTGAAACATGTGCTGTGTCCACTCAGGGTTAAATGGATTAAGGGCGGTGCAAGATGTGCTTTGTTAAACAGATGCTTGAAGGCAGCATGCTCGTTAAGAGTCATCACCACTCCTTAATCTCAAGTACCCAGTGACACAGACACTGCGGAAGGCCGCGGGGTCCTCTGCCTAGGAAAACCAGAGACCTTTGTTCACTTGTTTATCTGCTGACCTTCCCTCCACTATTGTCCTGTGACCCTGCCAAATCCCCCTCTGCGAGAAACACCCAAGAATGATCAATAAAAAAAAAATAATAAAAAATAAAAAATAATAATAAAAAATGTGGAAACAGAAATTAAAAACAGAACCATTTTACAATTGCTCCAAAGAACGTGAAATATTTACATATAAATCTAACAAAACATGTACAACATCTGTGTGATGAAAATTATAAAATGCTGATGAAAGAAATTAAAGAAGACAAATAATTGGAATGGCATACTATATTCATGGATTGGAAGAATCAATAAACATGTCATTTCTTCCCAAATTGATCTATAGAGTTAACGTAATTTTCATCAATATCCCAGCAAGGTTTTTTGTAGTCATAAGCAATCTTAAACTAAAACAGTGTCCAACACATCTAGAGGACTGAGTGAGTGCTAGACTCCCCCAAGACAGAGGAAGAGCACATACACTTAGGGCACCAGCAAGGCAGGGAGTCCAAGGTTTACAATCAGATAATCTAGAAAGAAGCTATTTTTGCTTCAGTACATGTAAGTGTGTGGTTTAGTACTGTTTTTTAGTTAGAGTTAAATATGGGGAAGGAGCACCAAAATTGCTGGTTAGAATTAAATATGGGGGAGAAGCACCATAATCCTTAGTGTTTAGACCCTCTTAAGGTCTTACTTAATCCATCCCTGGCTGAAGTTTATTCATTGACAAACAGTGATTGAGTGCCTACTACCCTTATGTGCCAGGCACTGCACCTAGCTCTGGGAATATGGTTATAAATAAGATTACCTATCTCTCATGAAACTAACATTCAAGTGGAGAGAGAAGACAATAAGCCAATAAACAAAAACCACGGCCTGGACTGTGACAAGATGGACTACACAGGGAAAAAAAACTGGGTGAGGTGATAGTGAGTGACTTGGGGTAGGGGTGAAGGTGGTGGGGGAAGTTCAAATGAAGAGGGGACATTTGAACTGAGACCTTAAGGATGGCAACAGGGGAAGTGGTCAGGGTAGAGAAAACAGGTCACTCTAAGACCGTTCAGCAGAAACAGAGTGACTTGTAGAGAGTTGGTGTGTTCCCAGAGCCAAAGGAAGCCAGTGGGGCACAAAAGTATAAAACAAGGGTGGGCAGGAGCCAGATTATGTAGTACCTTATAGTGTATGGAGTTCAGATTCTATTCTGAAAGATTTAAGCAGTTAGTACATGATCTGATTTATGAAGAGGACATTTGCAATTAAGTAAGCATAAAAGGTTGCGTTTTAGAGAGTTGGGTTTTTTTTCAAGCAGATAAAAGCCTGTTTTGTTTGAATGGTCTATGTAATTACTGAGGCCACTATGTATAGACAAGAAAGGAGGAGCTTTATCTCTCGGTCTCTTCCTCCTTGGACAACATCTTGATGATCTCCTCCTTCTTGGCCTGGAGGCACTCGTCATGAAGTTTGCACACTTCCTTAGTCTTAGGCCAGTGGGCCTCAGCCTGGTCCACCAGGAGCTTCTTGCGGGACTTGTCTACCTTCAGCTTGCGGACAATTCCATGAGAATACGCTTGTTTTTGAACACAATCCCTTTCACCTTCTGGTACAGAGTGTAATACATGTGGCAATCAGTCTTCTTAGATTCACAGTATCTTCTAAGAAGCTGGCACAGAATCCTCATTCTCCTTATCCAGGTTACCTTCCCTGGCCTTTGGGCATTGGCTGTACCTTCTTGCTTACCTATGCCCAGGTGCCTGCCCTTCCGATGGTCCAAGGTTTTCTGGCATCAAGGAGCCTGGGAATGGACAGGCACAGGCTTGCGGATGATCAGCCCATGTTTGATCAGCTTCTGGATTTGCTGATGGGAGTTAACATTGGTCTCTGGGAGCCAACCAGACCTTCTTTTTGCCACAGCAAAAGACATTAGAGGAAAACTTCCTCTGAAGCCTGAGCATATGCATGGCTTCAGCTGCAGCAGCAAAAACAGTTTTAATATTCTCTATTTTTTAGGTAATATAACAGCTCCCTTTTCCAATAGGAAGAGAGAGTTTTTGACAATTTTGTTAATCTCCAAGGATCCTTTGAATGTTCCTAAGTCAAATGTTCTTAGCCTAGGATTTGTGGATTCCTAGAGAGTATATAGATGGGCTCCAGAGGGTCTAAGAGCCCCCTAAAATTTTGTGTATATATGCTTATACATGTTTTTCTGTGAGTGGGTCCCTAGCTTTCAACAGATTTTCTTTTCTTTTCCTTTTTAATGAGATGAGGTCTCCTACTGCCGAGGCTTGAGTACATAATCATGGCTCACTGCAGTCTCAACCTCCAGGGCTCAAGTAATCCTCCTGCCTCAGCCTCCCAAGTAACTAGGACTACAGGTGCAAACCACTATGCCTGGCTAATTTTTAAAACTTTTGGCCGGGTGCGGTAGCTCATGCCTGTAATCCCAGCGCTTTGGGAGGACAAGGCGGGCGGATCATGAGGTCAGGAGATCAAGACCATCCTGGCTAACACGGTGAAACCCCGTCTCTACTAAAAATACAAAAAATTAGCCGGGTGTGGTGGCGGGCGCCTGTAGTCTCAGCTACTCGGGAGGCTGAGGCAGGAGGATGGCGTAAACCCGGGAGCTTGCAGTGAGCTGAGATCGCACCACTGCACTCCAGTCTGGGCGACAGAGCGAGACCCTGTCTCAAAAAAATAAAAAATAAATAAATAAAACTTTTTTTCTGTAGAGATGGGGTCTTGCTTTGTTGCCCAGGCTGGTTTTGAACTCCTGGGTTCAACCATCCTCCTGCTTCAGTCTCCCAAAGTGCTGGGGTTACAGGCATGAACCACCATGCACAGCTGCAACAAACTTTCAAAGGATTTTATCACACACACAAAAAAAGTGAATAAGACCTACTTCACATTAAAGTCTTGGCTATACTTCTGGGATAGTAGCTGCTACTGTTATCTTAGGGTTCATGACACTGAACAAATTACAGTTCTAGAAAGAAGCAAGTTCTGCCTCAGAGATGACACTATGTTGGAGGAGGGCAATATTTACAGCAAAGTAGGAAGGAACTTCTTGGAAGAAAAATGTTAACCTGCGTGATGTGAGAACTAGAAGATACCTAGGAAATTACCTGGTACCATCTCACATTACATGTAAGAAAATGAAGGTCCAAAGAGGTTAAACGACTTGCCCAAGGTTGTATAGCTAGTTAGGGACTAAAAAGGAATTCCAAACAGGTCACCAACACTCAGCACAGCACTCTGTGCTCCCCATGGAAAGGTATACAAAGAAACTGGACTATTGAGCTTTAAAGTTTAATAGGAAATATGTGTTAAATTTTATTCAACTCAATTACACAAGTGCATGCTCATTCCTAAGGAACTGGAAGGAAAGAGGGAAGTAAAGGAGTTCAAAAATGTGTAAGTTCTCAGTCCTGAAGGAGATGAAAAACATGAATGTTAAGATGTACAATCAAAACAAAGTAAATAGCAGTAACACTTTTTTTTTTTTTTTTTTTTTGAGACAGTCTCGCTCTGTCACCCAGGCTGGAGTGCAGTGGCGCGATCTCAGCTCACTGAAACCTCCGTCTCACAGGTTCAAGCGATTCTCCTGCCTCAGCCTCCTGAGTAGCTGGGATTACAGGCACGCACCACCACACCTGGGTAATTTTTGTATTTTTAGTAGAGACGGGGTTTCACCATTTTGGCCAGTCTGACACCTGAGGTCAGGGGTTCGAGACCAGCCCGGCCAACACTCTATATTATCAGTCTATATCTGATCTTTCTGCAGCAGATTTGTTAAACAGACTCAATAAGTTATAAAAACTAGACAATTTTTCACTTATCAATTTGGCAGTTATTTTAAAAACCGGTAATCCCACAGTTGAGTTAACAATATGGAGAAACAGACTTTCTCATTAGCACTGGTGAGAATATAAACAGGTATAACTCTTCTGGAGGGCAGTTTGGCAATATGCTTATGAAAGTCTTTAAAAATGCATACCCAACAATTCTACTTTACGAATTTATCTTGGCCGGGTGCGGTGGCTCACACTTGTAATCCCAGCACTTTGGGAGGCCAAGGCAGGTGGATCACGAGGTCAGGAGATCGAGACCAGCCTGGCCAACATGGTGAAACCCTCTCTCTACTAAAAATACAAAAATTAGCCGGGAGTGGTGGCAGATGCCTATAATCCCAGCTACTCGGGAGGCTGAGGCAGGAGAATTGCTTGAACCCGGGAGGCAGAGGTTGCAGTGAGCCCAGTGAACCAAGATGGCTCCCCTGCACTACAGCCTGGGTGACAGAGCTAGAGCTAGACTCTGTCTCAAAAAAAAAAAAAAAGAATTTATCTTAAGGAAATGATAGTACTATTTTCAAAGACATGACTGAGGATATTAATCATAATAAATAATAGCTAGCATTTATTGAATATTACCTCATTTAATTCTCATAACTATTAATCTTCTCAGTTTACAGTTAACTTGCCAGTGGGACACAGTGGCTCACACCTGTAATCCCAGCACTTTGGGAGGCTAAGGCAGGCAGATCACTTGGGCTCAGGAGTTCGAGAACAGCCTGGGCAACGTAGCCAGGCCTCGTCTCTACAAAAAAACTTTAAAAAAATTAGCCAGGTGTGGCTGGGCATGGTGGTTCACACCTGTAAGGTAATCCCAGCACTTTGGGAGGCCGAGGAGGGTAGATCACCTGAGGTTGGGGGTTTGAGATCAGCCTGGGAGAAACCCTGTATCCACTAAAAAAATACAAAAAATTAACCAGGCATGGTGGCGCATGCCTGTAATCCCAGCTACTCGGGAGACTGAGGCAGGAGAATTGCTTGAACTCGGGAGGCAGAGGTTCAGTGAGCCGAGATCGTACCATTGCACTCCAGCCTGGGCAACAAAAGTGAAACTCTGTCTCAAAAAACAAACAAACAAAACAAAAAAAAATTAGCCAGTTGGGGAGGCACATGCTTGTAGTCCCAGCTACTCAGAGACTGAGGCAGGAGGATCACTTGAGCCCAGGAAGTCAAGGCTGCAGTGAGCTGTGATTGTGCCACTGCACTCCAGGCTGGGCAACACAGTGAAACCCTGTCTAAAATATCAAAGGATTTGGACTTTTTTCAAGGCAAGCAATGGAGGAGCCATTGAAAAATTTTTAAACAAGAAAGATCAGATTCACACTTTTCCATACAGAGAATGGTTAGGTGGGGCAGACGTAAAGCAAGACAGGAAACAACTGTACGAGTTAGAGAACCAAATGGAAAAGAGAAGACAGATACAAGATGATAAGCTAGAATCAAAAGGACCTTGCGACCAATTAGACATGAGCTATTAAGGGGAAAAGCAGTGTCAAGGGTAACTCCCAGGTTTCTGAGCAAATGAGTGGATGGTGGTGCTGCTTATTTTGGGAAGAGAAAAGGTAAGAAATTGAATTTTAAGCATGTCAAGTTCAAGGGGCCTATGGAACCTCAAGAGGAGTGAGTTATTGCATTTATCAATGTCCGAAGGTCAGAGGCAGTGTCTGGGTAAGAGACAAGGATTTTGGATTCATTCACCATATTCAGTTGTAGACATGAATGGCGGATGTGACCACAGGGAAAGTGAAGCAAAAAAAAATGTTGGCAATCAAGGGAATTATGAGGTTTAAAGAAGCTCATAGGCTGGGTGTGGTGGCTCACGCCTATAATCCCAGCACTTTGGGAGGCCAAGGCGGGTGGATCATCTGAGGTCAGGAGTTCGAGAACAGCCTGGCCAACATGGTGAAACCCTGTCTCTACTAAAAATACAAAAATTAGCTGGGCGTGGTGGCGCATGCCTGTAATCCCAGCTACTGAGGAAGCTGAGGCAGGAGAATCACTTGAACCCAGGAGGCGGAGGCTGCAATGAGCCAAGACTGCGCCATTGCACTCCAGCCTGGGCAAAAAGAGGAAAACTCCATCTAAAAAAAAAGCTCATAGGGAGACTGAGAAGGAGAAACTAGAGAAGTAGAAAAGAAAGCAGTGAAAATGGCTGTTACAGAAAGAGAGCCAAGAAAGTTTCAAGCAGGGCAAGAGTGTGTTTTTGGTGGGTTAATACCTCAGGGAAGTCCCCTAAGGTAAAGATGAAAATGTATTTCTTTGATTTAGCAATAAATTGACTGGGGAGAGAGTGGTTTTTGCTGAAGGCAGTCTTGCAAAGGCAAGATTGCAATGAGCCGAAGAAGGAGTAAGAAGGAATAAAATGGAAACTGTGAAATATAAACCACTGTTTCAAGAAGCTTGTTCAGAGAAGGAGAAAAGTCGGATAATCTTGTTAGAGGCAGATGTAGAATATTTAAACCCTACAAAAATCCTAATGACTTGCCAAGCAGTCTAAGGTTTTGTTTTGTTTTAATAAAACAATTCATAACAAATAGGGATTAGACAAATGAGAAATGAGAATTTCTTAGTTGCAATCTCAGGAGAGATTTTTACTACTTACAGCCGAAACTTTATTTTCAGTATTAGATGGAACACACACTTACAGCTCTTGTCAGGGTATTTTGACAAGTCTTTTAATAAAAGTGAAGTAAAATATGAATAATAATAGAATTGTCATTTCTAACCTCAGGTGTATTTATCTTTTAAAAGGCTGAAAATTACTTTTATAATTAAAAAAAATAGTGGTAGTAGGGAAAAAAGTAAATAAAAAGCTAAAAAGATTAGCAGTTGCTTATAATTTTTCTCAATTGTTGATTCACAACTCACCAAAAATTTAAATTTAAGTGGCAAATACCTATTTTTTTTTTTTTTTTTTTTTGAGTCTCACTCTGTCACCCAGGCTAGAGTGCAATGGCGCCATCTTGGTTCACTGCAACGTCCACCTGCCAGGCTCAAGCAATCCTCCTGCTTCAGCCTCCCAAGTAGCTAGAAGTACAGGAATGCGCCACCACACCTGGCTACTTTTTGTATTTTTAGTAGAGACTGGGTTTCACCATGTTGCCCAGGCTGGTCCCGTACTCCTGGGCTCAAGTGATCTGCCCACCTCCGCCTCCTAAAGTGCTGGGATTACAGGTGTGAGCCACCATGCCTGGCCCCTGTCTAATTTTTATTCTGCCTCCACAATTATCCTAAGGATTATGTCCAACTCTCACAAACTTCAGAATGAAATTAAATCTAATTCAGTTTAGCAAGTAAAGGTCTTACAGCACCTTTACTAGAAAGTCTATGCAGAAAGGCCAGGTGTGATGGCACATGTGTGTAGGCCTACCTACTCAGGAGGCTGAGGTGGAAGGACCACTTGAGGCCTGGAGTTCAAGACCAGGCTGGGCAACATAGTGAGACCTTTGTCTCTACCAAAAAAAATTGTTTTTTTTTAATTAGCTAGGCATGGTGGCATGCACCTATAGACCCAGCTACTGAGGAGGCTGAAGCAAGAGGATTGCTGGAGCCCAGGAGTTCCAGATTGCAGTGAGCTAAGATTGTGCCATAGCACTGTAGCCCGAGTGACAGAGAGAGACCCCATCTCCAAAGAAATAAATAAATAAATAAATAATCTGTGCAGGAATTGAAAAATTAAAGAATGGTAATAAAGATGCTGTAAAAGCCAAAAAATTATGAACAATTTCTTTTTTTTCTTTTTTTTTTTTTTTTTGAGTTGGAGTCTCACTCTGTTGCCCAGGCTGGAGTGCAACGGTGTGATCTCAGCTCACTGCAACCTCTGCTTCCCAGGTTCAAGTAATTCTCCTGTCTCAGCCTCCCAAGTAGCTGGGATTACAGGCATGTGCCACCACACCGGCTAATTTTTGTATTTTTAGTAGAGAGAGGGTTTCACCATGTTGGCCAGGCTGGTCTCGAACTGCTGACCTCAGGCGATCTACCCGGCTCAGCCTCCCAAAGGGCTGGGATTACAGGCATGAGCCCCTGCACCCGGCCGTATGAACCATTTCTTTAGGTGAGTTTTGCTTCTTTTTATCTGACCCTGAAGAAAATAATTGGAATGAATACAGTAATTCCCTTCCCCTTCCCCTTTCCCTTTCTTTTCGACAGGGTCTCACTCTGTCACCCAGGCTGGAACACAGTGGCACCTTCATGGCTCACTGCAGCCTCAACCTTCTGGACTCAAGTGGTCCTCTTGCCCTCTGAGTAGCTGGGACTACAGGCATGTGCCACCATGCCCAGCTAATTTTTGTTTGTTTGTTTGTTTTGTAGAGACAGAGTCTTGCTTTGTTGCCCAGGCTTGTCTAGAACTCCTGCACTCAAGCAATCCTCCTGCCTCGGCCTCCCAAAGTGTTGAGATTACAGGCATGAACCACTGTGCTTGGCTTCCTTTTTTTCTGATATAAATAATCTGTTTTTTAAAATTGCTGTTTTTGAAGGCCAGAGATTTTTTAATGTTTTTTTCATTTTCTGAGTAAACATATGTCTCAGTGTACTAAGTTTTTAAATTCACAGTGGCTTTCTGGACTAACAGTGACAACATTCAGTCACAACATTCATGTTTATAAATGTAAACATTTACCTTAGGAACAGTCTTTAACCAGTAACTGAACCTCTTGTTCAATGTTGGTTAAACAGCAAGATGGGATATTCTGACCAAAAAGCAGAAAACCGATTTTAATTAAAAATACTTTTAAAGTTTATGTAGTCAATTTTCTATTGTCTTGACACAAAAGATCTATACCTCTAGTTTAGGTCACTGAGTTTTAAGAATATCTCGGCTGGGCACAGTGGCTCATGCCTGTAATCCCAGCACTTTGGGAGGCTGAAGCAGGCAGATCGCAAGGTCAGGAGTTCAAGACCAGCCTGGCCAACATGGTGAAACCCCATCTCTACTAAAAATACAAAAATTAACTGGGTGTGGTGGTGGATGCCTGTAATCCCAGCTACTCGAGAGGCTGAGGCAGGATAACTGCTTGAACCCAGGAGGCCAAGGTTACAGTGACCAAGATCACACCACTGTACTCCAGCCTGGGTGACAGAGCGAGGCTCCGTCTTGGGGAAAAAAAAAAAAAAAAAATCTCAAACCACTATAGTGGTTTACTATATTTCTAGTTACTATAAAGAAACTGGAAATGTAATGGATTTGAAAATAAACTATCATCATGTCAAATCAAATACACCACAGGCAGCTCTTTTGTACAAGGAATATTCTGGGCTTTTAACTCTCATAACCCTCAAGAGTTAGATATTATTATTTTGTATTTTACAGTGGAGGAAACTGAGGCTGAGAAAAGTTAAAGAGTTTGCTCAAAGACAAATAGCTAGTAGCAAGTTAGGACTCGAACCCAAGTTTTCCCAAAAGGAGCTTTTGTTGAGAAGATAAACAAAAGTACAAATATAAGTTACCACCAACAAAAATTACCACAAACTTAGTTAAAAATAACATTATAGGAAATGCCACTATATTAGAAAGCACTTCTGTGATTACTGGTAAAACGTATCATTCAGATATGAGCTACAAAAGTTAGAAAAAATGAGAACTTGCTGACCTGGGGCAGAAGATTCAGCCGGCAACAAATTCCAGCTTCACCACACACTGGCTGTGTGGCTTGAGGGAAACATAGTCTCCTCATCTGCAAAATGAAGATAACATCAACCTTCCAGAGTTATTGTGAGGGTTACATGAAGTACCAAGTAAAGCTCCAAGTAGAGGGCCTAGCACACATAGTAAACACTACATACTGACTCCTTCCTTCTTAGGAAAGGCTCTCCTTGGGTCTAAGACCTTGAACAATAGATTGAGTTGGGATATTGAAAGAGAATGGGGAAGCTCATTTCAGGAAGAAAAAAGAAGCAGAAGTCAGAGATACAGCAGGAAAAATTGGGTTTAAAATAGTTTACCTGATGCAGAACATTTAAATTTAAGGGTATATAATAAGCCTGGAAAGCAGTTTGGGCCAAATTACATCAGGCCTCAGTCAAAGATTTTAGACTTTATATTATAAGTAGCAGGGAATGACGGAGAGTTTGGTTCCTTTGTTTACATTATGCTTTATTGACCTTATGTTTTATTATAAAGCAATACATGTTCATTGTAGAAAGTCTGTAAATTGGCCGGGCGCAGTGGCTCATGCCTGTAATCCCAGCACTTTGGGAGGCAGAGGTGGGCAGATCACTTGAGGCTAGGAGTTTCAGACCAGCTTGGCTAAAATGGCGAAACCCTGTCTCTACTTTAAAAAATTAAAATTTAGCCGGGCGTGGTGGCGCAGGCCAAGATTGTGCCACTGCACTCCAGCCTGGGCAACAGAGCAAGAGACTCTGTCACAACAACAACAAAAAAAAAAAAAAGAAAAAAGAAAAAAAAAATCTGTAAATTACAGAGAAGTGTGAAGAAAAATATACAAAACACCTTATTCAATAGTTACCTTGAGAGATAAATTTTTTTATTGTTTTATCCTTTGGTGGAATTTTTTTTCTTTTTTCAGTAGCTTTACTGAGGCATAATTGACAAATAGAAATTATATAATTCAAAGCATACAGTACGAATATTTGATATACATATACATTGTGAAATGATTACCACAATCAAATTAATTAACACATCTTTCCCCACACACAGTTACTATTTTCCTTTGGTAGTATTTTGATTGAGTTTTTTTTTTCCACGTACATTTGTTATTTTAATACTAATAATAAAATGTATAAGTACATGGAAAACATTAAACACATTTACATAACTGTTCTTTTTATAAGAAGATTTGCCTCTCAAAAAAGGATTTGCATATTTGAGATGGTCAGATGGCCAGTGAGAGTTCCCCAAGGCTAGAACCACACATTTTATAGGGTACAATGGTTGCTAATCTTTATATGCATCTTGGCCTATCATTTCAACATATCGTTGTAACACATTTTTCTTTTATTTTTAATATAGCTAAATTATTTAATTTCTTTAAAAAATATTGCTATCATAACACTCTCCAAAGATTACCTCTGGGGACATTTGGGTGTATCTTTTTCAGTTTGAAGGTTTGAACTTGAAGATAGATGGAATAAAAGTGGGACTTTAGGTGGCTTACTCTGACCAAAGCAAATTAGAAAGATGCGAGGAAGGAGATTATAGAACAAGGAAGACCATATTGGGCTATGGTAGCAATTCAGGCATAGGTCAATAGGTCAAAAACGGGCAAGACTGGTACAGTGACAATGGACATGGAAAGAAAGCAACAAACACAAGTAACAATACAGAGGGAGAATTGACAGGACTTGGTGACTCACGAGCTATGGAGGGTGAAGGAGATGAGTAATGAAAGATGATGCTAAGGTGTCACCTTTGGCAATTTATATAAATTTCAATTTCCTCATCTATAAAATGGGGTTAACAATTGTACCTTCCTCATAGGGTTATTGGGAGGATTAAATGGATGACATCTAAAATGCTTAGCACAAAAACAGGAATGCATTCTTAGCCAATAGTGGCTGTCATAGTTTTTATAGATGTTGAATCTACATGGCTGGGTTTAAGAATAATGAAATTCTTAAATAGGAAAGTCAGGAGAAAGGTCTGATTGAGGTAGAGAGGTAGAGTTGAGCTATAGTTTAGACATGTCAGATTTAGGTTTATGGTGGACAGTTGATTAAAAATGTTCAGCAAGAAGCCACCACTGGCAGTGATGTTTGACAGTGGGTACATTTTAGGAAGACTTCATGTTCATGAGAAGCAGATACCTGGAGGGTGGATACCGCTGCACAATGTCCACATGTCTGCCCGTAACCTCCACTTAACGATCAGAAATTACCTGATCTAATAAGCAATCTCTACATATCGTACACTTCCCGGCTGAGTGGCTCTGGTAGGACAGATACCAAAGTAGTGAAGCATTTAAAGGTTTTGGAACCAGACAGATCTGTTTGAATCCCGACTCTTCCATTTACTGTTGTCTAATTGCAGGAAAAATAATTTTCTTAGCTTCACGTTTTCTTATTTACAAAATGGAGTAATAAAAATTTCTACCTCATAGCATTGATGGGAGAATTAAATGAGACTATTTAAAATAAGGTCAGGCATGGTGGCTCACACCTGTAATCCCAGCAATTTGGGAGGCTGAGGCGGGCAGATTACCTGAGGTTAAGAGCTCAAGACCAGCCTGGCCAACATGGTGAAACCCCGTCTCTACTAAAAATACAAAAATATGAACGGGGCCTGGTCTTGGGCACCTGTAACCCCAGCTACTCAGAAGGCTGAGGCAGGAGAATCGCTTGAACCCAAGAGGCAGAGGTTGCAGTGAGCAGAGAACATACCATTGCACTCCAGCCTGGGTGACAAGAGTGAAACTCCGTCTCAAAATAAATAAATAAATAAATAATAAAACATAAAAATACCAAGTTGTTTTGTTTTGTTTTGTTTTGTTTTGTTTTGTTTTGAACAGGGTCTCACTCTGTTTCCCAGGCTGGAATGCAGTGGTACCATCACGGCTCACGGCAGCCTCAACCTATCCCAGGCTCACGTGATCCTCCACCTCAGCCTCCTGAAGTAGCTGGGACCACAGGCGCTTGCCACTAATAAACTGTTAATTGTTGTACTTTTTGTAGAGACGGGGTTTTTGTCTTATTGCCCAGGCTAGTCTTGAACTCCTGGGCTCAATCAATCTGCCCGCCTCAGTCTCCCAAAGTGCTCAGCCACTGCACCTGGCCATAAATACCAAGTATTGCTATTAATCATGCCTCTCCTTGAGGTTAATAGTTCGTTTATATTTCCTCTCCATTCTTTACGGTGTCAAACATGAGAGGCACTCTCTGCTAACTGCTGATCACTGTGCCTCCACAACTTTGGTTTTCAGCCTCTCCCCATGGCTCAGTTCTTTTTGGAACTTTGTAACTCATAGTTTCGTGAAATTCCAGAATGCCAAACAGCATCTTTGGAGGAAGATGGTCTGTTAGTCTTTGTTTGGAGAGAACTTCTGTATTAGTTTCCTATCACTGCTTAAACAAATTACCACAAACTTAGTGACTGAAAACAACACAAATGTATTGTCTCACAGTTCTGTAATTCAGAAGTACAAAATGGTCTCCCTAATAAAATCAAGGTGTCAGCAGGGCTGCATTCTTTTCTGGAGGCTCTAGGGGATAATCCATTCCCTCACCCTTTTAAGTTTCTAGAGGCCACTTGCATTCCTTGGCTCATGGCCTTCTTCCTCCATCTTCAAAACCAGCAATAGCAGCTTGAGTTCTTTTCACCTCATCAACCATCCCTCTGGTTCACTTCTGCCTCCCTCATCTCCTATTAAAGACCCTTGTGATTATATTGGGTCCACCTGGATAATCCAGAATGCTCTCCCTATGTTAAGATCTGCTAACTAGCAACCTTAATTTCCTTTGCAACTTTATCTCTCTTGCCATGTAACATAACATAGGACAGGTTTTGAGAATTTTGATGTGAACATTTTGGGGGACCATCATTTTGCCTACCGTACCCTCCACAAAGAAAACTCCAGGGAGATTTGCCCCTGCTTTGTCTCTCTGTCTTGCAGGACCTAACTGATCCTCTAAATCATGAACCATCTATCACAATATGATAATTGCAATAATCACAATTGGGAGGCCTTTCATGATAATATTTTTCTTCTGGTCTAAGTCTGATTCTGTTCCATGCTTAAAGATTTATTTGTAGCTAAATACAATGACTGTTAACTAAAAATTCATAAAGAAATAGTGATCTTGGCCAGGCACAGTGGCTCACGCCTATAATCCCAGCACTTTGGGAGGCCGAGGTGGGTGGATCACGAGTTAAGGAGTTTAAGACCAGCCTGGCCAACATGGTGAAACTCCGTCTCTACTAAAAATACAAAAATTAGCCAGGTGTGGTGGCAGTCGCCTGTAATCCCAGCTACTCGGGAGGCTGAGGCAGAGAAAAAAAGAAATAATGATCTCAGGAAATCCTTTCCAGTATGGGGGAAAAAAAGGTTTATCATCAACCATTCACTTTTATAAATGATATGAATGTCCATTTCTTTTTTTCTTCAAGTCAGAGTCTTGCTCTTCTGTCACCCAGGCTAGAGTGCAGTGGCCCAAGTACAGCTCACAGTAGCCTCAACCTGCCAGACTCTAGCAATCCTCCTACTTCAGCCTCCCTAGTAGCTGGGACAACAGGCACTTACCACCATGTCCAGCTAATTTTCGTATTTATTTATTTATTTATTTATTTATTTATTTATTTATTTATTTATTTATTTGTAAAGAGAGGGTCTTACTGTGTTGCCCAGGCTAGTCTCAAACTTCTGGGCTCAAGTGATCCTCCTGCCTCAGCCTCCCAAAGTGCCAGGATTACAGGCATGAGCCACCACACCTGACTGAATGTGTATTTTATTTCTGAAACAAAACCACTACACATGATTGTTACCAATATGTTTCTATTTTTTTTTTTTTTAGCTGGGTATACCTGTAATACCTGTAGTCCCAGCTATTCAGGAGGCTGAGGTGGGAGGATCACCTGAGCCCAGGAGTTTGAGGCTGCAGTGAGCCATGGTTGTGCCACTGACGGCATGACAGAGTGAGAGTTTCTATTTTTTTAACAGAACCCCAACAGCGGTGCTTTCATTTTAGATCCAATTGATGATTAATGGACGGCAGAGTATGTCTTAAGAAAGACAGGTGAAAAATATCAGGTTGCAAAGCAAAGCACGTAAATATACCAAAGCCAGAATTTTTTTTATTTTTGTAAGGGGTAAAAGGCCATGAGTACTATTTTAGGAGTACCAAAAGTTCAAACACTGTAGTTGGAAATGGATAAAACCTCAATACCTTTGAATCTGACACTGAAATTTAGTATTTCTATCTTTTAAGTTCTTTTATCTCAAGGTATATAAAAGTGCTCCAAATAAATATGTCCAAATCTTGGGATTTTCTTTTTTTTTGACATGGAGTTTCACTCTTGTTGCCCAGGCTGGAGTGCAATGGCGTGATCTCGGCTCACCACAACTTCTGCCCCCTGAGTTCAAGCAATTCTCCTGCCTCAGGCTCCCAAGTAGCTGGGATTACAGGCATGCACCACCACGCCCGGCTAATTTTGTATTTGTAGTAGAGACAGGGTTTCTCCATGTTGGTCAGGCTGGTCTCGAACTCCCGACCTCAGGTGATCTGTCTGCCTTGGCCTCCCAAAGTGCTGGGATTACAGGCATGAGCCACCACGTCTGGTGAGCATTAAAAATTTTGTTATAAATTTCAGCATTAAAAAATGTGTTAATGGTTGATCCTAATTTTCTAGTGGGTAGGAGGTTAGCTTTAGTACCTGATTGAAAGAAAACAGCTTGAAAAACAGGAGAGGCTAGCACTAAATTGTTTTATGACTTTGGGCAGGAGACTCAAGAGAAGGAAAATAGAGAGCCCAACAGGTATTGAGCATCTATTATTGCCAAGCACTGTGTTTGCATATATTATTTCCCTGAGTTTTTACAACATTTCCTGTGGGTCGCCATTGTTACACTTTAAAGATGAGGAAATCAAGGCTCTGAGATGTTAACAGACTCTCCCACAATCGCACAGCTAAAGGGTAACAGCACTGGGATTAGAGTCCAGTACTGCCTAACTCCAAAGCCCATGCATATGCTTTCCACCACCCTCAGCTGCTCTTGCCTTGTTTCCTCATCTACAAAACAAGGGAGTTCAGTCAGATAATCTCTGATGCCCCTCAAGTTCTACCTGCATGGCCTTTGTGGTTGGGAGGAGAAAGGGGAATCAGGGCAGGGTCTCCGGCACTGTGCTGAGTGGTCTTCTTCTGAGTGGGAAAGCAATGAAACCACGTGTCTTACTGGTGCTGTACTGACTCCCTGTCCTGTGAAAGAAGGCTGCTGCTGCTGGCAACACTGCAAATGACGATGGGACTCCCAGGCCCACAGCCCTCAAAAGGAAGTGAGTCTTCTCATTCTCCTTTGCAGGGCCACTTTTTATAAATTTACATTTCCAAAACCAAATCCATCAACATTTACTGTTGAGAATTTTATTGTGCCCAACACTGAGTTAAATGGTATTGCAAGGCTCTATATACAATAGCAAGGAAGTATAAGATGTGGTCTGTATTCTCAGGAACTTACAACTAGCTGGGAGAACACAACACACAAAGCAATTTTTGAAGGACACTGTATAATGCAGGACTGAATTGTGTAGTCCAGATGATATGTACTACAGGAGTGCAGAGAAATGGGCGTTCAGTGGGGGCTACAGCACCCGTGAGAACTGGAGCAGAGACAACGTTATTCACCTTGCATTCTTGACTAGTCTTTCTTGGCCTTTTCTGTAATTGTGAAACCCTGGTATGACTCTTTGACATAGTTCAAACATTCTCTGCTTTGCAGGCTGCAGTGATGTCCTTCATATCACGTCATCTTAGTGCCACTTCATCTTTATTGGCATGTGTGGGAGGAACAAAACCCCAGTGGTATGCAAACACCGTCATGGGGACTTGCTTCAAGCCATGGGAAGTTTCACGCAAAGCCAGTTTCTCAGTAGGGCAAATGTTGTGTAAAAGTACAAGAAGTTTGAGAAACTAGTTAAAGGCAAAGCCTGTCACAGCAAGAATGAGATTTGAATGGGGACACTTTCCTGTCTGTGTCAGGGATGGTCTGATGGTCTACTCCCAGCCCCTCACCTTCGGAGCCCCTGTGCTTAAGTACTTCGCTGACAACATGGCCCAGAGGCGAAAGGACCTTGTCCAATGCAGCAGGAACTTCTTATTCCCAAACCCTCTGCCCACCCTCATAGGCCAGTCTTTTGATAAGAGGCTGTAGACCTGAAAAATTATTCTAGAATGTTGGATCTAATAGATTTAATAGTCACTATATATTTACTGCATGTTCTGAAACAAGGCTGGATTGAGGACTGTTTTCATTTGAGCTGAAGACACAAAATGAATATACAGGAAACAGCAGCTAAGTGTACCTGACAGATTAATGGCATCAAGTGCTAAGCCAAGGGTAATTGGTTCAGAAAAATGAGACACTGATAAGTACAGAAGTAATGAGGGAAAGTGTCACCAAGCCAACGTTTAGGAGAGACCTTAAAAAATGGAAAGAATCTGGATTGGCAGGAAAGAGAAATTATGACATTCTAGAAATGATATAGTACCTACTATTTCATGTGATGAATTATAAATTATAATAGGAAACCATTATCAAAGGCAAGAAAAGTGAAAGATATATTCATGGAAAACCAAAGCAGTCAGCCTGTCTGGAGGAAGGGTGGCATAAGAATGTACATAGCAAAAATTAATGGGAAGTTAAGATCATCTGAATAAGATGAATTCATCAACATACTTAGGCTGGGCACGGTGGCTCATGCCTATAATCCCAGCACTTTGGGAGGCTGAAGTGGGTGGATCGCTTGAGCCCAAAAATTCAAGACTAGCCTGAGAAACACAGTGAGACCCTTTCTCTACAAAAATACAAAACAATTTAGCGGGGTGTGAAGGTGTGCGCCTATAGTCCCAGGGAGTATAGTACTTGGGAGGCTGAGGTGGAAGGACAGCTTGATCCTGGGAGGTCGAGGCTGCAAGTGAGCTATGATCACTGCACACCAGTGTCGGTGACAGAGTGAGACACTGTCTCACACAAACAAACTTACCAAACATATATCAAGTGCTGATTACACTAGGTCTCTTGCTGCATAATTATAATAGTTTACACCTATTAAAGCTTACAATGTGCCTTGCACTGTGTTAAAGTGCTTTACATATATTATCTCATTTAATTGTCACGACAGACCTATGAGGTATATGTTACCTCATAGGTAATGTATCCATTTTACAGATGAAACTGATGAAACCCAGAGAGGCTAAGGAACTTGCTTCAGGTCACATAGTTACTGAGTGGGAAAGCCTAGTATTGAACCAAGTAAGTCAGCCCAAACACGGGTTCCGAGCACAATGCTAAACTGTCTCCACAGATATTACTACAATCTCATAAACTTCCCTATGACATAGGTATTATCACCCCAGTTTTGCAAATGGGGATTCAAGGTTTCGAGAGTCAGTGAATTGCCCAAGGTCATTCTGCTGAGTACGGGGCTAGGATTTGAAAGCAGATCCACTAACTCCAAGTCCATTAAACTTCCCATTACAATATAGCCACCTGGCAGAAATATTGTCTAGTATGAGATCAGATTAGAGGAAATTTTGACAGCAAAGAAGAGCAAGAAGTCTATATGAATAGGGAAGAACTTCAGGGTTTTGAATAGACATGATTTGATTAATGAAGGTAGTCTAGGTCTGGCCTCAGTCTTTCACAGGTAATTGAATCAGGGAAAGGGTAGACATGAACAGTAGATGATATTAGAGGAAGTAAGGACCTAGAAATGGGCATAGGAGAGAGGGAATGACAGAAACAAGATCAATATTTGAAGGAAAACCTGATTGTTCTAGGGGCTGAACAGCTGAGAGTGATGAAAGAGGAGATCAAATCAAAGAGGAATTTGCTTCTCTATATCTAAATAACTTCATGGACTATTGACAGGGACTGACAGTTTATATGAGCAGCTGATTTGTGGCAAAAAAAAAAAAAAAAAAAGAAGAAGGTTGTTTTTGGACATGTTGCAATCTGCTTGGCAGAACAATGACCTGCACATTCCAGAGGAAATGGCCAGTAGGCAGTCAGGGAAATGGGATTGGAGCTCAGGTAGAGAGCAGAAGCTGTCAATAGTATCTGACAAATAAGCTCTGCAAGGACCACTGAAGGGGCAGACAAGTCACATCCCAAGAAAAATAGGGTTTTTTTTTAATAATCAGAATGCGCCAGGAGTCAGCAGAGAACCAAAATGCACTATAATGAAAGAGATCAGGCCCAAGGGCAAGCCACAGGTCAAGATAAGTGGTTAGGGACAATGCAGAGATAAAAATTAAAGGGATGCAGCAGCAAATCTGATCTCATCAGTATCAAGGATAAATGACCACAGAATAATTTCCTGTCCTGTTTCTGGTATTTTGGGGTATTCCCCTATTGCAGGAGCCAAATCCACTTAACTGGATGACGCCCTCAGAATGACCCTGCAGAACAACCAGGAATCTTCCTAGCAGGGAGTACACAGTCTACATCAGCACAGGGAGAGAATGAAAGTTATCAAAAAGGGCCTCTCCACTGAATTGTACATGTAAAAATGGCTAAAATGGTAAATGACATTTATGTAGATTTTACCAAAATTTAAAAGGGAGTCTATCTCTTGAAAAGATAAACATCTACGGATTCCCCCAAAATCTCCAAAAGTTCACCTAATTACCATCTCCTGGACTTCCCCTGTTTGTTAAAGATCTTGATTTCCTTGCTTAAGTTGGTGGCTATGGTGCTAAAGGGATGAAGATACTTAAGAAACCATGGAGGCTGCAGCTACCTGGTGCCCTTGTCCCTTCCAGTCTGGGAAGGGAATGGGATAGTTGGTTGTGGTCAGTTTGCTGTGGAAACTCCTCTTCTGGCCTTTCTGCTCCCTCTGTCCTTTTTTCAGAACTTTGAGAACATGACACATTGGCCAATGCTCCACCCTCTGTGACCTCTTCTGCTTGACACAATTAAGAAAATGAGCCATAGAGCAACTCAGCCAACACCTGGAAGGGACTTACCTGAGACAGGAACCTGAGAGTCCTGTAACTTCAGTTCTTGCTCACTGCCCTGTGCATATGGCCTTAGAATCCTAGGATCCTCTTTCTGACTTTACAGAGATCACCTCCAAGCCTATATCGAATTCCTTTCCTGATCAATATATAATGTGTTCTTAGTTCAGGGGGCCTTCACAAACCAGGGCAACCCAAAGGTGCTCAGCTCCTACGCTCTTGGAAGTAGCAAGGTGGGGCTCCTCTTCATCTTGTAAGTAAGGAAACAGTGGCCCAGGATCAGTTCAATGGCTTGCCCACGGGCATATACCTGGCTAATTGCAGAAGGGGAAGGAGATGCAGGCCTTCTGATCCACTCTCCAAATCTCTGTTAGTTAGACAAAGAGATCCCAGCTGAAATATTTGGAATGCTATTTTTACTGAAGCTTTGCTTTCCCCCAGATTTAGTCTCTTTTACTGCCTTTTTCTCAAAACATATTTAAACTGCTTGGAAATGCCAATTAGGGGTCTAAAATAGAATGATAACTGCACCGATCAATTGGGGAAGCTCACTGGTTACCCACAAAACCATCACAGACCGCCTATTATGCTGTGGCTAAAACTCGGATCCATGCCTTCCCGCAGCCTCATATGGCAGAGCACCCCAGTCCCTCCTGTCGTTGCCCCATGTTGGCCTTGATGTCTGCCTCTGAAATCCTTGATTACCAACGTCAACAGGCAATTGGCCAGCTTAGGAGGGGCCTTCCAAGGCTATGGCAAGATAGAAGAATGACAGTACAGCTCATCATAAACGTATTTATCAGGCAAACTTCAGGAAAAACTGGTTTCTCAGGCTTGCCACCTGAAGCAAAATAGTTCTGGGTGAAGCTTGACATGGTGTATATCTGTGGGTCAGGTCAGCACACACACAGAAAAAGAATCTTTTTTGTTTTCTCTTTGGAGATTATCCAAACTATAAAGTTAACCAGAGAAATGAATTATCTGTTTTAGTCAAGCCTATATTTCTTTCCAATGGTCATTTTCTGGAAATGCAGGAATTCAAGTTTAGAACTTCTAAGTGATAGAGTCATATACTCATAAAATAGTAGCACTGTATGGGACCCGGAAATTGTCTAATCTAGCGTCTAATTTTGCAGATAAGAAAGCTGAAGTTTCCCATTATTAAATGAATATTGTACTTCCATGCAGGCAGAGATTGCACTCATTTCTTTACAAGCTGAAATTACACTGTTGGCTCCCATGGCACTGGCAGCCAGCCTAAATAAAACCCATAATATTTTTCATATAAACTGCTCAGCTAGATTTTCCGCATTCCAGGTTTATACATAAATTTCTTAACATTTTGTTCAGGAGTTTACATTTTCCCTTTCTAATTTTACTAGTTTAAACTCTATATGCCAGTCTATGATTTGAATTCTGGCCCGGTCTTAAGCCTTATAAGTACTTGAGAAAGGGCAAGATCATTTGCTAGTGTGCACTTTACAGTGTACCTGTCTTTATTTATTTTTGTATTTATTTACTTATTTATTATGTTTTGAGACAAGGTCTCACTGTATCACCCAGGCTGGAGTGCAGTGGCACCATCATGGCTCACTGTAGCCTCAACCTCCTGGGCTCAAGCAATCCTCCTGCCTCACCCTCCCAGGTAGCTGGGACCACAGGCACATGCCACCATGCATGTAGAAAAATTTAAATATTTCTAAAATGTTGCCCAGGCTGGTCTGAAACTCCTGGGCTCAGGTGATCCTCCCACCTCAGCCTCTCTCCCAAAGTGCTGGCATGACAGGCATGAGCCACAGTGCCCGGCTCCCCTACAACTTCACTTCTTGCTCACTGCCCTGTGTGTATGCCCTTACAGTCCTAGGATCCTCCTTCTGACTTTACAGAGATCACTTCCAAGTCTATATCCAATTCCTTTCCTGATCAATATATAACATGTTCTTAGGTCAGGGGGCCTCCACAAAGCAGGACAACCCAAAGGTGCTCCTGCACTTAGCTATTAGGACAATAGCTAAGTTGTCCTAAATAAAATGCTATTTATGAAAAGCATTTAACTTAGGTTTCCCCCACCTAGTTTTGTCCTAATTTAATTCCTCAAGGAGGTTTGGTAACTTTTCCTCCCTTCTTACATGAAGGAGCTCTAAAAGGGGTCTTTCCTCTATAAGGGAGAAGAAACTTTCGTAGCTTGTCTCCTACCAGAAGTAGAAGTGACTGGAGTAATGTGGTAAAAGGCTACCCTCTAAACTCCAGAGTCAGAAGAACCCTTTCTTTTTTTTTTTTTTTTGAGACACAGCCTTGCTATGAGGCCCAGTCTGGAGTGCAATGATGCTATCTCGGCACTCACTGCAACCTCTGCCTCCCAGGTTCAAGCAATTCTTCTGCCCCAGGCTCCTGAGTAGCTGGGACTACAGGCACACACCACCAGGCCCAGCTAATTTTTTTGTATTTTTAGTAGAGATAGGGTTTCACCATATTGGCCAGACTGGTCTCAAACTCATGACCTCAAGTGATCCACCTGCCTCGGCTTTCCAAAGTGCTGGGAATACAGGTGTGACCCACCACGCCCAGCCAAGAATCCTTTCTTATGTCCATGTTGATGTATAGGTTAGTAGTTTATCTTCCATCAGTTATGAAAACTGCAGGAGTCAAGAAATTTAGGAGTAGGGAGGAAAGAAAGGAAAGATTTCCTAATCTCTTCATACTCAAAAGGATATGTGCTATATGAAAAAGGAGAATTGAGTGAAATATCTGTGATTACTTTATATATTGTAAGTAGCCTAGAAACCTAAGAATTATACCTGACTTCTTCCTTCCCTTCACCCCCCATATCTAATAACAAGAATCACTAACACTTATCAAGTACTTACTGTGTGCCAGGTACTGTGCTGAGCATTTTATAAGCCTGATTAATTGAATCCTCAAAACAATTAGGATTTTAAGATGAGAAGATTGGCACTTTTAAGAGGTTACATTACTTGCTTGAACTCATATATCAAAGATTGATGGAGCCAGATTACCACCCAAATTATTGTGACTCCAGAGCCCAAAAGCTTACCCACAATAAATATTGTCCTCTAGGAGAGCCATCAGACCATGATACAGGTTTGTCCCTTATGAGACATAGAAGGAAGAATGAAAGGAAGTTCAAGAGGGAGAAAGATGCTGGGTAGAAGGAAGGACAAAGGAAGGTTGGTGGGTTGTGCGGCAGGAAGGTTAGGTGGAGGGTTGGTGGGTTGTGTGGAAGGAAGGTTAGGTGGAGGGTTGGTGGGTTGTGCGGCAGGAAGGTTAGGTGGAGGGTTGGTGGGTTGTGGGGAAGGAAGGTTACCTGGAGGGTTGGTGGGTTGTGTGGAAGGAAGGTTAGGAGGAAGGTTGGTGGGTTTCGTGGAAGGAAGGTTAGGAGGAAGGTTAGTGGGTTGTGCGGAAGGAAGGTTAGGTGGAGGGTTGGTGGGTTGTGTGGAAGGTTGGTGGGTTGTGTGGAAGGAAGTTTAGGAGGAAGGTTGGTGGGTTGTGTGGAAGGAAGGTTAGCTGGAAGGTTGGTGGGTTGTGTGGAAAGAAAGTTAGGTGGAGGGTTGGTGGGTTGTGCAGAAGGAAGGTTAGGTGGAGGGTTGGTGGGTTGTGCGGCAGGAAGGTTAGGTGGAGGGTTGGTGGGTTGTGGGGAAGGAAGGTTAGGTGGAAGGTTGGTGGGTTGTGTGGAAGGAAGCTTAGGTGGAGGGTTGGTGGGTTGTGTGGAAGGTTGGTGGGTTGTGTGGAAGGAAGGTTAGGAGGAAGGTTGGTGGGTTATGTGGAAGGAAGGTTAGGAGAAAGGTTGGTGGGTTGTGCAGAAGGAAGGTTAGGTGGAGGGTTGGTGGGTTGTGTGGAAGGTTGGTGGGTTGTGTGGAAGGAAGGTTAGGAGGAAGGTTGGTGGGTTGTGTGAAAGGAAGGTTAGGTGGAACGTTGGTGGGTTGTGTGGGAGGAAGGTTAGGAGGAAGGTTGGTGGGTTGTGCGGAAGGAAGGTTAGGTGGAGGTTTGGTGGGTTGTGTGGAAGGTTGGTGGGTTGTGTGGAAGGAAGGTTAGGAGGAAGGTTGGTGGGTTGTATGGAAGGAAGGTTAGGAGGAAGATTGGTGGGTTGTGTGGAAGGAAGTTTGGTGGAAGGTTGGTGGGTTGTGTGGAAGGAAGGTTAGGAGGAAGGTTGGTGGGTTGTGTGGAAGGAAGGTTAGGAGGAAGGTTGGTGGGTTGTGTGGAAGGAAGGTTAGGTGGAGGGTTGGTGGGTTGTGTGGAAGGAAGGTTAGGTGGAGGGTTGGTGGGTTGTGTGGAAGGAAGGTTAGGTGGAGGGTTGGTGGGTTGTGTGGAAGGAAGGTTAGGTGGAGGGTTGGTGGGTTGTGTGGAAGGAAGGTTAGGTGGAGGGTTGGTGGGTTGTGTGGAAGGAAGTTTGGGTGGAGGAATCTTAGACTGCTGTGCAGTATTAAGAAAGTTCAGCAAGGACAATGTAACATCTTGGAGCTAAAGTTGCCCATTAGAGGGGTCCCACATTCCCCAGGAATGGGCCTGCCTTAATATTCCTGTTGCACTCAGTCATGGAGTAGCCTTCGAGAAGCATGAGCTGAGCAGGAAGCCGTGATGGATTTCAGAATGTAGAAGTTGGGGCTGTAAGTCAATTATGAGGTGCATTTCTTTGGTAACATCTTACATCACACTGTCTTTTCAAGCAAATCTTTTAGCTTTGTCTTCAACAAATGTCTCCACCTACTGCCCTAGTTCAAGCCTCTGTCACCATTCACCTAGACAATTCCAAAAAATGTTTTGTTTCCCTACTTCTAGTCCTAATACCCTTACAATGATTTCCCACAATGCTATAAGGATGAACTTTATGATACATAAATGCAACTGTGTCATAATTCGGCTTAAGAATCTAGGTGGATGCCAGGCCGGGTGACTCACGCCTGTAGTCCCAGCACTTTGGGAGGCCAAGGTAGGCAGATTGCCTGAGATCAGGAGTTCAAGACCAGCCTGGCTAACATGGTGAAACCCCATCTCTAGTAAAAATACGAAAATGGCCGGGTGCGGTGGCTCATGCTTGTAATCCCAGCACTTTGGGAGGCCGAGGCGGATGGATCACGAGGTCAGGAGATCGAGACCATCCTGGCTAACACAGTGAAACCCCGTCTCTACTAAAAATACAAAAAATTAGCTGGGCATGGCGGCATGCGCCTGTAGTCCCAGCTACTTGGGAGGCTGAAGCAGGAGAATGGCGTGAACCTGGGAGGCAGAGCTTGCAGTGAGCGGAGATCGTGCCACTGCACTCCAGCCTGGGCGACAGAGCAAGACCCCATCTCAAAAAAAAAAAAAAATTAGCTGGGCATGGTGGCACACACCTGTATTCCCAGCTACTCAGGAGGCTGAGACAGGAGAATGGCTTCAACCTGGGAGGAGGAGCTTGCAGTGAGCCAAGATCACACCACTGCACTCCAGCCTGGGCAACAGAGTGAAATTCCATCTCAGAAAAAAAGAAGCTAGGTGGAGATGTCTTTTTGTCAATTGATAATGGGTACAATGATCCTTTAGCATATATATGACAACAATCTCACCAGCTTTCATTAACAAAGCTAATTTCAAAATTGCCTCATATTCTTTTTGGTAAGGTCATCATTATATTTATATATGGAGCTATCCCAGTTACCATATGTCATTTATCTGCTTAAAAACCTACAAATATTTACTAGGATAACACCTAAGCTTTTGATCACAGTAAACTAGGACTCCCAGGACCCAGCCACTTTCTACTTCTCCTGTATTATCCCTGCTACTCCTTTCCTGGCATTTAATACTCCAAAAATACAGTACCAAACTGTCTGTAGCTTCTGCTGTGCTGTACACATCATCTTCATGTCTTTGTTTATACTATTCCCTCTACTGGGACTGCCATTGTCTCTTTTCCTCCTCCCCTCCTTTCTGTGCCTATTTGAATGTCATTTTAGATTCAGCTCAGCTACCACCAGCTTTCCAAGACTCCAATACACCAACTCAAAGATCATTTAGTCCAAGCTCTGTCCCAATTCAGGAATCCTATGGAAACCGTTCAGGCAGAAGGTAATCCAAGGAAGAGCTCACAGTATCACAAGGCAACTAGCTGTATCTTTGGACTGTGCTCATGGTCACATAAAGCAATGACAGCCACTTCCCATTGTGTTTTATCAGGGAGTCTATCAGTTCCTGTTTCTCCATCTTTTCTGGGTGCAGTGGTTAGAATAATATACTCACTTGAAGCTTTAAGATGAACGGAGAGTTAGAAGTTGGGAGGCTGACTGAGAAATTCTCTTGGCAAATCCTATAGAGGTGGACCAAGTGTGGTGGCTCACACATGTAATCCCAGCACTTTGGGAGGCTGAGGTAGGTAGATTGCATGAGGTCAGGAGTTTGAGACCAGCCTGGCCAACAATGGTGAAACCTCGTCTCTACTAAAAAAAATAAAAATAAAAAAATAAAAAATTAGCTGGGTATGGTGGCGCGTGCCTGTAATCCCAGCTACTTGGGAGGCTGAGGCACAAGAGTCACTTGAAACTGGGAGGCAGAGGTTGCAGTGAGTGCAGATCGCACCACTGCACTCCAGCCAGGGCAATAGACTGAGGCTCTGTCTCAAAAGAAAAGAAAAGAAATCCTATAGAGGTGATCTCCTGCTTTGAACCTTCAGATCTTGGGTGGGGACAGAAGTGGGGAAGGTGAGGATGAGGAAGGACAGAGCTTGTCAACAAGCCATTGGTCATGTCCTTCTGCTTGTAATGTCTGAACTTTCTAGCTTTTCATTTCTAAATTCCCTGCCTATGACTCACAGATGTTTCAAGGGGCCTTCAGAATGCCTGTGGACTTTAGTAGGTGAGAGCCATGGGCAGAGGAAAGATGTAGTAGATGACAAATCACGTGAGGGTTAGAATTTGGCCACGGTGACTGCAGTTGCTAAGATTCTAAATGTTTCCTTAGTGCTTTTTGGTAAATCTCTCTTCTCCCAAGATCGAAAAGTTGCATCTAGAACTAGATATATAGATGGAAGTTACCTAATATGGAGGAAAAAATAGTGAACAAAGGCTAATTTGGGAATCCTAAACTCAATTGGGATTGTGGAATGAAAAGCATGATGAATATGAGTTTTCTTTATCCACATCTAAAGCAAGCATCATTTTCCCAATTTTGAGTAGGTACTGCCTGCTTTTATGCATTTTAGAGGGTTCAGTGTGGTGGCCGAGTAAGCACTGGGACACTGTCAAGTAGTTTCAGTCAAAAGTTCATTTTGGGGAAGCATAAAAAGGACTCGTAATATGTATGAAAAAATAAGTAAAATAAATATGAATAATTATGAATAAAAATTTCACCACTAGCAATGTTATTCACGCTGCAATCATGGAAATAAAAACAACAATAAAAAATACTGAGCATTAAGAATCACTAAATTATCTTACCAGCCATCATGACTCTGTACAAACAGAGCATACAATTAAATTTTTCACTGGAACTTGAGTATTGATCATCTGGGAATATAAACATGAGAGAAAGATAATAAAAGGAAACTAGTGGCTGCAGCGGCTCACGCCTGTAATCCCAGCACTTTGGGAAGCAGAGCTGGGAGGATCACTTGATCCCAGCCTGGGCAACATAGAGAGACCCTGTGTCTCTTTAAAAAAAAAAAAAAAAGGAAATTAGTTTCATTGTATTTTAAAATTTGTTCTAAAGCTACATTAATTGAAACAGTTGGAGGCCGGGCACAGTGGTTCACGCCTGTAATCCCAGCACTTTGGGAGGCCAAGGCGGGCGGATCATGAGGTCGGGAGATCGAGACCATCCTGGCCAACATGGTGAAACCCCGTCTCTACTAAAACTACAAAAAATTAGCCGGGCGTGGTGGCGGGCACCTGTAGTCCCAGCTACTCGGGAGGCTGAGGCAGGACAATGGCGTGAACCCGGGAGGCGGAGCTTGCAGTGAGCTGAGACCGCACCACTGCACTCCAGCCTGGGCGACAGAGCGAGACTCTGTCAAAAAAAAAAAAAAAAAAAAGAAACAGTTGGTATAGTGCAGAAATAGACAGATCAATGGAAAAAGCTCAAAAGTGGACCCACATGCAAACAAAATTAGTTTACAATAAAAGGAGCATTCCAAATCAGTAGGAAAAATATTCAATAAATGTTGTTGGTATAAGTGATTAGTCTTTTAGAAAAAATGAAAATGCATCCATATTTTTCTCTGCACATCAAAAATAAATCCCAGAACTAAGACTTAAATATAAAAATGAAAAAACCAAAGTACTAGAATAAAATAATGAATTTTTAAATAATCTTGCATGGAGAAGGCTTTTTCTTAGTATGAAAACTTGGCAATATTTGTCTATAAAATCCAGAAGTTGTCATAAAGAAAAGATTAATAAATATGACTACTTAAAAATGAAAACTTCTGAATAAAAAAATACAATCAACAAAGTCAAAGACAATTGACAATCTGGGAGAAAAGTGGGCAACACGTATTATCTATATATGTTCTCATTCCTTTAGTATAGATGAAGCCTTTAGAAATCTGTAAGGTAGGCTGGGTGCAGTGGGTCATGCCTGGGGTAATTCCAGCACTGAGGGAGGCCAAGGCAGGCGAATCAACTTGAGGTCTGGGGTTCAAGACCAGCCTGGCCAACATGGTGAAACCTGGTCTCTATTAAAAATACAAAAAGTAGTCAGGCGTGGTGATGGCACACACCTGTAATCCCAGCTACCCTGGTGGCCAAGGCATGAGAATCACTTGAGCCTGGGAGGCAGAGGTTGCAATGAGCCAAGATCATGCCACTGCACTCCTGCCTGGGCCACAGAGCTAGACTCTGTCTGAAAAAAAAAAGAAAGAAATCTGTAAGGTAAAGCCAACCACCTATAAAAGAATGAGCAAAGGAGGCCGGACACGGTGGCTCATGCCTGTAATCCCAGCACTTTGGGAGGCTGAGGCGGGTGGATCACCTGAGTCAAGAGTTCAAGACCAGTCTGGCCAACATGGAGAAACACCGTTAGAGACTAAAAACACAAAATTAGCTGGGCGTGGTGGTGCATGCCTGTAATCCCAGCTACTTGGGAGGCTGAGGGAGGAGAATCACCTGAACCTGGGAGGCGGAGGTCGCGGTGAGGTGAGATCGTGCCATTGCACTCCAGCCTGGGCAACAAAAGCTGGAAACTCCATTTCAGAAAAAAAGAATGAGCAGAGGACATGAACTGGTACTTCTCAGAAAAAGAAATATGAATGCACCCAATGCACACATAAAAAGAATACTCAACTTCGCTGCTAATTCAAATAATGCAAATTAAAATAGCAGTAAGATGGCAATTTTTAACCAGTCAAATTGGCAAAGCTTTAAAAGTTTAATAACAAAACATGTTGGCTGGCAAGCAGGGAAACACATTACCAATGGAAGTATACGTATTTATAATGCTTTTGGAGAAAATTTGGCAATATTTCTTTTAAGGAAATTTCCTTTTAATTCTCAGCAAGGCAAGTTACTTCTATACAGAAGCGTGTGCCCTTACAGATGGAACAATGAGGACTGCACATCTGGACAAGGGAGGGGAAGGGGTTCTTATCCCAGAAGCACTTGGCCCCTGCTGCTGTGTCGTTCCCCTATTGGCTAGGGTTAGACTGCACAGGCTAAACTAATTCCGATTGGCTAATTTAAAGAGAATGATGGGGTGAGTGCTTTGGCGGGAGTCAGGGCAGAGCAGGTAGCAGGTAATTGGAATGAGTTAGGGTGGAGCAGGTGATCAGAATGAGTTAGGGTGGAGCAGGTGATCAGAATGAGTGGAGAGAATGAGTTAGGGTGGAGCAGGTGATCAGAATGAGTGGAGAGAATGAGTTAGGGTGGAGCAGGTGATCAGACTGAGTGAAGAGAATGAGTTAGGGTGGAGCAGGTGATCAGAATGAGTTAGGGTGGAGCAGGTGATCAGAATGAGTTAGGGTGGAGTAGGTGATCAGAATGAGTTAGGGTGGAGCAGGTGATCAGAATGAGTTAGGGTGGAGTAGGTGATCAGAATGAGTTAGGATGGAGCAGGTGATCAGAATGAGTTAGGGTGGAGCAGGTGATCAGAATGAGTTAGGGTGGAGCAGGTGATCAGAATGAGTTAGGGTGGAGTAGGTAATCGAAAAAGGTTGCTTTACGAGGAAGTTTAGTTTAAAAGTAGAAGGCAAAGAATTGAACATACTGCCTTTTTGTCTCTGTCTCTTCCTCTCTCTCTCTGCCTCTCTTTCTCTCTCTCTTTGACTCCTTCTTTTTCTGTCTCTTCCTTTCCCTCACTGCCTCTCTGCCTCTCCTCTCTCTCCTCTAGGGTAGGGACTTGCACGAGTGGAGCTACTCTCTCTTCCCCTGAGAAGGAAGGAAAGGGGGTGGGGTTGTGTCAGGTTCAATCCTTGAAATTAGTGGAAGGCCCAACCCCTCAACACTAGGGATGTCTCGCCTTGAAATTTGGCAATATTTCTAAAAAATTCAAGTGCAACATATACACCACGGAATACTATGCAGCCATAAAAAAGGATGAGTTCATGTCCTTTGTAGGGACATGAATGAAGCTGGAAACCATCATTCTGAACAAACTATCTCAAGGACAGAAAGCCAAACACTGAATGTTTTCACTCATAGGTGGGAACTGAACAATGAAAACACTTGGACACAGGATGGGGAACATCACACACTGGGGCCTGTCATGGGGTAGGGGGAGGGGAGAGGGATAGTGTTAGGAGATATACCTAATGTAAATGACGAGTTAATGGGTGCAGCACACCAACATGGCACATGTATACATATGTAACAAACCTGCACGTTGTGCACACGTCCCCTAGAACTTAAAGTATAATAAAAAAAATTCAAGTGCAAATACTTTTAATCTAGAGGTTCCTCTTCTAGGAATCTGTTCTACATATAAATTCACACAAGAACAGAAATATGTATAATAAAGGTTGTATATTTCTGCATTAACCAGTAAAAATAAAAAGTAAAACAAAGTAAATTATGAAAGGAAGGAAAGAAAAGCAACAATGAAGGATGAAAATAGTGCTCTATACTGTGATATGGAATAATGTCCAACATATAGTTAATTGAAAAAATGTAGAACAGTGTGCATGATATAATACCATTTGTATAAAAATGAAACGGAGATACCTATACTCCTTGTAGTGCATAGAAACTTTTTAGAAGGATATACAGTGGTTAACTCTGGAGCGTGCATCAGAGAGATGGGGAAAATGTTTTTATTTTTTATCTTATGGCCTTTTTTTATTGTTTGGATGTTTTACCGTGGCCATGTATTACTTTTGAAATAAGCTACATTTTTAATTTTTGCAAATGAAAAAGATAATTCCATCTGGTTCAGGAAAAGTGTCTGTAGAGAACATGGAAGGTGTTTTTTTCATTTTGCCACCTTTCTTTTTTTGAGAGGGTCTTACTCTGTCACCCAGGCTGGAGTGCAGTGGTGCTGTTATAGCTCACTGCAGCCTTGAACCCCTGGTCTCAAGTGATTCTCCCACCTCAGCCTCCTGAGTAGCTAGGACTACAGGCATACTCTACCACAGATGGCTAATTTTTAAGTTATTTTTTAAGAGACAGGGTTGCTATGTTACCCAGACTGGTCTCGAAATCCTAGGCTCAAGCAACCCTCCTGTGTTGGCCTCCCAAAGTGTAGGGATTACAGGCTTGAACCACTGTGGCCAGCCCACCTTTCTTTACTTCTCTTTTTTTTTTTTTTTTATTGAGACAGAGTCTCACTCTGTTACCCAGGCTGGAGTGCAGTGGCACAATCTCGGCTCACTGCAATCTCCACTTCCCAGGTTCAAGCCCTTCTCCTAGCTCAGCCTCCCAAGTAGCTGGGATTACAGGCATGCACCACCACACCCGGCTAATTATTTTTTATTATTTTTTATTTTTAGTAGAGACGGGGTTTCACTATGTTGGCCAGGTTGTTCTCGAACTCCTGACCTCAAGTGATCCGCACCCCCTCAGCCTCCCAAAGTGATGGGATTACAGGCACGAGCCACCATGCCCAACAGCCCATGTTTCTCAAATAATATTTATTCAACTCTATTGAGTAAGTGATAGGAGTCTAAATTCAATCTCACTGTTTATCATTCTATTTGCCCATCCATCAGTTCTTGGTAATATGTGTTAATAGGCATGGCCTGGGAAAACGAAGTGCACTGAGAATTTTTAGTCTAACTGCTGTGTGTCCATTACAGGTATCACTCATCTTGCAAAATGGATATTGTTCAGCAAAATTAAAAGGCTTCTCTAGAGTAAAATCCATGTCTTACTAACATTTCAGAAGTTAATGTTCTTTCCCAGATACAATAGATTGGATTAAAATTTTGATTGAAGAAGGGATTAAGATAATTTCTGGAACATATATTGGGCATTGCCATGTAGCTGCACTACGTATTTATGGGGACATCCCAAGGGTTCCTTTGTCACTTGTTGCATGTATGTGACAGAAAGAATCTGGAAGGCAATGAAGTCAGGACACTTGGCCTGTGATCCTCCAGTCCCACCTCCATCTGACCAAGGGTGAGACACTTTTAAAGAGTTTTTGTTCGGTCATCAGATATCGGGAAGTGTTACTATATGGCAGGCCCTTACACTCAGTTATATTCAGTTCTGTATGCCATACCACCATATAGTATATATTATGAGTATGGTATAATCTAGTGTAATAAAATGTTAATAAATAAATAAAATAGTAAAATAAGAGGTATAGAGAGCTGCCAACTGCGTGTGAACAAGCCAAGTTCTCTCAGATTTGTCACTCTCCTGCTTAAACCTTCAGTAGCTCCCCAGTACCTTCAAATTAAGTCCACATCCTAAGCTTGGCATTCAAGGTGCTTCGTCATCTATCACCTGTCCACTTCTTTGGCCTCAGCTCTTGACACTGCTCTCATCTCTTGAGATGCCTGTGTTACACTCAAATCTAATTATTTGCAGTTCCCCCCCATTATTTCACAGAACTATGACTTTGCAAATGTTTCTTTACCTGCCTGCTTGGAAAAACATGTACTCAGTGTTTGAGACCTGGCTCAGAAATCAGCCTTTCTGTAAAGGCTTGCCCTGGTTCCTCTCTATATTTTCTGAATAACTTTATTATCACACTTAACAAACTATATTGAAGTTATTCATTTACATTCTTAAGGAAGTTTGGAAATGAAATGTAAAATAAATCCCCATTAGTGTATAAGCTCCTTGAGGGCAGAGGCCCTATCTAGTTAATCTTTGTATTTCTAGTATATAGCACACTGCCTGCTCAACACACTTTGTAAATGAATGCATAGATAAAAGAATGAATTTGTTATACTATAGCTGAAGGATTTCTTTGTAGTTTGACATTTCTTAATATAGTGACAAATGCAGTAAAACCTGCATCTCTCCTGGATTCCATGTTATCTCTACCTCTGCCCTACAGGCACTACTCATAGCATTACAGTGAAGTTCCTGTAACAATTCATTTATTTTAAAACATACTAAATCAGCAAGCATATATCATTTATATCTTGACAGTGTACTTTAAAGCAGATGCTTCAGTTTTTCTTCCTTCACATAGCTAGCATCTCTCCAGACAAGCTTAGATAGCAACCTGTTTTCTTTGGCAAATTGATTAATGGGGACATTACTCATATGCCTGGTTGCATGACATTTCCAATAACATTGTCATTTTGTTTATGGAGTGGTGGGTAAAAATATCCAGGAATTTACTACCAGTGGAGGAACCACCTGTTTGCTGGAAACATTAAAGAGGAAAAACTGGAGAGGCAGCTCTCTTGGAGAATGCTGAAAAAGGTCTAATTCCAGCACGAGCCTGCCCCACAACAAACCACCTCCCAGGGGCACCTGTGGAAACAGGAGAACAGCCTTGCCGTGCATCTTAGCACTTTGGCTGGGGACTGAACTGCCTTGCGGGGACCTGGCAAAACTGCAGAGGTAGCTTTTCTCATGCCTGAAGGGTAGCAAAGGGGGTTGGGGAGAGCTGCCCAGCACTGTGTCAGTGGCAAGGAGTGGATTTAGGAGTAGGAAAAAGGGAGAAAACCATGAATGAGTGGAGGGTTCGGAAGTGGCAGGGCGTGGTGGAGGCACACTGGGGAGTAGGCAGGGACCCAACTGTATGACAGAAAATTGGGCAGGTGTAATCAGCCTACACCTTCCACCTCATCTCAAAGACCTCACAGCATAGGGGGAGGAGTGGGCGACCATGAAGAGAAGTTATGATCTCGTCCTCTGGAAGCCATGGGCAGGAAGGTTACAAGCACGTATTTGGGCCTCACCTGCAGCAGCAAGAACAGAGCAGGTGAACAGGCACGTTCCATGCTGAGTGGGAAAGGGAAACACACTGAAGGCTTGAAGTTTTCCGAGACAAAGCAAAGCCAACTGCGGAAACCTTTAAGAATTAGGGAAAGGATGCTCCCCCCTCCCAAGAACTTTCTGTCTTAAAACACAAAACAACAGAAATAACAGAACACAACACAAGAACCACGTGCTAAAAGGAGAAGGGGGAAGCTGTGGCGGAGGAGCTAAGTCCAGGATGATGACCCGGGTGCTGAACACCACGGGAAAAGATCAAGGTTTCTTGTGCAATCCTTCCCTGCATTTGCGTCAGCCAGCACAAGGCCATCTTGAATTGGCAGCGGTCAATTCAAGAAGCTTATGTGAAAGGCAGCATTACTTAAGACAAAATGACTTTCTATCCTACTTCTGGAGAAATATCTAGAAGCCAGGGCTTCAATGTAAAGCAAATCTATAAAATTCACAATGATATGTATGTTCTCCTGGCAAAATGTGGAAGGAGGGTGTTGCTACTTTCGTGTTTTGAATCTCATTATTGCGAGGGCAGCAGGAGTGTCAGGAGAGCCCGTAGCTCTAAACTCTCAGGACTTTAAAATTCCTATGCTATGTTATAAAATAATCCCTGTAACAGAATAGTTATATAAACTCCCAGTTCTAATAATACTATTTTATTGGGGAAACAAGGTGTTTGTCTAAAGAGCTAATTTTTGAAAATTAAAGGAACAAAGAGCTTAGTCATTTGTGTGAAAAATATGTATATGCCTTCACCAAGTTCCTGTAGATCACTGTGGTTATGTGTCCAAAAGGTTCCAGCAGAAGGCCCCAGAAAATGTTGGGCAGCACCAAGTCCAGAATAGGAATGAAAACAGAATATTTATTTTACTCAGATTAAAAACAAGCCCCAAACAGGACGGGCATGGTGGCTCACGCCTGTAATCTCAGCACTTTGGGAGGCTGAGGTAGGTGGATCACCTGAGGTCAGGAGTTCGAGACCAGCCTGGCCAACATAGTGAAGCCCCATCTCCAAACATACAAAAATTAGCCGGGCAAGGTGGCATGTGCCTGTAATCCCAGCTACTTGGAAGGCTGAGGCAGGAGAATTGTTTGAGCCTGGGAGGTGGAGGTTGCAGTGAGCTGAGATCGCGCCACTGCACTCCAGCCTGGGTGACAGAGCGACACTCCATCTCCAAAACAACAACAACAAAAAACAAGCAAACAAACAAGCAAAACTATCATTCACACACAAACGGAAGAGCTTGCGGAGGCAGCTTTGGTGACTGTCTCTGGAAAGGGGTGATGATATCAGGAACTGTTCAGAAAAGGCCAGTGGAAAACTTTATGAGGGCTAGGTGTGAGGAAGCATCTTTTCGGAACAGTGCCTTTCACCTCGACTAGGTAAAAGCTGAGAAATAGCATCATGTGAGTCTATAAAAACCATAAACAGTAGGCATAGAATCAGCATGGGTTTGCTTATGAAATAAGGATGAAAGAGTACTCTGAAACTTTTTTGAAATAAGCTTAGAATACATTTTTAAAGGACTATTTCATGGAGCAAGCAAAAAAAGTATCTTTCTTTTCTTTTTTTAAATAATTTTATTTTCTTTCTATTTTTAAAAATCTTATAGCCTTCAGTTTCATCTCCAAAAAAAATTTTTTTTTTTTTTGAGACAGGGTCTCACTCTGTCACCCAGGCTGTAGTGCAGTGGCATAATCTCGACTCACTAAAACCTCTGCCTTTCAGGCTCAAGCGATCATCCCACCTCAGCCTCCGGAGTAGCTGGGACTATAGGTACGTGCCACCAGGCCTGGTTAATTTTTTCTATTAAAAAAAAATCTTGGCCAGGCGTGGTGGCTCACACCTGTAATCCCAGCACTTTGGGAAGCTGAGGCTGGTGGATCATGAGGTCAGGAGTTTGAGACCAGCCTGGCCAAGATGGTGAAACCCCATCTCTACTAAAAATACGAAAAAAAAATTAGCCAAGCATAGTGGCGGGCGCCTGTAATCCCAGCTACTCGGGAGGCTGAGGCAGGAGAATCTCTTGAACCTGGGAGGCGGAGGTTGCAGTGAGTGGACATCACACCACTTGCACTCCAGCCTAGGTGACAGAGTGTGAGACTCTGCCTCAAAAAAAAAAAAAAAAAAAAGTCTTTACCGGCAGCCTGAGGTGAGAGGATCACTTGAAGGCCAGGAAGTGGAGACCAGCCTGGGCAACATGGTGAGATTCCATTACCCAACCCCCACCTCCTCTACAATTTTTTTTTTTTTTTAATGCTGGGCATATTAGCCCATCTACTTGGGAGACTGAGGCAGAAGGATCACTGAGGAACACTGAAGCCCAAGAGTTTGAGGTTACAGTAAACTATGATTGTGCCACTGCACTCCAGCCTGGACACATATATGCATAACAGAGCCAAAAGTGGCTACTAAGCAAAATTTATCAAACTTTTAGGGATGGCTGAGCGCAGTGGCTCATGCCTGTAATCCCAGCACTTTGGGAGGCCAAGGCGGGTGGATAACCTGAGGTTGGGAGTTCAAGACCAGCCTGACCAACATGGAGAAACCCCGTCTCTACTAAAAATACAAAATTAGCCAGGCATGGTGACTCATGCCTGTAATCCTAGCTACTCGGGAGGCTCAGGCAGAACAATTGCTTGAACCTGGGAGGTAGAGGTTGTGTTGAGCCGAGATGCACCATTGCACTCCAGCCTGGGCAACAAAAGCGAAACTCCATCTCAAAAAAAAAATGTATATATATATATATAAAACATTAGCTAGAACAACTATGCCCTCTAACAAAGAACTGTTGTTGGTGACAGAAATAGCATGTTAGGTTAGATTCTAAGTGACAACACCTTCATTCCTACAAGAGATAATATTCACATGAACATTTTTGGAAACCATTAACTGGTATTATCACTAAAAATTTTATAATTTATCACAAAATATTAGGTGCTATGTTGTTCATGTAACATTGAATTAACCAAAGAATGACATTAACTACCTTCAGATTTAAACAAATGTTTTGGAGAACAATTCTTTGTACAAGCAGAAAGATTTAAAGATAAAGCCTACGATGGAAATCTTTCTATACAGATGAAGGAAGCCTTTTAAAATTAAAGGAGGCTGGGCGCGGTGGCTCACGCCTGTAACCCAACATTTTGGGAGGCCAAGGGGGGCAGATCACCTGAGGTTAAGAGTTCAAGACCAGTCTGTCCAACATGGCAAAACCCTGTTTCTACTAAAAATACAGAAATTAGCTGGGCATGGTGGTGGGCGCCTGTATACTTGATCTTAGCCAAAGGCCGAGAAGCAATAAGGGCGCCTGTAATCTCTGCTACTCGGGAGGCTGAGGCAGGAGAATCGTTTGAACCCGGGAGGTGGGGGTTGCAGTGAGCCGAGATCACACCACTGTACTCCAGCCTGGGCAACAGAGTGAGACTCTGTCTCAAAAAAAAAAAAAAAAAAAAAAAAAAAAGTCAAAGGAATTGAAAATATGCTTTTATGCTTTAAAATATGTAGATTATATAAGTCAAAAAATAAATATGTGTGACTACTATATGATCCCAAACAGAAAAATCAGAATATCCATAGTATTATAAAATAAGCCAAAAGAAAGAGATATTTACATCTAGCAATAGACAGTATATAACTTAGAGTCAAGAAATGTTGGGCCAGGCGCGGTGGCTCACGCCTGTAATCCCAGCACTTTGGGAGGCTGAGGTGGGTGGATCACCTGAGGTCAGGAGTTCAAGACCAACCTGGCTGGCCAACATGGCGAAACCCTGTCTCTACTAAAAATACAAAAATTAGCCAGGTGTGGTGGCACACACCGGTAATCCCAGCTACTCAGGAGGCTGAGGCAGGAGAATCGCTTGAACCAGGGAGGCAGAGGTTGCAGTGAGCTGAGACCGTGCCACTGTACTCTAGCCTGGGGGACAGAGCAAGACTCTCTATCAAAAAAAAAAAAGAAAAAGAAAGAAGAAAAGAAATGTTGTTAGCACTTAAATCCCCATAAATATTTATGGCTTTTCGAAAATATCTTTATGGTCATAAGTAGGTTTGATAGCATTTCAATAGTAAATTTCCTTGTATTTTTTTCTTAGAAATGGGGAAGATTGAAGCAAAAAATGGAACAGTTAAGGCTATTTATGAAGTAAGAAATGGTTCCCCTGCTACTCTTGTGAAGTTTCCAGGTACCAAAAGCAAACTTCCTCCTAACGACTCAGGGTTCCAATCTTTTCTCCCTTAAAAATACAAGATCCAGAAGAGGAGCCCTGTCAGATTTCCATTCAACAAAACCGCTGGGCTTACCAACCTTACACTGGAAACAACAAGCTCAAAAGTGGACTCTGAAACTTGCTTTTTAAAAAAAGCGTTTCAAGCGATAAGTGTAACGTGCTACAGCAAGTTTAGACATCTGCAGGTCTGATGCAGTCATCTCCTGAGGGTTTACCCAACAGACACACACAGGGCCAGGCACCTTTTCTTCTTTAGCAGCAGAAGAAAAATGTGCTCTTTATTGCCAAAAATAAACACTTTTTAAAAGACGACTTCTGTTCCTCAATAAATATCCCTTCCTTTCTATAGTGGATCTCTGGTTTTCTCCAGGCTGCCTAATTAACTGCTTTGGGTGTGTTCCTAACTGGAGACAGTGCTGAGGGGTCAGGGCCACAGCCTTCATTAAGGAGAAATGAAATACTCCTCCTGTGTACGTAGGAGGTGCCCTTGGTCCCGCCGGCCGCTGCCACCACCACCAAACTAAATGATCAGGCTCTTGGTGGTGAAGGGGTTCATAAATGCTGGGTAGAGAAAGGAATATTAGGTTTATTGGCAGGGAGGGGACAGCCAGGGTCTAATGCTATTCTCAGAAGGTTACTCTCAAATTAGGGACACCTGGGAATTTGAAGTGTTAGTGGCCCTGGGGAAAGGACTGGAAGGATTTATAAGCCCCTTGAATGAACGCCGTGGCACTCAATCTTAACACCAGAAATCTAAGGTACAACTGAAAATTACTCCTTTTGGACAGAAAGGAACAGAAGGGAGAATTGGTTTTATTTTTTCGGGTTGTTTGTTTTTTGTTTTTTTTTGAGACGGAGTCTCGCTCTGTCGCCCAGGCTGGAGTGCAGTGGCGCAATCTCGGCTCACTGCCAGATCTGCCTCCTGGGTTCATGCCATTCTCCTGCCTCAGCCTCCCAAGTAGCTGGGACTACAGGCGGCCGTCACCACGCCCAGCTAATTTTTTGTATTTTTAGTAGAGACGGGGTTTCACCGTGTTAGCCAGGATGGTCTCCATCTCCTGACCTCGTGATCCGCCCGTCTCAGCCTCCCAAAGTGCTGGGATTACAGGGGTGAGCCACCGTGGCTGGCCGAGAATTGTTAAAGAAGGTACTGGACTATACTTTCTCAGCTCTCTCCTACCTCCCCGACCCTAACCCCCATGGGTATCCAGTTTCTACTTGCTGCTCTTCAAATGCTGAAAGCCCAACCACAGCAATCAGATCTACTCAGATCTTCCCCCTCTTATAACATCCATCCTCCAAAACCATATATTCCTCTTTTCTCCCCCATGTAAACCCTGTGTTAAATTAATATTTAGGGAGCAGGTAAGAGAAAAAGAAGCATATCCATACTAAAGTGTAAATGACTAATAGGGATGCTTGGAAAGCCCTCTCTTACAAAGGGTTGCTCAGTTTTAAACAGTTGCTTATTGGCCAAATAAATACATTTTCTATTATTTCCTCAAATAAGGGCGCATTTTATTCTTTCTCACTGGGCGAGGGACGTATATGGCTTAGAAACAGCAACAGTAGGCCAGGCACGGTGGCCTGTAATTCCAGCACTTTGGGAGGCCAAGGCAGGTGGATCACCTGAGGTCGGGAGTTTGAGACCAGGTTGGCCAACATGGTGAAAGCCCGTCTCTACTAAAAGTACAAAAATTAGCTGGGTGTGGTGACACATTGTAATCCCAGCTACTCGGGAGGCTGAGGCAGGAGAATCGCTTGAACCTGGGAGGCAGAGGTTGCAGTGAGTCGAGATCACACCACTGCACTCCAGCCTGGGCGACAGAGTGAAGACTCCATCTCAAAAAAAAAAAAAAAGAAAGAAAGAAACAACAACAGTATTTTAAGCAGAAAAGAGTAAATAGTACAGTATCAAGAACTACTGGTGTTGCATTTGAAGGGAAGCTTTTAGTATGTTGGTGAAGGGGAAGAGGTGAGGGAAAGTTTGAGCTTGGAAGGTTTTAGTTCCTTGAGCTTCATTTTCTCTTCCTTATTTTTATGCTGATTGGGTCTCTTTTTCCTTGTCAACAGACTGCTTCAGTACTTCTTGGCTTTATTTATTTATTTTGCTCCTGCTAACAAGCTGGAGGCTGAGTTATGTGCTCAGTCTGAAAATGTTCCTTTTGACTGTTGTCTCTGAACTTTCTAACCAATACAGAGAGTAAATAGGTACTGTGCTGTATGCAAATGTAGGCATATTTGTCCGTGTAGGCCAAAGGAGGGGAGGCATGTTGCAAAATGCCTTTAGAACAAAAACAAACGTTTCCAATAGAGTATTTTATAGCCTTTTGAAAATAAGCTAAACTTTTAGAAAACGAAAAGTACAGAGGAAGACTTATCTATAAAATAAATTGGAAAAAACCACACACAAAACAAAACATGACTAATACTTCGACAGTGAGTTCACCTCAAGCATTTCATGAATTTCACATGACCCACCCACTTTTTCTCTGTACCTCTGAGGATTACCATATTAGCAGCAATAATTACTCTTTTGTTCAAGTGCCAGATTTACATATCAACGTAGCCATGGCATTCCTGAATGTAGAATATTGTACTGTTCGCCTCGTTTGTGGTTTCTATAATAAGGTTAATTTTTGTTCCCTTACCCTCCTCACTTAATCTCATGCCACCCCCTACCTTTCTTCAATTAGTGGTTTGTTTTTTACTTTGAATAGTTTTTCTCCTTTCCTTTCTCAGTCTCTGTGTCATGATTTGAACTATCCTCAAATTCACTGTACGAACCATGCTGCATTTAAAACTTTTTATCACCCAGCCATGGATGATCAATTCTTTGAAAAGACAAGCCAAAGACAGAGAAGTTATGAATGGGCATTTCTAGGATGACTCTAGAATACCTTCTTCCCCAAGTTTAGGATGTGTGGTAAGATGCGTCAGAAGTTACCATGGTAGATTTCATGGCCATCTTTGTCTTTTTTTTTTTTTTGAGATGGAGTCTCGCTCTGTCACCCAGGCTGGAGTGCAGTAGTGCAATCTCGGCTCACTGCAAGCTCTGCCTCCTGGGTTCACGCCATTCTCCTGCCTCAGCCTCCCGAGTAGCTGGGACTACAGGGGACTGCCACCATGCCTGGCTAATTTTTTGTATTTTTAGTAGAGATGGGGTTCACCGTGTTAGCCAGGATGGTCTCGATCTCCTGACCTCGTGATCTGCCTGCCTCAGCCTCCCAAAGTGCTGGGATTACAGGCGTGAGCCACCACACCCGGCCCATCTTTGTCTTTTCCTTGGTAGGCCTTTAAAAAAAATTATTGCTATTTCTAGATTTTATTGGAGATGGATCTAGCAAAAATTTCCAGAATTGCATCAGACATTTTTAATTTCCAATGGATGTTTGGAAAGGGTTGGACAGTTTTAAAATTTTTCAGACTCAAACATGTCAAACTGGCCAGGTGCAGTGGCTCACACCTGTAATCCCAACACTTTGGGAGGCCAAGGTGGGCCGATCACCTGAGGTCAGGAGATTGAGACCATCCTGGCCAACATGGTGAAACCCTGTCCCTACTAAAAATACAAAAATTAGCTGGGCATGCTGGCACATGCCTATAATCCCAGCTACTTGGGAGTCTGAGGTAGGAGGATTGCTTGAACCCGGGAGGCAGAGGTTGCAGTGAGCTGAGATCATGCCACTGCACTCCATCCTGGCAACAGAGCTAGACTCCACCTCAAAAAAGAAAAAAAAAAGTGTCAAACTAAATGGAAAGCCAGCTTGGGCCTAACAAGCTATTTTAATGAGCATTCTTTCTCTGTGATGTTCCCCAGGGGATATGAGCCCAAGAAGACCCATGTGGCCCAGGGAGTAACATGATCATCTTGGCTCTGTTTAGACACCTGTGCCCAGCGGTAAGGGGACCAGGAGGCAGACAGATAGATGAGGGCATGGAGGCATGCAGACCCATTAGGAGTGGGTGTGCACCATGCTACTTAGAAAGTTACTACAAGAAACTCCATAGCAGTGACAGAGGCTTGATGCAACATAGGCCAACAGTGCCTCTATGTGGGGTGTCTGAGAGTATATGAAATGTGTTTGTGACTGTTGGGGAGGGAGTGAAGAGAGGAGAAATGTATGTGTTTTTTAAAGGAATTGCATGCCTTGGAGGTTCCTTTTGAGAAGATGATATAGGAAAAAAAGATTGAGAACCGTAGATATAGAACACATCCAGGATGCTGAGAGCACATTCTTCCCCTAACCATTTAAAAAACACTTTGCTGTGTTTGCTCTTCTAATCAGTCTGATGCGCAGCTTTCCCTGCCCACCATAAGTTTTACATCCTCTTACCTTCAACTTATCACCACATAGATATTAAACTTGATCTGTATTATTTTTTACCAGATGCTTTGTTTAGTGAATGGTCTAAGTTTTCTGTATGTCACCTCCTGGATTATAAAGTCCTTGAGGATTTACACTGTAATTTTAGAAGTTAATACACCTACTAGGTGCAGTGGCTCATGCCTGTAATTCCAGCACTTTGGGAGGCCGAGGCGGGCGGATCACGAGGTCAGGAGATAGAGACCATCCTAGATAACACGGTGAAACCCAGTCTGTACTAAAAATACAAAAATTAGCTGGGCGTGGTGGTGGGCGCCTGTAGTCCCAGCTACTCGGGAGGCTGAGGCAGGAGAATGGCATGAACCTGGGAGGCAGAGGCTGTAATGAGCCGAGATTGCACCACTGCACTCCAGCCTGGGTGACAGAGCGAAACTCTGTCTCAAAAAAAAAAAAAAAAGTTGCATGGGACACACTTTCCTAAAAGAGTATTTGCGGTTTATCTGAAATTCGAATGTAATTGAGTATTCTGTGTCTATATTGCTAAATCTGAGAACTCTACCTCAGTTGGATTTTGCAAGGGTTGAGAAAGCACTTTGTGAGTCTTTGAAAAGGTGTGAGCCAAAGGGCTCTTCAGGAGCAGCATTGACAAATATGCAATCTTTGTCAAGTTCTCAAAGGCCCGAGGTAGGCCAAAACAAAAACAACAGTAAAAACAAGCTCACTGACTTTATTAAATGAGGACACAGCCAGTTATTTTTAAAATAACTTTATTGAGATATAATCCACTCATTTAAAGTGGTTTAACTACAGTTAAACTACAATTTAGTGGTTTTTAATATATTCACAGGATGTGCAACCATCACCAAAATCAATTTTAGATAATTTTCTTTTCTTCTTTTTTTTTTTTTTTTTTTTTGAGTCGGAGTTTCGCTCTTGTTGCTCAGGCTGGAGTGCAATGGCACGGTCTCAACTCACTGCAACCTCCGCCTCCTGGGTTTAAGCCATTCTCCTGCCTCAGCCTCCCACGTAGCTGGGATTACAGGTATGCTCTCCCAGGCCTGGCCAACTTTGTATTTTTAGTAGAGATGGGTTTCTCCATGTTGGTCAGGCTGGTCTCGAACTCCTGACCTCAGGTGATCAGCCCACCTCGGCCTCCCAAAGTGCTGGGATTACAGGCGTGAGCCACCATGCCCGGCTGAATTTTAGATCATTTTCATCACCTCAAAAAGAAACCCAGTACTCATTAACCGTCACTCTCCTTTCCAGGATCCCTCCATCCCTGCCATTCTTCAACCCTAGCCCTTGGCAACCACTAATGGATTTTTTGGTCTATTTAGATGTGCCTGTTCCAGACACTTCATTATAAATGGAATCATACAATATGTGGCCTATTGTGTCTGGCTTTTTTCACTTCACATAAAGTTTTCAAGGTTCAGACATATTGAAGTGTGTATATCCCTTCATTTTTTTTCATTGCTGAATAATATTTCTTTCCTTTTTTTTTGAGACAGAGTCTTGCTCTGTTGCCCAGGCTGGAGTGCCGTGATCACAGCTCACTTCAGCCTCCAACTCCAGGGCTCAAACGATCCTCCCACCTGGGCCTCCCGAGTGGCTAGGACTACAAGCACCACCACCACACCCAAGTAATTTTTAAATTTTTTGTAACACACCCAACTAATTTTTAATTTTTTTTGTAGAGACTGCATCTTACTATATGGGTCTTCTTCCTTCTTCTTTCTTCTTCCTTCTTCTCCTTCTTCTTCCTTCATCGTTCTTCTTCCTTCTTTCATTCTTCTTCTTCTTTTTTTTTTTTTTAAATACAGTGTCTGGCTCTGTCGCCCAGGCTGGAGTGCAGTGGTACAATCTTGGCTTATTGCAGCCTCTGCCTCCCAGGCCCAAGTGATCCTCTCATGTCAGCCTCCCCAGTAACTGGGATTACAGGCATGTGCCACCACACTCGACTAATTTTTGTATTTTTTTGTAGAGACAGGTTTTGCTATGTTGCCCAGGCTGGTCTCGAACTCTTGGGCTAAAGCAATCCTCCCGCCTCGGCCTCCCAACGTGCTGGGATTACAGGCGTGACCCACCACCCCTGGCCAGTATTTCTTAATTTGTATAGTCCACACTGGTTTATCCATTCATCCAGTAAAGGACATTTGCGTTGTTTCCACTTTTTGACTATTATGAATAATGCTGCTAGGAAAGAACATTTATATACAAGTTTTTGTGTAGTCACTCGTTTTAATTTCTCTTGGGTATGGGAGTGGCCAATATTCTGAAGAACTGCCAAATTTCTTCCCAAAGTAGCTGCACTATTTTACATACTTAGTTTTTGTTTTTCGTTTTTTTTTAAATAAAGAACCTTTAGGGTTTCCTCAGCGTCCCAGAGGAGGGCCTGCTTCCGGCACCCCGCCTTCAGGGCTGCCTCCGCAGAGCACCAAACTCCCGTCCCCGCCATTCCAGGCCCTGGCACTTAGGAGCCAAAACCTCAGGTCAGGCGCACTTTGGGCCTCCAGCCCAGCCCCGCCTCCTCAGCGCTAGCTAGTAGGCAAAAGGAAAACAGCTGCCCCTTAATGAGGCTATGTGGACATCGTAGTTTTTTTTCCAGTCAGTAGCGCAGAGACTGTGATAAGAAAAATCACAATTCCCAGAATGCCGCGGTGCTACGGCAGCCGAAGGGGCCATTCCGTGTGCAGCGCTCCCGCCCACCCTCCGGTCTCGGCGGCTCTCCAGAGCGTCTGTAAACACCCAGAGACTGTCATGGAGGGGGAGGAGGAGGCGGCGGCGGCGAAGGGAGGCGTTTGGGGCCGCCTCCAGGGTCCGCTCTGCCATTCCTGAACTGGTCCCTCGTCCCCGTGACTCTGGCATCAGGGAAGCGAACTGTTAGGCGAGAGGAGGAGGCAGCCAGAACCATATCCCCTTCTTCCTCGGGGCGGGGGCCGGGCCAGGCCGGCTGAGCCGGGGGAGGGCTCCGGGAGGGAGTGCCTGGCCAGGCCGGCCTGTCTGCCGCGATGGATGACAGTAAGGTAAGTCTTGTGGTTTGCACGCGCCGCCGCCTTCTTGTCGCTCAATGCTAGTCCCGCGGCTGAACCTCCGCTATGTAGTCCACGCCAACACCCAAGAGACACCTGCCTAAAACATCCCTGCGCCTCTCCAGTCCACTGCCCGATGGTACCCAGCCAGGAAATCAGGGAACACCGGGGCTGCGTTTTTCCAGGAAGGGCCCTCTCTGGAAATTTTTCACTCCCAGGGCGTTTGCTAGCTTTCCAGGTAGTGCAACCCCTAGTCCTTAACTTGCCTGTCGAGATAAGAAACTACTGTACTTTTTCTTCTTGCACTTTTTTGCTGCCTCCTCTCTCCAGTTTGGAGACTTTAGTGCACGCTGAACCAGCCTTATTCCCCTTGACGATTCCCCTTCTCTCAGGCTCCCTTACTCAATGCCCCATTCATATAATCAGTTCACTCCCCCTCTGAGCTATTTCCTGTGGTTGGTTGGAACACCGCTAAGCTCCTGTTGCTATTTGGCCAGTGTGGAGTTTAACCTCCACTAGAAAGCCTTCTCTAAAAAAATACTGATTTTCCTCTTGTTAACTTTAATAGCCCATCACCATCCAATTTCCCTGTCCAAATCACTTACTTTATGATTATAAAATAATAGATAATGTTCATTATTGGTTAATCCAAATAGTTTATCTATGTATAGCCTTTTTGTCTTTATTTATTAATTGAGACGGAGTTTCGCTCTTGTCGCCCAGGCTGGAGTGCAATGGCGCGATCTCGGCTCACCACAACCTCCGCCTCCCGGGTTCAAGCGATTCTCCTGCCTCAGCCTCCCGAGCAGCTGGGATTACAGGCATGCACCACCATGCCCGGCTAATTTTGTATTTTTGGTAGAGATGGGGTTTCTCCATGTTGGTCAGGCTGGTCTCGAACTCCCAATCTTAGGTGTCCGCTCGCCTCGGCCTCCCAAAGTGCTGGGATTACAGGCGTGAGCCACCGCGCCTGGCCGCCTTTCTCTCTTTACATCTACCCACATTAGTGTTGTTTAGTTTTATTTCCTGAAGATAGGGATGGTCAAAGATTTGTTTATTGATGTTTCAGGTTGTTTTGGATTTGGACTTTTTTATTTTAAGGAATCAGACTTCTAAAATTTGCCAGTTTTTAAAGTAAAAACCGTCCTTCTTTGTGCTTCTCAGCGTCTTCTGTTTCACAGTCTTTGGCATACTCTTTACGATAGCTTTGTCCTTTGTTTGGGTGTCTTTTTTTGCTGCTGCTGCAGTTTTTGTTTCACATATCCTCAGAGAGATTCAAAAAATTTCCAACTTCTCTGTGTTCCTTGTTTTATTCTTTCCTTCTTGTTTTCTCTTCCTCTTCATGTAGAAGGCTGTGAGGAAGTGACAGATGGAAGGGAAAGCCCAGTGCAGTACTCTGGAATTGTTACTCACCTAGAGGAACGGATTGCTTGTGAAGTAGTAAACCCCTCTTAATAGGAAGTGGTATTTCCAAGACAGAAGGGGGGCGAGTTTCAGGAAGCTATCAGCTCATAAGAGTGCTTAATATGCTCAGTACACACATTAATTCCCTTGACAAGAATCTTGCCCTTGTTTGTTTACAACAATGCAACAGAATGCGGGATAACATTGTAGACTCTTCAGTTTTACTATAGTAACATTCGTGGGGTATGATATTGGGGAAGTGGTATTTCCAAGACAGAAGGGTAGCGTTCTAAAAGTTTTCCAGAAAAATCAGCAAGTAATTTTTTTTTTTTTTTGCTTTGAATATTTCTTTGGGGAGGGGACATCACACTTCTTTCTTTTTTCTTTTTTTTCTTTTTTTTTTTTTTTTTTTTGAGACGGAGTCTCCGCTGTATCGCCCAGGCTGGAGTACAGTGGCACGATCTCGGCTCACTGCCGAGAATTGCTCTTGGGTTCAAGCAATTCTCCTGCCTCAGCCTCCTGAGTAGCTGGGACTACAGGCGTGTGCCACCACATCCAGCTAAATTTTTATTTTTCGTAGAGACAGGGTTTCACCATGTTGATCAGGCTGGTCTCAAACTCGAGTGACCTCAGGTGATCCGCCCACCTCAGCCTCCCAAAGTGCTAGGAATACAGGTGTGAGCCACTGCGCCCGGCCAGGACATCACACTTCTACTCAATGAAGATAAACGTTTTTACACCTTTTGTCTTTTTTACCCCTATTATGCCACGAATTCATAGGGAATAAGTTCTAGTAGCTCAGGCTGTTTTCCACTGGTGGAGTAGGCTGGTGCTTCAATTGAACCCAGGTACCTTTCTTATTTAGTTTCCTTTTTTTTTTTTTTTTTTGAAATAGGGTCTTGCACTGTTGCCCAGGCTGGGGTGCGTTGGTGTGATCACAACTCACTGCAGCCTCGAACTCCTGGGCTCAAAGCAATCCTCCACCTCAGCCTCCCAAGTGGCTGGGACTACAGGAATGCACATCCATTCCTAGCTAATTTTTTGCAGAGATGAGGGTCTCACTGGCTTTTTTTTCTGATCATTTTCCTTCACACGTTTCTGGAAGCTGTCAGCTCTTAAGAGTACTTAATATGCTCAATATACACATTAATTCTCTTGGCAAGAATCTTTCCCTTTTTTGTTTACAACAATGCCAACAGAATGCTGGGTAACATTGTAGACTCTTCCAGTTTTGCCATAGTAAGATTTGTAGGGCATTAGTTTTTTTTTTTTTTTTTTGAGATGGAGTCTCTCTCTGTCCCCCAGGCTGGAGTGCAGTGGCACGATCTCAGCTCACTGCAATCTCTACCTCCTGGATTTAAGCGATTCTCCAGCCCCAGTCTCCCGAGTAGGTGTGATTACAGGCATGGGCCACCATGTCCGGCTAATTTTTTTTTGAGACAGGGTCTTGCTCAGTCGCCCAGGCTTGATGCAGTGGTGCAGTCTTGGCTCACTATAAACTCCGCCTCCCGGGTTCAAGTGATTCTCCTGCGTCAGCCTCCTGAGTAGCTGGGATTACAGGTGCATGCCACCACAACCGATTAATTTTTGTATTTTTCTTAGAGATAGGGTTTATTAGAGCCTGCCATGTTGGCCAGGCTGACAGGGTTTTGCCATGTTGGCCAGGCTGGTCTCGAACTCCTGGCCTCAAGTGATCCGCCCACCTCGGCCTCCCAGAGTGCTGAGATTACAGGCATGAGCACTGCACCTGGCCAACTTTTTGCATTTTTTTTTTTTTTTAACAGAGACAGGGTTTCATCATGTTGGCCAGGCTGGTCTGGAACTCCTGACCTCAGGTGATCTGTGTAAGGTATTCCCTTTTAAACAGTCCCCATTCCATTGATGTCTAAAATATCAACCTTCTTTTTTTTTTTTTCTTTGAGACGGAGTCTTGCTCTGTCACCAGGTTGTAGTGCAATGGTGCGATCTTGGCTCACTGCAACCTCTGACTCCCTGGTTCAAGCAATTCTCCTGTCTCAGCCTCTGAGTGGGGATTACAGGTGTGTGCCACCATGCCCAGCTAATTTTTGTATTTTTAGTAGAGCTGGGGCTTCACTAGGTTGGCCAGGATGGTCTCAGTCTCCTGACCTCCTGATCCGCCCACCTCGGCCTCCCAAAGTGCTGGGATTACAGGCATGAGCCACCGCACCTGGCTACAATATCACCTTTCTTGTAGGTTTCCATGTATGTGGCCGAAGGAACAACTCCATGTGTTCTAAAAGGCCTGGAGAACATCTGTTGGTGCCTTTTCTCTTTGCCTTTGTGTTAATCATTTTGGTGAATTACTGGAAGATGGCAGTTCCAGCCAAAAGGCAGAAATAATATTTCATAAAAGTCTTTGGTAGCTTGATCTTTCAGTGTTAATTTTGAAATTAAATATTAACACTGTATCTATTATCTTGATGAGAAAATAATACTAATGTTATGGGTATTTAAGGATGGTAGAAGAACATACTGTTCTTTATTTTTCCTAACTTGAGATTCAGAATATATTCTTTCTGATTTTCAGTTTTTTCCTTTTCAGACCTTTGAAACATTTAACAACTTTCTGAAAGTCTTCAATAATTTCAAATAAGTCGAAGAAAAATACATAGGATTTTGGGCTACTTAGCTGTAAGATCATATAAAAGTTATTTCTAAAACTAGCAATCTGGTGGGGTGAAGGAAGGTTCAAAATGTCATTGTTTAGCCTGAAAGAGTGAAGTTAAAATTTGAGGGCAAGCTATCCGTGAATTACTTCCTAAAGGATACACAGGTAAGCACAGTGAATTTGATTCTCACTCTTTATTAATTCATTGTTTTTATAAGTACTTAGAAACCAGCAGCTTTGAAAACCTTAGTGAGCATCAAAAAGAAAATTCATTTAAATGTCTCTGGATGGAGAGTGCCTCTGGAATACTCTACTTGCACTTTGAATGCATGTTGTAGTTGTAGATAAGTAATATTTACATGTCATGTATAATACTGGACTCTCCTTCAACAGTCAGGCAGTGTGAAACTGTCCTTATATAAGGCTTTGGCAGCTCCCAGCCCTGCGTTTTCTGTGCCCTAGTTATAATCCCACAAAATTGTACTGTCCTCCTAGTATATACAGACATACACACAAAACACACTTTTCCCTCACATTCTGTATGAGTCACACTCTCTCGTCCCATTTTCTTCAGTGTAAGGGAAGATGAGGATTGGGGTTTGGAAGTATGGTGGCTGTGCCCTTGAGAGCATAAAGGATGATAAACTGGCTGACAGCAAGACCAGGGCAACAGGAAGAAGACAGAGTAGGCAGGAACAGCAGTTATAGAGAGGTAGTATTTGAGTGAGTAGGTCAGGAAACATGATGATGATAATGTGAGGGCCTCCCTTTATAAAGATTTTGTATTCTGAGTTGTTTTTACCAGTGGTGATAAATGAGTTTGCTGCGAGTTCTCCACACTCTGCCATCTAGCTGGCTGGAGTGAGAGCAGGACAGATTTGAATGGGGAATAGCTTTGCCTCCCAAGTTTCTAGCAGTGTGCCTAATACAGCATAAAGTACTCATTTATAGAGATTGAATTGAATTGAATCAGGGTGACATTAAGGAGATTGCCCTGATGTACTCGGGCTTTATTAATCAGTGTGCTCCAGCTGAGCAAACCAGCCAGCACATACTTACAATGGCAAATGAGAGAAATAAAGCAAGAGACAGATTTGGCATCTCTAAAGTGGGGGTTTAGGAAAGTGTTAAGTAGCAGAGCTCAAATACTGAGTAGATCTCCTACTAGGCTAGTTGGGAAGGAAAAAATCTTGGCTAATTTATTTAACTTTTTTGAGCTTCCATTTCCTTATCTGTTAAATGTGGCCAATAGGTGAGGCCTTGGTGAAGATTAGGGTTGATACATTTAAAGCTCTAGTACAGACTCTAACACATAGTAGGCTCTCAAAACACGTTATCATTATTATATTACCTAACAGTGATTCCTTGTGCTTTACTACGGTGCAGTAGGTCCCTGAGATGCTCATTTTAGTAATTCTTTTTTTTTTTTTTTTTTTTTTTTTTTTTTTTTTTTTTAGTATTTATTGATCATTCTTGGGTGTTTCTCAGAGAGGGGGATTTGGCAGGGTCACAGGACAATAGTGGAGGGAAGGTCAGCAGATAAACATGTGAACAAGGGTCTCTGGTTTTTCTAGGCAGAGGACCCTGCGGCCTTCCGCTGTGTTTGTGTCCCTGGGTACTTGAGATTAGGGAATGGTGATGACTCTTAACGAGCATGCTGCCTTCAAGCATCTGTTTAACAAAGCACATCTTGCACTGCCCTTAATCCATTTAACCCTGAGTGGACACAGCACATGTTTCAGAGAGCACGGGGTTGGGGGTAAGGTTACAGATTAACAGCATCCCAAGGCAGAAGAATTCTTCTTAGTACAGAACAAAATGGAGTCTCCTATGTCTACTTCGTTCTACACAGACACAGTAACAATCTGATCTCTTTCTTTTCCCCACATTTCCCCCTTTTCTATTCGACAAAACTGCCATCGTCATCATGGCCCATTCTCAATGAGCTGTTGGGTACACCTCCCAGACGGGGCGGCTGCCGGGCGGAGACGCTCCTCACTTCCCAGACGGGGCGGCTGCCGGGCGGAGACGCTCCTCACTTCCCAGACGGGGCGGCTGCCGGGCGGAGGGGCTCCTCACTTCTCAGACGGGGCAGCCGGGCAGAGATGCTCCTTACCTCCTAGACGGGGTGGCGGTGGGGCAGAGACACTCCTCAGATCCCAGATGGGGTCATGGTGGGGCAGAGGTGCTCCTCACATCCCAGATGGGGTGGCGGGGCAGAGGCGCTCCCCACATCTCAGACGTTGGGCGGCCGGGCAGAGACGCTCCTCACTTCCTAGACGGGATGGCGGCCGGGAAGAGGCGCTCCTCACTTCCCAGACTGGGCGGCCGGGCAGAGGGGCTCCTCACATCCCAGACGATGGGCAGCCAGGCAGAGACGCTCCTCACTTCCCAGGCGGGGTGGCGGCCGGGCAGAGGCTGCAGTCTCGGCACTTTGGGAGGCCAAGGCAGGCGGCTGGGAGGTGGAGGTTGTAGCGAGCCGAGATCGCGCCACTGCACTCCAGCCTGGGCAACATTGAGCACTGAGTGAGCGAGACTCCACCTGCAATCCCGGCACCTCGGGAGGCCCAGGCGGGCAGATCACTCGCGGTCAGGAGCTGGAGACCAGCCCGGCCAGCCCGGCCAACACAGCGAAACCCCGTCTCCACCAAAAAATACAAAAACCAGTCAGGCGTGGCGGCGCACACCTGCAATCCCAGGCACTCGGCAGGTTGAGGCAGGAGAATCAGGCAGGGAGGTTGCAGTGAGCCGAGATGGCGGCAGTACAGTCCAGCCTCAGCTGGGCATCAGAGGGAGACCGTGGAAAGTGGGAGACGGGAGAGGGAGAGGGAGAGGAGGGAGAGGGAGAGGAGGGAGAGGAGGGAGAGGGAGAGGGATCATTTTAGTAATTCTTAAGTATATGCTGTTGTATAAGATTTGTAACACCTACACTACCCTTTGCTCCAGACTATGCTCCAGATGGGACAGGGGCAGTGGGGTGGGACATAAAATGAACTTAAGCTCTGTCATTAAGTTAGATAGTGTGAGAAAGGTAGTCTCCTGAGGCCACCTCCATGTTTACCACTAGGAAAAAGTGCTTGTTTTTATGAAAATTTCTTCTTGGCCAGGTGTGGTGTCTCATGCCTGTAATCCCAGCACTTTGAGAGGCCAAGGTGGGTGGATTGAGTTCAGGAGTTCAAGATCAGCATGCGCAACATGGCGAAACCCCATCTCTTCAAAAAATATAAAAAATTATCCAGGTGTGGTGGTATGCAGCTATAATCCCAGCTACTCAGAAGGGAGGCTGAGGCACAAGAATTGCATAAGCCCAGGAGGTGGAGGTTGCTGTGAGCCGAGATCACGCCACTGCACTCCAGCCTGGGCAGTGGAGCCAGACTCTGTCTCAAAGGAAAAAGGAAAGTTTCTTCTCCCTTGACCTGCTGCATTCAATTAGAAAATAGAAATGTGTTATTTTCAGAGGCTTTGATCATAGATAGAAGGTTCTTATTTTTTATTTTATGTTGGACTTTATTGAATGAACACATGAATGAATTGAAATATCCTAAGGCGTCAAGATCCAGTTGAGGGACTGATGCAGGAGTGGGCCAACTACTGGCTGCAGCATGCCAATGTGAGCTGCCATTTCCCTCCACACTTCTTTTCTACCTTGTGTTCTACGTGATTATCTGGAAATGAGGTTTCTTACACTTTCCTTACCCTTTTAACCCTCTCCCTCTGCCAAAGTCTTCTGATTCTTTCCAGTTCTGAGTAGTTCTGGTTCTCAAAAAAATTTTAATTTGGCAAAAAAATCTCTTTGACATTCCCTCATTTATCTTTTGGCTCCTTAACCATCCTCTGCTGCAGTTGGAGCTACCTTCCTTGGGCCGTGCCTTATAGCCCAGACATTTTCTGCTTTTCCTGTCCTCTTACTCACATCAACACTTTCTAGAAGACCAAGACAAAAGAGCCATGTTGTCTATTAAACAAATCTCTGACAGTAGACATTAATGTGCTTGCTTTCTTTTCTTTTCTTTTTCTTTTTTTTTTTGAGACGGTCTCACTCTGTCACCCAGGCTGGGCACAAGTGGTGCAATCATGGTTCACTGCAGCCTCCACCTCCCTGGCTCAAGCGATCCTCCCACTTCAGCCTCTGGAATAGCTGGGATCACAGGCACCTGCCACCATGCCTGACTAATTTAAAAATATTTTTTGTAGAGACAGCCTGTGTTGTCCAGGCTGGTTTCAGACTCCCAAGCTCAAGCAATCTGCCCGCCTCTGCCTCCCAAAGTGCTGAGATTACGGACATGAGCCACCATGCCCGGCCGCCTTCCTTTCTTGTCTAGGTTACATGCACATTTCAACTTGAGTACCTCTACAGATAATTCAGAAACCAAGGAGTAATTTAAATACCACAGAAACCAGTTGAAATCTAAGTTTAAATAACCTTAATCTAAGTTTAATCTAAGTTTAAATAACCTTATTCAGAATGTTTTGTCCTCTTAAGATTTTCAGAAAAGTTTATTTATTAATTCATTCAACATTTGTTGGACACCTGATATGTACGAGGCATTGTGCTAGGCATTGGAGTTGCAAAGATGATTAAGAGTTTGTAACTGTTCTCAGGGAACATTTTATTGGGTGAGGCAGACAAATAGAAAAGTAATTACAATACAGTGAGGTAGAAAATGAGGGCAATAGAGGCAAAGTTCTTTTGGGGCAGTAAGAGTGGGTGCTTAACTGTCGAGGAACGTCAGACATGGGTTTACAGAGTAGGAATGAATCTTTAAAGAACTGGAGTCCCCTCCAAAACAGGAAAGATGGAATATCCTGTTGTAAAGCATCTTGCACAGTAAAGTAAGTATTTTGGTACAGCTAGAGAAGGATCGACAGACTTTCTGTAAAGGGCCATGCACACCATATGGTCTCTGTTGGAATTATTCCACTCTGCCATTGTATCATGAAAGCAACCATAAGCAGAATATAATGAATGGGCATGGCTGTGTTCCAGTAAAACTGTATTTTCAAAAACTGGGCCAGGCACAGTGGCTCACGCCTGTAATCCCAGAACTTTGGGAAGCCAAGGCGGGCAGATCACCTGAGGTCAGGAGTTCGAGACCAGCCTGACTAACATAGAGAAACCCCATCTCTACTAAAAATACAAAATTAGCTGGGCATGGTGGTGCATGCCTGTAATCCCAGCTACTCGGGAGGCTGAGGCAGGAGAATTGCTTGAACCTGGGAGGCAGAGGCTGTGGTGAGCTGAGATCACACCATTGCACTCCAGCCTGGGCAACAAGAGCAAAACTCCGTCTCAAACCAAAAAAAAAAAAAAAAAAAAACTGGCAGCAGGCTATATTTGAGTTGCCAGCAGGGCGGTGATATATTAACCCTGAGCTACAGCGTAAAGCAGAAGTAGAGGTGTGGTCAGAGATGAGGATGAAAGATAAGCAGGGACCAAATTACAATATACCTGGTAAACAAGGCTGACAAATTTGGGTCAGTATCTTTCAGAGTGGAAGAGACCTGGTGAATCAGATTCTTTCGGGATAGGGTCTGGGAATTTAAATTTTAATAGGCTTCCCAGTTGAGTGGCTCTTATGTGTAATGAGGTTTGAAAACCAAGGCCATAAATGTTGGGGAGCCATTGAAGGGTTTTAAAGCAGAAGTGACAAAATCTGATTTGTGTTTTTGAAGAAAAATGCCAATGGCTATATGGAGAACAGATTAGGGTGAAAATGTAGGAACTGGGACAAGACCAGAGGCAGACGGTCCGATTATGAAAGAACATGGGTTTTAGCATATGACTGGAGTTCAAATCTCATTTTCACCCTTTCAAACTGTTGTGATTTTGGACAGATTATTTAATCTCTTCAGATATTACTTTCTTCAGATACGGATTGGGTGTGTTAATAAGGACCTTATTGAGTTATTGTGAGAATTAAATGTAATATATGTGTGATCCCATACCAAAATAACTTAATACATACTGAGTTCAATAAATCCTGGTCTTTTTTGAATTCTCACTGGCATGGTTAGATTGCACAGAAGAAAGGCCTGGACTGAAGACCATATTAGAGACTTTACAATGTAAGTTGCAGTTGATGCGGCGTGCATAAAATTCTGAAAAGATAAAGAGTGAAGAGAATAGAGAGCTAAAGAGAACCCTGGAAAACTCTAAAGTGATCAGAAGATTCTTGAAGAATAGGACTCAGCAAAATAAACTGAAAAGAGAGGTCAGTGACGTAAGAGAACCAGAAGACAGGGCTGTTATGCCATCTAAGAGTGGAGAGACTTTTAAAAAGAGGACTTACCAGTTGTGGGGGATGAGGGAGGGGATAGGGGTTGAGAGAGGAGAGGCAGAAGTTAACTCTCAGGCTAGAGATGCCTACTTGATCTTTCTCCTGTCGACTAGAAAAACTGGCAGAAAGGTTAGCAGCAGGAAGATGTGAGTAGACTTTGCTGCTTTCTGTAGATCTGGCAAATATAAAAAGAGAAGAAGCCTAACCCACAGCTGTGAAGGAAGTTATGGGAGCCTTAACATCAAATGAAAACGCCACTGCTTGTTTTTTTTCTTTAAAGTGGTAAAGAGCAGTGGCTAGCCACATTCATATTTATCTTAATTTTTCTTTAATCCGTGGGAGATAACTTTTCTCTTTATGTTTTTAAGAGAAAGACAAAACAAGCCCTCCTGTTTTCCTTTTTGGCTGAGGCTGCTGGTACTTCTTCATCTAAATACAGTAGTTCTCTTAACTTTAACAACTTGAAACTTTTATTAGTTGCCTTAATTAGAGCATCAGGATGTAAATAAGTGTAAAAAGGGTGATAAAAGAAGAGTTCTTAATTGCTTTTCAGATTTTACATCCCTGAGAGGGAGCATTTCTTTGTAACAACTTCTTTTTTTTTTTTTTTTTTGTAACAACTTCTTTAAAGTTGTTGGTGATAGTAGTATCAGTTTAAATCACTTTCAAAATATTGCTGATTTTTCTTTTTCATTTCATTAAATTATCAATCTTTTAATAAATATCTCTTAAATGCCTGGCTCTGTGCTGGATACTATGGGGTTGCAAAAGAAGTAGAAAACACAGCTTCTGTGCTTGAGGAGCTCAGACTACTTGGGGAGATAGAAAAATGTGTGAGTCCACTAAAAAAAAAATAAAGCATATAAATTCAGTGGGATATTAACTCTGTGTTCCAGAACTTTGAAGAAAAATGACTTATGGACTGAGGGTGGTGGTCAGTGAGAGCTTCAGAGAAAGAGGGCTAGAGCTGATCTTAACAAAATAAAACAAGATTTGCCCTTCTGGATGGTGGGAGGATAGAGGGAAAATAGAAATGTAGGTATAGTTAGAAATGCAGGGGATGGGGTTCAGGCTGGTGGTCTCTAGGGAGACTGGCTTGAGTTGATAGAGAGGGTGCCTGCTGGGGATAATGAAAGAGAGAACTGGCTTTTTGTGGGAATCCTGGATGCAGTGGGCTGAATGGTGGCCCCTAAAAAGATATGTCCATGTCTGAATCCCTGGAACCTGTGGTTATCACCTTATATGGTAAAACAATGAATATTACCTTGTATGGCAAAAGATGTGATTAAGGATTTTGAGAAGAGGAGCTTATCCTCCATTATGTGGATGGGCCGTAAATCCAGTGACAAGTGTCCTTATAAGACTAAGGTAGAGGGAGCTTTGATGGACAGATGAGGAAGCAGCGTGACCACTGAGGCAGATTGCAGTGATGTGGCTACAAGTCAAGGAATGCTGGCAGCCACCAGAAGCTGGAGAGGCAAAGAATGGATTCTTCCCCATGACCTCCAGAGGGAATGCAGCTCCACCAGACTGCCCCAGTCTGGACTTCCAGAGCCAGAGAATAAATTTTTGTTGGTTTAAGCCACCACATTTGTGGTAATTTGTTACAGCAGCCCCAAGAAATGAGTATACTGGATATGGTGACTTAGTAAGTAGTGCTGAGCCAGAGGTCTTTTCTTGAACTCGAGGGTGACATGGCCAGGGGCCATTAGAGAAAATTTATTATTTCTATAATGATCAGGTATTACTTTTTTACAGGGAAGAAAAACACCCTAAAGTTATTAAAAGAAAGGTTAATCTGGCAGCTCTTTGCAAAATGAATTGACTAGGGAAGTGGGGTGGAAACGGAGAGATGGTGGGGAGATGCACTGGGAACCTATTGTAACAACCTGTGAGTAGTGCCCTGACTGGTATTAGGGAGTCAGTGAAGCAGGATATTTCCCTGACCCTTTCACGGGACTCACAACGGGTGCCTCATATACTCAGCCCACCACTCTCAACTCCTTGCAGGAGGGAGCATGTGAGCAAATGAGTGAGGGAACTGGAGTGAATGAGCACGGGAATCGGCCAGCTGCTTTGGTGCTAGCAGGAGTGAACTTTATGCAGGCCCAATGGCAGCATCCAGGTAGGGGTGCCTGAGACTTCCGAAGCCCCAGAGGGAGTGTTACAGTGCTCTTTGAGCTCTGCCATCCGTGGATAGCTCAACTGTTAATAGCTCAGTGGACTCTTTGCCTTTTCTTGTGAGGCAACTGCCTTCCACCAGCAAGGACAAAGGGCCAGTGTGACAGCCTTTTGTATCTGCACTTGTGGCTCCCAAGCTCTTATCCAGCGTCCAGGTAAAATGAGGTCACACAAATGAATTGAAGGATGGTGAATGCAGGGGATTTTATTGCTGATGAAAGTAGTTCTCAGCAGGAGGGGGAACTGAAAAGGGGATGGGACTGGTAGGTAATCTTCCCTTGAAGTCCAGCTGTCTCCAGCCAGACTCTTCTCTGAAGTTATGCCGTCAAGCCATTCCTCTGAAGTCAAGCCACTTCTCTCTGACATCTAGCCGTAGTCTCGTCTACCAGTCTCGTCTGGGGGTTTTATAGGCACAGGATGGGGTGGGGCAGGGCCATGGGTGATTTAGGAAAAGGCAACATTCGAGTGGGAAAACAGGGATGTAAGTTCTCATTTTGGGCCGTCATTTCAGGCTTTTCGGCTTGAGGATGGGGTTTTGTCGGGGACCCACCCTTTTCTGTCTAGAATTTTCTGTCCCCTGTCCCTCTCAGTAGGAATGGAGAAGAAGAGAGAAATCAGAGGTTTATAAAGGAATACATTGGCATCACTTTAGTGGGTGAGCATGGAGAATCACAATAGCAGAGGGAAACTTCAATGAGGTGTAACATGAAAAAGTTTGTTAGTTAACCTCCTCAGCACACCCCTTAACTGAGTGCCTAATATCAAAGTGAGTTACATTAAATGAATGACTGTATAGCATAAATACAGCAGTGCATTTAATGCACCTGTCAGTGTTAGAGCTTTTTCAGGAAATTATATGATCAGATTAATGTGTCCTGTCTGAGATGTGGATGGTAATAGGCATGCTTGATTACCTTCTGACAGGTTGCCATGATACAAATCTAGGGACTTGGGTTCTAGTCCTTGCTCTGATGGAAGTCTCTGGACTAAAATCTTGTCATCTATGAAATGAAGAGATCACATATCCTTATCTGTGTCTATGTATACACATCCCTCCACCACCAGCATTCTTGTCTATATTGATATTCTGCTATCTGCAATGTTATTGTTTATTTCATATCTGCTTCTTTTCACTAGTCTAAATACATTAAGATTAAGTGTCCTATTGTTTTGTATTTATCCCTAGAGTTTTACAGTGTTTGGGACAAAGTGGGTATTTAATAAAGGGTCATTGAATAAAGGAATTAATGTGCTCCTCTTTACCTGAAAAAGATGAGGATAATAGTGCTTACCTCATCTGAGGTAATGTGAAATAACATGAGATAGCGTGTAGAGTGCCTCACTCAAGGCCTTGTTCATAATGAGCGCTTTCTGACCACACACCCTGGTTTAGCCCCGAATTTATGTTTTTATTCTGTTTGTCCTGAAAAATGGGAGGTAAATGGTCCAAGAATCTTTGGAATAGGATTAAATGTGGGTGCTGGAGGCTTCCTCATTTTAAGAAGCCCCAGTTAACTCCTAAAGAGCATGCAACTATAATTATATGTTCTCTTTCTGTGGAAGTTAAACTTGTTGACTGTGAAGCCTAGGCCATCCATAATTTCCTCAGGCCTTTGCAGACTGATTTCTGTTTTGTCTTTCGCTGTAATGGTTAATTATAGAATTATCAGCAATCCCTCCCTTGATTAAATCCAGTTTTATCTTAATTCTCAACCTTAAAACTCATGAGTTAGAACCTTATGCTTGACCCCTCCCCTCCAGAATACTCATTCTTCTCATAAGCTTCTGTATCTGTGCTACCTTGATTCTTTCCTTTCAGCTATTTTTGCTTTTTCAGGCTCACTAGGCAACCATGTCTTTTTAAAAAATAATAGCTTTATTGAAAGGTAATTCACAAACCATAAAATTCACCCTTTTAATTTGTTCATCCTGTGATTCTTAGTATATTCACAGAATTGTGCAATGATCATCACTATCTAATTCCAGAACAGTTCTATCACTCCAAGAAGAGACTCTTACAAACAAACTGTGGTACATCCCTCTGGCAGAATACTATTTAGCAGTAAAAAGAAACGAGTTGCTAGGTGTACCTGTAGTTCCAGCTACTTGGGAGGGTGAGGCAGGAGGATAGCTTGAGCCCAAGAGTCTGAGACCAGCCTGGGCAACATAGCGAGGCCCTGTTTCTTAAAAAAAAAAAGAAAAGAAAAGAAAGAAAGAAAAATAAATAAACAAGCTATCAAGCCACGAAAAGTCATGGAGGAGCCTTAAATGCATATTGCTAAGTGAAAGGAGCCATTTTGGAGAAGGCAAAACTGTAGAGATAGTAAAAAGTTCAGTGATTGTCAGGGTTTCAGGAGAGGGAGGAAGAGAGGGAGGAATAGATGGAGCACAGGGGGTTTTTAGGGCAGTGAGACGATTCTGTATGATACTGCTTATCAAAATTCATAGAATATACCACACCAAGAGTGAACTCTAATGTAAACTGTGGACTTCAGTTACTAATAATAAATCAATGTTAGTTCATCAATTATAATAAATGTACCACACTAATGAAAGATGTTAATAATAAGGGAAACTGTGAGAGTGGAGAGGGGATAGTATAGGAACTCCCTGTACTTTCTTCTTAATTTTCCCGTAAACCTAAACAGCTGTAAAAAAATAAAGTCTATTGATTTAAAAAAGAAAAAAAGAAACTCTGAGGCCATTAACAGGCACTCCCCATTTTTTCTTCCCTTCTCAGCCCTAAGCAACCATTAATCTACTTTAAGTCTCTATAGATTTGGAATAATACAATATGTGGCCTTTTGTATTTGTCTTTCACTTAGCATAATGCTTTCAAGGCTATCAGTGTTGTACCGTGTGTCAGCACTTCATTCCATTTTATAGCTGAATAATGTTCCATTGTATGGATATACTACTTTTTGTTATCTATTCATCAGTTGATGGACATTTGGGTTGTTTCTGCTTTTTAGGTATCATGAGTAATGGTGCTGTGAACATTGATATACAAGTTCTAATGTGGACCTATGTTTTCCTTTCTTTTTGGAATATACCTAGGGCTGGAATTGCTAGGTTATAAACTTTATGTTTAACTTTTTGAGGAACTGCCAAAATGTTTTCCAAAGTGGCTGCACCATTTTACATTCCCACAGCAATGTATGAGGATTTCACTTTCTCCACATCTGCACCAGTACTTGTTACTGGTTGTCTTTTTTTTTGAGACGGAGTCTCACTTTGTTGCCAGGATGGAGTGGTGCAATCTCGGCTCACTGCAACCTCCAACTCCCGGGTTCAAGCGATTCTCCTGCCTCAGCCTCCCGAGTAGCTGGGCCTACAGGCGCGCGCCACCATGCCCAGCTAATTGTTTTTTATTTTTAGTAGAGATGGGGTTTCACTATGTTGGCCAGGATGGTCTTGATCTCTTGACATTATGATCCGCCCACCTCAGCCTCCCAAAGTGCTGGGATTACAGGCTAAGCCACCATGCCTGGCATTGGCTATCTTTTTGATTATGTAAACATCCTAGTGGGTGTAAAGTGATATATTTTGTGGTTTTCATTCACATTTCCCTGATGACTAATGATGTTGAGTATTTTTTCATTTGCTTATTGGCATTTGTATATCTTCTTTGGAGGAATGTCTATCCAAATCCTTGCCCCTTTTTAAAATTGGGTTGTCTTTTTATTATTGAGTTGTAAGAGTTCTTTATGTATTCTAGATACAAGTCCCTTATCATATTTGTGATTTACAAATATTTTCTCCCATTCTGTGGGTTGTCTTTTTACCTTGATTATCCTTGAAATACAGTTTGGTAGCTTGTGCTTATCATATCTAAGAAACCATTGCCTAATCCAAGGTCATAAGGAGTAAATCCTCTGTTTTCCTCTAAGTTTTATAGTTTTATCTCTGACATTTAGGCCTTTGTTCTATTTTTTTTAAATTTGAGACAGGGTCTCACTCTGTCATCTAGGCCGGACTGCAGTGGCACAAACCCAGCTTCACTGCAGTCTTGACCTCCTGGGCTCAAGAGATCCTCTCGCCCCAGCCTCCCAAAGTGCTGGGATTACAGTGTGAACCACTGCACCCGGCTTGTTCAATTTTTAATTTTTGTATATGGTACGAGGTAGTGATCCAACTTAATTATTTTGCAAGTGGCTATCCACCTGTCCCAGCACCCTTTATTGAAGAGACTATTCTTTCCCCATTTAATTGCTTTGGCACCTTGTCAAAAATCAATTGACCATAAACGTAAGGATTTATTTCTGGATTCTCTATGCTTTTCCATTGGTCTGTATGTCTGTCCTTGTGCCAGTATTACACTGTCTTGATTACTGTAGCTTTCTAATAAATTCTGAAATCAGAAAGTGTGAGCCCTCCAATTTGCGTCTTTTTCAAGATTGTTTTGGTTATTCTGGGTCCCTCGTATTTCCATGTGAACTTTAGGATTAGCCTGCCAATTTCAGCAAAAAGGTAGCTGAGATTTTGATAGGAATTTTGTTGAAACTGTAGATCAATTTGAGGAGTATTCCTTTCTTAATAATAATAAATCTTCCAGCCCACTAACATGGGCTGCCTTTCCATTTATCAGATCTTCTTTAATTTCTTTTAATGATATTTTGTGGTTTTTAGTGCACAGATTTGACACTCCTTATGCTAAATTTATTCCTGAGTATTGTATTCTTTTTTAGGCTACTGTAAGTGGAGTCATTTTCTTAATTTCATTTTCAGATTGTTCATTGATAGTGTGTAGAAACACAACTGATTTTTGTATATTGATCTTGTATCCTGGACCCTTGCTCTACTCATTTAGTAGCTCTAATAGGTTTTTTCAGGGGGGCAAGAATTCTTTTGGATTGGATTTTCTATATATAAAATCATGTCACCTTCAAGGAGATAGCTTTACTTTTTCCTTTCCTTTCCCTGAATGCTTCCTATTTTTTCTTGGTAGTTCAGTGTTAAATAGAAGTGATGAGAGAAGACAAGATTGTTGCCTTATTCATGATCTTTGGGGGAAAGCATTCAGTATTCTACCATTAGTAAGATGTTAGCTGTGGGTTTTTTGTAGATGTCCATTATCAGATTGGGGAAGTTTCCTCCTATTTCTAGGTTATTGAGTGTTTTTATCATGTGAAGATGTTGAATTTCTGTCAAGTCCTTTTTTTGTGTGTGTGTGAGATGAACATGCAAGTTTTGTCCTTTTTTTCCTGTTGATACAGTGTATTATAGTAATTGATTTCTCAGTTGTCAAACCAACATTTATTCTTGAGATAAATCCCTTTTAGTCATGGTGTATAATCTTCTTTGTTGCTAGATTCAGCCTTCTAGTATTTTATTGAGGATTTTTTGCATATAAATTCACAAGACCATATTGGTCTGTAGTTTTCTTCTGATATCTTTGGTTTTGGTTTCAAGTACATATTGGCCTCGTGGAGTAAGTTGAAATAAGCTTTCTCCTATTCCACTTTTTGGAAGAGTTTGTGAGGTTAATTATTTAAATATTTGGTAGAATTCATTAGTGAAGTCATGTAAACCTAGGCTTTTCTTTGATTACTAATCGAATAAAATTTTTTATTACTGATTGTGTCTTGTTATTGCTATAGATCTAATTCAGATTTTCTATTTCTTCTTGAGTCTGTTTTGCTACTTTGTGTCTTTCTAGGAATTTGTCCATTTCATCTAGGTTATCTAGTTTTTTTGGCATGCAATTTTTCCTAGTATTCCTTTGCATCCCTTTTATTTCTGTAGTGTTAGTAATGGTGTCTCTTTCGGTCATGATTTTAGTATTTTTGAGTTTTTTCTTTCTCTAATGGTCCGTCTAGCTAAAGGTTGGTGAATTTTGTTGATCCTTTTGAGGAACAATCTTTTGGTTTCATTGATTTTTCTCTGTTGTATTTCCATTCTTTATTTTATTCATCTCTGCCTACTATTTATCATTACATTCTATCTGTCTGCTTTATGTTTAATTTGCTCTTCTTTTGCTAGTTTCTTAAGGTGGAAGATTAGATTACTGATTTGAAACCACCTTTCTTCTTTAAAACAAACAAAAAGGTGTGTTCCGCTCCCTCTGAGGAATGCTCCAGTTGTACCCCATGAGTTGTGGTATGTTGTATTTTCTTTTTCTTTCATCTCAAAGTATTTTTCTAATTTCCCTTGTAATCACAATTGCCATCTATTTTCCTCAAAGTATTTTTCTAATTTCTCTCATAATCACAATTTTCTTTGACACATTGGTTATTTAAGAATGTCTTTTGTTTTTTAACTGTCATTTATTAAATACTGATTACCAGGTACTAAGAATTATATGACACAGTTCCAGGTGCTTACTTTGAAAAAGTCATGACCTTTAGTTTAGCTTGTCTTAAAAGAGAAAGTGTTTAAAACAGGGAGTTGGAAAATTGGGACCTTTAGTCTTGCTTGTAATCAGTAGACTTTAACACTTTTGACATATAATGAAGACAGACTTAGTATTTCAGAAACCTTACTGATGTCTAACATCTTTAATAGCCCACCTTTGTGAAAGAAGCTCTCTGTGAAGGGTAAGAAAAATCACTGGCTAGCGGGTTTCTTTTCTAAGTGATTGGAGGTAGGGAGACAGGTCTTTATTGTTTCCCTTGGGCTCACTGTCCGCATCTCACAAATGTGCTCTAGGGCAGAAAAAGACATAAAATGGATAGTGGGTAAAGAGGTATACTGTTTTAAAGCCAGCTGTTTAAATTTTCACATGACTCTATGTCAGTAGAAATAAAATTAGAACAGGAAAAAAAGCTAGATGTGTGGGGTTATTTTCATAGTTTTCTTTGGAGTTTATGTCGGTACATGAAAGTCAGTAATTTTGTTTACCCATATTAATATGCTTCCTCACAGAAGTTATCAGGAAAGAGCAAGGGAACAATGTGGTTATCATTGAGTTTGTGAAAACTATGAATTGTGAAGAATGGTCTTTTGGCCCAGGAATTAGTGGGCTTGATTTCAGTTTTAGCTGCTGGTTCTTGGTTCCTAATTAACGCCCCCTATCTGTTCCTCAGTCTTTATGGCTTATGAAATATATAAAGTTTAGTAGTTAAGGCAACTGGTACTAACCTACATTTGTGTAATACTTTTTTCTCTTTTATTTTTTTAATCTCCTCAAATTCCTTTTACCAAATACTTTTTTTCTTTATAAAGTAGTCTCATATACATTGTTATAGCTAAGATTTACAATAATCCTGTGTTATACTTACTCTCTTAGAACTTTAGGCATTAGCTGTTACAAAAAGCCAAAACATTTGGTTTATTACTGAGAAAAAGTTAAGCTAGAGAAGTGGTGATTATGTAGTTTTAAATGTAACTTTATAGGAAATGACATAAAATACAGAAACCTTGGATTCATATACTATGCCTTTCTTTTTTTTTTTTTTTTTTTTTTTTTTTGAGACGGAGTCTCGCTCTGTCGCCCAGGCTGGAGTGCAGTGGCGGGATCTCGGCTCACTGCAAGCTCCGCCTCCCGGGTTCACGCCATTCTCCTGCCTCAGCCTCCCAAGTAGCTGGGACTACAGGCGCCCGCCACTACGCCCGGCTAATTTTTTGTATTTTTAGTAGAGACGGGGTTTCACCGTTTTAGTCAGGATGGTCTCGATCTCCTGACCTCGTGATCCGCCCGCCTCGGCCTCCCAAAGTGCTGGGATTACAGGCGTGAGCCACCGCGCCCGGCCAGCCTTTCTAATTTAAAAAAAAGGAATAACACAGTTCCAATTAAAATATTTTGCTGCCATAAAAACTAAACAAAGGGTTATAGCTTTTATTTTATATTTTTATGATTGCTAGGTTTGTTTCAAAAATCAGTGAAGTCCATGAAGTACACTGTGTTCTCTTTCTGGCGTCTCAAAAGCAGCTACTCCTGAATTAATTAAAAAGAGCAATATATGAGGTATTGGATTATAGTGTTGTATGATTAATGACTCATTTTACTACATGAAGAATAGATGTCATTATCCATTTATTTCACTACAGACATGAGTTCTTGATGTAATATATAAGCTTTTCAAAAAGTGTATTCAATAGTAAATACACTTTGTTTTAACTCAGGTTGATTTCAAAATATTTTATTAAAATTATGTGATTGATGAGATATAAGCATAATTTTAAATTTAACCCATTTTAATATCTGGATGAACTAGGTCATCCTGCAATTGCTTTCAAATATTTGGCTCTGAAGAAAGTTTCATTATTTTTATATATATATATAAATTTTTTTAATTTTTATTTTTTATTTTTTACTTTTTGTTTGAGCTGGGGTCTTGCTCTTGTCATCTAGCCTGGAGTGCAGTGGCCCGATCTGGACCCACTGCAACCTCCACCTCCCACGTTCAAGCGATTCTCCTGCCTTGGCCTCCTCCCAAGTAGCTGGGATTACAGGTGCCCACCACCGTGCCCGGCTAAGTTTTGTATTTTTAGTAGAGAAGGGGTTTCACCATATTGGCCAGGCTGGTCTCGAATTCCTGACCTCAGGTGATCCACCTGCCTCAGCCTCCCAAAGTGTTGGGATTACAGGTGTGAGCCACCACACCCAGCTAGATGTATATTGTTATAATGTAATAAAAACATGACGATTGGGCCAGGCCCGGTGGATCACCTCAGGTGGGCACCTGTAATCCCAGCTACTTGGGAGGCTGAGGCAGGAGAATCGGTTGAACCTAGGAGCAGGAGGTTGCAGTGAGCTGAGATCGCGCCATTGCATTCCAGCCTGGGCGACAAGAGTAAGACTCCATCTCAAAACAAACAAACAAACAAAAAACATGACGATGATGCAGAAGAGAAAAGCTTTAAAAGACCAGGTTTTGAAAACTTGAAACTAACTTGGAAGCAGTACTGAAGAACCTGGCTTTAAGACGGTGATGGAAAGGACAGATTTTTTTTCCCCAGAGCCTTGGAGTAATCTGTGTCATTTCAGAGCCACCCCACAAAAATGCTAGATACAATGGTTGGCCATCATGATGTGACAGAAGTTTGGTAAATGTGGCTGATTCACATTTAAAGCTTGGTTTTCTTGACCTAACTATTAGACTTAGTAATGATCTCATCTTTTTAGGGTACTTAGCATTGTGAATGTGATACTAATAGTGATTTCAAACAAATCAGAGTTTTTGTTTCCAAACAGATATTGACCCTTTGAGTTTTGCTATCTGGGAAGGCACCTACATTTATTCTAATGATTTGCCAGTGTTTGAATTTTGCATCTTCTCTTTTAGAATTGCCTTTAAAGCCTTAGCAATATTCCTGTCAGGACACTAAAGATATAAAATGTTTATTCTTCGAGGGCGATTTTCAGAAAGAGCTAGACATCAGTCATTCAGAACCATGTCAGAAAAATAAAGTGGATAATCAGATTGGGAATTTAAAGAATAGTGTATAGTTCTAACATATTGTGTTATGCCTTATAAAACTTATAAAAACAGGCTCCAATACTACTTTTCAGAAAATCTTTGAACTGTGGCATTATTGGAATAAATGTACCCCCTTTCAAGGTGACTGCATTAAAGAACACTTACTTGATGTGTAAGTTCAGGTTCAAGTGTTTAGTAATTCATCATCTTTACCATATAGTTACATCTTGCATAAAAACTTGGGAAGGTTTCAAAGCTAAACAATGAAGAAGATTAAATTACTTTGGCAGTCACCTAATAATTGTGCCTAGGCAGGTAATTGAGTAACAGGAATATTGAGAGGTTGCTTTATGACATCAGTGGGAGCAGGGAGAAATCTACTGAGACAGTTGAGGCTTTCTGTTTGTTCCTTTGGGCTCAACAAATTTGAGGGAATTTATAGCCAAATTCCTTAGGATACATATTTATGTGTGTATATATATACGATTTTATACACATATTTTATATTTTATTATCTAATTTGAAAATCATAAAAATATAGGTGAGGAAAAGCTATTTATAATTACACCTATCAGAGAAGTCTTCACTGACCTTGTTAACTTCCTTTCTTCTATGTATTGTCTTATAATGTTGAGATCATAATGAACTTACAGTTTTGAATGTTGAGTTCTTTAAATGTATTTTGTTGCAATTATTTTTCTCAAGGCAATAAAAACTTCTTCATGAGTCCAGGCACAATGGCTCACACCTGTAATCCCAGCACTTTGAGAGGCGGAGGCAGGAGGATCGCTTGAGGCCGGGAGTTTGAGACCAGCCTGGTCAACATAGCAAGACACCATCTCTACAAAGCGATTTTTTTTTTTTAATTAGCCAGGCATGGTGATGCTCACCTGTAGACCCAGCTACTAGGGAGGCTGAGGCAGAAGATCACTTGAACTCAGGAATTCAAGACCGCAGTGAGCTATGATGGTGCCACTGTGCTCCAGCCTGGGTAACAGAGTAAGCGAGAACCTGTCTCAAAAAAAGAAAAAAAAGTGGGGCCTGGCACCATGGCTTACTCCTAGCACCTTGGGAGGCCAAGGCAAATGGATCAGTTAAGCCTAGGAGTTGGAGACCAGCCTGGGCAACATGGTGAAACCCCATCTCTAAAAACAACAACAAAAATAGAAAAATTAGCCAGGCATGGTGGCTCATGCCTATAGTTACAGCGACACGGGAGGCTGAAGTGGAAGGATCACCTGAGCCCTGGAGGTCAAGGCTGCAGTTAACCATGATTGTACTACTGAACTCTAGCCTGAGTGACAGAGTGAGACCCTGTCTGGAAAAAAAAAAAAAAAAAATTGTCATGAACAAAATATTTAGTAGACATTTTTCTTATCTATCTCCATATGGTTTGTAAAGTTTACTGGTGAGCTAAATAAATAAATAAATAAAGTTTTTATTATCTCCATATGGTTTGTAAAGTTTACTGGTGAGCTATTTAAACTTTATTATCAAATAAATAATAAAAATGTATATTATTTCTTCTTTCACATTCATGGTTTCAAAAGTGTCAGAAAATAAATTAGGGAAAGACCCAGAAGGCATTTGATGGGATTATGCTTTCTTAGTTCCGTAGGGCTTCACTCACGTTTTGTTTATAAATGTTCTCTTTGCTAATATGCAGCCATATTCACTTTTCTGTACACAGAACTAAGGAAAAAATTATTTCTTCTCTCGCTTGCTGAAGGTGGTTGGAGGCAAAGTAAAGAAGCCCGGTAAACGTGGTCGGAAGCCAGCCAAAATTGACTTGAAAGCAAAACTTGAGAGGAGCCGGCAGAGTGCAAGAGAATGCCGAGCCCGAAAAAAGCTGAGATATCAGTATTTGGAAGAGTTGGTATCCAGTCGAGAAAGAGCTATATGTGCCCTCAGAGAGGAACTGGAAATGGTAAGAAATCGTCAGTAAACACATGAAAAAATCACCTTAACAGTCAAATAAATAATACATTAAAATACGAAAATACCAGTTATCACCTGTCCAGTTGGCAAACATTGGAGAGAATATTAATCTGTTAGCCAGGATGGGGGCAAATAGGCATCTTCATACACTGCTGGTGGGAGCAGAGTGTACGTGACTGTTAACACTAAGGGATTGTTTATGAGAGAAGAAAATGGAAAATAACCCAGATGGACAATAATAAAGGACTGGTTAAATAAATGTTACTACATCCATGTATTAGACTACTTCGTAGCCAGTAAAAATCACAATGCACATATATTTACTGATGTAGAAAGATACAATATATTGCTAAGTAGACAAAGCAATATAACAATATGTAACTATGCATAGCATACCATTTGTGTTTAAGTGACTTTATTTATTTATTTTTATTTTTTATTTTTTATTTTTTTGAGATAGAGTCTTGCTCTGTCGCCCAGGCTGGAGTGCAGGGCGCGATCTCAGCTCATTGCAAGCTCTACCTCCCAGGTTCACGCCATTCTCCTGCCTCAGCCTCCTGAGTAGCTGGGACTACAGGTGCCCATCACCATGCCCGGCTAATTTTTTTTGTATTTTTAGTAGAGATGGGGTTTCACTGCATTAGTCAGGATGGTCTCAATCTCCTGACCTCATGGTCCACTCGCCTTGGCCTCCCAAAGTGCTGGGATTACAGGCATCAGCCACTGCACCCAGCCAAGTGATTTTGTTTATTTTACATGTTTTATTCACTCATCCATTCAGCCTTTGGGCAGTGGCTGTAAAAATGTGAAAGAGAGTAGATAAAACAGAATTGAAACTCCATTATTGTGAGCTGAGGGAGGAAGTGACAGAAGAGAGAGATGATATTACTGTGATCATTACACAACTGGGACAGGCTTCTACAGGTTTTTAGAAAGTAAGACAACAAGGTTGGAACATGAAGAGGAGGGACATGAACAGTGTTGTATATATTGTCCAGATATATGCTATTCAGTAGATTTTTTTGATATGTTGAATGTGACATGCTATCAATTATTTCTTACTTTCTGCAGTGTAAGCCACTTGAGGGCAGAATCTTTGGTCAGCTTTGTCTTTGTATACCCCCAAAGTCCCTAGCATGCACTCTGGTAGATAGTAGATGTTTAATGATCACTTGTTAAAGAGAGAAAGGAAATTACTAACATTTATTTCTTTATTTTGGGAGTAGAAATAATACTGTGACAATTATTAAAAAAAAAAAGATTAATTCTAACTAGTGGCACACTGTGGGGAGATGTCCTTTTAACCACAGGGGCCTTTTAAATCTGAGCAACACTCCAGTACATCAAAGACAATTCAGCAGCAGTTTTTCCGCCTCTTCTGAAAGATGGCAGATCTCGTACATGTCCTCAGTTATAAATAGGTAATACCATGGAGGGTGGGATTCCCAGCAGCGAACGTGACCTCTAGCCATGGGAGTTCCTATGTCTAGGATTTCTACCAGTGGTTCCTGAACTCTGACAAGTAAAAGTTAATTTAAATATGTTTTAAATTTATATTTATATTTAAAATTAAATATGTTTCAGTACAAGCAGTGGTGCATGGCAATGGACCAAGGAAAAATCCCTTCTGAAATAAAGGCCCTACTCACTGGAGAAGAGCAGAACAAATCTCAGCAGAACTCAAGCAGGCATACCAAGGCTGGGAAGACAGATGCTAATAGCAATTCCTGTAAGTGCCATCAATGGGAGAATTTATATTTAAGAGAGTGTCTCGGTTGGGCGCAGTGGCTCATGACTGTAATCCTAGCACTTTGGGAGGCCGAGGTGGGCAGATCGCTTGAGCCCAGGAGTTCAAGACCAGACAGGGCAACATGGCAAAACCCCATCTCTACAAAAAAATACAAAAATTCGCTGGGCATGGGGGTGCATGCCTGTAATCCCAGCTATTTGGGAGACTGAGGTGGGAGGATCACCTGAGCCCAGGGATGTTGAGGCTGCGGTGAGCCATGATCATGAAACCCTGTCTCAAAAGGGGGGAACAAAAAGAGGGTATCTCAAGGTAGGGTATCTCAGGGTAGGGTTTCTGTTGACCACTTTTCTTAGTATGTCTTTAAATAAAATGTTGATGCCATTTTTAATACACTAATAAGCAAATGAAATGGCATTAGATTCTGGCCAGGTGTGGTGGCTTATGCCTGTAGTCCCAGCACTTTGGGAGGCTGAGGTGGGCAGATCACTTGAGGCCAGGAGTTTGAGATCACCCTGGCCAACATGGTGAAACCCCATTTCTATTAAAAATACAAAAATTAGGCGCAGTGGTGTGCGCCTGTAATCCCAGCTACTCAGGAGTCTGAAGCACAAGAATTGCTTTAACCTGGGAAATGGAGGTTGCAGTGAGCTAAGATCATGCCATTGCACTCCAGCCTGGGCGACAGAGTGAGACCTCGTCTCAAAAAAAAAGAAAAAGAGAAATGGCTTAGATTCTAAATATTAAAATGCATTTTACATGGAGTCTATAAAGAGCAACTGATAAATTTATCGAAATTTTATTATTAATAGACTTAGTCCATAAATGGGAGTGGCACGAATCTAGCTTTTTGTTAATAATAATACCTTTTATTTGTATTTTGATTTACAGTTTACAGAGTACTTTCATTTATATTTATCTTAAATATTCCCTCCATTGATTGTGTTAAGGAATTATACTTATTTTATAGATGAAAAAATAGCAGAAAGGCTGGCTAAGGTGCCCAAGGTCACACAGCTTTAATGGTAGAACCTGTCCTCACCTAATCCAGGCTGTCTAGTGCAGTAGCCCATCATCGTAAGGATTGTTTTTAATTGAGGTAAAATTCACATAACATAAAAATTGAGAGCCATTTAGTACATTCACAATGTTGTGCAACCATTATGTCTACCTAGTTATGAAACTTTTAATCACCTCAAAAGAAAATCCTGAACCCATTAAGCAGTTATTCCCCATTACCCACTTCCCCCAACCCCTGGCAACCATGAATCTACTTTCTGTCTCTATGGATTTACCTATTCTGTATATTAATATTTTATATACCTGGAGTCTATACAGTATGTGACTTTTTGGGTCTGGCTTCTGTCACCTAGTATAATGTTTTCGAGGTTCATCCACATTGTAGCATGTATCATCAGTATTTAATTCCTCTTTATGGTCAAATAATATTTATATATATACAGTTGTTTATCCTTTGATGGACATATGTTTTTACCTCTTAGATATTGTGAGTAGTACTGCTGTGAACATGTGCATATAGGTATTTGTTTTCATACCTGTTTTGAATTCATTTGTATGTATACCTAGGAGTCAAATTGCTGGGTCATATGACAATTCTGTGTTTAATTTTTGAGGAATAGTCAAACTGTTTTCCACAGTACCTGAAACATTTTACATTCCCACCAGCAATGTATGTCTGCTCCAATTTGTCCACATCTCATCAACTTATTTTCCATTTTTTAAAACTATAGCCATCCTAATGGGTATGGAGTGGTATCTCATTGTGTTTGGTTTGCATTTCCCTAATGCCTAATGATGCTGAACATATTTTCTATGCTTGTTGGCCATTCGTATGTATTCTTTGGGGAAATGTCTAGGTCCCCTGCTCATGTTTTAATTAGGTTGTTTTTGTTGTTGAGTGGTAACAGTTCTATTGGGGGAACCTGCCCCCAATATTTCAATGTAGGTTCTTTCTATTTTCCATAAATGTCGGCCAACTGAGAAATAAAGAGAGACAGTACAAAGAGAGGAATTTTACAGCTGGGCCGCCAGGGGTGACATCACATATCGGTAGGACCGTGATGCCCGCCTGAGTCTCAGACCAGCAAGTTTTTATTAAGGGTTTCAAAAGGGGAGGTGGTGTAAGAACAGGGAGTAGGCACAAAGATCACATGCTTCAAAGGGCAAAAAGCAGAGCCACTAATAAGGGTCTAACAAAGATCACGTGCTTTTGAGGGAACAGGACAAGGGCAAAAGCAGAACCACTGATAAGGGTCCAACAAAGATCACAGGGCAAAGGGCAAAAGCAGAACCACTGATAAGGGTCTATGTTCAGCAGTGCACATATTGTCTTGATAAACATCTTAAACAACAGAAAACGGGGTTTGAGAGCAGAGAAGCGGTCTGACCACAAATTTACCAGGGCAGAGTTTTTCCCCACCCTAGTAAGCCTGAGGGTTCTGCAGGAGACCAGGGCGTATCTCAGTCCTTATCTCAACTGCACAAGACAGACATTTCCCAGAGTGGCTGTTTATAGACCTCCCCCCAGGAACACATTCCTTTCCCAGGGTATTAATATTAATATTCCTTGCTAGGAAAAGAATTTAGCAATATCTTTCCTACTTGCATGTCCGTTTATAGGCTCTCTGCAAGAAGAGAAATATGGCTCTTTTTGTCTGACCCAGCAGGCAGTCAGATCTTATGGTTTTCTTCCCTTGTTCCATAAAAATCACTGTTATTCTGTTCTTTTTCAAGGTGCACTGATTTCATATTGTTCCAACACACATTTTACAATCAATTTGTACAGTTAACACAATTATCACAGTGGTCCTGAGGTGACATACATCCTCAGCTTACGAAGATAATAGGATTAAGAGTAAAGTAAAGACAGGCATAAGAAATTATAAAAGTATTATTTGGGAGCAGATAAATGTCCATATTAATATGAAATCTTCACAATTTATGTTCCTCTGCCGCGGCTCCAGCCGGTCCCTCTGTTCAGGGTCCCTGAGTTTCCGCAACAGAGTTCTTTATTGTGGTTATAAAACCTTTATCAGATACATGATTTGCAGATATTTTCTCCCCTTCTCTAGGCTTCTTTTCACTTTGTTGATAGTGTTCTTTGATACACAAAATATTTTAATTTTGGTGAAGTCCAATTTATCTATTTTTGTTTTTTTGTTACTCATGCTTTTGGTGTCATATCTAAGACTCCATTGCCAAATGCACAGTTATGAAGATTTACCTGCCTCATGTTTTCTAAGAATTTTATGGTTTTAACTCTTTTATTTGGGTGATTGATCCATTTTGAATTAATTTTTCTATATGGTATAAAGTGGGAGTCCATATGTTGCATGTGAGTATCTAGTTGTCCAAGCAACATTTGTTGAAGAAACTGGAAAGACTTTAAAATGAATATGTCCTATGTTGATTTCTTCATTATTGTGATTGCTCTGGGAGCACTTTAAATAGCTATAAAGAAATGTCACAAACCTTTATTATTATTATTATTATTATTATTATTTTTTTTTATTTTTTTTTTTTTTAGGTCAACCTCTGGGAGCACAGAACAATGTTTCAATATTTTTTTTTTTGAGAAGAAGTCTCGCTCTGTCACCCAGGCTGGAGTGCAGTGGCACGATCTTGGCTCACTGCAACCTCTGCCTCCCAGGTTCAAGCGATTCTCCTGCCTCAGCCTCCCAAGTAGCTGGGGTTACAAGTGTATGGCACTGCACCCGGCTAATTTTTTGTATTTTTAGTAGAGACAGGGTTTCACCATGTTGGCCAGGCTGGTCTTGAACTCCTGACTTCAGGTAATTCACCCGCCTTGGCCTCCCAAAGTGCTAGGATTACAGGTGTGAGCTACCACGCCCATCTAGAACAAACTTCTTATGTTTTCAGTATTTTTTACAAAATTGAAGAAATCGGCTTTTTGATAACTTTTATTAGATAACATTTGTCTTCATCTAGGTTGACAAGTGCACTAAAATATCAGACTCCACCACTATACAATTCACCCACGTAACCAAAAACCACTTCTACCCCAAAAGCTACTGAAATGTTTAAAAATTAAAACATTTGGCTTCATCTAAATTAAATTAATGGAAAAAAGCCAAATCAGCTTTTTTTTAGTCTGTATTTTTAAAAATTAGCCTTACTGAAGATACTAAACTGAAAAAAAAAATTTATGCATCTTAAAACAGATTAATCAAACTTTATTGACTCTAAAAACATTCTTACATTGGTAACTTTTATTTTTCAGGGTGAAGATTATATAAAGATGAGTCAGTGATTGAAGCCAATATTCTGATTCCCATGGAAGATGGATGGGCAAGAGTGTACTTCTTGGCTCCATTTACTACCTACTGCTCAGTAGTCATCTCTGTAAATCTGCAATTTCTACCAAAATGTGTGATCGTAGATCTCAAAGGATCTTGCTTTAACTTTCAACACTTAGAAAATCTACAAACATTCAGACCTGTCTGGGTTGGTATTGCCACCCATGACATTTAACATGTTGTGATGCTTGAAAACACAGGAGTAGAGAAAATCGATGAAGATTGTATTTTTGCACCTTAACTCCACATTGCTTTATTGGTTAATTTATATTCTTTCCATGTAATTCATGTAATTGTATGTCTGTGTGTGTTTTATGTGTCACCACCTTTCATGTTTTTGATTGCCCTACAAAGAGAAACCAAATGAGCTGATTACTGACTATAAGTTCTCAGCCTTTATGGACCTAATCTTATTTTTATTTACTTGAGTAATGTTTATTCTCTGCATGAACCATGATTTCTCCTGTGAGCCATTCCAGCATAAGCTGTGAATATGTATTAACAAATATATACATTTCTATTTTTATAATCCATAAGGATATGCCTGTTTTAAATAACATACATATTAACAATATCTATCAGGAAAACCCTCAAGACAGCTTCTAGTTAAAACCTTTGTTGCTGTCCTCTCAAACTATATTTATAAAAATTTGCTAGGGCCAAATCCATACTTGCAGAATAATTCATCAAATTTTATTTTTAAGTGAAAAGTAACCTTTCAGGCATTTCAGCAGCATACATTGACAATCTAGGGTATATATGTATGTATGTTTCTTATTGTATGTCTATATATGTATGTGGGGAGGACAGGAGTGAATGTTCACACACTTTTCTTGCGTACTCAACTAAATTGGAGAATGTTTCTGAAGAAAATTGGATGAAATTAGCTGCTGAGATTGAGTTTCTGCCTTAAAATCTGAAACAAAAAAAGGGACAAATTGCTGGTAGATCTACTGACTGTAGCCATCACCAGAACACTTAGTTTCTTCCCAGACATGAATTTCCTGACAGGCTCTGAGCCAGAAACACACTGTGGGCGTGCATCTGGTTCAGCCCTGGATATGCCTCCACTGTGGAGGGAAGCATTGGAACTGGAGTTGTGCACAGCACCGCAGCTAGTGGGCCTGGCTGGGGGTGCAGAAGGGCAGGGTAGTTCTTTCCATTTCCCCTTGCAGCTACACTTACTTTCTCCCTGACTACCAAATGGAGTGACGGTTGAAGAATCAAGCTCATAATATGATACACCCAGACAGACCCAGAAATCTTTTGATTTCCCCAGCGAGATACTTACCACTCTCTCTTCTCTTTCCCATGGTTAAAACAGGAGTTGTGTTCTCTGTCGCTGCTAAATTATTCTTCACTTGAGTGAAGCAAATATTTAGCTTCCAAATAAAGTATATTTTGTTCTGAACTGGCAGTTTAAGAGGAGATACCGTAGTCTAGATTGTCTTTGAGGTAGAATATATGATGGACCACATAGTTTAAGATTACAAGGTACTTTCCCTCTTCTCTCAGGCCATGCATTTGAATAAAGTGCCTCCCTTAGCCTGAGCTCCTAAAGACCTCTTGTACTTGGTTGCAAACTCAGATCTCTAGTCTAGTCTAGTCTAGTCTAGTCTAGTCATGTGTGACTGTGTACTGAGATACCACTAGCCCAGTTTGCTGGGTCTCTATGTTTTGGAAGTTGGGGGTTTAATAATATTTAATGTCTTTTTAGGATCATAAACATAAATAGGTTTGTTGATATTCAGGCCTTCAGAATTTAAGGGTTTTAAATATAGCATTCAGATTGTAATTGGTATGTTTTTGCCATCTGGTCCACTCAATTGTATATTTTTATTTTGCAAAACAACCCAAAACTTACTTTATGTTGCTTTGTTCAGTACCTTTTGAATTCCCCCAGAAGAGTTGTTTTCAAAACAAACATTCCAGAATGAATGTCGCTCTTCAATGGAACGTCTTTATTGTGCTTGAAGTATTTCTTCTCTGGTTGTAATTCTAAATTACAGAGTCATTTGAGCTTTCTCCCCTCCCGCTAGTATCTTTACAGGAGCAGGGAAGAGCAGTAGAGGATGTATAATTTTGGGCGAAGTTAAATTACAATTTATTTGAGGTTATTCCTAAACCTATTTATTTGGTGTTTTGGAGGAGATCACACACTAAGAGAACGTTGATTGCCTCGGCTATTGTGCTGGCTGGACACTTTGGTCACTTTTGAAGCATGTTAATAAATGTCACTGATTAAAACAGCTGGAGCATTTCCTTCCCTTTCCAGTGAAGGAGCAGCATAGTGAAATCCTGGCACCCCTCACCTTTTTGTGATGACAAGATGGCTGACAGTCACGGAGTCCAGGAGAAGGTGCTGCTCTCCTTGCTTTCTGAGTAAACAGAGTAATGTTTTTTTTCTTATTTTCCCAAAGAAAGAAAAGGGGGAAAATATATTTGTATGTTTAGACCAGCCAAATTCTGTCATTATTTTAGTATCAACCTGCTGTATATTAGAGCAACTGAATATAATATGGAATAAGTTTGACCAGGTCAAGTTTTAGGATATAGTTGAATTTCTTTAAAAAGTTTTCTATTTTATCTAAAATCTTTCCATTATATCTAAATTAGAATGATCATCCTGCGCAAATTCAGATTACTGTTTGCTGGCTAATTGACAGTATTTCTCAGCATCACTATGTAGCATTCTGTTTTAGCATCTTTGAATTATGATCATTTGATTTGGCTAATTACAAAAAGTACAGGTTTAAACTGGACTTAGCTTGAGTTAAAGGCAAAGAAAATCTAAAAACATAAATGTTATATTTCACAAGAAATCAGTTGCATATTATCCATTACATATTTAGTTTTAAAAGGAGGAGTCACCTTGAATTATTTTCTGAGTCACCTTGAGTTATTTGATCTCTCAGCCTGCTTTCTCATCTGTAAAAAAGGGGGGAGGATAACTTTCACAGGGTAATTGGTAGGCTAAATAGGAGTTACAGAAAACTGTTAAATAGGGAAGAACTACATTAAATTTAAATATTCACATTATGCCTGTGTTTGACTATTGTTAGCATTTAAGTCACTAAAGATCAATATATTTAATGAGTTGGACTCTAAATATGTGGTACTGTAGGTATCACATTTCCCAAGTCTTTTTAGCTATATCATGTCTATCTTCGGAATGGTATAGTCGGGGGCCCTTTTTATCAATAATAGCCTTCTATTAATTAGACTAATTTTAAGAACAACTAATACTTCAACTGGCAATATCATCCTATAATTATCCACATAAAGTAGTCTTTCAGGCTGCTAGGTAACTTGGCTGTCTTCTATTCCATCCGTTTTATTTAACTACACGATGGTCATGAATCAGTGGCAGGACTGCCTTGTAAAGTTGTGCTGATTTTGCACTGCACAAAAGTACATAGTTAAGGAGGCGAATGGACTTTAAAATCTAGTTCACATTCCCCTCAACAAGCTACGTGTGGAGGAAGGGGCTCTTGCCTTCTCACCAAGGTGTACATGTGGCACAGGTCTCCCCAGAAGAGGTGTCTTTTTCTAATTTGCCCAAAGGGGATACCTGTCTTAATACATCCACCAGGGGGTGCCTTTTTAAAAATGTGCAAAGCCGTGGTGTGTTGCAGCTGGCTTTTGCTGGCTCCCCAGAGGAGAACCAATTGTGTGCATCTCTTCCCAACTTGATGTTCAGTGACATCAGGTTGGTAGCTTTTAATGGACAATGGTAGGAGTATTTGTATCATAGAAGTTAGTAAATGCTGCAAATTGTGGATCCCCCACCCCCTCAGTCAGTTTCTAACACACCACTGAAAAAGGCCCGATGTAGGCTAGCATTGCATTTCCCAGAGCAGGCACACTGGAGTCCTAAAATGTGTATGATTAAAGGACACATAGACCTGGAAGAACTCTTTTTATAAAGCTGTAGGCAGCTTGGAGTTGTCCGTATCAAATTCAGATTGGTTCACAGACATATGGTAGTTCTGACTCAGAAACTGTTACGGGTCACAGAAAAATACACAGTCCAACTCTAGAAATGACTAGGAAGTGAATCAGCTGAATTACTATTTTTGAGATGGAGTCTTGCTCTGTCACCCAGGCGGGAGTGCAGTGGTGCCATCTCAGCTCACTGCAGCCTCCACCTCCCGGGTTCAAGTGATGCTCCTGCCTCAGCCTCCTGGGTATCTGGGATTACAGGCATGCGCCCCCACGCCCAGTTAATTTTTTGTATTTTTAGTAGGGATGGAGTTTCACCATTGCTGGACAGGCTGGTCTTGAACTCCTCACATCAGGTAATCTGCCTGCCTTGGCCTCCCAAAGTGCTGGGATTACAGGAGTGAGCTACCACGCCCAGCCGAATCAGCTGAATTCTTAAGCCTTAGCATAAAAGCAGGCACAACTAATACACCTACTGTGTTGTGATACAGTTCACCAGACACTCCTGGATTGAGGAGGGCTGGAGCTGGACAGTGAACTCTGGCTTACAGGCCATTTTGACTTTGCAGTAAGATAAATATTTGGGCAGGAAAATTTTCCCATGATCCAACAGATCCCAATCCAATCTTACTATGCCTCGGCAACCCTTTCCTGAGAAGGACAGCAGTGCCTGGCAAGCACATTATAAACCTGAGTCCAGGTTTATCCCCTTGTGTAATCAAGTCCATGGGCTGGATGTGACAACACATGTGCCTAAGCTAGGTAGGCTTGAATAGTACAGAATGAAATAGGCCAAAAGGCTGTCCCAAGCCCACACTGAGTTTCAGATCTTACCTCTTAAATGGAACAGAGACCATGCTTGTCAGCACCACAAGAAAAGTTTGTACAAGACTTGTGGCAATAAATAGATACCTCTAAACCTGCTCATTCTCAGGCCAGGACAGGCCTCAGCTGCCACAAAGGAAGAGAGAGAATGTTGAAAAAGTAAGGAAGAAAGAAAACCAAAAGATGGCCAAGCCTTCTTTCAGAAGGAGGAAGATAGTTCATATGGGGGCTATATTAGTCCATTCTCTCATTGCTGTAAAGAAATAACTGGCAGAGCTTGCAGTGAGCCAAGATCACACCACTGCACTCCAGCCTGGGCAACAGAGCAAGACTCTGTCTCAAAAAAAAAAAAAAAAAAAAAAAAAAAAAACAAAAACTGAGACTGGGTAGTTTATAAAGAAAAGAGGTTTGATTGGCTCACATGTGGTTCTGCAGGCTGTACAGGAAGCATGACTGGGGAGGCCTCAGGAAACTTACAGTCATGATGGAAGACAAAGTGAGAGCAGGCATCTTGCATGGCAGCATTGGGACCAGGGATCGGGGGTACCACACGCTTTTAAATAACCGGATCTTGTGAGCACTCACTATACAGCACCAAAGGGGGATGGTGCTAAACCATTCATGGGAACTCCACCCTCATGATCCAGTCACCTCCCACCAGTCCCCACCTCCCAACACTGGGGATTACATTTTGATATGAGATTTGGTGGGGACCAGATCCAAGCCATATCATTCTGCCCCTGGCCCCTCCAAATCTCATGTCCTTCTCACATTGCAAAGTATAATCATCCCCTTCTCAGTAGCCCCCCGAAGTCTCAACTAATTCCAATATTAGCTCAAAAGTCCACAGTCCAAAGTCTTATCTGAGACAACACAAGTCCCTTCCACCTATGAGCCTGTACAGTCAAAAACAAGTTAGTTACTTCCAAGATACAAAAGAGGTACAAGTATTGGGTAAATACTCCCACTCCAAAAGGGAGAAATCAACCAAAAGAAAGGGGCTACAGGCCCTATGCAAGTCTGAAACCCAGCTGGGCAGTCATTAACTCTTAAAGCTCCAAAATCTCCTTTGACTTCATGTCTCACATCCAGGGCACACTGGTGCAAGGGGTGGGCTCCCAAAGCCTTGGGCAGCTCTGCCCCTGCGGTTCAGCCTCCATGGATGCCCTCATGGGCTGGTGTTAAGTGCTAGTGGCTTTTCTAGGTGCATGGTGCAAGCTGTTGGTGGCTCTACCATTCCAGGGTATGGAGGATGGTGGCTCTCTTCTCACAGCTCCACCAGGCAGTGCCCCAGTGGGGACTCTCTGTGGGGGCTCCAACCCCACACTTTCCCTCCTCAGTACCCTACATGAGGGCTCTGCCCCTACAGCAGGCTTCTGCCTGCACATCCAGGCTTTTCCATACATCTTCTGAAATCTAGGCAGAGGCTCCCAAGTCTCAACTCTTGCACCCTGTGCACCTGCAGGCTTAACACCATGTGGAAGCTGCCAAGGCTTATGGCTTGCACCCTCTGAAGCACCAGCTTGAGCTGTATCCAGACACCTTTGAGCCATAGCTGGAGGTGGAGTGGTTGGGATGCAGGGAGCAGAGTCCTGAGGCTATTCAGGGCAACAGGGCCCTGGACCTGGCCCATGGAACCATTCAATCCTCCTAGGCCTCTGGGCCTGTGATGGGAGAGGCTGTCTCTTAGATCTCTGAAATGTCTTGAGGGCTTAACCTCATTGTCTTGACTATCAGCAATTGGTTGCTTTTTACTAAGTAAATTTCTGCAGTGGGCTTGAATTCCTGCCCTGAAAATGGGCTTTGTTTTTATACCACATGGCCAGGCTACAAATTTCCCAAACTTTTATGCTTTGCTTCCCTTTTAAATATAAGTTCCAGTTTTATGTCATTTCTTTGCTCATGCACATGAGCATATGCTGTTAGAAGCAGCCAGGCTAAATCTTGAATGCTTTGCTGCTTAGAAACTTCTTCCGCCAGATACCCTAAATCATCATTCTCAAGTTCAAAGTTCCACATATACCTAAGGCAGGAGCACAATGCCTCCGAATTCATTGCTAAAGCATAGGAAAAGTGATCTTTGCTCCAGTTCTCAGTTAAGTTCCTCATCTCTGTCTGAGATGTCATCAGCCTGGCCATCTCTGTTCCATATCACTATCAGCATTTTGGTCACAACCATTTAACAAGTCTCTAGGAAGTTCCAAACCTTCTCATCTTTCTGTCTTCTTCTGAGCCCTCCACACTCTTCCAACATCTGCCTGTTACCCAGTTTCAAAGCTGCTTCCACATTTTCAGGTATCTTTATAGAAATACCCCACTTCTGGTACCAATTTTCTGTATTAGTCTGTTCTCACATTCCTATAAATAAATACCTGAGACTGGATAATATATAAAGAAAAGAGGTTCAATTGGCTCATGGTTCCATAGGCTGTATGGAAAGCATGGCAGCATCTGCTTTTGGGGAAGCCTCAGGAAAAAGCAGGAGCAGGTGTCTTACATGGCAGAAGCAGGACCAAAGGGGTGGGGAAGATGTTACACACTTTTTAAATCAACCAGATCTTGTGAGAACTCACACTATACAGTACCAAAGGGGGGATGGTGCAACTCTGCCCTCATGATCCAGTCACCTCCCACCAGACATCACCTCCAACACTGGGGATTACAATTTGACATGAGATTTGGTGGGGACACAGATCCAAATCATATCAGGAGCCAAAGCAAAGATGAAAGCTGGCAATGCCTGTTTTCTTGTTGGAGTAACCTCACCTTTTTGCCACTCCAGACAAAAAAAGAAAAACCCATGTGCCCATGAGCCTTTTGAACCAGGCAGAGTAAGAAATCTACCTAGCAATAACCAATAAAATGTCTTTAAAGCTGACTGTAGTGCAACAGTCCTCTTCCTGAAATAGTGGGGAGAAGGGAGACTTCAGCACAAATCAGAAGAATACAGACTAGTGTAAGAAACAAACCATAATAAATCTGGGCTCAGGAGATGATAACTCATTTTAGATGATACAGGGGTAACCAGCTAGATATATTTGAAGTAGGAAATTGGGGAAGATGGTTCCAAATACATGGGACTCATCACAGGGTTCCTTTATTTTTATTTATTACTATTTTCGAGGCAAGGTCTTGCTCTGTCACTCAGGCTGGAGTGCAGTGGCATGATCTCGGCTCACTGCAACCTCTGCCTCCTGGGCTCAGGTGATTCTCCAACCTCTGCCTCCCAAGTAGCTGGGACTACAGGTGTGTGCCACCACACCTGGCTACTTTTTTCTTTTTAATTTCTATTATGGATATGCTGGGAATAACTGGCTGATTTTTTAAAAAAAATTTTTGTAGAGATATTTTGTTATGTTGCCCAGGCTGGTCTTGAACTCCTGGCCTCAAGCAATCCTCCTGCCTCGGCCTCCCAAAGTGCTGGGATCACAGGTGTGAGCTACCATTCCCAGCTTCCTTTAAATGACCACGCTTAGTGAAATTAATGTTTTCAGATCATTAGGCATACCATTATGTGACTGGAGGTGACACAAAACATCAAGCTAAAATGTGCTTATCCATTTGTTATTAGGTTAGATGAAAACAGAATGGCTCTACAAGTCTGATATGTGCCAATATCATTTTAAGTAAACATGACTTTTTAGGAGCTTTTTTTTTTTTTAGTAAAAAATGTAACCAGTTGTGTACTGATAGATGTTTAACACCTGACGCTTGGTTGAGGGGAGGCCTAATTTGTAGTATTTGCCAATTTCTGGGGTGGAAATATTCCCACCATAGTTGGTTTCAAGCTACTGTGTTCTTAACCAGCTCCCAAAGTTTTTGAAAATTTAGGATTGGCTCTTGCAAGTGTGTATGAGCCAATTGTACATCATGGGATAACATATATGGCATAAAGATGGGATATCAGTTAGGAATCTCTTGGCTGCAAGTAAAGAATACACAACTAAAATTGACAAATAATAAAGACCTATCTCACATAATAAGTCTGAGGACTACAGTGGCTCAACAATGTCATTAAACAGTTTACAAATGTCATGGCAAAGTCAGGAAGTTACCATATATGATCTAAAAAGGGGAGGCATGAATGATCCACCCCTTATTTAGCATATAATCAAGAAATAACCACAAAAATGGGCAACCAGCAGCCCTTGGGCTGCTCTGTCTATGGAGTAGCCATTCTTTTATTCTTTTTTTTTCTTATTTTGAGGAAGAGTCTCGCTCTGTTGCCCAGGCTGGAGTGCAGTGGCGCAATCTCAGCTCACTGCAACCTCTGCCTCCTGGGTTCAAGTGATTCTCATGCCTCAGCCTCCCAAGTAGCTGGGATTACAGGTGCCCGCCACCATGCCTAGCTAATTTTTGTATTTTTAGTAGAGATGGGGTTTCACCATGTTGGCCAGGCTGGTCTTAAACTCTTGACCTCAAGGAATCCATCCGCCTCGGCCTCCCAAAGTGCTGGGATTACAAGTGTGAGCCACCGTGCCCAGTTCATTCTTTTATTCTTTACCTTCCTAATAAACTTGCTTTTACTTAAAAAAAAAAATGACATTAAAAACCCAGAATCTTTCCTTCCTTCTGCTCCACCATCCTCTGCAGATTGGCTGTCACCCTCAGCTTACCCACTCATGGTTGTAAGACAACTGCTCCAGGCATCACTCTCACAACCATGATCTAAGGAGGAAAAGGAGTTTTTTCTTGCTACTGTTAATGGTGGAGGGTCTCCAGGTTCTTGACGTTTTGAACAAAGAATTGGACAAAACGCACAAACAAAGCAAGGAAAGAATGAAGGGTTTTACTGAAAATGAAAGTACACTTCACAGTGTGGGAGCGGGCCTGTGCACAGGGGCTCAAAGACTCTGTTAACAGAGTTTTTGTGAGCTTAAATACCCTCTACTTGGGGTACGACCTATGTAAATGAAGAGGATGAAGTAAAGTTACAAAGTCATTTACTCAGTGTATGCCCTATGGAGAGGATATTTCCTGTCATAGCTGAAATGTGAATCAGCCTTATGTTCCCTGCCTCCAGACCCTATTTTTCTGCCTCACTACTTCATCTTATCAGGGAGAAAAACCTTTCCCAGATGCCCCCTCAACAGACTTATCTTTACATCTCATTGGCCAGAAGTTTGGGCTAGATGAACACCAATAAGCCATTCACTGATAAGAGGGAATGGAATTGCCATGATTGGCTTAAACACAGTTAATCCCTTAAAACCAACTAACCTTGACTTCATTGCTACTTCACACCTGAACAAAATCAGTGCTGTTGGCAAGGAAGGGAGTGGCTGTTAGGAAGTACAACCAACAATGTCTACCACAACAAATGAATGCAGTTAACTGTGGAATAAACCAGAGATCATCAGTAAACAAATGACTGAGCTTTGGTAGAACTTCCTAAATTCCAATCAAGGTGACTTTGGTAGACTCTCAAGAAAGCATACCTAAATGTGATATAATTTATTAAGTACAAACCAATTCTGCCCTCTTATGAGAATATATGACTAGATGGAGGATGATCAGAACAAAGAAAATGGAAATCAAAAGAGTCAGAAGGTGGTAGAGTTTATTCAGCACTCTTCAGAAAGAGACTATGAATATGGCATACAAAAGTCTAGTTGTCAAAGAGGTACATGTAAATATTGAGCTGAGATGGTTCGTTAGGTCCTTTCATGGCCTGAATGAAATAAATATATTTCAAAAATACTTCAGTACTATAGAGGCTGATTCTTTTTTTTTTTTTTTTTTTTTTTTCTTTTTGAGACAGGGTCTGGTCTGTTGCCTAGGCTGGAGTGGAAAGGCATGATCTCAGCTCACTGCAACCTTTGCCTCCTAGGCTCAAGTGATCCTCCCACCCCAGCCTCCCAAGTAGCTGGGACTACAGGCATGCTCCACCATACCCAGTTAATTTTTTTGTAGAGATGGGGTCTTGCCATGTTGCCCAGGCTGGTCTCAAACTCCTGGGCTCAAGTGATCTGCCTGCTTTGGCCTCCCAAAGTGCTGGGATTACAGGCGTGATCCACAGTGAGCCACTGTGCCTGGCCAGTTCCCATTTGATTTATTTATTTATTTATTTATTTATTTATTTATTTATTCATTCATTTATTGAGATGGAGTCTCGCTCTGTCACCCAGACTGGAGTGCAGTGATGCTATCTGGGCTCACTGCAACCTCTACCTCCCAGGTTCAAGTGATTCTCCTGCCTCAGCCTCTCGAGTAGCTGGGATTACAGGTGTGCACCACCACACGGCTAATTTTTTGTATTTTTAGTAAAGACAGGGTTTCACCATATTGGCCAGGCTGATCTCGAACTCCTGACCTCAGGTGATCTGCCTGCCTCGGCCTCCCAAAGTGCTGGGATTACAAACGTGAGCCACGACACCCGGCCCCCATTTTAAATTAAATACTTCTTTCCTTTGACAAAATTAATTCTAGATGAGCAAAGATGTAAACATTCTACAAAACCAAAACCAGTCAGGCATGGTGGCTCACGCCTGTTATCCCAGCACGTTGGGAGGCCGATGTGGGCGGATCACCTGAGGTCAGGAGTTTGAGACCAGCCTGGCCAACATGGTGAAACCCCATCTCTACTAAAAAAATACAAAACTTAGCCAGGTGTGGTGGCACATGCCTGTAATCCCAGCTAGTCTACTCAGGAGGCTGAGGCAGGAAAATCACTGGAACCTGGGAGGCAGGGGCTGCAGTAAGCTGAGATCACACCACTGCACCCCAGCCTGGGTGACCAAGCGAGACTCCATCTCAAAAAACAAACAAACAAACAACAACAACAACAACAACAACAACAAACTCAATAACCTTTACCTCTAGAGAGAGGTACTGGGAGACAAGCCTAGGGTAAGAGACAGATTTAGTTTTCACCACATGTCATTTTGTTGGGGCAGACAGCCTCTAAAATGGCCCCCATTTCCCCGCCTCTGATATTCACACCCTTGCTTGGCCCCTCCCCTTGAGTATGGGCAAGAGCTATAACTCACTTCTGACCAACAGAACACAGGAAAGGTGATGGAATGTCACTTCCATGCTTAGGTTACATAAGATAGCAACTTCTGTCTTGATAGCAGCCCCTCTCGTTTGATGCTTTATGAAGCAAGCTGCCATACTGGAGAGGCCCATGTGCAAGGAGTTGAGGGCCAACAACCAGCAAGGGACTGAGGCCCTTGATGAATTGAATTCTGATAACAACTACATGAGCTTGAAAGCAGATCCTATCTCAGTTGAGCCTTCAGATGAGACCCCATCCTGGTTGACACCTTGATTGCAGCCTTGTGAATCAGAAGATTCACTGTTAAGCAGTTAAACTGTGTCCAGATTTCTGACCCACTGAAACTATGAGATCATATATGTGTGTGGTTTTAAGCTGCCAAAAAAAAAAAAAAGCCCCAAAACAAAACAAAACAAGACAAATTAGCTGGACATGGTGGTGTGCAACTGTAGTCCCAGCTATTACATTTGGAGGGCAGAGGCAGGAGGATCATTTGAACATGGGAGGTTGAGGCTGCAGGGAGCTGAGATTGTGTCACTGTACTCCAGCCAGTCTGGGTGACAAAGTGAGACCCTGTCTCCAAAAAATAAACAAACAAAGGCTGCAGCATCAAATCTTGCCTGCTGGCCTGCCCCACAGATTTCAACCTTGCCAGCAGCACCCATAATTGCATGAACCAGTTCCTAAGAGTAACTCTCCACCCAACCATCATCTATGCATATTTCCTGTTGGTTCCGTTTCTCTGGAGAACCCTAATATGGGTAAGTTCTGTTATTTCCCCCATTTTAATCATGGAGAAGGCGGGGTCTGAGAACAATTTGCTTAAATAGCTGGTAAGCAGAACCTGGACATGGACCCAAAAAGTTTGGCTCCAGAGCCCTTGAAAATAACCATTATACTATTCTGTAACTAAGGACAACTGTGCTGGCTGCCTATCTCACTGGAGTTTTGTACCTTTTTTTTTTTTCTGATTTGTAAAGGGTCATTCAAGTGCAGTGCATCTGCTTAGAGAACCAGATAGCATGGAAGTGAAATGACCCTTGACTGATGAGCAGAGACCCATCCGTTCTTCTCAGCTGTTGTGCTGCCATCCTCCCCACCATGCAACTCTTCACAGCTACTATTTTGTTGTCCAGCGGTCTATGCTATGGTCTTATTGTCCTTCCTGAGCAAGCATAGTCAGGGTCCTGCTGGCCAAATGTACAGTAGTCTTTTAAAGGAGACTGTTCTTTGGAAGATACTGCAGGGAAACAGAATAGAGAGGATTCATTCAGAATTCCCCTCAAGGAGTTTGAATCTATATCTAGGGGTTGTGGGTAAATAACTGGAACTGCCTTCCTGACTGCCTGCTGGGAACCAGCCTATGTTCCCAGACCTCCAGACCTGCATCATAATCCTCAAACCAGATACATGCGAACTCCTCACTGCAGAGCCCAGCATTTGTTGGAGGTCTTTCTTCTGTGGAACTAAACTCACACATTCTTCAAATTATTGGTGAATCCAAATTGCATAACCCTACACATAGAACTTAATTAGGGTTCACAGAGAGTCTGTAAAGCAATTCTTTTAAAGAAGCTTCTTCTGGCCAGGCCAGTGGCTCACACCTGTAATCTCAGCACTTTGGGAGGCCAAAGCAGGAGGATCATTGAGGCCAGGAGTTCAAGACTACCCTGGGCGGCAAAGCAAGATTCCATCTCTACTAAAAAATAAAATATATATATATATTTATAAAAGAGGCTTCTTCTGAGAAAGAAAATATAGAGCTCTTGAAGTGTTCAATTGTCCAAAAAAGTTCAGAATGGCCCGGATTGTAGGGGCTTACTTTAAAATACATTTAACTGCCTGCTTACCAGCAGCATATGAACATTCACTTGTAGGGAAACTCTAGATACACTGCGATGAAAAAGTCCATGAATTCTCTGAGTCAATGATGAAAAGAGCGGAAAAGGAAAAGACAGGCCCTGGCAAGTGTGGGTGGCACTAATGCCAGCTTGGTGGTCTGATGGAGTTTTTTGAAAATGATCACATTTGTAGAATGGGTTTAAAACAATATTTTGACTAGTGATTTCATGTCTGAAAAGGGTATTATTTTGGAATTTCCTCCAGTGTTTAAATGCTTTGTGTTTTGAACACACTGATTGATTACTTAATCTACAGCTGCTTCTGGGTGCTCAGCAATTTTCCCTGTCTTGTTGCTATGAGACGAGGACTTCCCTGAATTCGCCAGTGTGACAGGCATCGTGAAGAGGTGGTGGGCTCTGCCCACAAGTCACAGTGCCATCAAGCGGTCATTCTGGAAAACTGTTAGAGGAAGTCGGTTTGTTTCCACTGTTCTCTAATTATGGCACTCTAAGGTCATCATTTTCACAGATGAATTAGCAGGTTAAATGAACAGTGAAGGCTTATGTATTCCTTTCATATTCTCCTGCACACAGTTTGGATTTTTAAAAATCGAATACATCCAGCCCGGCCAACATGGTGAAACCCCGTCTCTACTAAAAATACAAAAAAATTAGCAGGGCGTGTTGGCACGGGGCCTGTAATCCCAGCTACTCAGGAGGCTGAGGCAGGAGAATCACTTGAACCTGGGAGGCGAAGGTTGCAGTGAGCCAAGATGAGTGCAGTGGCAGATCTCAGCTGTAACCTCCGCCTCCTGGGTAGCTGGGACTACAGGCACACGCACCACACCCGGCTAATTGTAGAGATGAGGGGTCTCACTATGTTGCCCAGACTGGTCTCAAGCTCCTGGGCTCAAGCGATCTGCCTGCCTGGCCTCCCAGAGTGCTGAGGAATAAATAAAACTAATGTATTAAAAAATAAATGAATCAGGCCGGGCGCTGTGGCTCACGCCTGTAATCCCAGTACTTTGGGAGGCCAAGGTGGGTGGATCACGAGGTCAGGAATTCAAGACCAGCCTGGCCAGTATGGTGAAGCCCCGTCTCTATTAAAAATACAAAAAATAGCTGGGTGTGGTGACGCATGCCTGTAGTCCCAGCTGCTTGGGAGGCTGAGGCAGGAGGATTGCTTGAACCCAGGAGGCGGTGGTTGCAGTGAGCTGAGATTGCACCACTGCACTCCAGCCTGGGCGACAGAGTGAGACTCCATCTTGAATAATAATAAATAAATAAATATATAAATAAAGCCACAGCAAGCCAAATGGTAAAGTTGAAAGAAAGTTGAGGCCAGGCGCGGTGGCTCACGCCTGTAATCCCAGCACTTTGGGAGGCCGAGGCGGGTGGATCACGAGGTCAGGAGATCGAGACCATCCTGGCTAACACGGTGAAACCCCGTCTCTACTAAAATAAAAAAAAAAAAATACAAAAAATTAGCCGGGCATGATGGTGGGCGCCTGTAGTCCCAGCTACTCAGGAGGCTGAGGCAGGAGAATGGCGTGAATCCGGGAGGCGGAGCTTGCAGTGAGCCGAGATCGCGCCACTGCACTCCAGCCCGGGGGACAGAGGGAGACTCCGTCTCAAAAAAAAAAAAAAAAAAAAAAGAAAGAAAGAAAGAAAGAAAGAAAGTTTAACCGGTGGGTAGGGGACATTGCAGGTTAGCCCTAACTTCACATCTCTTGGTCTCAATTTCCGCTTCTAACTAATGAAGGGCTTGGCCTGGGTCTCCCAACATCCCTTCTGCTCTGAAAGTGTCTAATTCCTTGCTTCTTTTACATATGGTTTTTAGAGGAGCATAACCTGGAAGCGGATCCTGGTCAGGTCTCCCCAGCTGAGCCTGGTTATGTGACTTCAGAGTGAGCTTGTGCAAATGGCAGCAAAGATGGAAGGGCGGAAGAGGGTCTGTGCCCACAGGGGGAGGTGAAATTGCCAGCACTCTCTGGCAAACGACTCCACTCCCCACATGCTTGGTGGAGATGGGCCTCCACCAAGGACAAAATTGTCATTCCTGAGGGAGAAGTCTGGCCCGGGGTATCAGCTCCGGGCATGGGGGCTAAGCCTGTGATGAAAGGCTCACAGGCAAGCGCATCTGTGCAGGATGTGCTTATTGACTCAGCAGCAGGCTGGACATTAACGTATTCGATGAAGATGAGAAGAAAGGGAGAATTCAGATTCCACTCAAAGGATGCATCCCTGTCCCTTCCCTCCTCACCGACGGTTTACGAGAACCTGGAGCCAGGTAGGAGAACTGCCTCTACTGTGGAGCCTGCTTCCAACTGTTTCCTTTCTTGTACTCCTGTTTGAAGGGCCACATGATTCTGGGTGTGTGGTGCACCTCATTGTCTCCCTGTGGCTTAATTCTGGTTCTTGTGGAGTAAATGTGAGATGTAGTGAATGCTGTTCTTGTGTTGAGGGACTTAAGCAAATTTTCATCCATCTGTGCATTATGTAAAGCCTCTTCCAAATTCAGGATAAGAGAAACACCAGGAATGCTGAATATTAAGCTAAACAAAAATACAGTGAATTACCAACACCCTGAGAGAACATAGCTGAATTAATACAGGTCACACGACTTTGGGGCTCTCTTGACTGTGACTTAATACTCTTAATTTGTCATTATTTGGGGGATTAAAAAATACCTTCTGGCCGGGATGGTGGCTCGTGTTGTAATCCCAGCACTTTGGGATGCTGAGGCGGGTGGATCACTTGAAGCCAGGAGTTTGAGACCAGCCTGGCCAACATGGGAAAACACTGTCTCTACTAAAAATACAAAAATTAGTTGGGTGTGATGGCTGTAGGCCCAGCTGCTTGGGAGGCTAAGGCATGAGAATTGCTTGAACCTGGGAGATGGAGGTTGCAGTGAGCTGAGATCGTGCCACTGCACCGCAGCCTGGGTGATAGAGCGAGACTCTGTCTCAAAAAGAAAAAAAAAACAAACTGTTTACACAAGAGCTTGTATCACATTGTCTCACTGAATATCCACCTACTGTAGTAAACTCCCAGAACGTTAGACACAATAGAGCTTAGAAATCACCTAGTGTAATTCTTTTCAGTTTAAACCGAGACCTATAAATATATAAAAACAAAATGGAAACAAATTAAACTTTTCACACTGTAACTCGAAAAAATAATATTTCACTTAAAAAGACAATAAAACTACGGCAGGGATCTCTTCTACATTTTAACAAGTCTGAACCATGAAATTCAAGGGCTAAGTGAGGTAAATATCTGGCACATTTTGCTGTTTTAGAGCCATTTGCTGATGGGATAAGAATGTGAGGAGGATGGGAAAAGGGAGAAAGAAAAATATGATATATTATTTCTCTCTTTGGAATCTGCAATTGAACAAAGCATCTCAACTTAAAAACATCAGCTCTGTAAATGTTTTGTAGATTAAATATTTTGTTATTCTTTGTTCCAAATATCAAAACGTAATCTTGTCTCATTCCCCTGTGTCTGGGAGGTAGGAAGGCACAGGTTTCCCTCCTTATTGCAAACATTCCGCAGCACAAGTCCAAGAACCTAGCTACAGCCAAGGAACAGGTGAAGGCCAGCTCATTACATTTCAACTAGACCCTTTTTAAGAATCACCAGTGAACCTTAAATTCAGCTGATTTTTTAAAATTGAAAATAAAAAAGAGGCCAGGTGCGGTGGTTCGTGCCTGTAATCCCAGCACTTTGGGAGGCCAAGGCAGGCGGATCTCCTAAGGTCAGGAGTTCGAGACCAGCCTGGCCAACATGGTGAAACCCCCGTCTCTATTAAAAATACAAAAATTAGCTTGGCATGGTGGCGGGCACCTGTAATCCCAGCTACTTGGGAGGCTGAGGCGGGAGAATCACTTGAACTCGGGAGGCAGAGGTTGCAGTGAGCCGAGATCACGCCATTGCACTCCAGCCTGGACAACAGAGTGAGACTCTGTCTCAAAAAAAAAAAAAAAAAAAAATTAAAAAAAGAAAAAAGAATGGCCACATTCTCTTAGACCTTTGACTTCCACCAAGGCAGTGGTCAGGAGGCCCCTTCAGGGCCTGGATGGGTTTGGCGCCTCGTGTCGTCTAGGGAGACATCTGAAATGTCAAGGAAAGAGCAACAGACAGACATGCGGTTAGAGGCTCGAGTTTGAATACCAGCTCTGTCACATTCCAACTTGGGCAGGTCACATAACTATTGAGTTCCAGTTTGCTCATCTATAAAAGGGATGATAATAAATATATCACAGAATTATTGAGAGGATAAAGGAGATAATGCATGTAGAATTGCTGAACAACTGGAGTTATTATTTGCAGCTCTTGTTAACTAGGGCGTGAAAATGCATACCAGTCTTGTCTGTAAACCCTTTATTGTTTAAATAAAAACATTTTTTAAATGTGCTGGCTGGTCCTCGATTTGAAATAATGGAGATCTGGGAACCAGAGGAAAAAAATTCCCTAGTTATCACAGGCAAAGAAGAGTTTGAGGTTGGCCAGGGTATGGTGCTGTGCTCTGGAGAGAGATGAGGGAGAACAGGCTCTGGCTAGAGAAATGGCCTCCAGTTTCTACAAGAATGAGGAAGACAGTCCTTGCCCTTGCTGTCCTGGTGTATAGGGTAGTGCTGCGCAGCTGAAAGTCTCGGCTTGAATTGCAGAGCACAGAGAAATGCCATCTGTCATTTCTGTCTTTGGCATTTTTTAGATATGCTAGCAACAGCACCTGCTCATTTACTTGTATATAACTCAAAAATGGGAGGTGAATGTCCTAGACACAGCCTAGATGGGACACAGGTGTGAGGAAAACATTGCATTAACTTTGCATTTTTCAAGGCTTCATCAGCTGCTTAGATTAAGGAAGGATAAAAACAAGAGAAAGAGCAAGAGAAATTAAGCAACTCGTATGCTTTCTTCCCCTAAGAATCCTGATTAAAATCCAACCACAGAAGACTTGCCAGCAAGTTCCAATATATGGCGTGCTTTCCATAGCAGATCTGGCTAGTGGTTACTTGGAGGAAGGTAACGTGACAACCTATACAATATTAACTCATCCTAAATGTTGCTTAGTGAAAGAAATATAAATCTCTGAGATAGGTGACACGGGGATTTCATTTGGAACTGAAGCCCATAGTTATAAAAATTCAGTAAGGAGGAGAAAAAGAAAACAAAATAAAACTAGATTGAATCATTAATCAAAGACTGTGTGTATGGCTTAGGTTTATGTTTTTGAACCAACAGTAAATAGTAAGAAAGCATTTTCTTTTTTATGCATGTAACTAATATATTAATAGTAAAAGGACTGTTGGCTAAAGTTCAAAGTGAACGCTTTTCCTAAAACATAAAAAGCAAGTAAAATAAAACCCACAAAAACTACAGTAAACAAATGAATGCATTTTACAAAATAAAACATTTCCCTTGGAAAGTTGAGTGAAAACAAATATGTAAATAGCTTCTGTTTTTATAGTTAAAGCTTTTTAATCTCTGGTGCATAACAATTGAAAGAATGAGAACTTAGACAAAAGTATTTGGTGGATTTGAGTTAATGGGCCAAGCAAGCTTTTTTTCCTTGGCTTCTCTGTCAAATGAGTCATAGATCGAGTCTTTGGTAATAGTTTTGGCCATGGAAGGGATTTCTGAAATGCCAACGTAGTTTTTTTTGGCCATCCTTGAACTTGTTGTGATAGTATAGGCATTGCTTCGGTAACATTTCATAGAGGACATGCAAAAAGTCTCTTTCATCCCTCTCCGAAAATTGGCATTATAAATTGAATACAGAGTAGGTTTAGAGGCTGAAGAACTAAAGGATATCCATGTGATAGCTGTGAAAACAAGGGAACTTTTCTTATAGTCTTGTTCATGGGGGTGCCATAGCTGAGCTACATGAAAAGGCAGCCAGGAGAGCAAAAACAACAGATTTAAAATGAGGAACATCTTGATAGTTTTCACTTTTGTCCGAGGGACAATGTTCATTGTCCTCCTCACCGTTCGGCCATCTGTGCCTATTCTCCAAATATATTTTATGACCTTTTGGTAAAATAAAATTATGAGGACAGATGGAATCACAAAGCCCACCAAGAAGTGGATGACAGTGTAGGCAGTGCCTTCCCAAGAGGAGGGGAGGAAATAGTTACAATGACTGTCCCAGTTGGAGCCATAGAAAAAGAGCACAGGGGTCACAAAGCCTGCATCAAAGACCCACGATGCCGCAATCATTTTCTTGGCTTTTTCTCTGGACACCTTGAAGCTCAGAGGATAGACGATGGTGTAGAACCGGTCTATGCAGATGGAGAGGAGAACGTAGATCTGGACACCTGGAGTGAGATATTGAAAATATCGCACAACCTTGCACGTTGCACTACCCAGCGTCCACCTTCCAGTGGTGAACTGGAGCAGGACGAAAGGCGTGCTGGCAACGCTGATGAGAAGGTCAGCACATGCCATGGAGACCACAAAGTAGTTGGTGGTAGACTGAGTCCTCCTACTCCTATGGATGACCAAACAAACCAGGGAATTGCCGAAGATAGAAAACAACCACAGAATCCCAAAGAAGATGCTGGCTGTGGCCACTTCCCCGGGTTTCAGCACATAGTGAAGGTCTGTTTGGTTGCTCATCCAACTGTGCTCCTCACTTAATTCCATCAGGTATTGGCTTGGCAGAGGTGTGGCTGTTTCAGTGCAGCTGCGGTTTTGGAGGGGCACCAGAAGTGTAGGAATAATCAAATGTGGCTTGCTGTTATCCATTCTGTGAGCAAAAACCATATTCACTTTTTTTCTCTTAATTCTGGTTGGGGAAAAGAAGAATGAGGCCTCCTGTTAAAAAGGTGTCATACAGATTGGTTATGATTACTCAGGCTAACGATCTTATTTGACATTTACATTGATTGTCATTTGTCTTTGTGTAGGACTTGAGCGTTGGCAGGAAAACATAACTACTATCCAGAAAAAATTCTGGCCCCAACTTTGTTTTCATTTTAGGAGCTGTTTCAGCAGATCTCAGCTCAGGCTCTCTCTGGCCTCACCTTCTCTTGACCCTTAGTCATACCGAGCTCCCCTCCTACACATATCCTTGTTCCCTTCACTCATCAGGGATCACAGAATATTAGGGATCTCAAATCTGGCTCATGGTAACGGTGTTACCACCAACTGAAGATCTGCTGGAATTCTGGGCAAGTATGTGAGAAGTTCCTAATTGTCCTAAGGTTGCAAAAGAGGAAAGCTTGGGCAGATGAAAACACACAGATTTTGACTATGGAAGTAGCTAACAGCAGTCTGTGAATGTAGACAGGCTAGCTACTGGGAAGGGTGCTGTCCTTACTTAGTGTAGATTTTCCATCACAGAAGGATTATGGTAACACATGGAGCAGTCAACACTGCTACATGAGCCAGAAATAGCTCCTAATTTAATGACATCTGAAAATAGCTTGCTTTTTCTAAAAGACGATACAGTTCATGCACTAATAGCTTGCCACCTACCAGTGACATATATTTTGATGCTATTCTGTTGTTATTGTTTCATAAAATACTGACTGAAGAACATACAAGATGTCCTCTAAGAAATGTAACCAGGTTACGGGAGACCTTATGGCAGTCAGGTGATTAAAAACAACAAAAAAATGTAACTGTTAGCTAAGCACAGTGGGGAACACCTATAGTCCCAGCTACTCAGAAGGCTGAAGCAGGAGGATCAGTTGGTCCAGAAGTTTGAATCCAGCCTGGGCAACATAGCAAGACCCTATCTCAAAAAAAAAAAAAGTAACTTAAAATTACTAAGCACTTTTTAAAAGCTTATAAAGCTTACAAATCTTAGATACAAAAGAATATTTTAAAGTTTAGCCTTTATTTTGTACTTTTTGTATTATTCAGTGAGAAAAAAAGTCACACTGTTTAAATAGGCAAAAAGATTAAATAGTTGTGGGTCATTCAATTAAAATTGAGGTGATTTTGCTCACAGATTATAAAGGCTTAATTTGGTCTGAATCCAGGAAACAAAAAGAGAAACAGTAGCAATTTAATCCATAATAACCATAATAATTATGGTTATTAAGGTAAGATAAGGATAAACATTAATATTTTCAAAAATGTGCCCACTAAAAGTAAAAGCCCATGTGGGGTTACAGCCACCATTTTGCAGAGATTCCATCTGGCCTGTGGCACAAGGGGATGTGGCTCCAGCAACAGGCTTTTCTAGTAGTCACTAGTTTCTTTCCTGGTGGGCTCCTGTGTCTGCACCTCACAAAGAAACATTTCTCAAGTGACAGTCAGGATTAAATAATAGTTCATAATGAAAGAACGGTTCTTAATGACTAATATTTTCTTTTTTTTGAGACAGAGTCTCGCTCCGTCCCCCGGGCTGGTGTGCAGTGGCGCGATCTCTGCTCAATGCAACCTCCCCCTCCCAGGTTCAATTCTTGTGTCTCAGCCTCTCGAGTAGTTGGGACTAGAGGCGCGTGCCACCATGCCTGGCTAATTTTTGTATTTTTAGTAGAGACCGGGTTTCCCCACGTTGGCCAGGCTGGTCTTGAACTCCTGACCTCAAGTGATTCGCCCGCCTTGGCCTCCCAAAGTGCTGGGATTACGGGTGTAGCAATTGCGCCCAGCCCTCATTTTTTCTTTGAGGGATTTTTGTACTAATTTGTGGTAGAGAAAGAAGTGTTAATATATATAATCTTCACCAAAAAGCTATATTCAATACAAGTCTAGTGCTCAAGGCAATATACTCAATGCCTGTTCTATATTATCTTTAGGCTTTTTTGTCCATGAGGCAACCTTACTTAAGAAAGCTTAAGTAAGATAATTAAAATTTTAAAAATTAAAAAAAAAGTTTTTGCTCACCACACAGAAAGCAAAAATAATTAAACATTTTGACTACTAAAAGATCTTTAAGCATGCTGGGAAAATGATAGCCAATGGTAAGAATAGCAACCATACACTTTCCATATAAGAAATCAGGGCCAGGCGCGGTGGCTCATGCCTGTAATCCGAGCACTTTGGGAGGTCAAGGCGTGCAAATCACGAGGTCAGGAGATCGAGACTATCCTGGCTAACACAGTGAAACCCCGTCTCTACTAAAAATACAAAAGATTAGCCGGGCGTGGTGGCAGGCGCCTGTGGTCCCAGCTACTCGGGAGGCTGAGGCAGGAGAATCGCTTGAACCCGGGAGGCGAAGGTTGCAGTGAGCTGAGATCGCGCCACTGCACTCCAGGCTGGGCGACGGGGTGAGACGCCATCTCAAAAAAAAAAAAAAAAAAAAAAAAAAAGAAATCAGGACATAAGATCTAAAATTAGCATTGTCCTAGAAAATCTGGACTGCACCCTCATACATATAAGATTGAAATCATCTTTTCGCCTTCATGTGTGTAAAACCTATTAAACTTTTTAAAAAACCTGTTAAGATTTAAAGTTTAAAAATAAACTAAAACAGACAATTTCCCCAGACAGAAAACTGTTCTAACTTTTCTGGGATGCCTGTGGCCTGAATAAAACAGGAGTCCACACAGGCACTTTTCCTTAATGCGCATACTTGAAAACCTGTGAACTTCCTTCTGTCTCTTTCTTCCTCTAACAACAAAACTCTGCAAATGAAACTCAAGCTCACCGCTTTAACTAAAGCCCGGAGGCGGGGGGCCCTTCCATCATTTCCTCCAGCTGCTTTACACCCATGAGTCTGTCTGCCCATTTCCCCAGCCCAACCACTTGGAAGCAGAGGATCCCAATGCTCAGAAACAGGACGAGGGAGCCCGAGGAGTTCCTGAGTCTAGATTTCCCCTGCTGGTGGCATAAGTTCTCACTCCACCTAAAATCGCTGCAGTTCTGAATATTCATTCAATAAGCCGAGAAACTGGGCTAGGTATTAAGAAAACAAAGATCGGCCGAGCGCGGTGGCTCACGCCTGTAATCCCAGCACTTTGGGAGGCCGAGGCGGGCGGATCACAAGGTCAGGAGATCGAGACCATCCTGGCTAACACAGTGAAACTCCGTCCAACTAAAAATACAAAAAATTAGCCGGGCATGGTGGTGGGCGCCTGTAGTCCCAGCTATCCGGGAGGCTGAGGCAGGAGAACGGCGTGAACCCGGGAGGCGGAGCTTGCAGTGAGCCGAGCAGCCTGGGGCACAAAGCCAGACTCCGTCTCAAAAAAAAAAAAAAAAAAAAAAAAAAAAAGAAAACAAAGATACGTAAGCAGTGTGCCATATTATAACTCAATTTGATAATAATTATAATTCACTGCTAAGAACAGAACTTTGTACAAGGAGCTAAGTAAGACAAAAATAGGGACCCAGTTTTGCCCGGGTAAGGGGAAGAAAAGGAAAGGCTTCACAGAAGAGGTAAAGTTTGAGCTGGGAGCTTAGAGGATGAATAGGACTTCTTCAGGAAGACAAGTGAATAAAACATTCCAGGGGAGAGAGATAGCATGTGGATTGAATTTTGGGGTCATTTTTCTGGGTTGATCTTTTTTGGGGCCCTTTTCCCCTCAGAAACATAGTTTCCTTCAGACCATGCCTCCCAGAGTATATAGTTTCTAAATGCCCTACAATCAAACTGATCTAAATTTTTCCCCTGGTTACAATGAGAGGTTATATTTGCTGCATTCATGGGCAGAAATGCGGTCAGACAGTGGATAAGAATATTAGCATATCCAGAATGGTTGTGGTACCCTTGCTCATACAGCATCTTGTTAGTCCTTTACTGCAGCATTTTCCAAGTTTGTTTTTCTCTAGCTTAGCAATACAGTAGATTGGAGTCTTCCAGGCAGCCTTAAGAAATATTGATGCCTGAGTCCCAGCTTCAGGGATTTTAATTTAATTGCTCTGGAGTGCAGCCTGGGTGTCGGATGTTTCAAAGTTCCCAGGTGATCCTGAGTGTAGCCAAGATTAAGATCTGTGCTTTAGAAATACCTCCATGTTTCTGTCTTCTCCAATAAACTGTGGACTCCAGTAGGGAGATGGGGATGTTATTCTTTTTCTCCATGCTCTACAGCTTCCACTGAAGTTCTTTACATTAATAATTGCTTATTCGATGTTTACTAAATTGGATCTGTAAGGACAGAGAACTGAAATAAATGACTCTTACTCTATGTGCCTCTGCTAGGAGAATTAAATGCACATAGAAAATCACTATATATTCTCAGAGAGGTGAAACATTGGGGATTATGGTGATAGGGGAAAACATGACTCCTGATAAAAGCAGGGCAGGTGAAACTGAAGCTACCAGGTCAACTGCTATATGAAACAGATATCTCATCTAAGGGAAAGCCAAGGTAATTTAGGTGTCCTCAGACAGGTTCTTGCACTTTCCTCCCAGAAAAAAGTCTGCCATATTATAACTAAATTCTAGGGTCCCAAAGTAAAGTTTCAGAAAGGCCTCCCCTGCTCCATTAATTTAGATAAAAATATATCTTCAAGGGGGTGTTTCTGAAATATAAGATCTGGTTAATTAGTAATTCTGTTCAGAGCCATCCATATGCAGTAATTTTAGCAGTGACAAGAAAGGCTTCTTCACCTCTTTCCTGTTCGACCTATCTCTTCCCAGCCAGTTCTGAGACTACCATTTGACATACTCCCTTGGCTGAGGTATTGAAGGTCCTTATTTATCTCTACCTATATATGATCTAAAAGAGGAATCATTCATTTATCCTATTATCTACTTCTCACCCATCCAAGCTTTAAGATTAATACATGAGTGGGGAAAATGGTAGATGGGTTGTCATAGCACAGAACTGGGGGCCAGGCATGGTGGCTCATACCTGTAACCCTAGCACTTTGGGAGGCTGAGGCGGGCGGATCACCTGAGGTCAGGAGTTCAAGACCAGCCTGGCCAATACGGCAAAACCCCGTCTCTACTAAAAATACATAAATTAGCCAGGCGTGGTGGCATGTGCCTGTAGTCCCAGCTACATGGGAGGCTGAGGCAGGAGAATCGCTTGAACCCGGGAGGCAGAGGTTGCAATGAGCTGAGATCACGCCACTGCACTCCAGCCTGGGTGAGAGTGAGACTCTGCATCTCAATTAGAAAAAAAAAAAAAAAAAGAACTGGGGACTGGTTACCCCTGTAATGATGGGATCCTGGGGCACCTGGGAGGAGAATGTACCCTATCACTTTGCTTTGTAATTTTTATTTTGCATGTTTGTCTCCCCCATTAGGTTATGAGTTCCTTGAGGATAAGGACTATGTCTTTACTTCTATATCCCTGGGGCACATAGCTATTAAAAAAGGTTTAATGAATATATGAATGGGTGGATATGTTAGTAAAAATTATCCAATACTTGAAAATAAGGCAAAAAAGGACATATACTCTTAAGATCTTGCTGGGACATTCTTAAATGGGCCTCTCTCTCTGGGAGAATGTACCTGTGCTTGACTTTGCTATTTAATATTTGACTAGAGCTGAGACATTGTGAAGATATTTATATGTTAACTTGTAGATTTCTTTCTAGCAGAAAATAATAACCCCAAAGGTTATGGACTTACTGCCCTCTAGGACATTAGCCAGTTTAGTGTTTACCTAGCAATCTTATGCTGAAATTCTTTTTAAAAAATGCCTATAAAGATGCATTCTTCAAATGCTCTTGGAACCAGCTTTATTATATCATTGGTTCCTTCGGTATTATGTTAATAAATCTTTAACATATGTTCATTCAATATTTGTAAAAGTCATGATTCTAACTTTTTGAAAATCATACTTTGTTGGATGCAATGGATGGATGAATGACTGGAAGCTAATAAGAGGGAGCGGAGGACCACAGAGAGGAATGGGGCATGGATGACAAACTTTGCTTCACAATTCTGCATCAACTGTTGGATAGGTTTTTTAGTTAGTCTATTTTTTAAGTCTAAAAATACCCTAACAACTAACTTTTTGTCCTCTTGAGATTATAAAGATTCACAAACATTCTCACAAGGTATAAAGACCATTTTTATTTCTTGAGATTTGTTTAAAAATTTAATGTCAAACAAGAATTTTTATAATATTGATTTTTTACATGATTTGGTTGAAAAAAAAAAACAGAAACATTTTCTGTAGAATGGGAAGTATCTGCTGGACCTACATGGATACATATGGGTATTTACTAATGAGCAGTAAGATTACAATCATGACAGTAGTTATAGCATTAATACTACCAAGAGTTAATACTTATTTTTGTGCTTACTATGTGCCAGGCACTTTATATGTGTAACCCCTCAAAGTAGGTAAAATTACTGGCCTTGTTTTACAAATGAAAAAAACTGAAGTTCTTCCCCAAAGTCATACCGTTGGAAAGTGGTCACTCCAAAGCCCTTGCTCTTAACTACCATCAGGGTTTCCTGACCAGTGAGACCACAGAGGGCTGGATCTGAATTCAGAGAGTCAAATTGGCTGTACATGGGTAAGTCTTTCTTGACTATTCATTCAAAGAGAGGAATACAAAGTTATTCCCTATAGCCTCTTGCCTACCCACAGATACATCTGTTCAATATGCTAGCTCAGAAATATGTGACATAGTGAACAGTTTTAAAAAATGATCACTCCCACAACGCACTGCACAGAAGCTTAGCATCAAAAGTGCGCCAGACATGCTGGCCTGGAGAAATAGCCTTTCTTCAGAATAAAGAGTGTGAGAGTATTGGCATTTCAACATGCTGCATAATTAACTGTTGCCTTTTAAACAGAATGAAAGCAGAATTCTAGACTTCAATTTGAATTGAAATGAGGAAAAAATTTGATCAATTGTATTATCCCAAGTAGGAAATTATCTTTTAAAATTTTAGTTGTTTAAATTCAAGAAATACCACGGTACGGAGATTTTAAGGTAAACCCTTCATTGTTGTGTAGGCTTGATTTGTTTACATGTGAAAATGAGAAATGCCTGTAACACTAGTGGGCTGGGACTGGCTTACATAGGGAACCCTGAGCCAACTGTATATACATTTCTTCCCAACTCCAGGCTCAAAGACATCATGTTGGCATCATGAAGCAGCCATGGTAGGAGTATGGCAAACACCAAAAATTGAAGTTTTGTTTTTTTCCCCCCTCTGCAGAGCCAGTTGTTAAACATTTACCCGCACACCACTTCCAGTAGGGCAGGGCTTTCAGGGCAGCCTATCCTAAGTCCTGAACTTACACACATTGCTGAACTTAAAAATGGCTCAGGAGGCCACACAAGCTCTTCTGAAGCTTCCTAACTGACTCTCTTGCTGTGTGGCCTTGAGATAAAGACTCTGGTGTATGTGTGCTTGTGTGTGTTTTATAGAGATGAGGTCTTGCTATGTTGTCCAGGCTGGTCTTGAACTCCTGGGCTCAAGCAATCCTCCTGCCTTGGCCTCCCAAAGTGCTGGGATTATAGGTGTGAACCACCATGCCCAGCTGAGAAAAGACTGATATGAACATTAGGTGATTTATAAAACTACATAAGGCTAGGTAGCCACCAGCATGACTGTGTGGGGTAACAGGAAAATCAGAGAGGGTGAGACATGTTCTTACAATGTCGACTCAGATGAGGTTGCTAGATAAAATACAGGATGCCCAGGTAAATGTGAATTTCAGATAAATAACAAATAATTTTTTTGTAAAAGTATGTCCCATGCAATATCCCATGCAACATTTTACTGGTGTCCTGTATTTTCATTTGTTAAATCTGGCAAACCTACACCCAGAATGTAATCTTCTGCTAAAAAAATCTCATGTTTTAAATCTCACAGTGTAGGCATACTGCAAAGTGGATATGTATGTAGGCTTTGAAGTCAGTTGCATCCTATTCCTGTCACTCACTCACTAGCTGGGTGACCTTGGGCAAGTTACCTAACCCTCTTGAGCTCCAGTTTTCTTCTGTAAAATGAAGATAGTCAGTTCCTATCTCATTTGATTATTATAACTAGATGAGAGAATATACACAGGACTTAGATGAGTTAATACATGTGCATCTGCCTGGTATGAGGAAAACAACAGGTGTTATTTTTATATACAGTTCTACAAAACACCTAGTTCTGTGTCTGGAACAAAGCAACTGCTTCAAAAATTAGTCTTTTAAACCATATGACAAACAAATTTTAGTAACCATATTACACATCACATACTATAGTAATAATACTAACATTGGTCACATAATTTAGCTTTGTCAAGGGTAAATGGCTTTTGTGAAGGGGCCTGGGTACCTAATCATCATTTACAACAATGTTTTTAAGGGGGAAATCATTGAGGCCAAATAAATAAACACATTTTCTCCAAGTTGTGGATGATTTTATGTGACATGTTGTCCAGATCAAACTTTTTAAGGTATCCTACATCAAAATACATAATACAACTGGATTGAATACGCCTTTTTCAAAAGCCCATAGAATCTATTCTGCTTAAATTATTTCCATTAGAGGCTGGGCATGTAATCTCAGCACTTTGGGAAGCCGAGGTGGGCAGATCATCTGAGGTCAGGTGTTTAAGACCAGACAGGCCAACATGGTGAAACCCCATCTCTACTAAAAATAAAAAAAAAAAAAATTAGCCGGGTGTGGCGGCTGGTGCCTGTAATCCCAGCTACTAGGGAGGCTGAGGCAGGAGAATTGCTTGAACCAGGGAGGCAGAGGTTGCAGTGAGCTGAGATTACACCACTGCACTCCAACCCAGACAACACAGTGAGACTCCCTCTCAAAAAAAAAAAAATTGTTTCCATTAGATATTTTAAATAATTGCAAAAGAACCTCACACCAATGAAAACAGAGCTTCTTTCCACCACCTGAAACTCCTGGTGCCACAAGCTTATAGGCCTGGAATTTTCTCTACTGGTCTTTTTCCTTTCCTCCTTTTATATAATATATATAAGTATTCCTCCATAATAATCCAGCTCTGTACCTTTCAAACTGTTTCCTAACTGGCATCAAGCAGTTTCTCAAGCTCAGACTGGGTATATTTTCTTTTTGTTTGGAAACTCGATATGCTTTCATGGGAACATAATTTTTTTTTAAACAGAGATGTTTTCAAAACAGCTTCTTCTAACTTCACAAAATAGCTTAAAACAACCATGAACATTCCTGGCTCAGAAATTCTGCCTATGTAGATTTAAGGGACTATTACTCTCCTATCACATTTGCCTCTTTCTTTACCCTTCACATGAATTCAAAAAATCAACCTCTCTCACAATTACAGCATCATCCTTTAAAGTGAAGATCCCTATTAAAATATAAATGTTTCTTAAAGACCAGTTGTACATTTTTTTCAGTTTTATATTTTATCAGTAGTGATTTCTGAGACCTATTCATTCTATCTCTGAAATCTACGATTAGTGAAAATGAAAACAGAAGAGATGCCAAAAGCAAAAGCCGTGAGGACCATCAGTAACTGAGAGAATTAAGATGGGGTGTCATTATGAGAAGGGCCGGGTGAAGGGTGAAAGGTGAAGTTGAAGAAGATAAACTTCACCTCCTTGACAGTTTTGTGAAGGAATGGATAACCACTGGTAGCTACCCTACCCAAAGGAATAAAACAGAAAGGAGCCTGAGCTTTACCCCACATGAAGGTTTAAGTTGACCACAGGCTGCAGTCCTCCCCTAATTCCTTGTAAACAATGTTGCATGACAAAAATGTTAGGTCGTGTTGGCATCTCTTTGGGGGTGACCACCCCCACGGATGTATAAAGAATACTATCTAATATTTCTCTTCCCAACTGCTGCTTAGTAGCTTAGTAGAGTTCCGTGTATACAGGACACAGCTGCAGGTTTAATACTGAACTTCCCTACCTCCCTACATTCACACAAAATCTGAAAAGTAAGATACAATGTAAAAAAAACAAGTGCAAAAAAATTTCACCCTGGCTGGGTGTGGTGACTCATGCCTATAATCCCAGCACTTTGGGAAGCCGAAGTGGGTGAATCACTTGAGGTTAGGAGTTTGAGACCAGCCTGGCCAACATGGTGAAAACTCATCTCTACTAAAAATACACAAATTAGCCAGACGTGATGGTGGGTGCCTGTAATCCCAGTTATTTGGGAGGCTGAGGCAGGAGAATTGCTTGAACCCCGGAGGCGGAGGTTGCAGTGAGCCAAGATTGTACTACTGCACTCCAGCCTGGGTAACAGAACAAGACTCCATCTCAAAAAGAAAAAAAAAAAATTCACCCTAAGAAATGACCATTTTGTTATGATGGCATATGCAAAATAGTCTTCAATCATAACATTTATCCATTTTTTAAAAAGATCACTTAGTGTGGCCAGAGTTGTGTTCATTGCTGGGGACACAGACATTATAATAACTAGACAGACAAGATCCCTGTTTTTATGGAGCTTACTTCTAACATGGGAAACAAATAATAAACAGCTAAACAAATAAAAATGTCAATAATTCAGAAATGATTAGTGCTATGTAGAAAAAGAAAACAGAATGAGGGACCAAGAATTGACGGGAAATGGAATGGCAGATGGCTGGTTAGCTGGTTACCCAATGACCATTCCCAACTCCTCCCTCTCCTGCCTCTTAAGAGGCTAAAAAGGTAAGATAATAATTTCCCCACCATCCCTTTCAGTTAGGTGTGGTCACATCAATATAATCTTCTTCTGGCCAGTGACAAGAGAAAGTCTCCTGGCAGGGTGTTGGGAGGTTCTTGGAAAAATGTTTCTTCCTTGATAAAAGGAAAGAGGTGTGTAGTGAGTATTCTCATGGGCCTGACTGCCTCTCTGCTTCTTGCCACTGTAAACTGTCACATGAAGATGTCAGGGCACTGGGTGGTATCTTCTGAGGTCAGGGGAAGTCCTGAGACTCACCGGGACATAGTGCCCTGACACTGTGGTGCTGCTAGGACACTCACCTCCAGACTTACTAAGTAAGCAAACAATGTCTTTATGGCTTAAGCCACTTTGAGTTTTGTTACTCATCTCTGAAAGCACCCTGTCTGAAACAGGGTCTGGTTTTAGATGGAGTGGTTAGAGAAAGGTTCTCTGAAGAGGTTATATGGCAGCTGAAACCCCAACGACAGGAAGTCCGCCATAACATTCAGGCAGAAGAAATGATGAGTGCAAAGACCCTGGTGTAGGAATGAGCTTGTTATGTGGCTACAGCATATGAATACCAAAGAAAATGATACCTGATATAACCGGAAAGGTGGGCAAAGGTAGGATGACACAGGGCATTGTAGGGCATGGTTTTAGTCTATTGAAGGAAAATTCATCGCAGGTTTCAGGCAAAGGAGTGAAATGAATATGCCATTTTTTTTAACCCCCTCACGCACATTTATGTTTTAAAAATACAACTTTAGTTGCTGTGTAGGTGGCCAAGCATAGAAGCAGGGAGAATAGTTAACAGGCTATTACACCCAGCACTTTGGGAGGCCGAGGCAGGTGGATCACTTGAGGTCAGGAGTTCGAGACCAGCCTGGCCAACATGGCAAAATCCTGTCTGTACTAAATATATAAAAATTAGCCCAGCATGGTGGTGAGTGCCTGTAATCCCAGCTACTCGAAAGGCTGAGGCAGGAGAATCACTTGAACCTGGGAGGCGGAGGTTGCAGTGAGCCGAGATTGTACCACTGCACTCCAACCTGGGCGACAGCCAGACTTTGTCTCAAAAAAAAAAAAAAAAAAAAAAGGCTATTACAGCCTGGGCAACATAGTCAGACCCTATCTCTACCAAAAAAAAAAAAAAAAAGTAAAAATTTGCTGGTTGTGGTGGGAGGCTCCCAGCTACTTGGGAGGCTGAGGCAGGAGAACTGCTTGAGCCTAGGAGGTTGAGGCTGCAGTAAGCTGTGATGCTGTGATCACACCACTGCTGATGATGGTGGCTTAGACCAGGGTGATGGCAGTGTAGGTGGAGAAAAGTAGATGAATATTGAAAATATTATGGAGACAGAGCCAACAAGATTAGTTTATATGTGATGGGGTTAGGGAATGGGGATGACCCCTAGTTTTGAGAGCCTGAGAGCAAGAGAGAAAAAGTTTAGGGAGCTTGAAATCAGTAATACTACTATACACAAGTTAAATTCCCACTAGATATCCACGTAGAGATATCAGTTGGCTATTGAATATGTACATTTGGAAAAATCTCTTTTGAAAACCTGTGCCCATTTGAATCAATTCATTCATCACTCCATAAATATACACTAAGATCATACTACACTCCAGAATGTACTATGTTAATAATTAGATATACAATGGTAAACCAAACTGTATCCCTACCCTCATGAAGATCTAGTATAATTAGTTGTAGAGGGGTAGAGAGTAGTAAACAGATAAGAAGAAATGAATGTATTAAGTTGTAGTAAGTCCAATGAAAGAAGAGTAGGCTGCTATAAGAGAGCATGGTGAGGACCCTCCCCTGGGCTGGGGTCAGGGAGGCAATGGAAGCAGCAGCAGAGATGATGAAGAATGGCTCATCTAAGGTAGACCCTCCAGGACCCCTGCTGCTGACAGATGACAAGAGAGTCTAGCCAACATGCCGCCTTGGGTCCCAGCCGTGTTCCAGGTCCTTAACAACGTTCTAGGCTCCTTGAGGCCTGGACTTAGGACTGTTGTGATAGTCTGTTGTCCTGGAAGCAATTCAGAGGTTTTTTTATAGACAAAAGAACCTAAATCATCACGTGGGGAGCAGGTTAGAGAGAAAGAGGGATAAGTGGAGCCGAGAGGAACAAAGTATCCCCATAGATTTTGTTCTGTGTAAGAACCCCAGGACCTAGGAAGGGGAAGAGAGTCTCAGTAATGTTTGCCATTGATGTTCCCATCAGCCTGGTAGGATAGAGCCTTGCCGTTATTTAAAGGAAATAATGTGAGTAGTAGGCAGAATGGTTCCCCAAAGATATCCATGCCCTAATCCCTGGAACCTGTGAATGTGTTATGTTATATAGCAAAAGGGATTCTGCATAATAATTAAGGTTATGAACCTTAAAGTGGGGAGACTATCCTGGATTATCCAGGTAGGCCCAATCTAAGCACATGAGCCCTTAAATGCAGGGAACTTTCTCTGGCAGCAGCAGGAGAAGTCAGAGAGACTCCAAGCATGAGAAAGAATTGACATGCTATTGCAGGCTCTGAGATGCAGGGGCCCACATAGAGGGACCAGGATGAGGCCTCTAGGAGGTATGATGGCTCCCACCTGATAGCCATCAAGGAAATAGGATCTTAGTCTTACAACCACAAGGCACCGGATTCTGCCAACAACCTGACTGAGCCTGGAAGGGCAGTCAACCTCAGAGCCTCTAAAAAGGATCACAGTCCTGCTAAGATCTTGATTTTAGCCCTGGGAGACTCTAAGCAGAGAACTCAGCCAAACCCACCCAGACTTCTGATGTACAGAACTGTGAGATAATAAACAGTGTTATCTTAAGCCACTAAATTTGTGTTAACTTGTTACAGCAGCAATAGAAACTAATTCAATGTAGCATTTCTTATATAATTTAATTTGAGTACTAAAATTCATACCAGTCATTCTATCACCTTCTAATACCCTACTAGCACCTGAAATATTAGAAAACCAAAAATCTTAAAGAGTATAGTGCTTTCTACTTCACCTTACACATTGGGCTGGGGGCTAAGAAACCTGGGTTCTAATTCTGATTATAAGCACTGAACAAGTCAAGAGACCCCGGTCTTATTTTTTATTTCAGCATAAGGACCTTAAGTAAATCAACCTCCTTGAACCTCTGTTTCCATATCTACAATATGCATGAGTTGGCCTAGATGATTTCTAAGGTCATTTCAGCTCTATGAGCAAAAAGTGACAGGTGGACATTGTTATCTGAGATGAGCTAATTTAATTTATAACCCACCACTTTCATCTGGCAGAGAGCTCATCCTGAGAGTGCATTTTGATGGGAGGAGAGGGAAGTTGTTTAGGGCTGCTGGGGCCCAGCACTGAGAGTTTTTGATATCAAGGATCAGTAGCATGGGTCTCCAAAGGAAAGATGAATTTTACCTAGGGTCCAGCCCAGCTTTCCACAGTAATTATCCTAGATGTGTCAACAACTTCTTACTGAAGATTCCTTGCAAGAAGTGGTCTGGTCAAAGAGGACCTGCCACCTGTGTTTGCTTTCCATTCTATCTAATACCAAACCTCTCAGAGAAGAGACACATTTCTAGAACCCCCGAGTGTCCTCTGTCAGTTTCTACACGTTTCTTCCCAGTATGAGGTCTTTCAAATTCTGAAGAAAACAATTTGGCCAAGGAATTTGCACCTCACTAAATTCAATTCACTACAGCAAACATTTTTTGAACACCTGCTGTGTGCTCATTGAGTTAGTGGGAACCAGTTGTTTTGGAGGTAAATGTTTGGTTTCATTTCTAAGTTCTGACTTCAGTATCAAGAGGCAAAGACTAGACTTACTAAAGTCAAAGCAAAGAACAACGAAGTAGTTGAGATTTACAGCTATTTGAAAAGGAGGTGAAGGACTTGTTAAGAAGCGAGTATAAGCACTGAGCAGGAAGTTACTAAGCATTATTTCTCAGGAGCATTCACCTTCTGTCTCACATCTTATTCACATCAACATTCCGGGTAAATTTTGATCTGTACCACTGTCCTCAGTCAGGGTTTTCTAGAAAGCAACCTTCAAGTTTATGAAGCAGATGTTAATTTTTTTTTTTTTTTTTTTTGAGACAGAGTCTCGTTCTGTCTCCCAGGCTGGAGTGCAGTAGTGCGATCTTGGCTCACTGCAACCTCTGCCTCCTAGGTTGAAGCGATTCTCATGCCTCAGCCTCCTGAATAGCTGGGATTACAGGCATGTGCACCACGTGCAGCTAATTTTTGTATTTTTAGTAGACATGGAAAATGAAAAATGAAAGTCTTTCCACTTATATTTGTATATTTGCTCTATTATTTGAGAATTTTCAATTCTGCGTTACACCATGTTGGCCAGGTTGGTCTTGAACTCCTTGCCTCAAGTGATCCACCCGCCTTGGCCTCCCAAAGTGCTGGGATTACAGGCATGAGCCACTGCGCCTGGCCACAGATGTTAAATTTAATATCGCATTAACATGTATTTTTTCATGGACAAATTATGTGACTATATGAAAACATGGCTGAACATGTATTTTCATATATTTCACATGGATAATATATATATTCAGTATATTAGACAGTTTATAAATGATCATTTCTCAGTGCTTCTTAATTCAATCCTCTCTGCATTTCAGTAATCGTTGACTCAAATCACCTATGCTGGCTAGGCAGGGTGGCTCACGCCTGTAATCCCAGCACTTTGGGAGGCCAAGGCGAGTGGATCACCTGAGGTCAGGAATTCGAAACCAGCCTGACCAACATGGTGAAACCCCATCTCTACTAAAAATATAAAAATTAGCTGGGCGTGGTGGTGGGCGCCTGTAATCCCAACTACTCAGGAGGCAGAGGCAGGAGAATTACTTGAACCTGGGAGGCGGAGGTTGCGGTGAGCTGAGATCGTGCCACTGCATTCCAGCCTGGGTGACAGAACGAGACTCTGTCTCAAAAAAAAAAAAAAAAAAAAAAAAAAATCACCTATGAAGCAATTTTCAACCTTTCTTCTTCAGAGACACATCACAAATGTGTTCATATGTGTGATATACCCCCATATATCCAGAATTATGTGCAATTCTAGGAGCTCGACCTGTAATTCCAACCCTTTAATCTCCATCTAAGAAATCATACTGAAAAAAATATTGTTATGTATATACCCTTAAATTTATTCCAATTAATTTAAAAAAACCAATGATTATTTATTAGTAAGCAGTTATTTGCAACATGCTCTGTTTAGGACATAGCAATATATTTTGACACCTTTGTTGATATGCACGGTCCTGATATGCCACAAGTATAACATGAAATCTAAATTCTTGAAGGCTAAGGTGCTTGGCACAGAGAACCAGAGAAAGGTAATAAGAGAGAAAAGTGCACTTATTCTCTCTGCTGGGCAACTGTGAGCTTATAACTAGTTCTCCGAGTCTACTAATAAGCATTTAATAAGAATCTACTAATGAGCACTTTTCTTGATCCATAAAGTCACTATTGACATTCCAGCAAAGTTTCACGGCCTGCCCCCAATTTGAAGATTTATTTCTCTCTTTGGATATAGAACAAAATAACTTTATGTACATTTTATTTCACTTTATTTTACTTTATTGGGTTGGTGCAAAACAAATTGCAGTTTTCCCATGAAAAGTAATGGCAAAAACTGCAATTACTTTCGCACCAGCCTAATATTTTATTTTGAGACAGAGTCGCACTCTGTTACCAAGGCTGGAGTGCAGTGGTGTCATCCCAACTCACTACAGCCTCTGCCTCCTGGGTTGGAGAGATTCTTGTGCGTCAGCTTCATGTGTAACTGGAATTACAGGTGCACGCCACCACGCCCAGCTAATTTTTGTATTTTTTGTAGAGATGGGGTTTCGCCATGTTGCCCTGGCTGTTCTCAAACTCCTGACCTCGAGTGATCTGCCCACCTCAGCCTCCCAAAGTACTGGGATTATAGACATGAACCACCGTGTCTGGCTCTTTATGTGCATTTTTAATATGAAGAGGCTATATAGTATGGTGGCTGAGAGCACAGGTTCTAGACTAGTGGTTCTCAATCAGAGATAATTCTGCCTCACAGTGAACATTTGGAAATGTCTAGAGACATTTTTAGTTGTCATGTCTGAGAGAGGGAAGTGTTACTGACATCTGGTAGGTGGAAGCCAAGGATGCTGCTAAACATTCTACAATGGTTTGGGCACAGTGGCTCATGCTTGTAATCCCAGCACTTTCGGAGGCTGGGGTGGGAGCATCACTTGAAGCCAGAAGTTTAAGACAAGCCTGGGCAACATAGTGAGTCCCTGTCTCTATCAAAAAAAAAAAAAAAAAAAATTAGCCGGGCATGGTGGTGCATGCTTACAGTCCCAGCTCCTTGGAAGGTTGAGGTGGGACTATCATAGACCTAAAGGGAAAAAACTAACAAGCACAAGATAGGGTATGTTAGCCCTAGGAGTTTGAACCTAGGAGTTTCAGGCTGCAGTGAGCCATGAGTGTACTACTGCACTCGAGGTTGGGTGACAGAGTGAGACCTTGTCTCTGGAAAAAAAAAAAAAGCCCAAAACACTACAATGACAAGGACATTCCCCGACCCCCACCACGACAAAGAATTATCTGGCCCCAAATGCCAATAGTGCTAAGGTTGAGAAAGCCTGCTCTAGAGTCAGCCTGCCTGGGGTTCAAGTCACTTATAATCTGTGTAGCTGTTGGTAAATTATTTTACATGTTTGTGCTTATTGGGTGTCTTCAACAATAAAATTAGAATAAATAATAACAATACTCACTTTATTGATTTTCTATGATAATAAAATAAATTACACAAGAAAGGAGCTAAGGACAATGTCTGGAACAAAGCAAGTGCTCAACAAATATTTGCTTTTGCTTTCATTATATGCATTGAAAAAAAATTGAGAAGAAATACACCAACATTTTAACAGTGATTGTTTCTAGGTGGCAAGATCACAACTGATTTTTATTTTCATTATCCTTTTATACTGCTTTATATTTTCCAAATTTTCTAGAATGATATTTGTATTACTCTAATATCCAAAAACATGTTTTAAAAGAATGCAGATAAAAGAACTTTATTTGTGATATAGTAAAAAGAGCACAGAATTAAAAAGACCTGGATTCAGATCCTGACTCTACCTGCCGTCTGTGGACATTGAATAGGTAAGTTAATCTCTTTGAGCTTCAGTTTCCTCAGCTAAAATTGGGGCTAATAATGCATATCATAGAGAGTTGCTATGAGAATTAAACATGACAGACATGCAGTGTCTGGGAGAGTATACCAAAGGAAAGGCTCCAGGAGATGACTGCTTTAAAGGTTTGGCCAAGGGAAAATGACTCCACAAACAGGGAAACATATTCATGATGGTAACTGCCCTTTTGCCTTTTATTTTTTGTTTTTTGAGATAGGGTCTTGCTTTGTCACCCAGGCTGGAGTGCAGTGGAGTGATCACCGCTCACTGCACCCTCAACCTCCCAGGCCCATGCAATCTTCCTACCTCCGTCTCCCGAGGACCTGGGACCGCAGGTGTGTGCCACCACACCCAGCTATTTTTGTAGATCTCCCTATGACTTTTTTTTTTTTGAGACAGAGTCTTGCTCTGTCACCCAGGCTGGAGAGCAGTGGCACCATCTCAGCTCACTGCAACCTCCACCTACCGGGTTCAAGCGATTCTCCTGCCTCAGCCTCCCAAGTAGCTGGGATTACAGGCACCTGCCACCATACCCAGCTAATTTTTGTATTTTTAGTAGAGATGGGGTTTCAGCATGTTGGCCAGGCTGGCCTAGAACTCCGGACCTTAAGTATTCTGCCCCCCTCAGCCTCCCAAACAGCTGGGATTACAGGCGTGAGCAACCATGCCTGGCCTAAGGTCTCCCTATGTTTAGGCTGGTCTCAAATTCCTGGGCTCAAGCAATCCTCCCGCCTTAGCCTCCCAAAGTGCTGGGATTACAGGCGTGAGTTATGGCACTCAGCCTCCCTTTTTCTTTTTAAGCCATCCTCTCAGCACAACTCCCATGTCATCCAATTTTTTGCCTTGGCTGATGGAGAAGAAACTACGTCCACACTCTGGTCCTTCTCTCTCCTCTCCCCTCCCTACATACACCCTAGGAAGGGATCTGATCATTCCCCTGGCAGGCCCTGACTCATTTGGCAGGGTTTACTTGCAGGCAAGCTGTTGTGTCCGAAAGGCAGGACCCAGGTATCACTTTCTCATAGTCTTTACCCATGCTCATTGTCCCTCTTCTTATTTCTGCTTTCACCCCTCACCTCTAGGTTGAAATCATACTTGGCAAGGCCTCTCCTCAAGGGGAAGCCTCTCCACTTTCTCTCCCTCTGTTCTATCCTCCCATTTAGCTGGTTGAGTAGGTTGCCCCCTTTTAGACTCCAGAGGGATGTGTAGGAAGCCCAGCTAGGCTTCCAGATCCATGCCTCATGTGTGTGCTAGCCCTGCTTATCTGAGAAGCCCTGCATGTGTGGGGGGCATGTAGCACTTGCCAGCTGGTTTGTGCTTCCGTCAGGGCTGTTGTCTGTTTTGTGCAGCTCGCTCAGCAGGTAATGTTTGAGGTGAGCAGCATGAGCTGGTAGAATTCAAGGACACACACTTTATCCACAACCCCTTAATGATTTAATTAGATGGAAAAATCATAGATTATGTTTGTGTATATTATCAGGAGGGTGACTACTTTAAGCCTTACTATCTTGCTAACTTGAATTTAAATCCTGACCAAGCTTTCAAAATGCCCCAGGAAAATCTTCTTCATTCAGGACAATCTTCTTCAATCATGCCATGGTTTGGGAAAGGTAGTCTGACCCTAACCCACACTGATACTCAAGATCCCAGAGTTCCCTAGGAAATAGTCCTGCAGTCCTGTGAGCTTTCTATACAGAGTTCTAAGGACTGGGAGTCAGACTGGATTAGGAGAGAATTGCCTGAGGCAGGAGTTGACTTCTCAAGACATTCACTCTCAAACTGAATTAAACTGTTTCAACGCTGGGAGATGGAACCACCCAAAACATCAGAGGAAAATAAGACTGTTAGGGGTGCTTCCATTTAGATATGAATGAAAATATCAGGAGAACTTCATTCTAAATATAAATAAAAATGTCAGGGGGATTGGTGATCTCCAGGAAATAATTTATGTATACTTTCTAAACTGTAATTTGTAGCTGCTCCAGGGCCAGCCTAACTATATAAACTTCAGGCATAATTTTGACTGTTGCCAAGTTCTTACTACACATGTGTCTCCTCACTGTCCTCTCTATAAATACATGCAAAATAAAACAGGCATGGACTCCCAAATTGGCACCAGCAGAATATGTCATTGTTTTGAGTCTTCTCAGTCTTCATTCACAAGAGTATATTGAGAGTTCACCATAAACCAGGCCTGGTGATAAGTGCTAGAAATCCAAAGAGGAAAGGATACCATCCCTCAAGAAGCTCACTTCATGTGACTATAATAGCATCAAAGTGTTACTTGTTCCAGAAAAATGTAGATTTCAGCAGGGATCAAATGCTTAAGCTAAAAGACTAAAGTTCAATATTGTAGGGGACACAATTACGTCTTAAAGTACTGCGCAATGAAACCCTGAAGGGAACTGGTAACTTTTCTTAGTTTTTCCATAGCTTATAGGAATCAGATCAGTCATCTTTTATTATCAAAGGCCAGAAGGAAATCTACACAGATCAAAAAAAGGAAATCTTTATACCTCAGAAATTTCTAGCAGTTAAAAAAAGTTATTAGCAAATCTCCTCTTTTACCCTTAAAAACCTAAAATAATTTGCAAAAGATACCTATTCCCTTATTTTAGGTATAATATCATTTTAAAAAATAAATCCAGTCAGTTTGATATTATAATTTATATACATAGTTTTAGAAGTTTTTAATCTATTTTATTTTGAGAACTAGGTAGGTGCTTTTAAAGAAAATATGCTTAGGCTGGCCTTGCTAGGTTCTAGGATGGAAGAGTGTTTCTACGTTCGATTTTTTAAAAAACCCATGATATAATTCTAGATTTCTTTTTTCTTGAGACATCAATTGGTCACCATAGTAACATAGCGTTTTACTACAGAGATCTATACAGCACAAGGGAAACAGAACGGCAATTACTTACTGGGTTACTTGGGGGTACAGAATGTGACTACAGGGATAATTTAAGATTAAATATAGATTTCTTTGGGGATCTGTTTTAGCAAAGCAAGCTGATTCAATCTTCTAGTAGCGTCAGCTGAACAAAATTTGAAGCCAAATTGACTGCTGACATCATTTGAAATAATATGAGCAGGCAAGCAGCATAGCTCAGTGGTTAAGAGCACAGGCTTTGGGGTCAAGTTTCGTAGGTCCAAATTCTGCTTCTACTGTTTGCTAGCTGTGTGACCTTGGGAAAGTTCCCTAACTTCTCTGTGCCTCTGTTTCTTCATCTCTAAAATGTGGGTAATAAAACCTTCCTCAAAGGGTTGTTATAAGGATTCAATGACTGTTTGTGCTTAGAACAGTGCCTTGCACATTAGAAAGAACTTTCTTAAGTATTTGTTAAATAAAGACAAAATAAAATTTAAAGGGGCTCCTCTCTTTGTGCTGAAAATAGTCAAAGACATGAAAATTTGAGTTCACGGCTGATTATTTTAGCCTGTAACTTTGGTAGATTCCTTTGAGAACTTCCCCAGGGTCTTGTTGCTAGCATTTCTACAAGATGTGAAATTCTGTGGCAGTCTACTGTCCTAAATCAGAGCTGGGAACAATCACAAGCACCCCTGGTTCCAGGAACATCAGAAGGAAGATGATCACACAGCACAAAGGAACAGCACGCCTGCCCACTTCAGCTCCCCAAGCCCTGCCAATAACCTCTGGGAACATGGGCATAGAATAAGCAGCTGAAAAAGGATGAAACAGCTTTTATTACAGTGATGATGAAACCTAGTTGGTTTCGGTAATTTTTTCCCCTCTTTCCAGGCTTCAAGGGGAAAAAATCCTTTTCATCAATGAGTGCTTTGTTTCATTAATTATCACTATACACAATTTCCATCCAATTTTTCAACTGACACATACTCTGATGAATTTTCATTTTACAGAACTACCTAGGCATCTTTTCTGGACTGGTAACAAACCTAAAGCCTCTAACCAGCATCTAAGGCAGGACAAAATCTCCAAATTGCCTGGAAAAAAAGAAGGCATTATGTCCTCTGAGCCAAATTTCAGTCGCAATACCAAGGGATCCCTATCACATACCTTCATCCGGACTTGATTTCAGAGACGTTCTCTTTAGATCTTCTTGGTCAGGAATAGCCCTTGCATAGGAGTTTGGAGAATGCCATAAACCACCAGGAAAGCCTGGAAACACATTCATTTCTGTCCTCTGCCTTCCCCTTGGCTCACAGCCTGCTTCCTGTTAGGGAGACAAGATGACGCTGTGCAGGGTAGACTGTTAAACCATCTTCCCGCCCCCAGCCCCACTCTCTTGTTGCCCCTCCCTTCTCCTTTCCAAGGCTCTGGAATGTGTCACATGGGAAATGGATCATGTGGCTGAAGGGGAGAATGTGGCCATCTTCTCCCTCCCTTCCCCCACTTTTCCTTTCAGGAGCAAAGCAGCAGAAATCTCTGTCTTGATTGGCTCAGACCAAAAATCTCCATATGAAAAGGGGAAGATTCAATCACCCAAACCTCCTTCCTTCTCTATTTTCTTTTTTTTCTATCTGAAGATTTATCCTGACCATTCAGAGTTGCTCAGTATGGGAGATAAATGATGCTTTCTTAACCTCAACCCCTCTCTTTCTTTCTTACAGTCAGTATCCTGACCTGGCAAGGTGTTCCTTAACCTCCCCTCTGGATCCCCCTTAGCACACATCTGGGACAATGGAGCGTTCAGCACCACGGACAGCATTACACCCTCTTCAAGTGCTTGTTAAAGCCATTTGTCTATTTCACTCTCAAGTAAATAAAAATATTTTTTAAAATTTCCCTGAGGTCCTGTGCCTAAACATAAACCACACCATATGTTTAGGGCTCTGACTTCCCCTACTATCAGCTTACTGTTACCTTATAAACACAAACATAATTTTCAAATTTCCTTAAACCCAAAAGACCATCCCATACCTACCTCCCTGTCCCCATCCCATCACCCATCCTCACTCTTTAAATATGGTCTTTTTTTTTTTTTTGGTGGGGGGGAGGGAGATTCCTGTAACATAGTTTACTGCATGCCCAAATATCTATGCTTATGGGGAAAACCACAGAAACACATAGGAATTCTGGGGTGTACAAGTCTAGATGTCATTAGCCCCATCCCTAGGCCTCAGGCAGGGCTGAACTGGAGAGGCAGGGAGGGAGCCTGCTTGGAGCTGTTTTGTGCAGGGTCTATCCTGCTTTGCTGACGTCCTAGTTGCCATGGTGCTAGGTAACTGCTGAAGAGGATGATTTCTTTTAAAACCGGTCGCCATGGGAGCCTGCTGACTAAAGAAAGGAAGAGGGAAAAGGACTGAATTGCTGAGGAGGGATTTAAACAGTATTCTCAGAGCCAAATTGGATTGCTGTCGGTCCTAAATCTTGAAAGGAATCTAGGAATTAGTATGGACACTGCAATAGTTACTCTCCCCATCCTCCACTGCTTCTTTCCTTAAAAATCTAGTTAGGTGCAACTGAATGAAAATTCCAGCTTCACAGATTGACCCTGAAATGCCATCACAGGGTGGTGGAAAGAACTCAAGAAATCAATTTCTCCTCAGGTTAGAATATCTGACTTTTGGGAAGCCATTATCTAAGTCCTAACAGCCTTAATTGGGAGATACTTTAGAGCCACACCTGACTGTCGATGCTAGGAACAATGTGTGGATTCTTTATAACACTATGGAAGAAAAGACAATTTTTTAAATGTGAGTTGTCAAATTATTTTAAATAAATACAAATTTTATTAATACTTGGATAGCATTTGGATTACTCCAAGTCAGAAATACAAACTGGCTATACATTTGTCTCATAACACTGGCATATAACTTGTTGTTTCTAACTCAGAATCCTAACCAAAGCAATTCAGAATATTTATTTTTTGAAAGACGAATGCTGACTTGCAATGTGTAGAAATGAAAACTTTGTAAGCAAAGAGGTGGCACAAGGAAGCTGGAGTATAATTTTCAAGAAACTGAAGGTCCTTCCTGGATCAACATCCTCATCGTATTTTCTACTTTTATTTTAGGAGGAGTGAGGTTAATTCTAGTTTTTCTATGTAAGACTCAGAGAAATTCAACTGTTAATTTTAACACTTGACATTTTAAGAAAATTCATTTATCAAAAAAGTTAGATATTGAAGAAATTCTTTGAGTCAGCAGGTTGGTGACTTGGATATCATCTCCTCTCTTAGTCAAGAATAATTACAACAATAAGAACAACTAATATTTAACATGTGCCAGGTGTTTACATACATTATGTCATTTAATCCTATCAACCCAACAAGATGAGTACTATTACTGGCATTTCTGTTTTACCGATGAAGAAATGGAGGCTTGGGGGAATAAGTAATGTGCCCAAAGCTGCATAGTGTGGGAGCTAGGATTTGGAACCACTGACTCAGCCTCCAGAGCAGGCATAGTGTACTATGCTATTCTGCATCATGCATAGTAGACTAGATTAAAATAACTGGTCAATTTAATGTGTTGTGACTTACTACTATGGCCCCTTGACATAAGAAATCACAAAGATTGCTTTAAATTATTTGAGACAAAAAAAATGACCAACATATTTATTCCTTCCAGGATGACTGCATGTATATATTATGGCTTAATGATATTTAAAATCATCTTGTAAGGAGTCATAACCCAAAATTTTATTAAGGATGGTCATAAAACATGTTACATAATATACTAATTCTGCTTAAAATATATTGCCAAAGTTATAATCACCAAATTTACTTTTGACATTGGAAGAAGATAAAGAAACAGTTGTCTTCCATCCAAATGCACAAAATTCCACAATACTTGTGCAACTGGGGTAATATTTTGAACATGAGTAATGTGATCTTCTCATCTGCCTGGGGAATCCATTTGCCTTGGAGATAGTGTTTTGGCACTGTTTAGATGTTACAAAAGGAATGGAAAAAAAGAAATTAATATTTGGCTTCTGAAATTCAAAATAGAAACAAGACAATAGGCTTGAAATCCAGGCTATTGTTTTGAAAGCCAGTCTCTAAATTCCTTTATTTCTGCCCTTAGCTTGTCATCAACCAAACCTGGAAGACTTTGCTCAGTGTTCTGTACTATAGACCTCTGGCTTCAGGTAAAAACTTTCCAAGGGGTCCCAAAGCATGCAGAGTTTTATGGGAACTAATTTCTAGATCCTCAACTTCTACAAGTATGCATTCTAAAACTGCTTTTCTGAGAACTGGTGCAGTCGAGATGTCATGCTGGTTCTTGGTTTCCACTTAGCTTTTCTTCCATCTTACACAGATTGCTGAATCTCTCTTCCACCTTTACCTCAAATCCTGCGTTGTCTGAATTTAAAAACCTCCTGGGGACCAAACACAGGAATAACTGAAAATATTGGGGATAGTACTGAGAAAGTGAATAGCTCCAATAATTAGGTAACAAATCCTTTTAAAAATCAAGAGCTTTCCAAGTGCTTTCAACAAAATTGGAAACAAACCACTACCCAGTGGTCCACTGAGAAATTCATTAAAATGGTTTTCTTAAAACAACGCTCTTACCAGGCACGGTGGCATGTGCCTGTGGTCCCAGCAACACAGAAGGCTGAGGTGGGAGAATCGCTTGCACCCAGGAGGTTGAGGCTTCAGTGAGCTCTGATAGTGCCACTGCACTCTAATCTGGGAGACAGAGCTAGACTCCGTCTCTTAAAAAAAGAAAGTTCTTCTTTACAGAAAAATGCTAGTTAATAAATACAGACTACTATAGTTAGAACACCATTTTTGCAACCCCCAGTGAAATAATTGACTCAGGAAAAGATCACAAAAGGTGTTCAAAGTATAAGATGAAAAGTTGTTGAACGGGTTATTTGTAGATTACTTATAAAGTGCAAAGGGATGTGTGTCCTTTTTCAGTGAAGAGAGTGGGAGGGGGGGTCATCATCTTAACCAAGTGACCAAATTTAGCGTTACTAATAGTGAGACAAGCTGAAATTATGTGCCTAACATGAAATGATGTAACCTACTCAATGTTACTGAAGTATTCTTTCTAAAAATGTTTAACCCGAATATAATCAAATCTGTACATATAATGTCGAGTTTTTTTTTTTAATAAAAAGGCAAGGGTTGGAGAAACAAGTTATAAGATATTATGAGGAAATAATTGGCCAAATCAAGAATGCATAATATTCTACAAGAGAACTAGCATGGACTCATCAAAAAGTCAAATCATGAAATAAAAGGCTGCCTACCACAGTGAGTTACCTCCATGTTGAGAGCAGTGCTCAGGGTAAGGGATTTCTGCCTTGACTCCCTTTTTGAGACAACTGCCCAAGTCCCTCAAACCTCATTCCTTGCATTTCTATGGCTGTTCAGGCCAAGTCCACAATAGCATGGTCAGACACAGATATGACAATCAATTATTCTAAGCCTTTCTGTTCTCTTGAAGGATGATGCTGAACTAACAGCCAGTAGGCCTGCCACAACCAAGACAAGGTAACCCCACAGCAGGGGCCAGGGGTACTGAGTCTGCCAGGGGAGGTGGCCAATACTCCCTGGGAGATTTGTCTGAATCCAAAGGTGGGCCACGAGTTCACCATGAGTTCACCAGCTGCAGGCTTCAGCATCACAGGACAGCATGTTCCCCAGGGATCAGGCAGACAAGGGGTATGTATTAGGTTGTTCCTGCATTGCAATGAAGAAATACCTGAGACTGGGTAATTTATAAAGAAAAGAGGTTTAATTGTACACATTTGCAGGCTGTACAGGAGGCATGGTGCCCACATCTGCTCAGCTTCTGGGTAGGCCTCAGGGAGCTTTTACTTATGGCAGAAAGTAAAACAGAAGCTTGCATGTCACATGGCGAAAGCAGGACCAAGAGAGAGAGTTGGGGGTGGTGCCACACACTTAATACAGCAGATCTTAAGAGAATTCACTCACTATAGTAAGAACAGCACCAAGACATGAGGGATCTGTCCCACGACCCAAACACCTCCCACCAGGCCCCACGTCCAATACCGGGTATTACAATTCAACATGATATTTGGCAGGGACATATATTCAAACTGCATGAGGGTGTCATCCTGGAAACTTGAAAGTACCTCAGTGCATACTCTAGGTCCAGAATGAAGCCAGGAGGTACCCTCTCTCTCATCAGTGCCACAAGGATATGTAATTATACCCCCACTTCCCCCCAAACAAATGAAAGTCATCTACAGAAAAAAGTGACAGGACCTCTTTGGGAGGTATTATGAAAGATGAAACATTTCATCCATAGGATACTAATACTATCTAAAGGAACTGAATGAATTGAACTATATTTGAAACAGGATTAGACACTTTTTTTTTTTCCTGTAACCTAACAGGTTGTGGTGGTTTTAAAATACATCCACAAATTCTTTGATATGCCTTCAAAGAATGCATCTAAGGTCTGGCTGCCACATTAGATTTTAGATGTGAAACCTAATCCACCTCCCCCTGAATGTGGGCTAGACTTAGTTACTTCTTTCTAATAAATAGAATGTGACAGAAGTGATTCTGTGACAGTTTCTACCTGGCTCTCACCTTCTTGGATTACTTACTCTGGGCAAGCCAGCTACCACGTCATAAGGAAACTCAAGCTGCCTTGTGAAGAGGCCCACACATAGCAAACCGAGGCTTCTCACCAACCAGCACCAACTAGCCAACCTTGTGAGTGAGCTGCCTTGGAAGGAGATTCTCCAGCCCTAGTCAGTGACCATACCCCTAGCTAACATCTCAACTACAGCTTTGTGAGAGACCCGAAGCCAGATGGCCTAGTTAAGCTGTTCCCAAATTCCTGATCCACAGAAACTATGACATAATGTTTTTGTTTGTTTGTTTTCTTTTTTAAGCTCTGTTGAACTTGATATTATTCTTCCAAGATATTAAACTGTAGGGAATTTTGTTATGCGGTAATAGATGACTAATAGGTGAAAACTCTAGACAAAATAAAGGACCTACATTTTCATGAGATATCTGTAGCGAGTTAAATAAGTGTCTTTGCTATATATGTGTATTCCTAATGTGGAAGATACATGGTTTTATTAGGACAAAAAACATTAAGAAGGGGAGAACATAATTAGGCACATAACACTGTTGTCTAAGGAGAAAAATGAATCCCCTTAGGTTGAGATGGATTTATTATGACTCAGAGGAAGTGCAGGGAAATCAAGAACAAAAAGTGGCAGCCAGACGTTAGATTAGACAAGGGTCCTGAAAGTGGTCAGACCCAAGGTAGCTACTGACTCTCTTTCTCTAGGAGACCACATGGTCTACTGCCTCCAATTCTCTCTGTTTCTTCATTAGCTGCATTCACCAGCTTCTCTTGAGATCAACTAGTTCTGCTTGTCCCTTATTGTATTACTGGCCCCAAAATGGCTGCCCCTAAATGGTGGCCTTGGATCTGAAATTCACATGTCCTTATAAATTCAATGCTTCTGTCAGAGTGACCCAGTCTCTCAATGTTCTGACTCTAAATTCTTAGGAGGCAGAGTCTGTTTGACCCAGCCTAACTCAGATACAGAGCCAGATCCAAACAGCTGGGAGAACAGGATGGAGAAGAGTTCCCATACTATCTTCTCAGCACTCTCTAAAAAGGGCTGTTGGCAATTTTGCCTTTTTGTAATTCTATTTGAGCAAGTTGGAAGTTTAATTAGCTTTCCAATCAACCAAATTTCTGCATTCGAGTCTTAACCATATATAAGTGTTACTGTGGCTTCAAAGAAAATATGGATTCTGAAGTAGTGGGTTTTGATTGAGTTGACTGTTTTTAAATAACTCTTTGGATTTTAATTGTGATGCAGAAGTTATAGTAACAAACATTTGGTTTTGTACAGACATTATTTCCACGCTGGTGGATAAGCTCAATAAAGGTCATATCCCAAACTAAAAAATATAAAATAAAATAAAATAAAAAATAAAAAAATAAAAAGGGCTGTTGGTCAATTTTATAAAAGGCAAAGTCAAACAGAGGGAGGAATGACTGATAGATGAAATGACTGGTCTCTTGGTGCATCTGTTTCTAAAATTCCGTTAACTTTCCAGAATGAGCCTGCCAATAGCTCTGGTCTAAACTCAACCCCTGTGACCTCCATTTCACCTCCATTTGAGTCACCTGCTGAACAAGCATGCCCTTCACACTGCTTGTATTGCCTCCGTGGCTTAGACTTGACAGTTTCTCTGCCTTGTCCTCTTTGTGAACATCTACTCCTCTTTTCAAACCCTGCTGGGTTTTATCTTATCTGTAGTTCTATTTCTCTCCCACTCTGTATCCTTCCAAAATAAGTTAGTCACATTTTCCTTTTCACCATAGTACTTTAATTTTCATATATACTACTTATACGATTGCATATGTCATATTGCATTGACTTCATAGATTCTTGTAAGGTGGATGTCATCCAATTCATCTTTATACCTCTAGGATCTAAAACAGCAAAGTAGGTGCTCAGCGACAGTGTACCAGCACACTGAATAAGCATGACTTTTGAGATTAACCTAAAACCACCTAATTTTCATTTTCCACTGTCCCTTTGAAAACACCCTTCAAGGGTGTCTGGTTGCAAGGCTGGTTCTTCTCTTATCCCTGAATTAAAACTTGGGTGGTCCCATTACTTTTTCTGGTCATTTTTAGTTAAGAGATGTTAATAACTAAAATATCCAGTCCTATATAACAATCAAAAGTTGGCACCTGACTTAGTTTAGGCATTTCTCCCTCCTCCCAGTTTGTGCCTTCTGTAGTAGATTTAACAAAACAGTGTGGCCACTTCTCTTTTTTCCTGACTTGTTTCCTTAGATCTTGCCCCTCCTAGTTTCTGATCCCTCCAGGGTTTGAGAGGAGGATGAGCAATACGTCTTACTTTGTTGGTACTAACATGAGCTGCCATCAGTTTCCCTGTACCTCACAGGTATTAAAGACTGATTCCTTATCTCAATGGGCACTTACGTGGGTTTAGGGGGACAAAACTCTACTTCTATGAATTTTTCAACTATAGCTCCTTTGACCAGCTGGCCACTTATCTAACTCCAGAAAGACCTTTAGCTTTTCCCTGCTGAAGTCTATTCCTCTCTTTGAGTGGTCATCTTGGTCAGGTCCAGTGATGACTCGCTGCTGGCTTCTCTTGTCTTTTTTTTTGTAATATTAGCCAGGTTAATGGCGGGGTTTTGCCATGTTGCCCAGACCGGTCTTGAACTCCTGGGCTTAAGCGATCCTTCTGCTTTGGTCTCCCAAAGTGCTAGGATTACAGGCGTGAGCTACTGCGCCTGACTCAAATTTAATTTCTTGTACCCCAAAAAGAGGCAGAAAGAAAGACGGACTGGATACCCTCATTTATAGAACCAGAACCCCATACTGGTACAATATGAAAGTTTCTGAAAAAGGTCCAACAGGTATTTGATATCCACAAAGCACAAAAGACCTAATTATAGTTGTTTTTTTTGTTTTTTTTTTTCTCCAACTGGGCTTAAGCCCCTTTCTCCTTTGCTTTCTGAGCAAAAGTACTACTGGCCTCCAGCAGCTGAAAAAGCCCTTAAGAAACTGAAGCATTACTTGTCTTTGGCTCTAGTCCTGGCTCACTCTAACCCATAAAAACCTTTAAAGACAGAGACCAATCTGTCTAGCATTCCTATCGGTCCCAGGAAGATTCTCTGTCACTCATGTGTGCCTGCTTTTCAAGAAAAGGAACCCAATTAAAGACAGGTAACTTCATGTGGCAAAAGATATTCTTGGCCATTATCACTACCTTTTTTGTCTTATATTCAATAACTAAAGTAGTATGGTGATTTCAACTTCTGAGTTATTTATAAACCTAGAAACCAGAATTGTCCTACTAGCAAGTAACTTGTCTCTTAGAAGCTGAAATTGCTGACCATGCCACTTGTATTCCAAGTGATTCTGTGTTCCCTGAAAGGCTACAAAGACAGGCTTGAACCTCACCTTTCTCATCTGTTAATAATAACAAAACCACTTGTGTGGTCAGAGCTGCCACATCAACCCTGATAGGCTACCGGAAAACACTTCATTATCAATGCCCTGCTGCACATGCATTCCCATGTACAGCAGCCTCTCATTGGAAAAGAACACACATTTCAATCATGCCTTGATGCCCTCCCCAACCAATGAGGTATTGCAGGTTGTAAAGATCCGCCCCAACCCACTACTGCCATCAGCCCTGCTGATGGCCCAAGATTCACCATGTGTAATGCAATAAAGACATCATTATCTGTGTTGCCTGTGCTAGATCAAAAGACCAGCTTGGGAGACTGACACTCTTCTATCTCTACAGCTAAGCCTGTGTATCCTGGCAATTATACTAATGGCTTTATCAATGACCTTTCCCAAATTAGTACGTTAACCCCATTCTTATCACAGTGGCCTTCCTCCTGAATAGAGCTCATGATGCCCTACTTATCTGCCTGTCTCAAGCTCTAAACTTCATTCCTCCAAACGTGTTTTCCAAAACGGAGTCTTGCTCTATCACCTAGGCTGGAGTGCAGTGGCACGATCTCGGCTGACCGCAACCTCTGCCTCCTGGGTTTAAGCAATTCTCCTGCCTCAGCCTCCGGAGTAGTTGGGATTACAAGCGCGTGCCACCACACCCAGCTAATTTTTGTATTTTTAGTAGAGATGGGGTTTCACCATGTTGGCCAGGCTGGTCTCAAGCTCCTGACCTCGTGATCCCCCCGCCTCCGCCTCCCAAAGTGCTGGGATTACAGACGTGAGCCACCGTGCCTGGCCCTAGAGGGAACTCTTAAAGCAGTGGCTCTCAACCTTTGTTGCAAAATGGAGGGTTTTAAGAAAGTACTGATGTCTGGGCTCCACTCGCAGAGATTCTGATTTAATTGGTATAGAGAAAAGCCAGGGCATTAGGATTTTTTTAAGCTCCCAAGGTGATTCTAATGTGTGGGCATGGTAGAGTACCTGTCTTTTTTTTTTTTTTTTTTTTTTTTTTTTGAGACGGAGTCTCGCTCTGTCGCCCAGGCTGGAGTGCAGTGGCGTGATCTCGGTTCACTGCAAGCTCTGCCTCCCGGGTTCACGCCATTCTCCTGCCTCAGCCTCTGGAGTAGCTGGGTCTACAGGTGCCCACCACCACGCCCGGCTAATTTTTTGTATTTTTTTTTTTTTAGTAGAGACGGGGTTTCACCGTATTTGCCAGGATGGTCTCGATCTCCTGACGTTGTGATCCGACCGCCTCAGCCTCCCAAAGTGCTGAGATTACAGGCGTGAGCTACCGCGCCTGACCCGGTAGAGTACCTGTCTTAAAGCTCCCTAAATACAGACGGACCTACGATGCACAGAGCATCCACAATTCAACTGATAGGTGGCATGTACTTTACACTAAGTTCTATGCTACCTCATTTTGTCATTACAATAATCCTATGGCACAGGCACTATTATCCTTATTTTATAAATTGAGAAACTGAGATTCAGACAGGACACACAGAGTGACTGGCAGACCCTAAAGTCAAAGCCCAGGTCTGATTCCCAATTGTACACACTTTATATGACATCATATCGAGATGTCATGCCTCTCAGAGCTGGATGATCCCACTCCCTAAAACAAGACACCCAGGCTTCAACCCTGAAATCCTATTCCATTGCCTCCATGGATTTTTCCTGCAGCATTTTCCTATGCACTTCACACATACAGCGCAGCTGCCAGGATATACTTTAGGCTGCCAAAATGAAATGAAGTCACTTTCTTGGTAAGTGATTACCATGCCTGGCTCTTTACTGAAGTACTTCCATTCTATATATTCACACTGGGATCCTTCTCCATCACTGCTAGCTTCAATCCTGTGGCTTTCCATATTTAGTTTTTCTTACAGATGAAGTGATACTCTTTACCTATCAGCCATTCCTTTGTTGGAGTAAAATTACGTATTCCATCAGCATTCTTCTGCCTTGTACTCCAGATAGTATACAAAGAATCAAATTATAGTAGCTAAGTGGCATAGAATTGCTGCCGATATCAAGATGGACTCTAATATCTAGTGAACTGGGAGGCTAGAGGCTAGAAGTATGTACTTCTGTAAGGTGTCAGTGACACATCTGAGTAATGTGGTAGCTAAATGCCACCATTTCATTCCATGAAATCCACATTTCATTCTGGCTAAAGGGTAAAGCTGGTGAGAGGTGGGAGGGGCCAGGAGGCTCCATCGGAAGGAGGCAGACACTTCAGGTGTTGGGTGGTACCTTTAAGATGTTGCGGGGCCAAATCCAATGCCGGTGCAGGTGTCCCATATATCCTGAGAGACAAAAAGAGGTCAGATTGGTCAGATCCCTCGAGACAGTTCCCAAATTCCTGACTTCTGTTACCGCGACTGTTCTTCGCAATTCCACCTCGGCCTGTGTTCAGGACTGTGGCTTTTAGAATCTTCCTCATTCCATTCCATTAGGGGCGTCCCGATTTCCACCTTATATACACCATGTACTAAATGCATGCCATTTCTGCCTGTTTACAAACATGCATAAGTTCACACTCTTTTAAGAAAAATGTCCTCTACTGTCAACTTCTTTCTAGTCTGGCCTCCCAGGTAGGCTACAGAGCTACTGCCTTCATTTATCTCTCAAATCTTCCCATCTTCTCCTTCCCACTGTATTACCTTAGCTCACACTCACATCCTCTTGGTCACCAGCCAAAAAATAAATAAAACTCCTTTGTCCCTTCAGATTTCTCTCTTATTCTACAACCTCATTAATCGGCTCTCCCGCTCCCACTCCTTTACTACTTCAGTCGCTGAAACCTCCCCTCACAGAGTTCACGGCCAATATAAAAACGGAAAGAAGGGATGACCATACGAGCTTGTGGACTTTTGCCTGCAAAATCTCATAGAATGTGGTGTTGTGTACGTGAATCCATCAGATCAACGCGACGGACACTCCCCAAGGGCCAAATCGGACCGCCTCTCACTAGGCGGAAAGTTTTGAAACTTTTGCGCGCTAAAAATGATGAGCCAGACGCATGCGCAAACGTGCACTCCCGGGGTGGCGCTTCTCCTCAGGCAGATCTCGCGTGGTTTGGTGATGGCCGGCTAGTATGAAGGTTTTCCGTGGCGTTGAGATCCCACCCGCCCTTTTTTTTTTTTTTTTTTTTTTTTTTTTTTTTTTTTGCTGCCCCAGTGGATTAGGATTAGTGCTGCAGTCAAATGAAAAAGATCAAGACAAAAAATTAGGCTAATATAACTAGCCGACAGGCTAGCGGCATTTCTCTGGGGCCGAGGAATTCCACGAAGAAGATCTCTGCGAGGCCCAGAAGGCCGCACAACTACTTCTTCAGAAACAAAATTTTTTAAAAAAGTAAAAATAGAGGAAGTCAGCCAGTTTATCACCTTGGAACCAGCGTTTTGTTTGGCTTTTCCGCTTTTCACTCTACGAAAAAGCCCATTGGCGGCTACCCAGGTTACCGTCCTGTTGCCATTGCGCCTGCGCGGCGGTTTGTTTACCAGTCCAGGCGAAGCGCTGTGTCGCGGTTCTCGCCGCCCCGAGCGCCTTGGTTTGCTCCCTTGACGTGTAATTCGTAATGAAAGTCATGTTTTCATTTGGGAACACGGATCGGAGGTTTAAAACTGGACAGTTTAAGTGTCAACTTCAGACCAAAGAAAATAATGGTAGGGAAAACACTGGACACTCAGAAATCGGTGCCGCGTCAGAGCTGTCACGGAAGATGTTTCTAATGAACCTGAGGAAAACAATAGCACCACCCTAACCAGAACTAAAAAGTGGCAAGCAGCCACAGTTAATGAAACTCATAGGTGGCATTTAGTTACTTATTTAGAATGTAGGCCTAGTTATGGTAAAAATGCAAATAAGACCAAACCTAAGGTCCTCTTGCTCGAGCAAACCTCAAGCAAAACCTACATGATTTAAGACTGACTCTTGAAGCGAAGTAAAAAAAAAAAAAAAAAAAAAAAAGCAGCCATGCAAAATTTGAAACTTGGAGACGACTCTAGAAGCATTAACCCAAGAAAGCACAAGCCAACAAACAAATTTTTGAAATGGTTTGAAGAGCTCTTCAAAGTCAGTTTCAGGTGGCTTAGAAGAGGATGTTGCTTATAAAATGAGATCTGATGGAAACTTGTTTTACAGATATGACTGGATTCGTTTGAAAACAAAAAAAAAGGCAGGCAAAGTGACTTTTTAAAAAGTATTTTTATGGAAGGATTTCTAATGATACATTTTAATGTGCTCAAAAAACAACCTTAAATAACTGGTAGATTCAGCCAAACCTGGATCATTGTTATCTTAGAGCTGGATAAGAGCATAAATGTTAACAATTTGGCAATTTTATTGGACTCTGTTATGTTTTTGAATGGTGAATTTGAAGACTTCAACTTGTAACAAGAAATTTTCTAAAAGGAAAGTGGGATTTTCAAGACATATGAAATTAAGCAGAGAATATGTATGGACATGTGAACAGATGGAACCAAATTTTGAAAGCTTTGCATGTGTCCAGCATCGGTCACAGAAAATCCTTTTATCTCAAGAAACTAGCCTCTGGATTTTCTCACGTTCAATATGATAAAACTCAGTAAATCCAGCAGCTTGAATACCTTTTAACACAAATTTGTACCAAAATGAGAAGTAACTTTAAAATTCCGCTCCATTATCTAGAGGTACTCTGACTTGGTTAAGGTAAGGTGAAAATCGGTTTTCCAAGCCAGTATTGAACTGGCATTTTCATCATGAAGAAAAAAAAAATGCAGATAAAGTGAATGGGTATCTTGTTCACTTTAATGATTAAGACTAACTCAGAAAGCTGGCTTACTTTGTCAAGGCAAACAACCAGTATTAAACAAACTGAATACTCTCATTGCACATAATGAGAAGGCTTGAATGAAAATTAAGTATGGGAGTGGAAGAGCTGATAAAGAACAGTGACTTCTTTGAGACTCCTAGTTCATTTACATGTGATGAAAATTATAGTGTAAGAATAGTAAGTTGTCAAATAAAACATTTTTCTTCACTGAAAAAAAATCTTTGGTGAGTAACAGAAACTGACTGATGGATTGGTAATTTAGTCTGCCCCGTGACTCAGAAAATATACTTACCAAAATTTCCACTGTCAGTAGCTGAAAAAGTTAATCATGCCATTTCTTTAGCCAGTATTCTGGGCATACTCCCCTGTGATTACTCTGATACTGTAAAGTAATGAAAAACCTGATGCCATCTGTATCCACATATTTATGTGAATCTGAGTTCTCGAATTATTGTGACCCCAGGACAAATGAAAGAAATTGCCAAATAATGAATCTGATATGCATCCCCAATTACTCAAACTTGGTTAAAGCAACACAATTTAACCTTATTAACTGAATGATAGGACATTTTTTTCATGATCGATAACTTAAAGCATTTTTTTTTTCTCAAGACGGTCTTGCTCTGTCACCCAGTCTAGAGTGCCATGGCTTGATCTCGGCTCACTGTGACCTCCACCTCCCGGGTTCAAGCGATTCTCTTGCCTCAGCCTCCCGAGTAGCTGGGATTACAGGTGCGTGCCACCACGCCCGGCTAATTTTTTGTATTTTTAGTACAGACGGGGTTTCACCATGTTGGCCAGGCTAGTCTCAAATTCCTGACCTCGTGATCCGCCAGCTTTGGCCTCCCAAAGTGCTGGGATTACAGGCATGAGCCACTGTGCCCAGCCCATTTTATATAGCATTCTACAGTCACTCCTAACTAATACATAGGGAACAGTTTGGGAGATAGGGAATAGGGAAGATGAAAAATTTGGTTTATCACAGTCAGTATGAGCATTGAAATTAGCTTAATCTCCAGGGAAAAGAAAGAATGAATTTGGCCAGGCACAGTGGCTCACGCCTGTAATCTCAGCACTTTGGGAGGTTGCAGTGGGTGGATCATGAGGTCAGGAGTTTGAGACCAGCCTGGCCAACATGGTGAAACCCTGTCTCTACTAAAAATACAAAAAATTAGCCGGGCGTGGTGGTGCACACCTGTAATCCCAGCTACTCGGGAGGCTGAGGCAGGAGAATCACTTGAACCTGGGAGGTGGAGGTTGCAGTGAGCCGAGATCGTGCCACAGCACTCCAGCCTGGGCAACAGAGCAAGACTCTGTCTCAAGAAAAAAAAATTGAAAACATACATATTAGGGCCAAATTGCAGGGTTTGTGTATGAATCCCTAATAAGCCAAATAAATTTTGCTTACTTTTAGCTCTGCACTCAGGTCTTAAGTATTGGGGGTAATTCAGTACTCTTGTCATACCTAAAGAAAGGATGTTTCTGCTGGCACAGGCCCATGCCTATAGTCCCAGCTACCCAGGAGGCTGAGGCAGGAATATCCCTTGAGCCCAAGAGTTCAAGTCCAGCCTGGACAATATAGCAAGATCCCATCACTAAAACAGTGTTTCAATCAGAGGGAAGAGAATCTTCAGCACGAGAGGGGAAAAGGGAGAAAGAAGGGCAAATTTGGTTTGTGACTGGTCAAATAATGCCCACTGAGGACAGGAAGCAGATGCACTCTACTTCCTGCTAGGGAACTCTGCCCTTGCCTCCATCTACTGGCATGTTTGCATGGCTGACTTCATTCCATTTACATCTCTGATAAGGAGAGATACCTTTATGGTCTGTTATCTTCAATGTATTAAAGAGTCTATTATCATAGTCACAAGATAGCTGCCGCAGTTCCAAACATCATGTTCTCATATGAAATGTTTCAAATAGAAAAGAGAGTATGAGCCAAAAAAAGCTTTCTTTCTTTTTTTTTTTTTTTGTAAAGATGGGGTCTCCTCATGTTGCTCCTGCTGGTCTTGAACACCTGGCCTCAAGCGATCCTCCCACATCGGCTTTCCAAAGTGCTGAGATTACAGGTATGAGCCACTGCACCTGGCCAAAAGCTTTCTCCTTGAGGCCTCTCTCTTCTTTTTTCTCTCTCTTTCTTTCTCTCTCTCTCTGTCCCTTTATTTTTTATTTTTTATTTTTTTTGAGACAGAGTCTCACTCTGTTGCCCAGGTTGGAGTGCAATGGCATGATTATGGCTCAATGCAGCCTTGACTTCTTGGGCCCAAGTGATTCTTCCACCTCAGCCTCCCAAGAAGCTGGAATCACAGGCATGCACCACCACACCTGGCTATTTGTTGTTGTTGTTGTTTTGTTAGACTCTCTCATAAGGGCAAAAAATGTTTCCCATATGATGTTGCAGACTTCCCTTTATTTCTTACTGCCCAGAACTATGTCATATGACTACCTTTAGCTTCAAGGGAGGCTTAGGGAAGTATGTACAGAGAAAACAAGCATGTTTTTTTAATGGTGCACTAAAAATAACAGGACTTGTGGGAAATATAGGGTTAGAAGCAGGTCACTCAAAACCTTTGCAACTTTGTTAGTTGAGGGCTATAAAAATTACTATGCTAATAAAAAATACACAATTAAATTCCCTCTGACACTTGTACTCAATATCACAGTCATCCTTTAGGGCCATGCTGTCCAATACAGTAGTAACTAGCCATCTGTGTTTATTGAACACTTAGATGTGATAGTCCAAATTGAGAAGGGCTGTTAAGTATAAAATATACACATAAGATTTTAAGAATTTAGTATAAAAAATAATGTAAAAATCTCAATAAATTTTATATTGATTACATGTTGAAATGTCACTTCAACATTTCTTTTTACTTTTACTTTTTAAAAATGTGGCTCCCAGAAAACCTAAATTGTCGAATGTTTCTGTTGGACAGTGCTGCTTTAGTTTCTTGAATCCTGGGGCACATGATTCTTCCTTGGATGTATATGCCCTTGAGGGTATTAATTCCAATTAAGAGCAGTTTCATCAAAATTAAAAATCCGATCGAGGATTTTGTCTTTTTTATCAATCAGTTTTCCCCCAATGGGGTAAAATGGTTTTGCACCTTCATTTACACTTTGCAGTTTACCACAGAACTTAATGTTGTAAAAAACTCTTGAAGCCACCAAACAAGCCTCTGTTTGCACCAAAGGAAGGCATTCTTGCAGAATTTTCTGCTTTTTTTCTTAACATCTTTATATGTTGCTAAGGTTTTCTCTTTAATTGTGAGAAGCTTGTCCCTGCTTGCCCCAAAATGTTAGTGTGCTGGGAAAAATAATGAATGAAGCAATGTAATTTCTGAATTATATTAACATTATCTCCCCATTTGTTGCTTGCCCATTAGCTAATAATGACTATATCTGGCATATAAAGCTTTTATTGTGGGAGATAGGACTGCCAGTAGACAAAAGGGAGAGAAAATCCTAATCCTATAATTTCAAAGAGTTGGTACCCAATTATGGGATATTTTGGACAGTGTCCTTTCTATTCACCAAGTTAACATTTAGTTAATCGCCCCATTTGATTTACTCAATTACCCCTTTCTCCCAGCTAAAATCCATTGAGTTCTAAAGAACCATTTCAAAGGCCAGGCCAGGTGGCTCATGCCTGTAATTCCAGCACTGTGGGAGGCCAAGGCAGGAGGTTTGCTTGACTCCAGGAGTTTGAGAGCAGCCTGAGCAACATGGCGAAATCCTGGCTCTACAAAATATGAAAACTTTAGCTGGGTGTGGTGGTGCGTGCCTGTCATCCTAGCTGCTTGGGAGCCTGAGGTGGCAGAATTGCTTGAGCCTGAAGAGGTCATGGCATAATCATGGCATTGCACTCCAGCCTGGTGACAGAGTGAGACCCTGTCTCAAAAAAAAAAAAAAAAAAAAAGAATGGACAAAGGCTGTCTCTTCAGTAAATCTTTTCCTGATCTCTCCTATAAGCATTTTGCTTGCATCATCTTTTTATAGAACACATATTTGGCCTTATGTTTATGTTATTGTCTGATTTTTATATGTAGAATAATATTTTTAATTTGCATATGTAGAATAAAGCTCCTCCCACTGAAGACAGTGATTGTATTTTATTCACTTTTCAAAATTCCTCTGATGACTAGCCTTATGGTTTGTACAAATTAGGCACAACTAAATATTTGTTGAATTTAATTGTGCTGTATCCTAAAATAATAGAATACTAATAGAATAGAATAGAATAAATAATATAATATTTCTAAAATATTAATAGAATCTTATTCTATTAGGAATAGAATAACAGATTAGATAGAATATTTCTAAAATTCTAAATACAAGTTGGTATTTGACTCACATCTCTAGTGCTTTAAAAAAGTGCAACAGAATACTCTGTAAAATAGTGTTACAAAGTCAGGCTAAACATGTTAGAGTATGTACTGGTGGGTTTTTTAAAAAATTAGTTTCAGTAATTATGATTAAATCCATGGTAAATATAGACCTGTGATAAATCTAGATCCTTACGGTGATGACTCATTTTAAAAGACCCTAGTTTTCTGGATCTCCATTCTCCTTTTACTCAGTGCCTTCTCGTTTTTTTTCTCTATTTTAAACCAGTTTTCATTATTTCTCTGCTTTGAGAATCACTCAAAACAAACCAGTAAGGGATGTTCAACTTAAATCTAAAACATCATAGTCACATTTAAAGTCCTGAGAACGCAGCATTCCTGTTAAATAATGGTCATAATGAACTTATTAATCCTGGCCCTCTAATTACACTATTCTACACCCCAGTGATAAAGGTGTTAAAAAATGATGATTTAATTTTGTTCTGGTCTTTTCACTTGGATGTACCGTATACTGACATGAATCTCATCATGACTGATAAACTGAACTTGGATAGAAGAGCTGTTAGGATGACTTAAGTGCAAAAGAGAATCTACCGTTTAGGCAATCAGTATACAGTTTCCTTAAATTTTCTATAATTTATTTCCTTTTTTTGTATGATGTTCCAGCTTTTCCCACAGAGCTAGGAGCCCCACAAAAATAGAGACTTTGTCTTATTTGTTTCTGGTGCTTGTTTGTCTCTGTAACTCTAGCACTCAGCACAATGCCTGACACATTGTAGGTAATAAAGGATACATATTGAGTGAATGAAGTACACCTGGGGTCAAGTATCACATGTTCCAAATGAGCTTGGCTGAGGTTAGATTACCCTTATATTGGACGTGGAAAGGATCTATTACCTAATTTCAACTTGCCTCTATGTCTGTGGCATTGGTGGTTGGGTAAGGTCTATTGATTGTGAGACACAGTCTCACTTTTTACCACAAGTAGTATATGGAGTATGCGTGAGTGCGTGTTCGTGTGTGTAACAGGAATCTTAGCCATAGGACATGAAAAGCCAAACTATGGGACCTTGAAAGGTTCGCAGGTAAATGGTAATCAAAGATTCCCAAGGTCTGTGAATTCTAGACATCTTTGCCATAGAAGCCTATGGCCCCTCGCTCTAGCACATAGTGATTCTGCTGGTCCCTACATGTCTTCTCAATGCACCTGTCTGTTTTCTTCTTACTGTACTTCCTAGTTCTTACTGTACTTCCTAGTTCTAGTTCTTGGCTTAGCTAATAACCATTTTCTTTCTTTTGGGTAGAGCAGTCTGTACCAGGCCCCATCATAAACCATAGTGCTGAGTTAGGAGCCCAAGCCAGTGGCTTGGAGTTGGAGTACTTTTCTCTTGGAAGGGGCTATAGACTGTATAAGTTGCATGACTGCCATGTCTAGGATTCCTAATACCGTGCACTGGGAGCCATCTCTGGGATCTTCACTAGAACCAGGTGTACTTGCCAATCATATCTACTGGGTGCTAATTACCTACTTTGCGGTTATTTTGTTTAGAGCATTAGATTAGCTTCATTGGAGGATACAAAAAAGATTAAAGACTAAATAGATTTATATCTGAAGTCAAAGTGAGTAAGTCATAGAGACAGTGTATGTGTTGGTGTGTATGTGGCGGGGGAAGCACTTTCTGAAAGAGCTATGTGTAGTGGAAAAGGATCAAGTTTAGGTTGTTATCTTGACTTTGCAACCAATCGTGTGTGACTATAGAGAAGTCACCTTTGATCTTTTGTTCTACTTCACTTGTTAAGGGTTGTAATACTTAACTTGACTGTATAGACAACTGTTAAAACACTATCATAAGGCCAGGCGCTGTGGCTCACACCTGTAATCCCAGCACTTTGGGAGGCTGAGATGGGCGGATCACTTGTGGTCAGGAGTTTGAGGCCAGCCTGGCCAACATTGTGAAACCCTGCCTCTACTAAAAATACAAAAGCTAGCTGGGTGTGGTAGTACAGGTCTGTAATCCCAGCTACTCAGGAGGCTGAGGCAGTAGAATCGCTTGAACCCAAGAGGCAGAGGTTACAGTGAGCCGAGATCGTGCCACTGCACTCCAGCCTGGGCAACAGAGCGAGACTCTGTCTCAGAAAAATAAAAACAAAAAATACTATCATAAAATAATTGTTAAATTCAGATTATTGTGTGAGTAGTGTATGAAAATGATATAAAAATGTTGAATAGGTAGAATCTATGCAAATTTAGAGTTCAATTAAATTTGGTGGGGATTAAAACTCTTGTGTATGCATTTAGAAAAGCAGATTATAAATACAGTTGTGGTTTGGAATAGTTGCAGGATTAGGGCTGACAGTTCTGGCCTTGTGCTGCCCTCCTGTGCTGTTTAAACAGCACAGCAGGTCAATTACATTCCTGCTTCATGAATGTTCCGAATTGGGGGAGGGTAGTCTATCTCATTACTAATCCTCTTCTGTCCTCCTGTGGCCACAGAGCGCCTAACTATTTTGGATGTTTCTGTTTCTTCAGTAAAGGAAGGGAAGGAAAACTACTTGGAAACATTCTAGGTCAAACAATCTTATCCTGAGTTATGGAAAAAGGCAACTAATTGCAAATTGCATTTGACATTGGAGATATAATTGATACACCAATATAGAAGATCCGAGCAGATTATCGAGGTTTGGAGAAAAACACCATCATTACAGCATTGGGAAAGGCTTTTTGTCAAGAATAAATAGAAATGCATCTTTTTTTTTTTTTTTTGAGACGGAGTCTTGCTCTCTAACCCAGGCTGGAGTGCAGTGGTGCGATCTTGGCCCATGCCTGTAATCCCAGCTACTCGGGAGGTTGAGGCAGGAGAATCACTTGAACTTGGGAGGCGGAGGTTACAGTGAGCTGAGATCGTGCTATTGCACTCCAGCCTGGTCAACAAGAGCGAAACTCCATCTCAGAAAAAAAAAATTGCTGAGAATTTATAATAAAGCCATACACTGTTTATCTGGTTAATAAGATAGTCTATTATGGTGGGAACAGAAGATGCTGTTCTACAGTGATTTTCTAAGCAGAACATTTGCCAGTTGAAATGAGAGACTCACAAGCAAAGCTAATTATTTGCTAATTCTCTTAGCATATCCTGCAAAAATGGTTACTTTTAAAGATAAGGTCATTTGTCAGCATGGCAATTTTTTTTTTTTTGAGACAGGATCTCGCTCTGTTGCCCAGGCTGAAAAGTGCAGTGGCATGTTTACAGCTCACTGCAGCCTTGAACTCCTGGGTTCAAGAGATCCTCTCACCTCAGCCTCCCCAGTAGCTGGGACTACAGGCATACACCACCACACACCCAGCTGATTTTTGTGTTTTTTGTAGACACAGGGTTTCACTATGTTGCCCAGGCTGGTCTTGAACTCCTGGGCTCAAGTGATTCTTCAGCCTCCACCTCCCAAATTGCTGGGATTAGAAACATGAGCCACCAAGCCTGGCCAGTATGATAATTTTTTTATGACAGTTAAGAAAAGATATTGAAGGAAACAGTGTAAAACCAGGCAATGAAAGAGTAGAGAAAGGCAGTCAATATATGGCACCATTTTAATATGCTTGCTTCCCCGTCAGCCAGCCCTCACCCCTGGCCACAGCCTGGCCTGTTGCCAGACTGGTTTCCTGATCAGAACCCATCTACCCTCTGCTTAGACTAGGAGTGTGTGTGCATAATTTATTCATGTGGGTACACAGCATGCATAACATGACTTTCTCTTTTTAACTCACACCAGTCAGGCTTTCACATCTTTACCAAGACTCCTCTTATCAAGTCATCAGTGAACTTGATGGCCAAATGCAATGGTCAGTTTTCAGTGTTTATCTTACTTGACCTATCAGTGGCATTGGAATCATTTGATCATGCTTTCCTCCTTGGAACACTCTCTTTACTTGATCCCTGGGTCACCTCTCTCTTGGCTCTCCTCCACTCTACTAAGGGCTTTTTCCCTATCTCCTTTATCTAGATACTTCTCATCTTGATTTCTAAAAGTTGTAGTACCCTAAGGCTAACTGCCTAGCTCTTTTCTACATCTAAACCCACTCCCTTGGTGTTCTTATCTAGTCTCATAGCTTTAATATCATCTGAATGCCAAACATTTCCAAATGTGTATCTCCAGCACAGACCCTTCTGCCCTGAATTCCAAACTCACATATCCATCTGCTTACTCGACATCTCCATTTGGATGTCTATGGACATCTCAAACTTAACATGACCCAAACAAAATCTGTTCATCTCTCAATCAACCCTATCTCAGCAACTGGTCATACCTTTCTTCAGTTGCTTGGAGTCATCATGAACTCTTTCTCACACACACAGACCATTTCCAAATCTTCAGCAAATCCCATTGGCTGTATCTTCAAAAAACACACTATCAACTCTCTACCCTTCTTTTCATGTACACTGCTACCACCCTGGTCTGAGGCCCATGACCTCTTATCTGGATTAGTGTATAGTCTACTATAATACATGGTCTCCCTACTTCTCTCTTGCCTCTTTGAAATACTTCTTACTCAGCAAAGTGACAAAAGTTACCCGAAGTCAGGTAAAAAAACTCTATGCTCAAGGATGATGCACTTCAATTGGCATAAAATCCAGCCTTTACCATGGCTTATAAAGTTTACATGATTGGGGTCTCTACTTCCTTCTTCTCTGACTTCATCTCCTACTCCCCAGCCCCCACTCACCATGTTTCCAGCTTACTAGTTCCCTTATTGTCCCTCAACTATCCCAGACACATTCCTACCTCAGAGCCTCTGGATTTGCTATTTCCTGTGCCTGCAACACAAAATTACATGGTCCATGCTCTCATTCCATTCAGGATTCTACTCAAATATCACTTTATTGAAAAGTCCTTCCTTGTTCATACAGCATCTGCCTTCATTACCCTCCGTACTCTTAATTAGTTGATTTGTCGTGTTAGCACTTACAGCAACATGACATATTATGCTTATTTATTTGTCCATTGTCTGTCTTCCACACTTGAGTGTAAGTTCTGTTTCATGACAGCAGGGACTTTGGCTATCTTTGTTCTCTGCTGTGTCCTCAGAGAGTCTGGCATCTGGTGAGGGTTCATTAAAAATTTAATGAATGAAGAAATGAACAAATATTAATGTGGATAATTATTCAGAGAGTTGGTCAAGAACAGCAAGTGGGTAGGTTCCAGTTTTGTTTTACATGGAAGTTTGTATAAACTGAAGACTAAGATCAGAATCAGGGAAAATGTTCTCCTTTATGTCTTCTCAATGTAAAAAATAGAATGTAGTTGAATGTGGTGGATTGGTAATAAATATGTTTATTGTTCCAAATTCCATATTTTATTTATTTATTTTTTTAGGGACAGGGTCTCGCTCTGTCGCCCAGGCTGGAGTGCAGTGGTGCCATCATAGCTCACTGCGGGGTCAAACTCCTGGCCTCAAGCGATCTTCCCACCTTGGCCTCTCGAAGTGCTGGCATTACAGGCATGAGTCACTGCGCCGAGCCCAAATTCTGTATTTTAGTAGTAGAAGTTGTCCACTTATGTTTTAACCATGGAAATTAAATTATGTGTGTGATCATGAATCCAAATTTTGCTATTTATTTCCTATTCTTTTTTTTTTTTTTTTTTTTTTTTTTTTGAGATACGGCCTAGCTCTGTCGCCCAGGCTGGAGTGCAGTGGCGTGATCACAGCTCACTACAGCCTCAACCTCCCTGGCTCAAGCGATACTCCCACCTCAGCCTCCTGAGTAGCTGAGACTCCAAGCATGTGCCACCATGCCCAGCTAATTTTTAAATTTTTTGTAGAGATGGGGTCTCGCTATTTGCCCAGGCTGGTCTCAAACTTCTGGGCTCAAACCATCCTCCCACCTCGGCCTATTTCCTATCCTTATGGTCCTGGCAATGCTGGTAAACTTGCATTAGTTCATTACATTTTACTTGGAAATGAAAATTTTCATCTAAGTAAAATGCCTGATGCATTTTTTTTCTTTAAATTCTGACCCCACTAGATTAGTTTTAAACCCTTCTTGAATCTAATTTTTTCAAAGATGCCATTTTTCCAGGCATTTGAATCCCATTTTCCCCAGAGCCTTTGTTTTGTGAATAGTGCATTCTAAGTAAATTAAACCAATGAAGCCTTAGTGATATAATTGCAAACCTATCCAGTCACTGCATCTTCTACAATGGATTCTGGACTCAGCTTAAGTAGGACTAATAAGTACACTAGTCCTAGTGCCTTCTCTGCTCTCTTTTGTGGCTTTGGAACACTCAGTTCTCTATTTCAGAGCTTCATCTGCAAGAGTGGATAATAGCATTTGCCTCACAATTGTGGTCTTATGAGGATCAAATGTGATGACACCAGGGAACCTGCTTTAAAGTATTTAAAGTGGCTGGGCACGGTGGCTCACGCCTGTAATCCCAGCACTTTGGGAAGCCAAGGCTGGTGGATCACGAGGTTAGGAGTTCAAGACCAGCCTGGCCAAGATGGTGAAACCCCATCTCTACTAAGAATACAAAAATTAGCTGGGCGTGGTGGCACACACCTGTAATCCCAGCTACTTGGGAGACTGAGGCAGAGAACTGCTTGAACCCAGGAGAGGGAGAAGTTGCAGTGAGCCAAGATCACGCCACTGCACTCCAGACTGGGTGACAGAGCAAGACTCCGTCTAAAAAAAAAAAAAAAAATTAAAGTATTACGTTAATTAGGGATGACTTGGGTTCAACCAACAGAAACTCATAACAAGCTAGCTTGGAGCAAAGGGGGGGAAATTACTTTATAAACACAGTGCTATAGAACGTAAATGTAGGGAGTAGTACCTCATGAACTAATAGAACGTAAATGTAGGGAGTAGCACCTCATGAGCTAATAGAACGTAAATATAGGGAGTAGTACCTCATGAGCTTCAGGATCCGGAAACTGAAGAGTCTTTGGTTGCTCGGGGCTGTCTGTCTTCCTAAAACTATGTGGTCTCTCTTCTCTGCCCCCTTTGCACATTTTTTTCTTTCTTCTGACACTCTGCAGACAGACATTATCTGCATCTTCATCACACATGGGCTGAAGATAGTGTCCTTTTGTTTTTGAGACAGGGTCTCACTCTGTTGCCCAAGCTGGAGTGCAGTGGCATGAACAGGGCTCACTGCAGCTTCGATCTCCTGGGCTCAAGGGATCCTCCACCTCCACCTGTCGTGTAGCTGGGATCACAGGCACATGCCACCACACCTGGTTAACTTTTTAAATTTTTTGTAGAGACGGATCTTACTTTGTTGCCCAG